>NC_000005.10:67609807-68234807 GCF_000001405.40 Homo sapiens | reverse complement strand
CTAACATGTTACCTCTTAGGTAGATTTAGAGGGGTCTGAATAAACAAATGTTATAACCATCACTCTCTACTTACCTTGGAAAATTTAACAAATATATATGAAACAAATCTGTAGGAACTCTCAGTACAGATCATGTCAACGAGTTTAGCGCTACTGCACAGATACTGTTCAAATGAGGCAGTAAGTCTCAAACCAGTTTAGATACCAGCAATTGCTAACTGCCCACCAACAGAAGTAGAGCCTAAATATTCACACTGGTGAAACATGTCTTAAAACCATACACCGCATGCATCTGCAAAAACTTGATACCAGGTGGGCACTTTCATAAGCAATAATCCCATACAATCCATGGACCAGTCTCCAATCAGATCGTGCAATGAGGTCATGTAAGTACATCTTTCCAACCATCCTAGGTTGTTTCTCTGCATAAATCCTCTCACTACATTCCCTTATTCTCATATACAGGGCTTCTGGGTTGCATTATTGGGGAAACACTACTAGTGAGAACCAATTTTTCTGGGTCTTATTTCTCCGACAGTTCTTCTGATTGGGAAGAGAAGGATTAAAACAAAAACTGCTGAAACTCAAAAGAGACAGCATTTAGCTTCTCATCTTACAATTAGAGAACACTGGAACTAGAACGTTAAGGAATTTATAGAAAGCAAAGCAATGTGGAATTTCTGATTCAAATAATATATCACAGATTTATATTTCATTTATGCCTATATTCTTTACGATCTTGGATATCAGATTTGATCATCAAATTACGTCTCCTGCAATACGCTGTAATAAATTCACAGTTATAACTTCAAAATGAATCAAACTGTGACAGGACAGAATAATCTATAGGCATTACATAATCTACCAACTGAGAATAGATAGACAGACAAATACAAATACATCGCAAACACCTCCAAGCAAGAAACAGTCCAGAGAGGGTATTCCTGAAAATCACAGCCATGCCTTAGGTGGTATAAAGCCATTGGGAGAAAGTTCTGCATACATAATTAAACAAAGGTTTGCAGCTGATTTGTTTTGTTTTTAATTGCAAGGATATATTTTAACAATGTATACACTATGTTATCCATTATATAACAATGTATACCATGTTTTGTTTTTAATTCAAAGTTATATTTTAACAATGTTTCTACTACAATTCCACGTACTGTTTGTATACTGCATGGAATTTTCATAGTAAAAATAAAATATTACATAAATTGGTAAGAAGGAATAACACATTTATAAAGTAGTCTGATATTCTGTTAAACAACTTGACATTTTAGGTACACTATACCCAAGCAATTGAAATAAAGCCCATTTCTAGTTCACTTTGTCCCCCTCCATGTGTCCTCCTCTATTGAAAGCCTAAGGACTGCTTTGATATCGAATGCTATAAACTCAAGACCTCAAAACATTCAGATATAATCCATCATGCAATTATGCTCCTCATTTCAAGCTATCACACCATGTTATCTTCTCCTATCTGAGACTTCAGACCAGTGCTACATCCTTCCCCATGGAAATCTGTTAGCAACAAAGATACACATATATGCAAGAGCCAGCTGTACTGCTAACATCTGTTTGGTTTTTACTAATCAAAACATGGATATGTAAATGATGTCACATTTGGCACTCTTATTTGCCATAGGTAAAAAATTCTCCCCTTTTTGGGTGCTACTTAGCAGATGTAAGTCAGCATTTGTTGTTGAATTTCAGAATTTCTAATTTTTTTTCTAACTCAGAGAAGAAATTCTTACTAATCAGAATGTCTCTTGTTGTAGACAAAGATGCATCACCTAGAAACCAGAGAAGACTGACATCAAATTTATCAAAGAATCTATTGACAAGTTAAATAGAGAGTTCCATATTTATAACAAAGAAAATTGTATTAGAATATCAACATTAACTTAGTTGCCAGAAAACAAAATATGCTCCCTCTAATTAAATAACTCCTATTTGAATCAGAGGTGTGTGAGGGCTTTACTTAGGATATACATATAAGGACACTGGACCCTTTTCCCATTTTTGAAAAAAGAACACAGAAAGAAGTGTATAGAACAGAAGCCTTAACAAAAGCATCTGAACAAACATTTCACTTAAATAAGAAAATATAACTTGCCTACCATAACCCTGTGATTCTAAAGGACAGAGGCAGAAACAGACACCTGGCAGAAAGCTTCTTCTCCTCAAATACTGTCTTATTCTGCAACCCTGGACTTAACTGTCACCGCAGCTCTAGGAGAGCAGTTCAAGTGATTCCCTTCAAATAACAGACTGAGGGAAGGAGGGAGAAATGCCTTCCTCTCCCCTCTGGGTAAGAGAGCCTCCCTACTCACAGGCCCCTCAGAGCGTGCCTGTGAATTCCTAAAGTGGCCAGGCCAGCTCAGGGTAAGAACCCTCCTGCAAAAAGCAATAAAAGTGAGCATCCTGTCTCTTTTTGTCAATTTCATTTTCAAAAAACCACGGATACACAAATCGCTAATTAGGGCTACTTTCCTTTCTCTTACACATTTTTAGGGAAACAAAGTTAACAGAAAAAATGTTTTTAAAAAATCAAGAATGTATTGAGAATATAAATGCTCATGAGAGGGTGAACTGTGTTGCAATAAGTAATTTAATATGCAAATGACATATTCTGTGACCCTAAGTGGTTAGGCTAATCTGATTTTATTCAAAATAATTAGCACATTTGTTTTTTCCAGACACACTCTTTAATCAATTATATTTCAGTAGAAATATATTTCATTTCCTACTGAAACACAGAGGGCAAACACTTAAATTTTCATGCCTGGGTAAAAATCTCCATAATGTCCTGATGAACTTTTCTTGTGGTCAGAAGTTAGAGACAGAGCTCAAAGGCCCTTATCTTCTAAGATCCTGTAACTGACCCAACTTTCTCGCAAAAACAGAGTGGTCGATAGATGCAGAATGAGCAGTCAGCACCATAAATTGGGTGGTTTTCCCCATCACTTGGGCTTAACAAGACAAACCTCCAAGTTCACAGCAAAGACTTAAGTAGGAAGGAAGAGTGAAGAATGTTATGAGAAAGTATATTCTGAAAGAAAACAGAATTCGTAAAGGCAGGAATTTGTGAAGCAAAGCAAATTACTTGCACAAGCACTATTTGCCTCAAGGAGACAGCGTAGGTTATGACCAACGGGCTCAGCAGAGGTGTGTAATTTGGGATCAGGTCACTATTTTCTGTGACCTCTGTACAGTGTAGTCAATGTTTGTGATTTATTGCAGCCCTGCTTTCTGGACAGGGAACAACAACCATGAAGGGACACTCAAATGCTGAATGTGAAAAATTTAACAATAACATGCCTTGGGAAACCATGAAAACCAACACCAATGGTGGCCTTTTTCTTTCTGTTTAAAAGGGATTTTGATCAAAATTTAGCGTAAGCCATGTCAAATGCATGCTTTATGTCTTAGGTTTGAAACCAGCTGAAATCCACTGTCAGAGGCTGCAGGAGGAGCCAGGGAGGGTTGTGCAGGTCAGGATGGAGGTGGGTATGCAGTAAGTAATCTCTTGTGTTAGCAGGTTTCACTGCACTGCACAAACTAACATGGGCACAGACTCTCACCCGTCTAAATATTCTGCATTAGCATGACTTTAATTAAAGGATCTCAAAGTATGAGTTAAAACCACTGTCTTGAGAAATAGCCCCACTGGATGGCTTACATATGACAGAGGAATATATTTTTATTCCCATATCCCTATATCCCCATTTTCAATCAACTCATTTCGTTGTGTACAAGAGAAAATACAGGACCCTGGCTGAATGGGGTTGGTGTAGCGGGATGGGATGCCAGGATCTGAGCAAGCTAAAGCAGAAAGAGCCATAAGATTGCCTTTCAATAGCTGCCTCACCCGAGGACATGTAACACCCACCTTGCACACCCAGCACACTCTTTATCCAAACAAAACATGGAAGAGGTTCTCTCCGAAGAACATAACATAGGGCTCTACTGGCTTGTAGAAAAATAAAATAAAACGTCATCCTCATATTGGCAATTTTAGCCCCCATGCAAAGGGAAGGAGATAAAAGGATGGGAGAAAGGGCACAGAATTTGCCCTGAGGATATTCGCTGACCATGACAGCCCCTCTACTCACTTGGCTTAAGTGACTGAAGGTACTATCAGCTTAATGCACTTTCCCACCAGCAGAACTACCTGTCCCAGGCCCTGGGAAGAAAATAAAGAGTTCTGGAGACATACCAGGCAATGGTTAAGGCCAAGGCAGGATGCCTCAGATGAAGGATGTGGATAACAAATAAGCTGTTATTTTCTAAAACAAGATGGGCCATTAAGCTTTGTATGACTGCACATGACATTCAGAGCACGTGGTCAATTTCAAAAGCAATGCAGAAAGTGAAATAGCTGTAGGATGAGCTGCAGCAGCACCTGTTTACCAGCATGTTGGGAAACTACCACACTGTCCTAGGTACTTAGGATAATGGGGGACCACAAAGATCTCTCCCCTTATGGAGCTTAAAATCTAACAGAGGGAACAGTCAATGAACAATAAACGTAATAAGTAAACGATATCGTGGGTTAAGTAATCAATGATTTGCAAAAGCAGAGAGGTAGGTCCCAGCATAGAATAGCGTGAGTAGAGCCAGACTCCATGAGACGAAAGATTTGAGCAGAGAAGTGAGAGTGGGTCAGTCAGGCAGATGTCTAGGGGAAGAGCTGTACTAGCAGAGGAGAAAAAGCACAGCTCCAAAGGTGGAAGAGAGGCATGAGAGAGCATCTCAGGGCATGCTGGCTCTTGAGCCTTGATTTCATCTTTTATCTTTGCTTTCCAGCACAAAATAAGGACTCAGACCATGCTTACTGAATGTATTTAAGTCCAAAAACATCCAAAATTATCCAATTAAAACAATTCATTCAATCTATATGCCAGGGCTTCCTAAAAACTGCATGCAAAATGTATTGGAAGAAAGTACAGTGCCGTATATAAGATTTCCTAATGGGTTTTTGACTCTTTCTCTCAAAAAGTTAAATATCACAGCTTTATTTCCAAGAACATACAAGCAAAGTGGAAAAGTAAGACACTATCGTACAGGGAGGAATCTCTCACAGAACGTACTCTTGGCCAGAGTCTAAGGACAATTTCCTTTTAAAAACAGAGAGGGCAGCAAGGCTCAGCAGGACACAGACACACAATTGGCATGCAGGCTGTCCTCGCACCCTCTGTCTACCCTGCTGCCCATTAACGAGGTGTGCCAAGTCCACAAAACAAAACTGCATGTGGTTCCTAGACCTGGGGTGGGGGTTGGTGAGGAATAACCTTCTAAATGCAATAAACACAGCATAACATGAAAAACTGGCTAAGTCAGGTGGAGGTGGAGGGTGTTAAAAGGAAAAAAAAAGAAAAGAACTAAAGAATTCAATTATGGTAAGAATAGAACAGAACTATCATTTCTTGCCTTCACACAATTTGTCACTGCAAAAGCTTTTCAAAGAAATACAAACGGAGGCAAAAGAAACTAGTCTCACAGGTTCTAACATATAAAATTTGTCCTTATAACTACTTTCCATATGAATTCAACATGCAACTCATAGGAGCTATTGAATTCTCGCTTCATAGGAATATTTAAATGAGAATACAAGACCAACACTTCTAGAAAATTGAATGTTTAGTATTATACTCCCCACATGACCCCCCCCCAACACTCTCCTTTCAATCTTTCAGTTATTACTAATTTCTCATTTATATTCAGGCTCTAATACTTTTATGCACATTATCATGGGTCTCTTTCTTGAATTCTGCTAAAAATTTTCATTTCACTCCATCTTTCCATGTATTAAAGAAAAATGAAAAAGCTGCTAAAAATCTCAATTGTCATCACATTACATGAGAAAGCAAGCATTATAAAATAGTTTAGGATATAAAAAGAGAAAATGACTTTTCCTATAAGGAAAGACTTGCTTTTCTGTACACCAGAGCCAAAGAAACTTGCACCTGATAGCAATTATCAAATGCAAATTTTGTTTAGAAACTGCTTTTATAAAATTGTTTTGTAACTAATCTTGACAAGGTGCCCTTATTCCACCTTTTAAATAATCTTCTCTAATTCAACTATTTTTATGATTCTGTAAAGCTCTGTATTCTCGGAAAAATTAAATCACTTTTCCTTTGGAATTAGGCTACTGAAGAAAGCGTTTTTAACTTAAAAAAAATAAAAGGTGAAAATATATAACTTGGTGGAGAAAAACGATTACGTATGTATCTTCAATCTGCTAAGTGCTGCAATGGTTGATAAAATCACTTATGTATGTGCGGAGAGTCATGGTTTTTTGATTGATCTGCAAAGAAAAATTAACTTTGGCTTTTGAACAATATAATAAAAGATATTATTTGAACATTATAAAGTATAACATTTATGAAATAAGTATCCCTTTGGGCTGGGTATGGGAAAGAAAAGGGCTTCCCTTCAGGTATCATTAATAAATTCCTTGATTTTAACACAATATTCCCAATCTATTACTACTCAATACTGAAAGGCAGCTCTTACCCTTGCATTCTGTTTCTCTGTTCTCATTGTCTTATTCACTTGTGTTAGAATAAGGCAACATTAAAGAAGGTATAATAGCTTACTAGTGGTATCAGAATCTCTTCCAGAAATATCCTGTGATGCCAGTCAGGTCTCCTCAATATATAACTACTGCAGTTAGGCCCACCCATCTTAAACCATTCCTTCCCATTCCCTTCTTAGACCCTAAGAAAGAAGACTACACAAGAGAAAAAAGAAAAATGCGTGTGATTTACTAGTGAGGAAACCGGTATTTGACAAAGCTGATAACAGCAAAGCTGAGCATAAGGCTTGTCTCTGTGTGAAACCGAACAGAAGATAAACCTTAAAGACACAGCTGTGCCTGAAGCGCAAGTATGGACCATCTCCAATAAGCAATAAGTGGTTTTTGAATGAAGGTGGTTTCCATTTAAGCAAAGTATTCAGTGAATTTTTCTTCCCCCTCATGAAGGCGAACCAGACTATAGGCATTAATGCTACAAATGACACTACCCACAAAGGAAGTGAAATCCCTTTACTTTTATACTAACTATAGGATTGGGTTTCAGCTTTGGCCACAGCGATCCTGGAGAGGAAACCAAGAGGTAGATACCAGGTTATAAAAACAATGGTTTCTTCTCAGCCGAGTTCTGTGGTCATTTTATTACTCTCTACATTTTTCCATACAAATCATGTTAAATATACTTATATTAGACTTACCCTCCACTTTCCCAAAATTATTATTAGATATACACAGGTTGAGTATTCCTTATCTGAAATGCTTGGAACCAGAAGTGTTGTAGATTTCATGTTGTTCTGGATTTTGGAATATTTGCATTATACCCCTTGACCACTGAATCTGAATTCTGGAATGCTCTAATGAGAATTTCCTTTGGGTGTCAAAAAATTTTGGGTTTTTCAGCATTTTAGATTTCATATTTTCAGACTAGGAATACTCCGCCTATAATGCCAATTACAAAAATAAGAAATATAGTAGATGTTTAATTCAATGACAACTATAATAATAGTGTTCAACGACACTCACTAAACAGGTTCTCGGATACTGTGTCCCTATTTTTATAACAACTTCCAACCCCACAAACACAAATTTCTAGTTGTGTAATGATTGACCAAGCTTTTATGCACCACACATCAATTCAGGTGCAGTTGCCAAGGTAACTTCTGCCCAGAACATAACGACTCAACCCAAACTTAAGACTTTTCCTTAAAAAGAAAAAGAAAGGGAGTCATTAAGCAACCACTTATCAATACTGACCTTGTTGTTCAACATCTGCTTCAGTTTTCGAAGAACCTGGTGCAACAGGAAGAGGCCGAGGTGGCCGGGGCTTTGGTGTGGGAGGCGAGATTTTTTTCCTTCCAATATATTCTACGTAAGTTCCCGGAAAGTCCCCCCTTTCCCCTGTGGTTTCATTATAGCCATTTAACCAGCCAATTTCTTCAGGCCTGGCTTCCTGTCCATCACTGAATCCAAGAGCTACTAAGGACCCTTTATTCACAGTCAATATGTCACCCAAGTGCAAGTCAATATCTTCTTCTCTTTCCTTTTTATAATCATACAGCGCTCTGTACTGGTACCCCTCAGCACTCATGTTTGCAAATCTGCTACCATGCAACAGTTGAGCCTGGTTGTACAGAGCAGTCTGATTTTACGTTTTTATGAAAAGTGAATTCAGAGAATGTGTTAGAATTCCTATTATGTGTCCAGCAGAGGACAAAGGACCACTCTCCAAAGGTTTAAGAGGAGAGGTGACTGGCCATACGGCTGTCCATCTGTCCTCCATCAATGGTGTGACCGAAGACAGGGCTCCACTTCCTCTGCGTGCCACAGTCCTCTCACTGGCTTCCTTTTCAGCAACTTGTCAACACTTTGAATCCAGGCTGACTCTCACAGCGAGGCCCAATCCTTTCTGACACTTTTGTCACACTGTCCATCTGTCGTCTGATTGTACCGTGGCACTCCACACACGAGCTTCACCTAGGAATGAAAAAAACGAGACTTAAGAATGAACAGCACACTTTGCCATCTGTGTTAATTGGAATTTCTACTTCCATTCAACAAGTACTTAATCGATTTGGCAGACAGACACAGGCCAGTGTGCTATTGCTTGACACAACAGAGATTAGTAAGGCAGTCCCTGCCTTCTAAGAACACCGGGCGGGGGCAGAGGGGAGGAGTGTCGGCATGAGGCAATGTCTTAGCGATAATGTGACATTATCGCTGATAATGTGGCTCAGAGTACACAGAGCCACAACACTAGTACATGTCATAAGAGAGGCAGAAACTAAACACTGCAGGGTTCAAACGAGGGAGAAAGCACACTAACTGCAGGAATCTGAAGACAGAATGGCATGTGTGGTCGGACGCTAGTTACAGAAGTGACCAAGAAAATGTCATATTCTGAGAAGAGCTAGAACAGGCAGTCCAATCCGTCTGGAGCCAAAGAGGGAGCAGTGGGATTGGGGTTAGAGATTTAGGTAGGGGCTGTAGGACATCACGCATGCCCATGCTGAGTTTGTGAGTAATTCAGCCCACAGTGTGGAACACGGAAAGGGCTTGGTGAAAAGTGAGCAACGGGATCAGAGCTGCACTCCAGGAATATCAATCTAACCACAGTGTGCGAGAAAGGTGTGTTGCAGAGGTCTGGCCAAGAGGTAGTGAGGACACAAACCAGGGTGGCAGCAGCAGGTGTGGAAAGGGGAGGAGTGAAATAAACACTGCAGAGAAAGAACATGTGGGATGTGGCAAATGCTTAAATGTGCGGCGAGAACGAGAGGAGCAAAGGGTGCCTGATCCTGCATTAATGAGAGTTTGGAGCACTATCAGGCAAAGAGAAGCCAGGTGACCTGATGGGCTGACGGTGATTCTGGGCACCCCTGTGCAAGTGTGCTAGTGGCTGATGAAACCCTGGTCTGTGATTCAGAAGAGGAAACATGCTAGGGATTTGGCAATCGGCCACAATTAGGCAAGGCTGAATTCAATGGAATGGAAGAGCTCACAAGGACAAATCAAAAGTTAAAAAAAAAAAAAAATGATCCAAGGGCCAAATAGTGAAGTTCAATGTATGTAACTGAGGAAGGAAAGTCAAGGTTTAGAGACAACATCCCAAAAACAAGGAAGAAGAGTTCAAGTAGGAAAATGTGATCCCTAAGACTAAATCCTGCAAAGGCATCCAGACAGGAGAGACTGAGTCAAGGCTAAATAATTTGGGGCTTCGCCCATGATGGAATCATCACGCAGATTCCAGTCCAGCAGTGAGGACAGCAACAACATCTTAAGGAGTTAAAAAATATTAGAGAGGAAGTAGCAATGGTTGCTACAGACCACTCTATAAAGACAGCTTGATGGAGGAAATGTGAAATGTAAGTGTTTTTCTTTTTTGTTCTTAAACATAGTGGAGGCAAGGGAATTAGAGAGTTACTAAGTCAGAGTAGATGGCTGAGAACGGCATGTACACATATACACTTTGTACTCCAGGCATTTCTCAATGTTATCTTTATTATAAAGAGTAAAAGCCACCCAAAGGTTTCAGTTAAGCTGGCTGCACAATAAAGCAATAAAAACAATAGCCACACAATTTCAGTGGGCTATATCAAAGAGAGCTTTTATAAGTTTTAAAGAGTGGAACACTTTAGAAGTTTAATATTACAGGCACTCGTCAGTGGAGGCATCTTAAGAAGCAAAATCTAATCATAGATTAATTGTTATGTTGGCATTCAGAAGTGTAAAGTATTCAACTTTACATGGGTAAAGCCTCTTAGCTGTAATACAATAACACACTTAGGAGAGTTACATATTAAAAGAAGCAAAAACAAACACTGGAAGTCTTTGTGGAGCAAGAATATTAATTGGGGATAGTACTCTACTTCGCATTTCAGTTGTCGGAGAAAAAAATCAAAGCAACCAATAGAGCATATCAGAAAAATAAGCTATATTATTTGTTTAAAGAAAGCCTTTCCTTTTGAAAGATCCAGAATCAAATTGAATATTCACTGCATAAATTCACATGAAAATGTAGAACTAGCAAATCTCATTTTTAGTACTAATGTACTCTGTACAAAAGAGACAGAGACCTCTAAAGAACATGAACATTTACATATCCCTAAATGCTTAGAAACCAGGCAATGTGCCTAAGAATAATTTAATTCCTCCAAATCTGCCTTGAAATTTTTGTTAGCTTTTCCTGGCAATGTATGTCTTTTAGGGGGGAAAAAAAAATCCTCAACCAGTAGGCTGGGTAGATCTTTATGCCAGCTGCTTCCTAACACTTCCTTTATTCCAGCCACCCAGTGGGCCAGTTTGGTGGGATTCTTAATAGAATGGGAAGTATAATGAACAAACTCTTCCCCATCTTCAATCCTCCAGGAACCATCAAGCAAGCCCCTGCTCACAGCTTACCTCTGAAGCTGTTCCTTGCCAGGGGGCTCTGTATTAAGAAAAGGCTCCAGGACTTGTCAAGGTTTTACAAACCTAAAAGCTGTGCTTGAGTCTGCCTGAGGCTAAATTTGTGCAAAGGGAAATAGAAACCTAAGGAACATGATGACTTTTAGAGGCTAGACACCAGAGAGGCAATCCCTGTCTGAAGTGACAGAGAACTAAAGGTCTCTACAAATTCTCTCTCCCTTGCCACCTGTAAGAAGAACCTTACTTTGTGGGTAAGAAGAACCCTGTGCAGAACTCTGGGTCCTCATCTGATAAAAAGAACCACAAATCTTCTATGACTCTAGGATGGTAAATAGAACACACCATTTCTGTCTTCTGAGACCCCAAAGTAAGGCCAGGAAGATGGATACAAACAGGGCATCCATCCATTGATGCAGACGTTAATTCAAGGCCAGCCATTAGTCAGTGTCAATTAAGTGGTCTGAGGGCAATGTTGTGGAAAAAAAAAAAAAAGGAGAGCAGTCAAGTCATTGGGGTGGGGACTGGACAGCATGGTGATAAGATGTAGAGAGCCCTTAGCTAGACAGAGAAGGCAGCCACCCCTACTCTTTTGCACATTGTACACTTTCTCCTGACTGCCATGTCCATTTTGACGTCTGTCATTCTTGAGGACTGAATGGGTTAATCCACATAAAACTCCGGTTAAGTATTGGGTGATGATGATGATGATGATGATGATGATGATGATGATGATGATGATTGAGTTTGTACACATATAGCTCCCAATTAGTATTAGATGATATGATGATGCTGACTATATATAGTTATATACAGTCATATATATATAGTCATATATATAGTCATATATGTATGTGTGTGTGTGTGTAGATAACTATATAAAAACAGGTACTATCAGTAGTCTCACTTAACATAGGACAGAAAATATCTCTGTCACGATAATACTTAGCAATTGCGAAGAGGAACTAGAATTCAGATCCAGGCAGTCTAGCTCTGTAAGTCCCATTTTTAACACCTCCAGCATCTACTGCCTGAACTCAACTTGCTTTGGTGTGGATGATGCAGGTTCGTGGCCTGCACAAGCTGATCACTCCAATTAACCTTAACTGTCTGTCTGCCTCTTTAACTCTCTCAGACAGCGGCTTTACTGATAGTGTATGTGGCTCTTTCACACTACCTGCACACACAAAAAAGCTATTTTAACTCGGCAGTTCCATCAACTCCAAAACCCAGCATCTCAGCCATGCAAATTTTCTTCCAAAGAGACTTCATTAAAATGTGTCCCTGCGAAAGAAGTCCATAAACTAGTGAATAAAAGAATACTGGGCACACCACTTCTGGAAGGCTGCCCACTTCTGGAATCCTGCCTATTTCTGCTCTATGAGCTTCGCTTCTGCCACCTGTATCCTTAGCACCTCTGCCTCCTGCCACTATCCCAGGCCCCTCCACTGAACAATTTCCAATAACCCAGCTCCTCCTTAGGGGGATATGGCACTGCCACAAGGACTGTCACATCTAGAGGACTGGGAAGTTCTCTTTTCTCTCATCCTCAAATTCTTCACAGTACTGCAGAAGACCCAGCAGCCTGAGGTATTTGGTAATACCTGTGTAACCACCACCCCTACCGAGATCGACCTGGAGCCTAAACTATCCAAATCAACAGGATTTTTCCTCAGATTCACTCTATCATGCCTCTATTCTCTTTTGCTACATATACCTGCCCACTAAACTATTTTTACCCAGTTCTGACATGATTATTCACATAGCAAAGGCTTTTTATATGTAGATAACATTATCTACAATGTAATATTTTCAAATAACCAAGGCAGTTTTGTGATATAGGCTCCAAGCTAGTGCATGCATAAGTTATTGTAACAAAGGGTATAAAGGAATCCTACGAACAAGTAAACTAACTTACTCTTATATAATATCATATGCAACAGTTCAAAATTTTAAGGAATTTTTCTCCAGTCTTTCAATCCTTCTAATGACTGCCTGCAATCCCATTAATCAGAAGCATATTTTCTGTCCCTGCTAACATACAGAGAAATTCTCTTTCTATTCCCCAAAATAAAATTGTTTCTGATGTTTGACAAATAGCAATCCACAGCTACTTAACGTACAACTGCTGTAAAGTAGATTTTCTGTGTAACCCTCTAACCTATAGGCATTTTGGCAAAGAGCCAAACAAAAAAGCCCTCTCTGACTTTGTTGAGTTACTCCATTCTCCATTTAGAAATGACAAGAATTTGGAGAACTTGATGGACAGGCAGGAATACAGGATATTTTTAAATCACATTAAATTAATCAAGAATATATCCAAGTCATGTGATTCTATCTCCCAATGAAATTAGCAGTTAGGCATTGGATGGCAGCACGAAATGGGTCTTCAACCAAGGCAGGAGGGTATGGAAGGGTTCCTGGGCCCACAGCCCATATCTCTCTACAGTCCATCTTTTTAACTTCAGTGTGCTAGTTCAGAGTCTAGGTCAAGCTCCTCACCTAAATTCATACAGTCTTTAAAAAAATCATTATTTAAAAATGGTTTACCTTCCAAATCATGGTGTCCCAGAAATCATGAAAATCAAGACGAACAAAATTAAAATATCCTAGTGTCTTAGTCCATTTTGTGTTGTTATAATGGAATTCCTGAGACTGGGTAATTTATAAACAACAGAAGTATATTTGGTTCTGGAGGCTGGAAAGTCCAAGAGCATGGCACTAGCATCTGGTGAAGGCCTTCATCTTATGTCCTCTTGCAAGGGCAAGACAGCAAGACAGGGCCAAACTCGAGTTTATAACAAGCCCATTCCCAAGATAACTAATCTACTCTTGCCATAATGACATTAATCCATTCAAGAGAGCACAGCCTCCTATTAGGCCCTACCTCCCAACACAGTTGCATTAGGGATTACATTTCTGACATGTAAACTCTGGGGGACACATTCAACCCAGAGCACCTAGTAAACATAATAAATTGCCTTCAATTTGAAATGATGAATTTAGGGTGAATTTTATGGTATGTGGACTTTATATCAATTAAAATAAAATGAAAATAATGGGCTGAGATTAACCCCAAATAATAGACATCAAATTCATTTCCAAACCAACCAACTAAATAGAATGTGTTGCATGCTGCCATGCTCAGGGCTGGGTGTGTGGTGTGGGTAAACAGGCTGTATAGGCTGTAATTCTCGCCTACAAGCCCTTTTGGTGTTGTGTTTGTGGGGCGAGGGAGAGGAGAACAGGTAGCACAAGCCCAGGTAACACAACAAGGAGCTAGGGCTCTTCAGAAAGCAGCCAACATGAGGGGAAGGTACTGCAGGAAACACAGAGGAATGACCCTGGCCCAGGTGACAGCAACGCTTAGGCACGCAGTAGCCATTACGCGGAGGCTGGGAGAAAGGGTGACGTAGCTTCTGGGACCTGAGGGACAGACAGATCCTATCACCCAGAAAAGGCCATGAGGCTGACCATTCCGGTTCTCTGCATCATCACAATGAAGAGGACCTGAGGGGGCAGGAATGAGAGGACTGAAGGGGATGACTTCAAGTCTCTCTTCTTTTGAAAAAAAGATGCTATTCTGTAAACTTCTTGGCAAGGTTAGTATGAACACTGAGCTTCAGATTCAGGCAGCTGCCCCAGTCAGATTGTGCCTAAATATGTAACCTCAGGAAAGTTACTTAAACCTCTCTGTGGCACAGTTTTATCATCTGTGAGACAGCTATAAGCAAACCTACAGCCCACAGAGTCATTATGAGGATTAACAAAATGACATACATAAAGCACTTCGCTCCATACTTGATAATAGGAGCTTAGGATAATTAATGCCAACATAGTACTTACTATGTGCCAGGCACATAGTTCTCAGAGTTGTACATATATCAACTCATTTAACCATTACAATCACTCTAAGTACAACAATTATCTCTATTTTACAGATGAGAAAACAAGCAGATAAAAGTTAAATATTTTGCCTAAAGTTACATAGCTAGTAAATTGCAACTATTATATTACTATTATTTCTATTAGTATTGAATGTCACCTACTGCCATTTATACAATTCAGATTTAACAGAGGAACAAACATTTATGAGGGATTTTCTTCTGCATTGCCTCTTAACTCTGCAAACAGTTCTAAGTGAATCCTGAATCTAGCTAAAATAAAACTCCCGCTGTCTTAAACCCCTTTTGGAGTAAATAGATAAAGGCTGAGTGTGGACTTTGCCCATGTAGTTCTCTCCTTACCTGAGGTAGAGGACGGCTCTACAGAGGTCAGGACAAAGGAGGCCTGGGAGAGGCCAAGGGATGTGTACATGTGTGTGTGCATCCCCAGGATTTAGAGATGAGTAGCTGTGTCCTCATGGTACAGCCCTTGATCCTGGGGCAGAACCCCAGGCTGGGACACTGGGACATCCGGGGAGGAAGACAACAGGCAAGGAATGGCTGGTCCAGATGCCTTGGCTTTATTAACTCACTACACTCACTGGTGGAGCCTCCTCACACTGTGGCCAGACTCCTGTGACTTCAATACTCTCTTGGATGATCATTAACCTGACAACTATTTTGACTACAGGTGCCTGTGGATATGTATTTGATTTACTTTAAGGAAAACAATGCTAGCAGAATAAAATCTCCAAAGATGTTTCTACAGTAGACATTTTTTCCAATAACACTATACTACAATCACTCTAGCCTTTCAAATAAATAAACACCTAACACCTAGGGGATAAATAAAGGCCATACAGACAAGTTTATAAGTAACTATATAGTCTATTTTTTCAGCTCATGTGGCTTAATGTACATGAAATGGTCGTTAATTGCCACTCTTTTAAGCAAGTAACTCCATACAAGTATTGGCAGAATCATGGCAAGTAATCACATTAGGGCATTAGGGTGTACGTAAAGGAGGCATGGGAAAATGCAGTAAATGATATGAATACTTTGAAAATTAATTAAAACCTAGGTTTTGATAAAAAGCTGTGATATAATTTATATTCTGCTTTCTAAAGTAAAAACTAACTTGATAATTCCTTCCATTGATAACTAACTTTCTAGTCTTCCAGGGCTTCATTAAAATGCTTCATTCTCTTGCCTTCACTTGCAAACCCTGTGCCCTGCAAGAGGGAGAGCTGGAGGAGCTCATATGAAACATACAATATCTTTTGCATTGTGTATGCCTTGACGTGAGAGAATTCCAAAACCCAACACAAACATTATCTCAACTGGCTATATTCTACTTGAGCATAAAAATCAATTTTTTTTCAGCCTGCTCATTCACCATCTCTTTATTCAATAAAACATGTATTTTGCAAATCACAAAATGCAAACACAATAAAAGCTGAACTAGAATTGTTCCTATTTTAATGATCATGTGAACAATCTTTCAGAGTAGATGCCTTTTTACAATACTCCCCTGAACGACCAATATGTTGATTGAACATATCAATTTAGGTTGATATGTTCAATCAACATATCAACCTAAAAATTATATGACAGTCATGGAAAAATGTAAAGAAATGGCCAAAACTTTTAACAGTACAAAATTTGGGTTAGTTTGAGTAGGTTTGCATTTACAATTCAAAGTCCTTCAAAAATCACGTTAGGTGAAACTGACATTACCAAAAGATAAACGCATACCACCATCATCACTGTCTATAATCAAAATATGTATTCCTATAACTTATTGTTCCACTTCTGTTTCCCAGAACCAACTTTATTCTGTGAGGATTTCCTGCGCTTAGTATATTTAAACTCAAGAAATCGCTAAAGAAAAAACATTCAATAAATGGGAAACAAAATGCTTTTTACACTGACTATACAGCATCATGGATAGGAAGAGACTCACTGATATCATTATTTTTAAAAAGCAGATAAAACATCAAATAGCAGTGTGTACACTGCAGAGTTCTGTTATGCAACTAAGAACAGGTCCCAAGTCAAGATGAAAGTTAAAAGTAAATGCACATTACACTTTGCAAGCCAGTATCAGATACATTAAACTTTCTCCCAATCATAAAAATCTATCCACTTCTCTGGAAAAAGTAATATGATTATCTAGTACCTACCTGCATATAAAAGCTGAAGAGGCAAGCAGTGACAATACCCAGCAGTTCTGCAAGGCAGGGAGCCTCCTCCACTGGCCTTTCCAACTTAAACCTTAACTCTGAACCAACATTTCTTCCCAAACTTTAGCCGCAGGCACGCGCGCGCACACACACACACACACACACACACCCCCACACATTACTCTTATTTTCTTTATACTGGTCAAAAACACTTGCTTCCTAAAGTTTAATCAACTTTTGCACCTAAGAAAACTCTTATCTGCTTTCTTCTAAACGGTTTTTCAAGAACAGTGTAATCTGTCAAAAAGTTGTATAGCTAGTGAGTTGCTTTTTCTTCCTTTTTCAATGTTAAAAGATACTTGTGGCCTTCTGTGCAGAAGTCACCAAATTCCTAGTAATTCAAACTGTGACAATCTAATATTCTAATAACCTGCTTAAGAAATGAACCTGTCTGCCCACTCCAACCCTTCCTAGCTAATATCTAACCATCTTTAAGGTTGCCAAAACGTAACAGAACTAATGAAGCATTAAAATATAACTCCACATCAAGCCTTGACCAATAAGCTCTGTGAATATCCCTCCTGATTACTAAAACTTGAGCCTCATCACACCAAAATGACAATCTTATGTTGCATTCAAAACCCGGAACTGCTTTATCCATTGGTACTTCGCACTGGCTGACAAAGAGGAAAAGAAGAGAAAAAAGAAAAAAAACCTAAAATCATGAAGCCCCCAAATAAAGAGCAGACTCACACTCGGACACCAACAGCGCTGCAGCTCAAGGGATTAACGGTGGAAGTGAGACCTTTCCGATATTAATAGCGCCCCGGGAAACAGAAGAATTCCCCCAAACCCAGTTGACACACATTCTGCATTCAACACGTAACAGCCATTCTGCATATATCCTTGCATTTCAGGCTCCAATTCTGGTTATCAAAGTGTATTTCTGTACAGGAGTGCCTGGCCAGAGGTTTTCTGTTCTCTTTGTCTTGTGATCTGAGGGGCAGTTTCTGAGCTTAGGTTAGAGCTGTGGTTTCCAGAGAATTGCCCACGATATTTTAGCTCCGGGTTGCAGGCTCCCTGGCTCTCCCCAGCCGGCTCCATATTGCTGGGCAGGTCCCTCCCGCCTCGCCCCACGTTCCAAAAGCTGGATTTCCGGGCGGTTCCAAGACCCCACTAAATATGCCTCCAACAACCTGCCCAAGCTTGGCTGGCAATAAACGCTGAGTTAGGGCCCCAGCGACCAACCGCCCCGAGGCGCACTTCCCCCACCCCGGAAGAGGAGGGCGGCAAACTTCGGAAGGCGGGGGTTAGGGGACGAGCTCCGGGGACCACCGCCGCCTCGCCCGCCCCGGGAAGGGCCCGGGCAGCGACCCTGGCTGCAGCTGGAGGGCCACGGGGGAAGGGAGCGCTCCTTCCCGCAACACGAAGGCAGCGGCCAGGGCGCTCTCCTCCGGTGAGGGGCCCCGGAAAACTGCAGCAAGGCGACAGCGGGGACCCTCCGAAGTGTGCGGTGACGGAGGGTGGGAGGAAGCCCGAGCTCGTCGGCAACTCCGGGGGCAAATGCGACCGGCGGCGTGCAGGACCAGCTCGCAGGAGGACGGGGGAAACGGGAGTCAGGATGGCGGGGATCTCACAGGACGCCGGCCGCGCGCGGGGGTAGTGCTGCCCGGCGGCCAGGAGATGCCGGAGGCGGGGAGGGCCGGTGGCCAGCCCGCTTCCCCCCGGCGGGGCTCTGCAGAAGGAGAAGCCGCTGCCAGTGACAGGAAGAGAGTCGCGGCAGCCGTGCACACATGCACCGCCTCCCCCGCCCGAGCACACACACCCGGGGCTGCTGCTGCCTACCTACCCCGCCCGCCGGCTTCCTTCCTCTGCGGGGCCCGCGCTGCAGCGGTGGCCTCCTGCCCGCTCGGTTCCGACCGGCCTCCAGCCCGGCTGCGACCCGCCGGCCGTGCCCGATCCGTGCTTGCCGTCTCCGACAGCTAGCCTGCCGCCCTCGCCGCTGCCGCTGCTTCCTCCAACTCCGCTCCAGCTGCTGGCGACTCCTCTCCGTGCGCCCGCAGCTCCAGCGCCCGGCGCTAGCCCCGCCTCCGGCCCGGCCCCGCGCGCCCCGCCCCCGAGCCCACACCAACCAGAGCCCGCGGCTCCGCCCCTTTCCGTCCGCACGGCTCGGGCCTCCGAGCCGGCGGCTGGCAGTGGGGGAGCGAGCTCAGGCCTGGCGGACCCTTCCTGCCACCGCCCTCGCCTTCCGCCCCCCAGCCGCGGGGATGCCCCGGGCGGCCGTGCCGCGCGCTGCCTCCGCTGCGGAGTGCTCTGGCTCTACACGTCCCGGGCCCGCCCGGCTGCTGGGCGTCTCCCAGCGCAGAGGCGGAGGGGTTCGGGGAGGTCGAAGACAAGTTCAGACCTCCCTGGAGGCTGGCTGCGTCTCTAATCCGAGTGTCTTTCAGCCAACCCCAGGCTTTTTCGAGCCCCTAGCGCCCCAGCAGAGTGGCTGGGGTGGGGAGGACTCGGATTCCAGAGCTCGCCAAAGCGGAGAGGCCCTGCAATTCCTGGTCTCGCCAGCACTGCCTTCCGAGTGGGCGGAAAACCCGCGGCACCCGCCTGGCGCTCCGGGGGTGAAGGAGGGGTGAAAGGGTGAACCGGAGGGACGGGCGCCCGCAGCCTGCCGCTGGCTAACTCCGGCAGCCTGGCACCGCCGCCTCCGGGAGCCAGGCGGACCCGCGAGAAGGGAAGAGAGTTTTCTGAGGGCGTACGCTGGCTGATGGCTTCTAGTCCTGAGATGACAGAGCAAATGGAGGTCACTCAGGCAGACCACGGGCCCCTCGGCGTTCGCGGAGTCGGGGGCGGGGTTGGCGGGGGGTGGGGTTGGCGCGGGCGGGGGGGGCGGGGAAGCGCAGGTGAATTACATTGTCTCTTAAAGGTGTTAGTTTTGAAATGCATATTCTTCAAGTAATAATTACCTAAGTTGCTCCAGAAAAATTTGATGTTGGTTCAAACCTTCCACTGATGGTAAGATGGAATGCCAGCACCACGTGTGCCACTCTTTCATATTAAAACATGTGAGAATCTGCTTCCTAAAAGCTCTTTCCAGATTCTCCTTTCTGCAGCTTAAAGCCCTGCACCCGCCCACCCTGTTTGCCTAAAGCCCTTTTATAGTTCCCTCCCAGTTTCCTTGCAAGAAAACTCTTAAAAACAAACACACAAAACCTAAGCACTTGGCCTCTGTAAAACGTTGAATTTGGTGGTTTATTCTTGTGGACGTTGGAAGTAGAGGGAAGAACGTCCTAAAATTCATCGCTTATCCTTAAAAAATATCATTTTTAAAGGTGACTCACCTAACAGAAAAGTAAGCTCCACTTTAGGCTATTCAGACACTGGTGTTTCTATTATTCCAAGATGTCTCTTGCAGAGGCGACACAAAAACAGGCAGCTACCCACATCATGTTTAAGAATACACTTTATCTGAAAGCAAATAGGAAATTTACCAAGGTACCTTCTTCACACCTACTGTGTGAAATGAAGGACTTCATGCATTCTCTGTCTGTAAATGGAATGATATACCTTGCCTTGCAGTAGAATTACTTTGATCCAATCCAATAAGCTGAGATGAAACTGCTGTGACCTTCCCAGTATTTCCTTTAGGTTCCGCTCTGAACAAACTCTAACAGTGAAAACCTTGCTAGTTATCTCCTTCTTCTGGAGATAGCTGGAAAGAGTCTTATGCACTATTGCAGTGGGATTCTGTTCACCCGCAAACCTAAAAACAATAAAATTCCCAAATGCACCTCCTCATTTAGACACAGTCTTTAGTAATTTATTTCCAGCATACATTGTATTTCCTTTACGTTTTTTCATCATAAAGAGTGTCCCAAGGGAAGAAAATAAGGCTCTCTTTTCATATACTAAATAAATTCAGTATTTCATTTGTTTTAAACTGATGATATCTCCCCATATCACTAGTATTAGCATTTTTATTTATTTTCACCTTCAATTGATTTCTATGAAACAAAAGCAAAGGCAACAAAACAGCAGTATTCAAGCTTTTTTAAAAATAATCTTTTTATTTAATAAAATCTAGTCTAGAATCCCCAAATACAACTATAAGATAAGAAGTCATGTAACAAGACCAAGAGGCCCATTGCACCACCTCCCTTCCTTCTGTCTAGAACCTCTGGATCCTTGGACTAGAAACATCTGGATCTCCTGAGAATTTGTTGGAAATTCAAATTGTCCTCACTGAATCAGGAATGCTGAGGGTGGAGCCTAGCAATCTGTATTTTAATAAGCTCTCCAAGTGATCTGATGCATGCCCTATGGTTTCAGAACTATTACTCTAAGGCTTCTGGAAACACTGATTGAAAACCTCTGCAATAAAATACTCACATTAAGTACCCAAACACCATGGTTCAATCAGTAATGGCCAAACTGTTGGCCAGCAGGTAGTGACACCAGCAAGGAGCTCGAAATAGCAGAAGATGTACAATTTGCAACGAAAGGGGTGATACAGGGGTGTCACATACAAGGCATAAGAAGTCAAGGACCCCCCAATGTCAAGAAAGGCTGAGTAGCTATAGGCTGAGAAAGAATTCTCCCCAAAGTATGGTAGGATACTCTCATTTGGCATCATCATTCCAGCTACATCAATATTGTGAGTGCTAGAATTAGCTTTCATTAGACTTGAAACCTAAGAATGTATCTTAGGGTTCAAAGCCAATGTGAAATACAAATGGCTTAGACCTTTACTTCTCAAGTGAGGCCCATAGACCAGCAGCTTTGGCACTATGTAAGAGCTTGTTAGAAAGGCAGAATCCCAGGCCCTATCCCAGGCATACTTAATCAAAATCTGCATTTTAACAAGATTATCAGGTGATTCCTATGCAAGTTAAACTTTGAGAAGCCCTATCTTAGACAGGGGTTCTCAGTTTTCTCTACACATTGCAAATACCTGAGGAGCTTATAAAAATCTCAATACCTGGTCTGCACCCCAGATGGATTACATCAAAATCTCTGGGGTGAAATGCAGGCATTAGTAACTTTTCAAGCTCCTCACATTATTCCAGTGGGAAGCCAGATTTTAGGAACCACTGCTTTGGAGGAGCCACTTAAGAAAGGCGCTATTAGGAAAGCCCTCTGGGTACAGTAGAGTACAAATGGCTGGTCTTAAAGCGGGCAGCTGAACTAGAGTTTAGCTAATTGTTGCCGCACAGGAATGTGAGCCCAAATTTTCCAATTTTCCTAGAGAAGCTGAAAATACAGATTTTTATGGACTATTTTCCAATTATTGAATGCTGGCAATGAATTCAACCTTTTTTAGAAATATAGGTTAGGCCACATTCGTGTGATTTTTTTGAAATGTGGGTTAGGTTAGTGTGATGTTATGATGCTGCACATCATAAAATAAAGTGGGAAAAAAAAATCACCCAAGAAGAGTACTGGCTTCTTGGAATGTAAGCCTCATGATCTAAAGAGTCAAGTGTTTTAAATGTTCTGTTCTCTAACAGAACCAAACACTGTAGGCATTCAATGACTGGGAATTGGTAATGGGTGAGATATCAATGCTTGCAACCCTGGGGCAAAACACTATGGTCTTCTATGCAATATTTTTATTTTCTCTTTCTCCTGCCTGCTAACTGATGTGTTGGGGGTGGGAAAGTAGAATGAATCTTTGCATTACTTAGATTAAAATCTGCACCTATTGTGAGTTATGCAGGTTAATTACATATTAAGAGAAACATGAAAAAATTATTGACTGGAATACTTACTACCTGATATGGTTTGGCTGTGTCCCCACCCAAATCTCATCTTGAGTTGTAGCTCCTATAATGCCTTCATGTTGTGAGAGAAGCCTGGTGGGAGATCAGTGAATCATGAGGGCAGTTTCCCCCATACTGTTCTCATGGTAGTGAGTAAGTGTCACAAGATCTGATGGTTTTATAAAGGGTTTCCCCTTTCACTTGGCGCTCATTCTCTCTTTGCCTGCCACCGTGTAAGACGTGCCTTTCTCCTTCTGCCATGATTGTGAGGCCTCCCCAGCCACATGGAACTCTAAGTCCATTACACATCTTTTCCTTTATAAATTACCCAGTCTCAGGTATGTCTTTATCAGCAGCATGAAAACAGACTCATACAGTAAATTATTACAGCAGCAGTGGGGTGCTGCTGTAAAGATACCTGAAAATGTGGAAGTGACTTTGAAACTGGGTAACAGGCAGAGGTTGGAACAGCTTGGAGGGCTCAGAGGAAAACAGGAAAATGTGGGAAAGTTTGGAACTTTCTAGAGACTTGTTGAATGGCTTTGACAAAAATACTGATAGTGATATTAACAATGAGGTCCAGGTTGAGGTGGTCTCAGATATAGATAAGGAACTTGAGAACTAGAGTAAAGATGACTCTTGCTATGTTTTAGCAAAGAGATTGGTGGCATTTTGGCCCACCCTAGAGATTTGTGGAACTTCAAATTTGAGGGGGAAGATTTAGGGTACCTGGCAGAAGAAATGTTTAAGCAGCAAACCATTCAAGAGGTGACTTGGGTGCTGTTAAAAGCATTCAGTTTTAAAAGGGAAACACATCATAAAAGTTCAGAAATTTTGCAACCTGATGTGATAGAAAGGAAAAACCCATTTTCAGAGGAGACATTCAAGCTGGCTGCAGAAATTTGCATAAGTAACAAGGCACTAAATGTTAATCACCAAGATAATGGGGAAAATGTCTCTAGGGCTTGCCAGAGACCTTTTCCACAGCTGCTCCAACCGTGGCTAAATGGGGCCAAGGTACAGCTTGGGCTGTGGCTTCAGAGGGTGCAAGCCCTAAGCCATGGCAACTTCCACATGGTTGGGCCTGTGGGTGCAGAGAAGTCAAGAATTGAGGTTTGGAAACCTCTGCCCGGATTTCAGAGGATGTATGGAAAGGCCTGGATGTCAAGGCAGAAGTTTGCTGCAGGGGTGGGGCCCTCATGAAGGACCTCTGCTAAGGCAGTACAGAAGGGAAATGTGGGGTTGGAGTCCTCACACAGAGTTCCTACTGGGGCACCACCTAGTG
This sequence comes from Homo sapiens, assembly GCF_000001405.40. NCBI lineage: Eukaryota > Metazoa > Chordata > Mammalia > Primates > Hominidae > Homo > Homo sapiens. Next base: position 68,210,760 of record NC_000005.10, on the reverse strand, counting down.
GAGCTGTGAGAAGAGGGCCACTGTCCTCCAGACCCCAGAATGGTAGATCCACCGACAGCTTGCACCGTGCACCTGGAAAAGCCACAGACACTGAATGCCAGCCCATGAAATCAGCCGAGAGTGAGACTGTACCCTGCAAAGCCACAAGGGTGGAGCTACCCAAGACCATGGGAGCCCACCTCTTATATCGGCATGACCTGTATGTGAGACACGGAGTCAAAGGAGATCATTTTGGAGCTTTAAGATTTGACTGCCCTGGTGGATTTCAGACTTGCGTGGGGCCTTTAGCTCCTTTGCTTTGACCAATTTCTCCCATTTGGTATGGGTGTATTTATCCAATGCCTGTACTTCCATTGTAATCTAGGAAGTAACTAACTTACTTTTGATTTTACAGGCTTATAGGCAGAAGGGACTGGCCTTCTTTCAGGTGAGTCTTTGGACTGTGGACTTTTGAGTTAATACTGAAATGAATTGAGACTTTGGGGGACTGTTGGGAAGGCACTGTTGGTTTTGAAATGTGAGGACATAAGATTTGGGAAGGGCCAGGGGTTGAATGATATGGTTTGGCTGTGTCCCCACCCAAATCTCATTTTGAATTATAGCTCCCATAATTCCCACATGTTGTGGGAGGGACGCAGTGGGAGATAATTACATCACGGGGGTGGTTTCCCCCATACTGTTCTCGTGGTAGTGAATAAGTCTCACAAGATTTGATGGTTTTATAAGGGGTTTCCCCTTTCGCTTGGCTCTCATTCTACCTTTACCTGCCACCATGTAAGATGTGCCTTTCACCTTCTGCCATGATTGCGAGACCTCCCCAACCATGTGGAACTCTGAGACCATTAAGCCTCTTTTCCTTTATAAATTATCCAGTCTTGGGTACATCCTTATTAGCAGCATGAAAATGGGCAAATATACTACCATAGTAAGAATTCAGAAGACCAACAGTACTGTAATTCCCATTCTGTTGTTTCTGAGCTTTTTCAAGCTGTTATTCATGTTGAAGCATTAGAAGGAGAGGAAACTTTAATGTATCCCAGAGAGCAAGTCAGATTACAATCACCTGTACTCAAAGGTCTCTTATCATAATGTATGCTCTAGGGATTTTTTTCTCTTTTAGCTCTTCAGTCCTCATACTTCAGGAATAAGACTCTGAAAATAAGTCAACCAGTATAGAATGGAAGTAAATGAGCCTCATGAGTTATAGTTTCAGATCAATTTTACTCAATATCTGATCCCAAAATCACCTGCAAAAAAAAAACTCACCTGAAAAAAATTAAAATACAATTATCCCAGTTGAGTTGATAAAATATGAAATGTAGAAGATTTCTGTGCTATTTGCTTGAAAGCAAGAGCGAATTTTTATTTTTGTATAAAATACAGCAGCTATCAGACTTCCTGGTACATCATGGGCACTCAGTAAGGGAGAAAGGTCTGAAGGGTGAAAGGAAACTTGACACCAGTTTCTTACATTTGTGGCAGTTGAAACAATAGAATGCAAATGCTGTCTAGATCATCCTTCTGAGGGTCTGGTAAGTCAGAGCCAGATCTGGAAACAGATCAACAGGACCACCCATTAAGCCAATCTGCAAGTGGTGCCAAAACATCTGTGAGCATGAAACAACTGGAAAGCCATATGCGAGGCAAAATAAATCTTGACCCTTATAGCCTACCATATAAAAAATTAACTTAAAATGGATCATAGACCTAAATTTAAGAGCTAACACAATACTTCAAAAAATTAAAAAAAAAAAAAGGTTTGGAAAAGATTTCTTAAATATCAGGACCAAAAAAGCTTGAGCTTAAGAAAAAAACAAAATCAGTGAATTGGCCTTTCATTAAAATTGAGAATTTTGATCTTCAAAAGACACTGTCATGACAATGAAAAGCCCTATCTTGGGAGAAAATGTTTTCTTTTTTTGAAACAGAGTCTCACTCTGTCACCCAGGCTGGAATGCAGTGGCACAATCTTGGCTCACTGCAACCTCTGCCTCCCAGGTTCAAGCAGTCTTCCTGCCTCAGCCTCCCAAGTAACTGGGACTACAGGCACGTGCTACCATGCCTGGCTAATTTTTTTATTTTTAGTAGAGACAAGGTTTCACCATGTTGGCCAGGCTGGTCTCAAACTCTTGACTTCATGATCTGTCTACTTCAGCCTCCCAAAGTGCTGGGATTACAGGCATGAGCTACCACGCCCGGTGGGAGAAAATATTTTCAAAATACATATGCAACAAAGAACTTGTATTTAAAATACATTAGGAACTCTTACAACTTAATTTAAAAAAAAAAACTGCAGTTTTTTTTAAATGGGCAAAAGACTTGCACAACACTTTATGAAAGAAGGTATATAGGGCTGGGTATGGTGGTTCATGCCTGTAATCCCAGCACTTTGGGAACACAAGGTGGGCAGACTGCTTGAGCCTGGGAGTTTAGGACCAACCTGGCCAACACGGCAAAACCCTGTCTCTACACAAAATACAATAATTAGCTGAGAGTGGTGGCATGTGGCTGTGGTCCCCACTACTTAGGAGCCTGAGGTGAGAGCATTGCTTGAGGGAGGCAGAGGCTACAGTGAGCTGAGATCTTGCCACTGCACTCCAGGGCCAGGGGAACAAAACAAAGCAAATAATCAAACAAAAACAGTGTCTCAAGCCTATAATCCTAGAGCTTTGGGAGGCAGAGTCTGGAGGATTGCTTGAGGCCAGGAGTTCAACACCAGCCTAGGCAACATAGCAAGATCCTGTATCTCCAAAAAATAAAATAAATTTAAGAATTAGCTGCCGGGCATGGTGGCTCATGCCTGTAATCCCAGCACTTTGGGAGGCCGAGGAGGGCAGATCATGAGGTCAGGAGATTGAGACCATCCTGGCTAACATGGTGAAACCCCATCTCTAGTAAAAATACAAAAAATTAGCCAGGTGTGGTGACGGGCACCTGTAGTCCTAGCTACTCCAGAGGCTGAGGCAGGAGAATGGCATGAACCTGGGAGGCAGAGCTTGCAGTGAGCCGAGATCATGCCACTGCACTTCAGCCTGGGCGACAGGGCAAGACTCCAACTCAAAAAAAGAAAAAGAAAAAGAAAAGAAAGAAAGAATTAGCTGAGTATGGTGGTATGCACCTGTAGTCCTAGCTACTTGGGAGGCTGAGGCAGGAGGATTGCTTCAGCCCAGGAGTTCAAGACTGCAGTGAGCTAGGATTCAGCCACTACGCTCCAATGTAGCCCATAGACTGAGACCCTGTCTCTGAAAAAAGAAAAAAGATATATGGATGGCAACCAAGTTCATGTATAGAAGCTCAACATCTTTAGTCATTAGGGAAATGCAAATTAAAATCATAATGAGAGGGGACTCAAATAGATACTTGTAAGCCAATGTTCACAGCAGCAGTACTCAACAACACACAAAAGTTGGAAACAATCCAAGTATTTATTAACATGAATGGATAAACAAAGTGTGGTGTATCTATACAAAGGAATATTATCCAACCATAAAAAGGAAGAAAGTTGTTACACATGCTACAACATGGATACACTTTGAACATATTATGCTAAATGAAATAAACCAGTCATAAAAGGACAGATATTGTATGAGTCTTCTTATGTGAAATATCTAGAATAGATGAATTCATAGAGACTGAAAATAGAGATTATGGGATTTGGTGAGTGGGAATGGGAATTTATTGCTTAATGGGTACAGTTTCTGTTTGAGATGAGCAATTTTGGAATAGATAGTGGTGATGTTTAACAGCATTGTGAATGTAATTAATACCACTACATTGTACACTTAAAATGGTTAAAATGGCAAATTTTATCTTATATATTTTAACTCAATAAAAATTTAAAAAATAATTAAGGGCCAAATATATATAAAGGGAATGTATTATCCTGTTTTCACACTGCTATAAAGATAATACCAGAGACTGGGTAATTTACAAAGGAAAGAGGTTTAATTGACTCACAGTTCTACATGGCTAGGGAGGCCTCACCTCAGGAAACTTACAATCATGGTGGAAGGTGAAGGAGAAGCAAGGCACAACTTCAAAAGGCAGCGAGAGAGAGAGAGAGAGAACATAAATGAAGGGAAAGTGCCACACTTTTAAACCATCAGATCTAGTGAGAACTCTCTCACTATCATGAGAACAGCATGAGAAAAACTGCCTCCATGAACCCATCCCCTCCCATCAGGTCCCTTTCTCAACATTCGGGGATTACAATTTGAGATGAGATTTGGGTGGGGGATACAGAGCCAAACCATATTAGGGACATTATTTTGTATTCTCTAGGTACCCAATAAATACTTTCTGAATTAAAAAAGAAAACACAGTGAGATATGACCACATATCCATTAGAATGGCTAAAATTATAAAGGTTGATAATACCAAGTGTTGCCAAGGATATGGAACAGGTGCAACTCTGTAACTCTGGTGATGGTAATGTAAAATGATGTAATGAAGAAAACAGTTTGGCCATTTATTTAAAAGTTGAGCATACATCCACTGTAAGATCCAGTGATTCCACTTCTGTGTATTTGCCCAAGAAAAATAAAAACATGTGTCCATACAAAATTTTGTGGATATATATTCATGGGAGTTTTATTTTTAGTAGCCCCAAACTGTAAATAACCGAAATGTCCATTAACAGGTGAAAGAATAAACAAATTATGGTATTCCCATACAGTGGAATACTACTTGGCAAAAAAAAAAAACAAAAAAAACAAACAAAAAAAAAAAACAAACAAACAAAACACCAAACTTCTTTTTGTTTTTTTTTTTTCCAGAGCTAGCAGAGGTTTTATTTTGGACAAAAAAAAAAAAAAAAAAAAGCAATTGAATTGTTTTGTTGCTGGAGGCATGGGCAAGGGGGGTGCCCCAGAGAGTAAACTCCCCTATGTGGGCTTAGGGATAGGGCTGAGCCTCAGGTGGGTCTCCTGTTCCCTGTGCTCCCCTGCGCAGTGGCTTTTCTCATGGGCTCTGGGGCAGCTGCAGGAAGGATAGGCTGGGAGGGGCTGCTGTGGCTGTTCACTTGAGCAGGACGTCAGAGGACTTGGATACCAGCTTCCCATCATGGGTCTTGATCTTCTTCACAACCACAGCCCTGAAAACCCCAAACTATTGATACACACAACATGGATGAATATCAAAATTATGATGTTAATACAAAGAAACAAGATAAGAAAAACAGTATATGTACAACTTGGTTTTATTTTTTATAAAATTCTAGAAAATCCAAACTAATCTGTAACAGAAAGCAGTCCAGTGGGTTTCTGATGCCTCACTGGGATGAGGCAGGAGTGAAAAGATGGTTGAGTTATAAAGGGCACGCAGAGACTTTTGGGGGTGAAGGCTATAGTTTCCTGAGTATTTGCATATGTCAAAACTCATTAAATTGTACACTTCAAATATGTGTAGTTTATTATATATCAATTATATCTCAATGAAGTCATAAGAAAAATAGAAAACTATAAAGCTCTTCTTCCTCATGATGTTCTAATTTCATCAAGTCAGAAAATTATTAGGAAATACTGATTTTGTTAAGTACAATGAGAATTTTCTAATATCTGCCAGAAAGTTGTCATAAGAAATATTCAAATCTACAAGGTTTGTCTTGTGACTGATGCTCCCTTTCATATGATGCTCTTGTCCAGTGCACAGCCAGTACCTCCATGAATAGCAGCCTGAAATCGTGTTCACAGAACCCCCTTCCCAATACTAGGAAAACCTGGCAGCAGAATTATTCATTGATAAGTTGTTTTTAAAGAGCATAGATTCAGAGTAAATGATGGTGGAGAGTCTTGAGGGATATTTCATCTTGGCTTTGGAAAACCCTATTGAAGTGTCCCAGTCACCCAAGCGAGTCCATCTTCCTAGTGAGCAGAATGTTTCATCCCCCATCCCAGGAACCTTCTCCCCTGGACTGCCTGATAAACATGAACTCACTCTTATTCTCTGGCTTCCTTTTGTGTAGGTTCTACACAGCCACTCCATTAGATTACAACTGTGTTACAACACTTACAGTACACTTAGCGTTCAGCTTCTTCAGTTAACATAATACTCTAGTCCCACCTCTTAGAGACTAAAACTTAATCCCTATGTTCAGATTTGGGAGATACCAGATTTTCTCCACCATTTAAAGACTCTGTCAGACTGAGTCATCACGTGTTCATTGTTGTATTGATTTCTTTCTCAGAAGGTCACTTTTCCCAAAGTTTTGGACCTACCTTTCTCCAACAAAAGCAACTCTTTTAGATCCATAAGGAATGTGTTAGTTGAACTAAAGATGCAATTCTGAAACATTCTACTATGCTTATCTGAAAATGAGCTTGTGTTTGAAAAGTGACAAGGAGCGTAAACATGATGAAGAGCAAGCTAATAAATTATATTTCTTAGAGATTCAACTAATAGGAAATTTAGCCCATGGTTGGTTATATTCCACACCCAAGCCTTGAGCACTGGCACAAATTATCAGGGTGCTGTTACAACTGTCTGGGTAAAAGGATTTGCTTGAGTATGTTCATGTTGGCACTGCTGGCGTAAAAATTAAGGGCAAAGTCACACTGATAGATAATGAGCCCTTTATCAAGGAAACTGTGTTGGACAATCTCACTGCTCAGAAAGAATTTTTCAAAAGAAACCCCAGCCTTTGTTCCCTCCACTGGAGGGGACCCAGAGATGTCAGTGCTGCCGACAGAACCTGGCCCCTAGCATTCAAACAAGCTCATAGAATAAAGGAGACACATTCCCATCAGCCTCCCCAGTCTAGCTCCTATCGTATAGACTTTTCTCTGAATCCTGCTAAGCTATGTGCAAAGAAAACACTTTAGATCAGGCAAAGCTGTATTCTGACAATACTGATTTTTTCAAAAGGGTTAGAATTTTTCATTTAAACACTTAAACCCGTTGTTGGTACATGCATCACAATGTTAACAAGGATTTCCTTTCTGTTATAAATAGAAAGCAACAACTTTCTATTTGGAAGAATGACTTCGGAAAGAGTGACTATGGATAGTTTAGGATGTTTTAGAAGTTATTAGATTCTTTAAATACTAATGTGTTTGAAAAAGGTAGCTTATGTTTTCTATTTGAAGAAGGGAACCATGCTTACGATGGTTGTGGTATTCAATTTTAATGTTTCAAGAGGGCTTTTACGGGTTGGTGGCGGTGGCTCATGCCTGCAATCCCAGCACTTTGGGAGGCTGAGGTGGGCATGTTGCTTGAGCTCAGGAGTTCGAGACCAGTCTGGGAACATGGTAAAACCCCATCTCTACCAAAACTACAAAAAATTAGCTGGGCTTGGTGGCATGAGCCTGTGGTTCCAGCTACTTGGGAGGCTGAGGTGGGAGGATCGCTTGAGCATAGGAGGCAGAGGTTGCATTGAGCCAAGATTGCACCTCTTCACTCCAGCCTGGATGACAGAGTGAAACCCCATCTCAAAATAAATAAAAAAAAAAAAAGAAAGAAAGAAAGAGGGCTTTTACATGAATGGTTTTATTTGACGCACCAGCCCTGGGTGGTAAGCAGAGCATGTATCATGATTTTCATTCTATAGATGAAGAAAAAGACTTGGGAAAACTCCATGGTTTGGCATAGGTGGGAAGCAACAGAACCAAATCTACCCTTGGGTCTTCTGACTCTTCGAGCAGCACGTGCTGCCTCACTGTCTGATGATTCTTCCATCTGGGTTAATGTGCTCCTTATTCTAAATCCGTGTTGTGTTCCTTCCAGGTAACTTTCAGTCTAACTTCTGTAATTATTAACTGACCTATCATTACCACAAACCTAGGATAAATTTTGAAAGGGCCCAAAAAGGCTTTGGGCTAATTAACACAGAGTTTCAGACCTCTTGGATCACCTAATCTCTCTACTTCAGGAATATTGAACTATAGAATTGGCAAGTGCTACATATATCTAATTTAACTGTTTTTCAGATAAGAAAACCAAGACCCTTATCTCTATAATACAAAGTTAGTTAATGCTTCAAGTCACACAGCTAGTTAGTGACAGAACCATGAGAAGAACCTAAGTCTAAATCCAGGTCCATGGTATACACCTGTAGTCCCAGCTACTTGGGAGGCTGAAGCAGGAGGATGGCTTGAGGCTAGGAGTTCAAGGCCGCAGTGAGCTATGATTGTACCACTGCACTCTAGCCTGACAGAGTGAGACCCTGTCTCTGAAAAAAATATATATAGTAAAATAAAAAATAAATCCAGGGCCTGGCATGGTGGCTCATGCCTGTAATCGCAACACTTTGGGAGGCCGAGGCGGGCAATCACAAGGTCAGGAGTTCGAGACCAGCCTGACCAATATGGTGAAAACCCATCTCTACTAAAAATACAAAAAAATTAGCCAGGCGTGGTGATGCATGCCTGTAATCCCAGCTACTCAGGAGGCTAAGGCAGGAGAACTGCTTGAACCTGGGAGGCAGAGGTTGCACTGAGCCGAGATTGCGTCACTGCACTCCAGCCTGGGTGACAGAGCGAGACTCCATCTCGAAAAAATCAATCAATCAATCAATCCAGGCCTCATTGTTCTAGCTCATGGCCTCACTGTTATCATTCCAGTTTAGCTAATGCCTGGGAAATACCTGCCAAATATGGCAGGCACCATTGACTTATTGAAGAAAAGATTTATGACTTGTATACATGATTACAGGACTGTCAACAATACCCTTGTAAAAGATTAATAATCTTGTACAAAATTTGGGCACCATGCCACATGAAAAACAGGAGGAACCAGGCAGGTTGATGTTGCAATCCAAGGCAAAACTCACTTAAACCTGAAATGCTATAAAATACTCTATCACATAATTTTACCATACGACTGTGGCAGAGGAGTTGGCAATTACTGCTCTTTTTTCAGTCACTGAATTTGGAGGGAAAAGAGAATACACATCTGTTCCTAAGCCCTTTACCTGTCCGGGAGTGTTTGCACACACCATCATTTCCACCACCATCACCACCTCCATTCGCCAATCCATATTGGGTCCCATTAAAATGATATGTTAATATTTCCCTAATTCCCATACCAATTTCCATGTAATACTATAAACCTGGTATTACTACATACAAAATAGCCAAAACCAGCCAGACACAGTGGCTCACACTTGTAATCCTGGCACTTTGGGAGGCCGAGGTGGGTGGATCACCTGAGGTCAGGAGTTTGAGACCAGCCTGGCCAACATGGCGAAACCCTGTCTCCATTAAAAATAAAAAATTAGCCAGGCATGGTGGTGCGTGCCTATAATCCCAGCTACTCGGGAGGCTGAGGCAGGAGAATTGCTTGAACCTAGTAGGGGCGGAGGTTGCAGTGAGCCGAGATTGCGCCACTTCACTCCAGCCTGGGTGAAAGAGTGAAACTCCATCTCAAAAAATGATAATAACAGTAATAATAAATAAATAAATATCCAAAACCTAGCGTTCTCCCTAACACGAGGCTCAGTACTTTGGCAGAGGTGGCTTCGCCAAGTTTTTCTTTTTCGTACTTTCTTCAGAAACTTCTTGGCTTATCAACAAGTTACCTTGCAGAAGGCTGCAAGATCATTTGGCTTTAGAGTCAAAGTAATACCATGCAAGTGGCCACTAGAGTCAATAGTTTGAGGTGGGCCAAGTTTGTGTGTTTTTGCTCTGGTAAAAAGATTTGACAATATCTATGATTACAGGTAGAAAGTTCACAAATAGAGGAGTGCTTTATACATAGTAATTCATTTAGTCCCTACAAACAACCTATGAGGTAGATGTTTTACAGATAAGAAAATTGTGGCACAAAGAGATTAGTAAGCAGGTAGAACTGAGTTTTGAACTCAAGCAAATCGGCTCTAGACAGCATCCTCTAAACCTGGCGTCTGTAAACTACACTCTGCAGGCCAACTCTGGCCCACCACCTGTCCTTTAAATGACTTTTGAAGTTGTCTGTGGCTGCTTTTCTGCTACCATGGCAGAACTGAGTAATTGCAATAAAAACTGTATGACCCACAAAGCCTAAAATATTTACTATCTGGTTCTTTACAGAAAAAGTTTGCTGACTCTTGCAGTAAATTATACTGGAAAATAATAGGGACTGTCCTTCTCCCGCTTTAAAAAATAAAAATGCAGAGCAGGTGTGGTGGCTCATGCCTGTAACCCCAGCACTTTGGGAGGCTGAGGCGGGTGGATCAACTGAGTCAGGAGTTCAAGACCAGCCTGGACAACGTGGCAAAACCCGATCTCTACTAAAAATACAAAAATTCGCTAGGTACAGTGATGGATTACACTGAATGAGAGGTGCAGGCCAGGACTAGGACTCAATTCTGCAACCCACAGATCTGTTATGTTTCAGTTTCAAGTTTCAGTTAGTACCATGGCAGGGATTTGTTGAAAATGAGTTAGGAGCAAAACTGGAAAGAATGATAGATACCATCCAGTGGATGAAGAATGAAGTTAAAGTTAAGTACAGGGGGGCCAAAAGGAAGGAAACAGGGACTGTGCTGATAATTGGGGCACAACAGCCCCCAAGACAAACTATATCTGCTTCACAGCTTTGTCAAGGGCTAGCCCTGGCAGGGCCACTCAAGCCTGCTTGGACTCCTAGTCTCTGACTTCTGTTTACACTGATGTGCATTGTCTACTGGACACTTAAGAATGGATTATTTTATAAATGTCATTAGCCATATATATGTTCAGTCCTAACTAGATTATAAATTCCTTGAGGGAAAGTCCATTTAAGTCATGACCACATGGGGTATGGTCTGTCTCTCTTTCCTGCAGGAGAAGGCTGTACACTGGGAAGTCAGAAGGAAAGTATTGGCCTGATTATTTCCTTACATTTTTCAATGTCCTTCCACAAGAAGGCTCATAAGAGATCTTTATTTGTGATCATTTTCATCACCAGTAGTGTGCATAGCCCTCATTTCATCTTAGAGCTTCAAAAGAATACATATTGAGACCAGCTTCTTTATGACTTGTCATCTCACATGTTCTCCTTTATTTCTAAAGGAACAAAGTACATATTTTCCCAAATGCAATTGAAATTTCAACTCCTGCTATTTCTTTTAGAGCTTTGGAGAGTCTTAGTGTTAATCAAATGAAAATGAAAAGAACTAGAATTTGTTATATAATTTTCCATCTACAGAAATGCAAATGATATTTAAAATTAGGATAATTTCAGAACTAGTGCATTGCTTTGTTGAAAGAATCAGTTCAAACATCATAGTTCATATCATAGACAAATGCAAATCTCTTGGCATACATCATTATCAAATATAAAATTTTTAAAAATTTGGAAATTTCAGCTGCCTTAATAATAATTAAAAAAAAAATCCACTAGTTCAGGGAGATGAAATATTTTGCATAACTATCAGCCTTTTTAGGATTGTCTTCAGTTAGATCTTGAGGATCACACATGTTAATTTACTTAGTTGGGATGTAATGGCAAACTTGCATGTTTTGCTCAGTCCCTGCTCTTTTGGGTCTTGCAAATCAAGTCCTAAGGGAATCCCCTGAGACTATCAAGGGGGGTATCCATTTTGGCCACAGTTCAGTAACATATATGAATCAAAGTGGGATAGTTACAGCTTTTTCCCCAGCTCCGACTTCCTGGCTACAGTGGATTGGTCTGAAGAAGGACAGATAGTCTACTTGAGTTTCTACCCCAGGATTTTAGGTTTTGTACTGAAAGAGTTAAGATTGTTTCCCTCTGATGTCTGAGCTCTAGGGCTTAAACCTCAGGAGCTGTCACTTGTCATATTTTTGTTCATGTTAAGAAGAAAAGTGATGGGAGCTAGTTTCTGAGAACAGAGAAAGAAAAACAAAGCAGATGCACAAGAGAAGAAGAGCTGGGGAGAGGGAACTGTGAAGTCATGAGTTCGTGATTCTAGCTTTTCCTTAACTCTAGCCACAGATTTATTCTTATATTCCATAAGATACCTTTATATTCTTATAATAATGTTATTTTTGTTTAAACTCATTGGAGTGTGGTTTCTGTTACTTGGCATTAAATATCTTCAGAAATACATAATAGACCGGGTGCAGTGGCTCACGCCTGTAATCCCAGCACTTTGGGAGGCTGAGGTGGATGGATCACCTGAGGTCAGGCATTCAAGACCAGCCTGGCCAACATGGTGAAACCCTGTCTCCACTAAAAATACAAAAAATTAGCTGGGGGTGGTGGCGGGTGTTTGTAATTCCAGCTACTCGGCAGGCTGAGGCAGGAGAATTGCTTGAACCCAGGAGACGGAGGTTGCATTGAGCCGAGATAACACTACTGCACTCCAGCCCAGGTGACAGAGTAAGACTCTGTCTCCAAAAAAAAAAAAAAAAAAGGAAATACATAATATCAAAAATTTTAAAGAGAAGATGAAACAAATAGTTTTGCTAAGAAAGTAGTTATACTTTATGAGAAGTTTATTTTCTTATCAATAAGCTTCTTCAAGTTACAATCGAGGGCTGATTAAGTAGGCCAATGACACGGACTTAGCATGTTCAATAGTTCAAGATTGAGTGAGTTCAAAGGTATTTTTATTGTTGCTTTTGTGGTTATTGTTGCTGTTGTGTGTTTTAATGAATAATCCTTAGCAAGGACTGGTAAATGAAGTACGGGTGACCTACAGAAAAGAGAGGTAAAGAACATGCATGACAAAATGAAAGCAAACCTCACATGCCCAAATGAAAACGTACCCTCACTCTAAACATTTCTGATTCTAGTCCTCGTCCCTGTATCAACAAGTGGCACAATTATCCATCTTGTGTGAGCAGAACACTGATAGTCATTTGCTCTCTTTTTTCCCATTATAGAATCCATCATTTCATCATTCTGCCAGTCTCAGTGTTTTAACCAACTAAAAATCTTGTAAATATATGTATGTTTTTCATCTCCGTTGATGCTACCCTAATCCTCACCTGCACCATTTATCAATAGCAGTCACTGGCTAGACACAGTGGCTCATGTCTATAATCCCAGCACTTTGGGAGGCCGAGGCGGGTGGATAACCTGAGGTCAGGAGTTTGAGACCAGCCTGGCCAACATGGCGAAACCCCATCTCTACTAAAAATGTGAAAACTAGCTGGGCGTGGTGGCAGGCGCCTGTAATCCCAGCTACTTGGGAGGCTGAGGCAGGAGAATCACTTGAACCAAGGAGGCAGAGGTTGCAGTGAGCCGAGATTGTGAGATTGCACTCCAGACTGGATGACAAGAGGGAAACTCCATCTCAAAAAAATAAAAATAAAAAAATAGTTGTCACTGAATTGGTCTCCTTTTTGAACTCTCAATCACTAGCATTGATAACTCCATGGTTCTAGCCAGAGGATGCTTTTTGAAATGTAAATCTGGAAATGGCTTCCAACTCCCTCTAAAGATTCATAGCATACATATTATCTTCAAACATTTTAGTGACTTCTCATTGCTATAGGTCAATGATTCTCACCCTTGTTTTCATGATAAAATCACCTGAAAGCTTTAAAAAAAATACTTATGCCTGGTTCTCACTTCCAGAAGTTTGGATTTGATGGTTCTGGAATGGGATCCTTTAATCAGTATTTTAAAATGCTTTGTAGGTGGTTCTGACATGTAGCCGAAGTTGAAAATAACTGCTCTAGGCATACAGGCCAGAATCCTGATCACAGGCTTACACAATCTTGCCCCCGCTTACTTCTCTTCGCTCGTCACATATCACACCCCCATCCTCTGTTCTCCAGCCATGCTGGTCTTCTTTCGGTTCCTCAAAATCACCACACTCCTTCCTGCTGCTGACTGGGCTTCTGAGCATGTTCTTTCTGTGGAGAACATCCCTGCTTCTTCCGATCTCAGCTCTGCACCACTTCCTTAGGGAAGCCTTCCTTGATCTCTCTGACTAGGTAAATTCCAGGTCCTGGGGTCATCAAACTCTGCACCTTTTCCTTGTGGCATTTGTCACAGTATAGTTTTATATTTATATGTAACTCTTTGAATAATGTTTGTCTTCCCCACTAGAGTATAAACTCCGTGAGGGCAGGGACCATGTTGCCTTTACTCTCCACTGTTATCTCTGCTCTCTATTCTACATTGGGAATGAAGGAGACTCTCTATGTGTTGAGTGATCAAGTGAGCAGTTCGTGATGGGGAGGGTAATGATTACTGAGGGTATTACCGAGGGTAGCCCAGCTGGTTGAGGAATTAAAATTCAGCACCGGCCAGGCGTGGTAGCTCATGCCTGTAATCACAGCACTTTGGGAGGCCAAGGCGGGTGTATCACCTGAGGTCAGGAGTTCGGGACCAGCCTGGTAAACATGGAGAAACCCCCCTCTCTCCTAAAAATACAAAAATTACCTGGGCATGGTGGCCTGCGCCTGTAATCCCAGCTACTCGGGAGGCTGAGGCAGGAGAATCACTTGAACCTGGCGGGGGCGGAGGCTGCAGTGAGCCGAGATCATGCCACTTTACTCCAGCCTGGGCGAAAGAGTGAAACTCGGTTAAAAAAAAAAAAAAAACAACTAATCAGCACCAAGATGTTTATTACAAAACCAATAAAAATATTAAAGGGAAACCCAAGTCTTGAGCGGAATGGACAGTACGAAACTCTAAGGGACATGTGGTTGATGGTTAGGGGAGAGGGTGGAAAAAGGCTCTGGAGAGCGGAAGATCTGGAGGGGAGGCCTCTGACCCAACTGGATCTGGTCTTCCATTTATCCCCTGTAGTATTCTACCTGAGACGCAAGGGGTATGGTCTGAAAGCAGAAAAGAACCTTTGCCCAGTATTCCCATAGGACTTGGCAGTGCAAGGCAGCACCTCTATGGGATCACTGGGCCAGGCTGTGTGTTTGTTTGGGTGACAGAGAGAGGACTCACCCAGCAAAGAAACACCTAGTTTGGTAGTTAGTCTTGGAACCACACTCCCTACTTTCAAATCAAAGTGACCTTAGGACAAGTTACTTATGTTCTCTGTGTTTCTGTTTTCAAATTCTAGCATGGGGATAATAACAGTAACTACCTCACTGCATGTCTAAAGATTATATGGATATAGTCTCTTTGGCATAGCAGTTAAAAATTTAATGAATTCTATCTAAAACAAGCACAAAGATCCTTCTTCAACCATTGTTTTTACAGTTTTATTTCTACTCTAAGAACTCTGCCATGTTTTCCACTTTTGCTTCTGTGTTGGTAGAGCTGCAGTTGGAGCCCGGGTAATTGCATGCTATTAACCTCAACAGCACACAGCCTCCACCATGCAAGCCAAACTTGCTAGCATCCATGAGTAAAAGCTACTGGTTTCTGAATAAGACCAAAGTGAAGCACATTTATGATTCCTGAATTTCATATAAATCATAATTGTGCAGATGATTTGCCTTCGAGCTGCAAACACCAAAATGTGATTGATGTCTGAGAATGTCTGTGAAGCTTTGCTGTAACTCCAAGCCCTATTAATACCTCCGATGACAAGTCTATTAATTCATGAAGTGAAGATGGAGAGCTCGCACCAGCATTCCTTCCTAGGATGGTCACAGAATCAGTAATGTTACATAGAACATCCTCCCTTTGGTTTCATGTTATGAGTGTACATTGTATTCCATACAGGGACAGGGATAAGGGATAATGGGGCAGGGATAAGGGGGGCATCCCATTTATTTGCATGCCCCAAAATGAAATGCTCTGAGCAAAGAGTAAATCCTAAGGAGAACTGGGTACACCGTACATATTTGGTAAAACAGGGTTAACCAGAAAATCATTTCTATTACAAACACACAAATTCTATGAAATTTCAATTTGACTAGTGCTCAACGGAAAAGGAGTGTGATAGTTAGCTTTATATGTTGACTTAACTGACCATGGGATGCCCAGGTATTTGGCCAAAGATTATTCTGGGTATTTCTATGAGGGTTCTTTTGGACAAGATTAACATTTGAATCAGTTGACTCAGTAAAGTAGATTGCCCTCCTTAACGTGGATGGGACTCATCCAGTCAGTTGAAGGCTGAATACAGCAAAAAGGCTGGTGCTACCATGTGTAAGAGGGAATTTCCTTCTGGCTGACTACCTAGAGTTAGAACATTAGTTTTTTCCCCCACTGCATTCAGGTTCTAACAGAAACATTGGCTCTTTCTGGGTCTTCAGCCTGCCAGCATTTAGACTAGACACACCATCAGCTCTTCTGGTTCTCAGGCTTTGGACTCAGACTGGAACTATACTATCAGGTATCCTGGATCTCCAGCTTGCTCACTGCAGCTCTTGTAATGTGCCAGCTTTCATAATCACACGAGTCAATTCCTTAAAATAACTCTCTTGCCCCCTACACTCACACCACACACCACACACACACACACACACACACACACACACATCCTATTGGTTCTGTTTCTCTGGAGAACACTGACCAATACAAGGAGCTTAGAAGGTTTTTCTGCCTTAGTAAATACAGGAGGTCAAATGTTATCGAACTTTTTTTTTTGGTAATGAAGACTCAGAGTATTTTGGAGAAATACTAAACATTGTGAACCTGAGTCATTCCCCATACAATGGTGTTAGGAAAAGAAGCGGAATTAACATGTACTGAGTGCTCACTATAAGCCAGACATTCACACAAACATCAATTCAATGAATTGACTTAAAGAAATGTTGACTGACCTAAGAAATTAGTTCCATATACTAGCTCTATTATTCACCTTTCCTAATAAATATGAAATTTTCCAAATTGAAAAAGTCTTGAATATGGTCCTGATACAAGCTAAGGAAAGAGCCTTCTTTAGTTAAGGGAAGCTTGGCAAACTTCAAAGGAGAAGGTGTGATTTCTTTTCTTTTGTTAATCAACTGGGTGATCACTTTAAAAATACTATACTTCCTGACAAAACTGCATCATTGTGATGCAAAATAGATGACTTGGCATTTTGCATTCCTGACCCCAAAGGGCTGGAACGACGTCTTACATCAAAGTATGATGGGTTGCCCCCTGGAAATACAATGGATCACTGTTGCAGGTTTAGGCAGGCTCAGGGACATCTCCATTTCCTCACAGGCTTTTTGTAAATCACAGGAAGCCTTCTAGACTCAGCACTGCCCCAGACATAGAAACTACAAGATCTTATTGCAAGGCATGAAGAAAGGGTCAGGAAGTTAGTTTTTTTGACCTATATCTGAAGAGAGCAACTTGGAGTCCCACAGCCTCCTGGTGAGATCTTTCTGGGTCTTTTCTTTATCTGCCTGATGGAATAAATAGAAAGGTCAGGGAGGAAAAGAATTCTTGCTGAGATCAACAGGTTGGCAGAAGTATCACTTCCTCACCCTCATGTATAAAAATGACCTAACGCCCACAATGTCCCTGCAATTTTTGATAAAGTCATAACCCCAAACAGTAACCGAGAAAACAATATTTTGTTATGGACAAGAAACAATGCCTGGAATTGCTTTTGATAGCAAAAACCGCAAATACTTTGCACCAACATAATACAACTAGAGACCATACCTTTATCACTTGGTTAGGTCACTTAACTTCTCTGGGCTTCAGCTATGAAACTGGGGTGGGGTGAGGAGGGCTGGGAGGTACAAGGTAAAGGGTGGGACTACAGGATTTCTGAGACTCCTTTACCTTGGGAAAAAAACCAAGGTTTTCTATTATCTATATATATAGTTGTATTATCAGCATGATAAGCCATCTAACTTATCAAAAGAAAAATTTGGCAGCCACAAAATCCCTCCTTCATGTGGATGGCAGGAGTTCATGGCTTGTCAGCCTTTGGTTCAGTTTAACAAATATTTGGCTGCATTTGCTGTAACACATACCCTGTGCTAGGTTCTGGAAGCACAAAATGAACTCAAAAACTACTGGGGTCTTTAGCTAAAGAGAATACATGCTGAGCTGTTTGCGAAGAAAAACACAAAAGCACATGTATGGCAGTTTAAAAATGTATCTGCAAGTTATTTGATACTCCTCCCATCTAGAGAGGTCCAATCTTAGTGACTCAATAGGAAACAGTTGAACCTTGTAGTGATGCTGTGTGATGTCTGAGGCTGGCTGGAAAAAGCCCTTGTCTGATTCTCTTGAGCCTTTCTGGAGAAAGTCTTCCGCCATGTAAAAAGTCTGATTACCCTGAGACAGCCATGCTGGTGTAGATACGCTTATTAGCCTCTGCCAAGCTCACTGCAGACATGTCAACTGCTGGACCTATGGCAGAGCTGGGCCTCAACTGCTGGACCTATGACAGTTGATCCTTATGTCACTGGAGCCAGAGTCAACATCTGACTGCAACTGCATGAGAGAACCCAACAGAGAGCTGCCTGGACTGAGTACTTCCTGAATTCCCAGAAAACCGTGAACAAAATGAAATGAAGGTTTTAAGCTACTGGTTTGGGGGAGTAATTTATTATGTAGTAATTGTTAACCAGTATGGTATCTTCAGTGATATTATTCTTAAGATAACTCATTCAGGCCCTGCGCGGTGACTCATGCCTGTAATACCAGCACTTTGGGAGGTCAAAGAGGGCGGATCACTTGAGGTCAGGAATTCAAGACCAGCCTGGCCGACACGGTGAAACCCCATCTCTACTAAAAATACAAAAATTAGCCAGGTGTGGTGACAGGCGTCTTGTAATCCCAGCTACTTAGGAGGCTGAGGCAGGAGAATCGCTTAAACCTGGGAGACAGAGGTTGCAGTGAGCTTAGATCACGCCACTGCACTCCAGCCTGGGCAACAGAGTGAGACCCTGTCTCAAAAAAAAAAAAAAAAAGAAAGAAAAAAAGATAAGTCATCCAGAATCAAAGTTAATACAGAAACATTTATATTTAATTATTTTCCCCAATGGTTATAGACTATGCTCAAGAAGAGAAAGATAACAATGGTGTAATTGACCTAAGAACCTCGTAAACTGGATCATGCAATGTTTTAAATGACTTTTTTTTTAAGTATAACCTTGAAAAGCAGCTTAAGTTTCTTCAAACTAGAAATATATTCATGGAACATAAGTATTCTGAAAAAACAATATTCAATTTAAGAAAAATAAAACAAAGATGACCCTTTAAATTACAGCTACAGTTGTCTTATTTCACATTATCAGTGCTTTTCAGAACAACTGAATTTTTTGTTTTTGTTTGAAAAAAAAAAGTTATCCTGAGACTTTATTTACTCTAACCACAGTGAAACACATTCTGGTCTGGTGATCAGAGGAAAAATACAGGAAGATAAGCATAGACTCCTGCCTCCCACCCCTCCAGCCAGATTGTGTGGCACATGCTCCTCCCATGTTAAATTCATAGAGATTTTCAATACTATAAGAATTCAAGTACTCTGTTCAATTAAAGGGTGGAGCATGATCCATTTCCCAAGAATAGTAGCTTCATGACTCTATGGACAGAGCGCTTGTCTAAAGATGCAGGCTCTAGTCACTGCAGAAAATGCACTCTAACAGGTGACAATTTGAGGGCCTACCTGAGAAAGCAGCTAAAATTGCCTCTTTATTTTGGTTTCTCTGTTTGCTAAGTTGTAATTACAGCCCTGACCAACCTTAAGAGTCACTGTGACCCCCTCAGGGCTGAGTTTGCACAAAGTCTCCCTCCCATAGTACAAGGGGAGCTGCTTAGGGGGCAGGAGGCAGGGAGAGGTCCATTCCCCATGGTAGGGCTTGGGGGATGTAGTTGCCCCCTCCCTCTCCCTGTCTCTTGTTGTTCAAAAAAATGATCTTAAACTACAAAAAAAAAAAAAAAAAAAAAAAAAAAAGAAAGAAGGAAAGAAAGAAAGAAAGGAAGAAAGAAAGAAAAAGAAGTCAAAGTCACTGTGTAGGTTGGGAAGGCTGCAAACTGGTTAAGAAAAATCAGTGTGGGAATTAAAAATACTAAATTAGCTTTGCAAATATGATACTTTTCAAAATTAAGTAAACCTGCTTTTTTTAAAAAAGGTTAATCTTTAACATTTGCATTCATCATGGCCACATGTGCTCGCGCTGCTGCCTGCCTTTTGCCATCTTAATTGCAATATTCACATATAAGTAGGGTAAGTGAATGTGTGTGGGTGGAGGGTTGGGGGATGGGCTCAAGCAAATAAACATAAAACTCACTCAAGGTCCTTTTGGGCTTGACATTAATGAATGGAACAAGTGGGGAGATACTATTTTCATGACTGCACTAACTACGTGTGGTATGTAAAGTCCATATGAAAAAAAGACAAATAGGCCAGGCATGATGGCTCACGCCTGTAATACCAGCAGTTTGGGAGGCTGAGGCAGGTGGATCACCTGAGGTCAGCAGTTTGAGACCAGTTTGGCCAACATGGTGCCATCTCTACTAATAATACAAAAATTAGCTGGGACTGGTGGCAGGCACCTGTAATCCCAGCTACTCGGGAGGCTGAGGCAAGAGAATCACTTGAACCCAGGAGGAGGAGGTTGCAGTGAGCCGAGCTGGTGCCATTGCACTCCAGCCTGGGCAACAAGAGCGAAATTCCGTCTCAAAAAAAAAAAAAGAAAAGAAAAAAAAAAAGTCAAATTAGGTGTTATCTAGACAACAAACAAATTCATAGTTCAGTTTCTTTACATGGTGAGTCCTTTTTTTTTTGAAATATGCTTAAAATATCAAAGTTTGCCATATACCAAACTTTTTAAGGAATATCTCTTATTACAAAAACAAGGGCAAGTTTGTATCCAATAACATTGGTTCCCAAGCCTAGGAAAAACAGACATTTTAAAATACACTTGCCTTTTTTTAAAAAAATTAATCAAACTGTTAAAATTTCTCCCATTATGACTCCTTTTCCCCTATGTTTGTAAGGTCTTATTCTTCTCTACTTCGCTCCAAGTTCCCTTCCTCTCTGAGATCTTGGGATGTTCTTGTGAATCCTGGTCTTACCTTGGCTGGGCCCTCACTCACTTCACTCACTTCTCTGCATGCAATTCCAAAGCTATGCTGAAACTACTTGCTTATATCCTGTCTTCCCCATTAGACTGTGAACTCCAAGGGACCAAGGCCTGTGACTTATTTATTCATCTCTACGTTTCCATGTCCATTGTACAGCCCTGTGTGCAACAGGTGATCAAACAATGCCGAGTGTCCTGTCATTGGACCCTTCTGCTGTCACATCGTTAGCTGTGCATTTCTAATATGCAATATGTCTCTTCGCTTTAATCCTTGTGATTTTCCACTGGATTCTTTTGAGTTTTGATTCTGAGGTTCTTTTTTTTTTTTTTTTTTTTTTTATGAGACAAAATCTCGCTCTGTCACCCAGGCTGGAGTACACTGGCTCACTGCAACCTCCGCCTCCTGGCAATTCTCATGCCTCAGCCACCTGAGTAGCTGGGATTACAGGCACGCACCATCATGCCTGGTTAATTTTTGTATTTTTAGTGGAGAGGGGGTTTGGCCATTTTGGCCAGGCTGGTCTCAAACCCCTGGCCTCAAGTGATCCCCACCCCACCCCCTCTGCACCGCCTCCGCCTCCCAAAGTGCTGAGATTATGGGCGTGAGCCATCACATCCGGCCTGATTCTGAGGTTCTTAATTAAGAAACAGAAATCACGTCAGCTGATGTGAGGCTTACGGAAATTGGTGTGTTTGTGTGTGTGTGCATGTGTGTATGTGTGTTTATGTGTGGGTGTGGGTGGGTGGGCTGAGCATTGTCTCCCTTTCTCTTGCTTTGCTCCTAACTTCCACACCCCACCCTCACACTCTATTTTCATTCCTTCTGATTTCTCTTTTTGGAGCACATCTGAAGGTGAGAAAACTTCATTGTATTACTATATTTGTACTTGCCAAATACTATGCTGAATCCAGCTGCAATTCTTAAATGATTCTGAAGAAAGTGGTATATATCTAGTGCAAAATACATTTCCTTGTAATCTCTAACTATAAGCATCCTCTTCTAGTTTCTAAGTATGGCATGGTGTAAATAAAACTGTCTGAACTTTTTCTAGCATAAAGAAACATAGCCTAGAAATATTCCAAAGTCAGTACAAATCACCCTTTTAAGAATATCTAATGGCATGGGGAATGGTTACCAGAAGGAAAAAAAAAAAAAGCATGGTATAAAGCTAAGTAGGATTGAATTCCATTTAGGTATGTTCATTTTTTTCTCTTTCTTTCTGTGTGTGCACGTGTGTATGTAAAGATTGAAAGGTAATACATAAGAATATAAGCAAGTGCTAATTGAAATCATGGGACTTATAATTACTTTCTTCATTATACTTCTTTTCTGCATCTTCTCAATTTACCAAATTATGATGTACTTTTTAAAACAGAAAAACACACACACACACAAAACCCCTGAAAAATTCAAAAATGAAATAGAGTGCGACATTTAAAAGGAAATCTGTTTTATGTATTGTAGCCTGGGAAAAAGGGAGAGCAAAGGGACTTTTTTAAGTGTAATTTTTAAAATGAAACATTGTTTTGAAATTTGCAAGAGTAGAATAGTGTATTGAGCTTCCATTGGCTTAACCAATTAACCACACTGCCATCATCGTTTCGTTTATTTCCCCCTCCCCATTTTTCCTTCCAAGCAGTTTTGGGTTTTTTTGTTTGTTTGTTTTTAAGGATGCCAGTTATGCCTTAATTCGGTCGGATATATTTTATGTAACTCGGCTTTTTTTGTTTGTTTGTTTTCTTTCAGGATACTTTAGAGAGCCTCAAAGCTAACGTGAGACAGCATCTTGGTTCTGCAAGGACGTGTCCTTCAACCCAACGCCCCCCACCCCCACCCAACCCCAAGCAAATATCCTGTTGAAGTCTCCGTGAACAAACATCTATCAACAGAAAAGCGATATGGTATTTACTCAACTTTTCTTGTGTCCCTTGGGTCGGAGAACAGACTTCAGTGTCTAGGAGAAAGCCCGGCCTCGCCGGGCCTGGGCAGCCCAAGCTGCCCCATTGTGATTCAAGATTCGGGGTGTAAACAAATGCAGTGTTTAACAATCGCCAGTTTGCTTTTAATGTTTTATAGCCATGACTGGGGCTCAGGAAGAACACAGTAGTGTCTTCTTCACTGGAGCTGAAGTCGAGGCTTTATGTCGGATTTGGGCAAGCGGCACTGGCAGCTGCAAGCCCTCAATGGGCGCTTTCTAGTCGCAGAGCGGGCCGCCGCCGCGTTGCTGGGAGCCGGGGCCGGAGCAGCTCGGGAGGGAGCGCGGCGGGGGCAGGAGGAAGCAGGGCTGCCCATCCCGGGCCAGGCCCCCATCTCCCGTCTCCGTGACAGGTGCTGCGGAACAAGGAGAAAAGGGAGCCCTCCCCGCCCGCTCCCAAGCCCGGGCTCCGTGTCTGACACTAACTGTCGTGTTTTTTATTGCCTTTTTGTTTCAGGAATACAGGGCATTGGCAGGCAGAGATGTACCCTGTGGCTTGGGCTTTCTCTGCAAGGCCAGTGGGGATGAAACCAATAACAAAGACCCTGACTTTGCTTAATGACCAAGACTCACTTAGATAACAAACCGGCGCTGCTGTTGGCAGAGAGCCTTCTAGATGCTCAGTACAGTGTGGCCTGTTAAAGTGGGAAGGAGGACTTGAAGGAAAGAGCTGTTTAAGTCATATTTTCTTACAGCCAAAGGAGATTATCTTCTCTTGGTTTGGACGGATCATTATTTGTTACTGTTTATTATTAATCGTGATTTCCTGAGAACTTTTATGTTCCGGATACCGAATCACATACTTTATATTCACTCACTACAATCCTGCAAAACTTTGTTGTTGATTTTCTTTTTTTAATAAAAGAGAAAACTCGGCCGGGCGCGGTGACTCACGCCTGTAATCCCAGCACTTTGGGAGGCTGAGGCGGGTGGATCACCAGGTCAAGAGTTCAAGACCAGCCTGGCCAAGATGCTGAAACCCCGTCTCTACTAAAAATACAAAAAAAATAGCTGGGCGTGGTGGCGGGCGCCTGTAATCCCAGCCACTCGGGAGGCTGAGGCAGAGAATTGCTTGAACCCGGGAGGCAGAGGTTGCAGTGAGCCGAGATCACGCCACTGCACTCCAGCCTGGGTGACAGAGCGAGACTCGTCTAAAAAAAATAAAATAAAGTAAAATAAAATAAAAGAGAAAACTGAGTTTCACAGAGGTTAAGTAATTTGTCCAACGTTATTACACAGCTTATAAATAGTACACCCGAAATCCAATCTTGGTATGGCTATAAAATAACTTTTACTCTTTCCATGAGGAACGTATAGCTTATGCCTTATACATTTCAAATTGAAGGTGCCAGGTGGCTGTGGCTTAGAACAGGTGAGTTGGCCATGGGAAAACAAAGTAAATTAATAATTCACATACGCTATAATATCTGCTCTGAGTTTTTTTTTTTGTTGTTTGTTTGTTTTTTTTTTTTTGAGACGGAGTCTCGCTGTGTCGCCCAGGCTGGAGTGCAGTGGGGCGATCTCGGCTCACTGCAAACTCCGCCTCCCGGTTTCACGCCGTTCTCCTGCCCTCAGCCTCCCGAGTAGGTGGGACTACAGGCGCCCGCCACCACGCTCGGCTACTTTTTTGTATTTTTAGTAGAGACGGGGTTTCACTGTGTTAGCCAGGATGGTCTCGATCCTCTGATCTCGTGATCTGCCCGCCTCGGCCTCCCAAAGTGCTGGGATTACAGGCGTGAACCACCGCGCCCGGCCAGAGCGTGGAGATTCCCCGAGGCCGGGGCTTCGCGAGGATGGGACCGGCGTCCCGGACGCGAGGGGCGGTGGGGCTGGCGGCAGGGAGCGTGGGAGGGAGGGAGGGAGCGAGCGCACGGCGGTGGGGGCGGGGCGCGGCCAACCGGACCCCACCCACACACACAGGAGCTTTTCACTGCAGATAATTTCAGGAAAAATTCAGTTAAGGTAAAATCATTAGGCAGAGTTGAAAAAGCCTCCCTTCCCAACATGTAAAGAATAAGAAAAAACACTATAGCCTGGGCTTCGTGAGCCTATGCAAAAATGTGTAATGCCATCAGGCCATTGTCATTCTTATTTTAAATAACTACTTATTCATTAAAAAAATTGTTTTAGGCCAGGCACGGTGGCTCACGCCTGTAATCCCAGCACTTTACGAGGCCAAGGCGGGTGGATCACCCGAGATCAGAGTTCAAAAGTAGACTGGCCAACATGGCGAAAACCCATCTCTATTAAACATACAGAAATTAGCCAGGCGTGGTGGCGGGTGCCTGTAATTGCAGCTACTTGGGAGGCTGAGGCAGGAGAATCGCTTGAACCCTGGTGGGATGGAGTGGCGCGGCGGAGGTTGCGGTGAGCCGAGATCACTGCCACTTCACTCCAGCCTGGGCAAAAAAGTGAAACAGAACAGTTTGAGATCTAAAGAACAATTGAGGATACTATAGGGTTCCCATCAACCCTCCAGCCAGTTTCGCGTATTATTGACATCTTACGTTTATAATGAAATTTTTTATAATTATTGAAGCAATATTGACATGCTATTATTACCTAAAGATCATGATTATTCAGATTTTCTTAGTTCTTACCTAATTCCTTTTTCCACTCCAGGATCCCATCCAGGGTACCACATTATATTTAGTTGTCCTGTCACCCTAGGCTCCACTTGGCTGTGAGAGTTTTTCAGACTTTTGTTAGTCTTGATTATTTGATAGTTTTGAGGACTACTGATTATTAATTTTGAAAGAGGTAAGAGGGTACCCCCCCTGTATTGAGATTCGTCTGTTGTTTTTCTTATGATTAGACTAGGGGTAATGGATTCTAGAAGACCACAGAGGTAAGATACCACTTTGTCACATCAAATCAAGGGTTTATACTATCTACATGATTTATGACTGTTGCTGTTGACCTTGATCACCTGACCGAGTAGCGTTTGTCAGGTTTCTCCACTGTAAAGTTACTTTTTTTTTTTTTGCCCCTTTACATATTGTATTCTTTGGAATTCACTATGAAGTAGGGCTCTCATTAGCAAGAGTCTTGTTCATTTCTCCCAATCTCTCAAAATGATCTATTCTTATTTAGCTTTATTTGATATTATTTATGTTTTTCAATCTCATCACCTCTACTTCTATTCTCCAAATTATAACTGACAAATTATAGACTTTCAGAGCTCAGAGACAATGTATTGCTCCTTGTTCTTTTGGGGCTTGATTGCCAAAGCCAGAAGAAACAGAAATACATGTATTGGAAGAATTTTCTATATTTCCCCAAAGCAAGGAAACAGTCATCATGGGGCGAATCAAATTGTTGGGTATCCTGACATTTATTTTAGGACCCAGTTTTGTTTTTATTTTGAATTATATAAAAGGTGGGCGGCCAGACACGGTGGCTCACACCTGTAATCCCAACACTTTGGGAGGCTGAGGTGGGTGGATCACGAGGTCAGGAGTTCGAGAACATCCTGGCCAACATGGTGAAACCCCGTTTCTACTAAAAATACAAAAAATTAGCCAGTTGTGGTGGCACGCAGCTGTAATCCCAGCTACTCAGGAGGCTGAGGCAGGAGAATTGCTTGAACCCGGGAGGCAGAGCTTGCAGTGAGCCGAGATTGCGCCACTGCACTCCAGCCTGGGGGACAGAGCGAGACTCCATCTCAAAACAAAAACAAAAAGATGGGCATAGTTGTTTTAGTATCAAAGTCCTAAGGACCCCTCATATTTTGCAAAGAAATTGGAGAGGGAAAGTGAGTTGTCCCAAGCCACAGAGTTTTATTCCAAGGAAACAAAGTCCACTTGCTTCGAAGAGGAACAGGCACAGATTTCCCTACAAAACACAGAAGGTAGCTGATTCTTTGGTGATGATGAGGCGGAAGACAAAAATGATGAGTAGGGGTAGAAGTTTGAGAAGGAGGTAGTACCATTTCTTCAGTGTTTTATACAAACGCATTTGTTTGGATTTCTACGGTATTTATAGGAGAAAAGAAAAAATAAACATAAAATAACCTCTTAGATGTAAGTACAACTGTTATCTTCCTAAACATTTCAAATTATAATCACTTCTGCCTATGGGCTAATGAGGGCATTTTTCTTTGTACACTTCTATTTTGCTTAAATGTTTTAAAGTATATTTTTGTAAATTTAAACATTTTGTCACTTAATTAAAAACTATGTTAGAAATATAACCAAAAATTGTCTGATGGTCAATTTATTTTAGTGGAAAGAAAACTGAACAAAGTTAGCAGTGTGCCTTTGACCTTGAATTGATACTTAACTAACAATCTGAGTGCCAGTCCCAGACAACTTAGGTATATCTTGCCTGTAGATCATATCTAGCTAAATTTTTTTGTGAGTGGGAAAATTCAGAAAGCGGAGTTCAGTTTTTTTTTTTTTTTTTTTTTTTTTTCAAAAGAATCTGCCCCCAAATCAACATATTGTAAAGGAGCTGGTAGGCAGGATGGATTAGGCTAAATTCCCCCCAGGGAAGAACATAAAAGATATTCCTCAATGGAAAATACACTGAGGCATTTTTAAAGGAAGTTTTAAACAGATATATTTATTTGATTAGTTTTATCCAGTGTGCAGCAGAGGACAACAAATAGCTGTTTTCTGCTGGTGAAGGGGATGGGCAAAGGACTCACATTCATAAAGCTATAATTGGCACACGTGGCAGTGGTAAGGAGAGGAAAGGAAAAGGCAATGATGTAGCCTAATGTGTCTAATCTTTTCAAGAGTGAGAATCCCCTTTGAAAGCCAAAATTGGGCCAGGCATGGTGGCTCATGCCTGTAATTCCAGCACTTCGGGAGGCCAAGGTGGGTGGATCACCTGAGGTCAGCAGTTCCAGCCTGGCCAACATGGTGAAACTCCATCTCTACTAAAAATACAAGAGCAGTTGTCTTATACTGTCCAGTTATTGACTAAATAAGAATTATAAATTATAAATTAGGGATGATATTATCACATTATCACACTATAGCCTTCTGTATACATTTGAAAAGCCAGTGGCATATATGTGTGAAGACATGCATCTGGTAAGTCTGTATAGAGTGTTTGCTGCATAGATCCTTGCAGAAAGCCCTGGGACCACAGGGGCCCCTCACCAGGAAGGCATATGCTGCTACTTCTGTCTCTCCTGCTCCCATGCCCAGCCCTGTGTTCCTGACCTAGGTCTTCTCTTCTAGTAGGGGAGCTGTTCTACCTGGACTCCCACTTCCTCCTTGTGTCTTCAGAGAATGTGAGAAGGAAGTGCTGATAGAGCACCACGTGGGCTGATGGTTTTGACCTGGCTGGAGCTCTGGTGCCCTTCCAAAGTCCAAGAGACTCTTGGTAACATTGGTTATTGCCTCCTCTGCCCCGCCACCCCGCCCCCTCAACTCTTTGGAAAGTGTGACAACCCTGAGAGTAGAGGGTGGCAAGAGGGGCAGCAACAGTAGGGAGTGTCATCCATCTCAGAGCCTTGAATCTGTCCCACCCCACAGCACAGAGCCTGCTCAAGGGAAAGAAGGGTGTGAGCTCTGGGTTCAGACTTACTCCAGAGGTTGTTCACGGGTTACATTGTCCCCTTCTGGTTCCTTGGATATGACGCATGGCTTTTTGGTCCTCAGTAAAGGCCTTGGTTCTTGGTGGATCTGTCCTCCACTCCCACCCCTAGGTTCCCTCAAAGGCAATTCTGATTGTCTACCAGGAAGTCCTGGGGAATATTCAACACTTCCCCCTTCCCACTTGCCCACATGGTTAGCTCACTCTCAGCCTGGAGGGTGGAACCTGGATTTATAAAAAATCTTCTGGGTTTCCTTCCTTTCATTCTCCCTGATCCAACACCAGCAAAAACAAACCAAAATGCAAACCTGTCCCACTCTTGATTGATACTAAAACTCTAACATTGGAGATCCTTGGTTTAGGCTTTGACCTTTGATGAAGCTTGCAAATACCCTTAAAAACAAAAGTCACTAGTTAAGCCTTATCAGTAAGTTACCACAGAATGAATTTATCAGATCCTTTCCTGGTGGCAGATTTCAATAATGAAAGGATGGAAAGAGAAACAGGAAAACCTTCCTCTTCCTACTTCCATCAACAGTCAGAAAAAGGAAAAAGGGAAAACTAAAGGTTAGACAAATTAAGATTAAAATTAGGGCTCTTGCCCTATTGCCTCCCTGATTTCATGGTATAGTCATTGTAAGTTCTTTTCTAGAGCAGATACACGCAGATTCGTGACAGACTGTAATTTAGATCACACTGGAGGTAACCAGAGTGTAAAAAGACACCTGAGAGATGCTGAAGTTGGGGTTGGATGGGAAGAGAATCAGTGCCATTGAGACAGTGAGCTGTGAGCCCATCAGTGGAAGTTAACACTTAGCACTCACTAGGTTCCCTGATGGTGTTTTATGTAATTTATATCCAAGAGATAAGTGCTGCTAAAATTCCACACTTTACGGGTGAGCAAATCAAGGCCCAGAATGATTAGATAACTTGCCCAAACCATTCAGTAAGTGGCAAGGCCAAGCAATGAAACCAGGTCTATACTATGAACCAGAGGTGGAGCCAAAGCACAGCCTGGTTTTAGTTCAGCCTTTAGCTGTGTGGCTTTAGGGCAGGTCAGTTGACCTCTCTGGCCTCACTCAGTTCTTCAACTATAAAAGGAGAAAGTCAGAGTAGATGACTCTGCTCTGACATTTGAAGAATCTATATGGAACACATCTGGCTATGAGACTTGACAGCCTGTGCAACTATTACAGTTAGGCTGAGGGTAGAGCTCGTTCCTCCCCACACCCACACCTCCGCCTCCAAGGTTTTATGCCTTCCTTTCCTTATCCTCACTGTTAGTTACTGTGGATGTGATCATAACAGAACTGATAGGAGAGGGTGTTTCTGGTAGGAGTCTAAAGACTCCTAGGGGGAGGGAAGGAGCACTGGAGTCAGAAAGAACTCTTCAAACAAGAGTTTGAAACTTGCCTGAAACTAAATAGCAGCATGACCTTGGCCAAGTTAATTATCTTCTCCTAGCTTCAGCTTTCACATCTGCAGGAATTAGAATAACCACTCAAAGGGATTTTGTAGATATTTGGTAAGATAATGTATGTGAAGGATCCAGGCCAGTGCCTGGCACACAGTAGGTGCTCAGTAAGTTTTAGTTCCAGTTTCATCATTCATCATTCTCCCTTCCTAACAGGTGACAAGCAGAGTCCAGAGTCCTTGTGTCAGTAGGGATGTCATGGGATCTCTTTCCATGTCCCTGCTTTCAAGACATCTCTTGATGTAGGTGAAAAGGAGTTACAGCCTTTTTGTAGACCCCTCTTGAGGTATTTGCAGAACTCATAACAATTCTCTCTTCTTTAAGAATGGCCCTGATACATACAGGCTTTCAGATGCAAATTACAAAACATACACCTTAAGTAAGATTAAGTAATAGAGGAAATTTGCTGAAAAGCCAGCAGAAAATAAGCTTCAGGTGAGGCTTACTCCAGCAGCTAAGTGGAAGGACTAAAGATGTGGCTTATCTTTCTCTCTCTCTGTTCTTCCTTCCAGGCTGCTGGATTAATACTTAACTCCCCTCAAGGTCACCAGCTGGCTACCAGCATTTCCTGGAAGGAACTGTGTGCTTTAAAACTGACATCCAGCAAGGCAGAAAGAGTATCATTGCCACTGTTTTCAGCAAAAGCTCAGAAAGTCACTCTGATTGAACAGGTTTAGGTCATAGGTCCTTCTTTGAATCAATCACTACATCCAAGGAGATGCTAATTGGCTTAGCCAAGGTCATATGCTTCATCTTTGAGGGGAAAGAGACAGTATATTTCTTGGATTCCCAAACAGAAACCAGGTGTTCTTGAGAAAGGGGAAGGTAATAAAACACATGTCTGATGGATACCTGAAGAACTTTGAACATGGTTCTGAGCTCACTGGAGCACAGTCACATTAATGGTCTTGCTCCAAAGACTGGGACTGAAAATCTTGCTTCTGTTCCCAGAGCTGTTCCACCTTTTATCTGTACCCAAGGATGTGTGGTTCAAGGCCTTCTTTTAATCGGTAGGTGTTTTGGCTTTCTATTACTCCCTAACAAACCACCTCAATCTTACTGGCTTAAAAGAACCACCATTTTGACCTGATGTGGTGGCTCATGCCTGTAATCCCAGCACTTTGGGGGGCCGAGGTGGGCAGATCACCTGAGGTCAGGAGTTCGAGACCAGCCTGGCCAACATGGTGAAACCCCATCACCACTAAAAATATTTAAAAAAATTAGCTGGGCATGGTGGCAGACACCTGTAGTCCCAGCTATTCAGGAGGCTGAGGCAGGAGAATTGCTTGAACCCAGGAGGTGCAGTGAGCCGAGATGGTGCCACTGCACTCCAGCCTGGGCAATAAGAGAAAAACAACAACAACAACAAAAAACCTCTGTCTCAAAACAGCCACCATTTTATTATTTCACAAAATTCTATATATTTTTTTTTTTTTGAGATGGAGTCTTGCTCTGTTGCCCAGGCTGGAGTACAGTGGCACTATCTCGGCTCACTGCAAGCTCCGCCTCCCAGGTTCACCCCATTCTCCTGCCTCAGCCTCCCGAGAAGCTGCGACTACAGGCGCCCGCCACCAGGCCCGGCTAATTTTTTTTGTATTTTTAGTAGAGACGGGGTTTCACCGTGTTAGCCAGGATGGTCTCGATCTCCTGACCTTGTGATCTGCCCGCCTCGGCCTCCCAAAGTGCTGGGATTACAGGCGTGAGCCACCGCGCCCAGCTATTTCACAAAATTCAAAGTTGACTGGGTGCAGCTGATCACTGCTATCACTGCTACTCCACCTTTTGGCTGAGGGTTCAGTCACTGGGGGGCTTGACTGGTCTAAAACGTCCAAGCCTGGATGAAAAAATATGTTATGGCTAGTTCTATATGTCAACCTGGCTAGGCTGTATTACCCAGTTATTTAGTCAAACAACATCAGGATGTTGCTGTGAGGATATTTTGTAGATGTGGTTAACATCTGTTGTCAGTTGATTTTATGTAAAGGGGGTTACTTTTGATAATGGGAATAAGCTTTATACAAATCGTTGAAAATTCTTAAGGGCAAAAGTCAAGATTTTTCTGGAGATGAAATCTGCCTCAAGGCTGCAGTGTTAACTCCTATCTGAATTTCCAGGCTGCCTGTGGGCTCCACACTTTCAGACTTCAGATTTGCTGGTCTCCACAATTGCATGAGTCAGTTTCTTAAAATTATGTCTATCTATCCATCTGTCTGTCTCCTATTGGTTCTATTTCTCTGAAGAATCCTGATTGAGACAACATCTGACCAGGGATGACTCAGCTGGGGCAAGGTGAGCAAAGTGGGTAGGAGGAGCAAAAGAAAACGACAGAAGAGATTAATAGAAGTCAGTCACCAAAAATCAACTAGATATTTCCTCTGTGTGTGTGTGTGAAAATGTTTTATAAAATTCAAATTTTATTGTTTTAAAACCTCTGATGCAGAGAGAGTAAGAATAAGGTAGGTGAGAGGTTCATGATTACATGGCTATCACAAATTAGATATTGGCTGGGCATGGTGGCTGACGCCTGTAATCCTAACACTTTGGGAGGCTGAGGGGGGGTGGATTGCTTGAGCCTAGGAGTTCAAGACAAGCATGGCCAATATGGCAAAACCCTGTCTCTAAATAAATAAATATTTTTTAAAAAAACAAAATTAATTAGATACTGAATCTATACAAAATATTTCTTTTTTCTTTTTTTTTTTTGAGACGGAGTCTCGCTCTTTCGCCCAGGCCGGACTGCAGTGGCGCTATCTCGGCTCACTGCAAGCTCCACCTCCTGGATTCACGCCACTCTCCTGCCTCAGCCTCCTGAGTAGCTGGGACTACAGGCGCCCACCACCACGCCCAGCTAATTTTTTGTATTTTTAGTAGAGATGGGGTTTCACCGTGTTAGCCAGGATGGTCTTGATCTCCTGACCTCGTGACCCACCCGCCTTGGCCTCCCAAAGTGGAGGGATTACAGGCGTGAGCCACCGCGCCCTGCCTGCAAAATATTTCTTGAACACTACCTAGGAGTCCATGACTGTGGTTGGTATGTTGGGAGTTGGGGAAGGAAGTCGCCAGAAGTGGCCTGCTCCACATACCCAAGGACGTCAGCTGTACTGGCGGAGGTAAAACAGACACATGCAATAAAGTAGAAGGGCCTGCCCTTTTCCTGCCTGTTCTACTCCTACTCATTCTTCCCCATCAGCTCAAAATTTACCTCTTCTCTTAGCCTAACTCTATCCTGCCACTAGGCAGAGTTAAATTTACCCTTCTCTGCATTCTCACAGCTCGCTGCATTCTTCGTAGCTCGCTTCACTATATCATTACTTTTTGTTACCTGCTGTAGGCTGTGGGCAGAATTCTAAAATGACCTCCAATGATTCCCTAAATCCTCTCCCAATGAGTGTGAACGAGGCCAATGTGGTATTGCTCCCATGATTATGTTCTATTATATGACAAAGGGATTTTGCAGATGTAATTAACATGCCAAATCTCACCTTAAGATAGTGAGATTACCCTTGGTGCGACTGACCTAATCGGGTCAGCTTTTAAAAGAGACGAGGCTCTTCAAAAGAGATTTGAAATATTAGAGGGGTTTGATGCAAGAACGATAACCCATTGCTTACGTGGAGACAGAGGGGGCCACATGGCAAGGAATGCAGGCAGCATCTAGGATCTGAGAGCAACCTCTGGCTGACAGCCAGCAAGGAACTTCAGTTCTACAGCCTCAGGGAACTGAGTTCTTTCACAAGCACATGAGCTTGGAATGGGATCCCAGCTCCAGACGAGAATGCAGGCTGCCTGACACCTCGATTTTAGTCCTGTGAGAACCTGAGCAGAGAGCCCATTTGTGTTGTACCCAGATTTTCTCATCCACAGAACTGTGAGCTAAAAACAAGTGTGGGTTTAAGCTGCTAAATTTGTGGTAATTTGCAGTCACAGCAGGAGAAACAAATACAGTCATGTGTTGCTTAAGGAGGATACATTCTGAGAAATGTATCATTAGGTGATTTTGTCCTGTGGGCATCATAGAGTGTACTAACATAAACCTAGACAGTAGAGTGTACTACACACCTGGGCTATATGGTATAGCCCATTGCTCCTAGGCTACAAACCTCTACAGCATGTTACTGTACTGAATACTGTAGGCAATTGTAACATAATGGTCAGTATTTGTGTATGGAAACATTAAAAAGGTACAGTAGAAATATGGCATAAAAGACTTTAAAAATAGGCCAGGCATGGTGGGTCACACCTGTAATCCCAGCACTTTGGGAGGCTGAGACGGGTGGATCACTTGAGGCCAGGAGTTCAAGACCAGCCTGGCCAACATGATGAAACCTTGTCTCTACTAAAAATGCAAAATTTAGCCAGGCGTGGTGGCACATGCCTGTATTCCCAGCTACTAGGGAGGCCAAGGTAGGAGAATCGCTTGAACCTGGGAGGCGGAGTTGCAGTGAGCCAAGATCGTGCCACTGCACTCCCAGCCTGGGCAACAGAGCAAGAGTCTGTCTCAAAAAGAGATAAAAAATAAATAAATAAATAAATAAATAAATAAATAAAAGTACACCGTGTATAGGACACTTACCATGAATAGAGATTGCAGGACTGGAAGGTGCTCTCGGTGAGTCAGTGGGTGAGTGGTGAGTGGATGTGAAGGCCTAGGACATTACTGTAAACTACTGTAGACTTTATAAACACCTAGACTACATTAAGTTCATAACAATTTTTTTCTTCAAAAATGAATTAACTTTAACTTACTATAACATTTTTATTTTCTGAACTTAAATTTTTTTTTAACACTTTGACTTGAGTCATGTAGTGCATTGTACTGCAATGTTACAGTGGGTATGATATTGCTAGGCAATAGGAATTTTTCAGCTCCATTATAATCTTATGGGACCACTGTCCTATTATATGCAGTCTGTCATTGACCAAAGCGTTATTATGCGGAGCATTACTGTACATTATGTATTTGCTTCTCCACTCAATTATGATCTGGAAGACAGAATCCATGTCTTTTTTTTTTTTAATCTATTTAAGCTCCTCTGAGCAAAGTGCCTGGCTTGGAGCAATGCTCTAATAAATGTCTGTTGAATAAATGAATAAGTCCTGCATTTGCAGTACTGTATAGGCAACTGAGACAAGGTTCGAGTGTACTCAATTTTACTTCAGAAAGTATTCTACCAGTGGCCAGCACCATGCCAATGTCGAGTCCCTCCAAGATAATGTCTCTGATTTTCTTGGTCTCCCAGTGTTCCTTATCATAACATATAGGTATTGGGGTTTCAAATGTTACTGACTCAGACATAGTTAATCACAGTTATCATGGTATTAGAGATAAGAGCTGATGGAAAAATGAAAATAAGAGATAAGGAAAGTTTCAAAACTTACTGCTATGGTCTGAATGTTTGTGAGTCCCCCCTGCCATCCCTCCCAATTCCTTTTTTTTTTTTCTTTTTTTTTTTTTTGAGATGAAGTCTCATTCTGTCACCCAGGCTGGAATACAGTGGCGTGATCTCGACTCACTGCATCCTCTGCCTCCTGGGTTCAAGCAATTCTCCTGCCTCAGCCTCCCAAGTAGCTGGGATTACAGGTGTGCACCATCACACCCAGCTAATTTTTATATTTTTAGTAGAGATGGGATTTTGCCATGTTGGCCAGGCTAGTCTCGAACTCCTGACCTCAGGTGATCTACCCGCCTCGGCCTCCCAAAGTGCTGGGATTACAGGCGTGAGCCACTGTGCCTGGCTATCCCCCCTCAATTCTTATGTTGAAGTCTTTATCCCCAAGGTGATGGTATTAGAAGGTGAAGCTTTTGGGAGGTGATTAGGTAATGAACTTGGATCTCTAATGAACAGGATTAGTGCCCTTATAAAAGAGGCCTAACCGGATGTGGTGGCTCACAGCTGTAATCCCAGCACTTTGGGAAGCCGAGGTGGGAGGATCACTGAAGGCCAGGAGTTCAAGACCAGCCTGGGCAACATAGCAAGACCCTCCAACCCCATCTGTACAAAAATATATATATATATATTGTTGAGACAAAGTTTTGCTCTTGTTGCCCAGGCTGGAGTGCAATGGCGTGATCTCGGCTCACCACAATCTCCGCCTCCCAGGTTCAAGTGACTGTCCTGCCTCAGCCTCCCGAGTAGCTGGGATTGCAGGCATGTGCCACCATGCCCGGCTAATTTTGTATTTTTAGTAGAGACAGGGTTTCTCCATGTTGGTCAGGCTGGTCTTGAACTCCTGACCTCAGGTGATCCTCCTGCCTTGGCCTCCCAAAATGCTGGGATTACAGGCATGAGCCACCACGCCCGGCCTCAAAAAATATTCTTTTAATTAGCTGCGTGTGGTGGTGCAAGGCTGTAGTCCCAGCTACTTGGGAGGCTGAGGCAGGAGGATCACTTGAGCCCAGGAGTTCAAGTGAGCTATGATTGCACCACTGTACTCCAGTCTGGGTGACAGAGTCAGACCCTGCCTCTTAAAAAAATAAATAAGGGTCCCAAAGGTTACCCCTTGCCCTTCCACCATGTGAGGACACGGTGAGAAGGCACCCTCTATGCACCAAGGAAACGTCAGCCTTAAGCAGACACCAAATCTGCTGCCTTTATCTTGAACTTCCCAGTCTGCAGAACTTTGAGAAATAAATTCTCCTTGTTTTTAAGCCACCGTATCTATGGCATTTTGGTATAGCAGCCTGAATGAACCAAGACACTTATTTGGAAGAATAACTTTATTATGCTTCCCTTAATAGAGCTTCTGATTGATGCTACTCGTGATTACAACTTTGAGCAATTAATTTTATCCCTTTGAGGGTCAGTTTCTTCACTAGTAAAGGGGAGAAGACATTGTGTCATTCCATCCCTAATATTCTGTGTAATCTATGAGTTTTTTTGGCCCATGGGTGAAAATAATACAGTTGATTTGGTCAATGTGCGGATTATTTTGGGTCTCTTCATTTCTATGTTTTCAGCTGCTGCTTCTTTTTTTTTTTTTTTTTTTTTTTTTTGACAGCGTCTTGCTCTATCACCCAGGCTAGAGTGCAATGGTGCAATCTCAGCTCACTGCAACCTCTGCCTCCCGGGTTCAAACGATACTCCTGCCTCAGCCTCCCAGGTAGCTGGGATTACAATTGTGTGCCACCATGCCTGGCTAATTTTGTATTTTTTTTTTTGTAGAGATAGGGTTTCACCATGTTGGCCAGGCTAGTCTCAAACTGCTGACCTCAAGTGATCCACCCACCTTGGCCTCCCAAAGTGCTGTGGAGGCACGAGCCACCACACCTGGCCTCAGGGTCTCTTCATTTCTTAAGTCTGTAAGTCACAATGTGGCCATCTAAATATATAGATAGTGAGGAGAAGTAGAACCTACTGACTCACTGTCTGAATGCTTAGATGGCCATATTGCGACTTGCAAGCTTAAGAAATGAAGAGACCCAATATAATCTCACACTGACCAAGTTGACTGCATTATTTTCTCCCCATAGGCCAAAAGAAGCATCTCAGAATCCTCAAGAAACAACAAAATATGTTCATACTTTCAAAAATATTCTTCTAATATCTTAAACTGGTATTTAAAAACAGGGTAAAGGGCTTTTCTACTTTAAAAAAGTTCCAGCACTGTAATACAACTGGAAGAGTCCCAGCCAAAAAGGCTTGACTTTTGACTATCTGGGCAGCGATAGAGCATGCACTCAAAATGAAAAGAAGATGACATGATGCTTAGACTATGCTTCAAAACCCACCCCCCCACAACAAAATGAATGCGGGAGTGGAGGAGCTCGGATGATGTAAGAACAAGTATCTCAAGGGTATGTGAAGAAATTAATAGTGAGCAATATCCAGTAGCTTCCAGTTGGCCAGCCTATTTTAACCCAGGAAAATAAAAGGCATTGCTAACAAATTTTGGTCCCCTTAACAAATGGAACAATATTCAGAAGAAGATGAAGATACAGCAGTGACCCAAGCAGACAAAATCCTTGCCCTGTGGAGCTTAAAATTTTGAGAATACTAAATAGGGGTCACTTTGGCCAGAGAATTCATTTCTATTTTCAGTTCCATGAATGTCCACTATATTATGAGCACTGAACAGAGGGGAGGATTATCATAAAGTTAATGAGCTTTTAGTTTCACAGCCGCTTACTTTCACAGGCCCTTCCAAGGTTCTGTGTGTCCTTCGCAGGGATTTAAGGTATAGCTGGATGCATGGAGAGCCACGCCAGCCAGAGGGTCAATCTCTACATTCTCGGTCTGTGTGGAAGGCTGGTAGGTTGAACGTACTCTCAATTTTTGCTGACCTCCAGTGATGCCCTGCAACATGTGGAGCCTCCCCAGGTATCTGAAATCCAACTCTGGCACCAAGGAGAAGGTTTGGAATGAGATGCTCCACCACTCTCTGCTCAGGGTTCTCCAGACAAAGGCCCCACCACCAGCATCTCGAGCCCTGCCCTTTCCACCCAGGACACCAAATGGGATGCTGGATCAGTTGCTGAGACAATGGCCAAAGGGTCAGCTGGAGCCCTGCCCAGCAAGATCAAAGGTCTGGAGTCTCTGAGGAATTTTCTTAGAGCACGAAGCACCTCTGGAGCAAGAGATTGTTTCAGCTGTGGCATGACCAATAATTCTCAAGCTGAAAGATTATTTTCTAAGCCATTAATAACAAAAAACATATTTCTATCTGCCATGCCAGAAAAAAAAAAACAAAATTATCTTTCTATTCTCTTTACACAAAATAGTATTATAAAGTTTTGGTTATTTGAGGAACGATCAAAGAGGATAAAGTAAAAAAAGTAGGGAAAAGAAATGTTACATAGGTGGATCAAACAGTGAAGTTATGATAATAACAATAATTCTTAATACTAATGGTAATGATGCTATTTTTCTGGATGCTTTTTAAAGTTTGTCATTTGTTATGGTTTCTTCTCTTATTCTAAGTAGATATTTACTCTTGGGCTTAATTTCATATTCTTTTTCATAAAGAGGGCTCCATATTTTATAAGCTTTGCAATAACCTGGATCTACCCTTGACCGAGTTCCTTTTCTTGAAGAGTGGGGCAGGAATCACTAAAATCACAAGAAACCAATTCCTACAACTTTTCTTTGCTCCATTAAATCCTTACCCTCTCCTATTTGATCTTGAATCTATTATAGAAGCTTAGAAGATTCAAATGCCAATAAGGAGTGTTCAAAATATCTAAATCCATGACTTGCCTGACCCAATCTCATTGAAAAAGCAAAGCATTAACTCTGTCTTCCTAATTTGGAAGAAGACAGGTTTGCCTGGATCAGTTTTTGGAAAGGAATTACTTTAGAAATACCGATCTCCGAAAAAAATAGAAGAGCATATCATTTCGTTTGTATGTTTCTTTTGAAATTAGTTATTAATACAGAGGCAATCACTTTTGAATGTCTTTGTACCGTACACCAACCCATATTTTCCATCTATTCAGGAGGGAAGAGCAAGGCTGAGAGCCAGCAAAGGGCAAAGAAATGACTGCCCATTTTGTTGCAACACCAAAAAACTCTTGATTTATCAGTGTGTTTGACATACTCTTTTTCGGCGGGGTGGGGAGGAGGTGATGGGCTGGTGGAAATAAAGACTTGTAAATTTTGTAAATGCGAGTCCTCTAAAGTAGGCCAATTGGTCAGCTGCAAACTTGGCAGCATCGTGAAGCATGTGTGCTGGGCAGCTTCGGAACACGATGTTCTGTTTCACTTCTGAGAGCAGGGGAAAATGGAATAAGGGCTCAACCCAGGACAGAGAGAGAGAGAGCTCAGCAGCGACCTGCGAAAGGGCCCAAAGACAAAGGAAACAGTAAAGAATAAAAGCCCAGCATCATTAGACTGCTGACCACAACGCTGAAAAAAGAGAGAGAGAAAGAATGTGAAAGTGTCTGAGAGAGGTGCTGTGGTTCTGATGCTTGCTGAAGCTAAGTTCTGGAAAATTCAGAGCAGTTGTGTGATTGATGATTAAAAGTAATAACTCAGTGTTTTATGTAAGAGTAATGATGAAATTTCGTAAAAGTTCTTGGAAATAATGCTGAATCTTATTGAGTCTACAAACCTTGAACCATAAAACAAAGTGTGGCATGAAGGAAAAAAAAGTTTGAAACACAGACTCCTATAGCTCCAAATTTAAAAAGAACTTGTTAGGGCTTTTTTTTTTTTTAAACTAAATTTACATTTCATATTGTTTTAATAAATATTCGGCTACTAAATAATAATATATAACTTATAAAAATAACAAAGTGTTTGGCATATTTGAGTAGTCACCCTTCTCAGATATTTTCAAATGATTTATGAGTAAATAAACTGAATAAAGTGCAAAAAAATATGGACTTGTGTTAACAGTTCAACAAAAACAGGTACTAATAGTAAAGTATACGTTAATTCATAAAACATTTTGTTTAATGGCACCAACTGCTCATATCTTGAGATTGGTTCTTTCTTTTAATTAAGTGATTTTGAATTATGTCATGGTGACATTCTATTAGAATCATTTATAACTGATAGCATGTAATGAATAACCACATATATTTGTCTTCAAATATCTGGTGTTATCATAAACTTGAAAGGACAGAGATCAAGCAAGTGATAATTGCTTAATTCCATATGTACACTATCATTTAAACATATTAAGTTGAAAATAAATTCTTAAGGAATATCTCCATCTTGATTTATTGCACAGAAGTTCAAGTATAAATGCAAAAATGGTTATTACTCAGTGGCACCTCTTCTTCCTCCATGTATGTGCCAAAAGAGAAAGACAAAAGAAAAAAAAAGCCACCTATTTATTAGTGTAAAAAGGAGACTATGGTGGCCAAAAGACTCAGCTGGTCTTTGTAAAGGAGTTTATAGCTTTCAGCTGAAATCTCTAAGTGAGAATTCTCATTCCCAGCTGCTGGCTCCCTGGGAGCTCTCCGTGGCCTCTGACCTCATTTCCATGGAGACAGAGGTGGGAAGGGTAAAAAATAAGTTAAGGGGGAAACTTTTCTTAAGGCAGTATTTCCAAATCCCCACTCCTCTAACACTAATGACTGTCCAAGTTAAAGCTGGCCACACATCACTATTTGAAATCACTTTCAGTTTTTCAAGGGTGAATGGCTAAAAATGAGGCATTTGATTGTAAAGATACATTTGCAGAAATAAAAGAAAATACCTGACGTATTTGATACTGTTTAATTGAAGCTCTAAATGAAAGCAAAATGGCTGCTAACATTCAACAATGGAGAGAGAATTCTAGCATGTTTTGGGGTCTGGTTTGTGGCCGAGTTCTGTGAATGTTATATGTTAGAGTTCTGCAGACCTCTGTACCTGTGGGGGTTGATGCTCCCTTAAACATAAGAAAAGTGAGATCTTTGTTAGAAGAACTTGAAAAGGGATGATTCTCCTCACATATCCGTTAATCCATTCCCTTGCCTATCAGCCTTTCTTCCTGACCATTTAACTGAAGCTAATAAAAACTATCACGATACTACAACTACTGCTACACCTGGCTACCAGCAGCCATTTTTTTTAAAGTTATTACTGCATTCCTGCTACTGTATGATGTGTTTTCTCACTTTACTGTAGTCTCTTAAGAAAAACTCTTTTTATCTGGGAACAGTTCAAATATACACAAAAGCAGAGAAAATCAAGTGTTGAGCCCCATGTACCCGTCACTCTCTCATGGCAATCATCGATACATGACCACTTCTGTTTTATTCATACCCCCACCCATTCTTCCATTTACGATTTTGAAGCAAATCTTATATATTTTTATCCATGAATATTTTAGTTTGTATTTATAGAACACAGGACTCATTAAAATTAAACACAATAGGCTGGGCACAGTGGCTCAAGCCTGTAATGTTAGCATTTTGGAAGGCCGAGGCAGGCAGATCCTTTGAGTCCAGGAGTTGGAGATCAGCCTGAGCAATGTGGCAGAACTGCATCTCTACCAAAAGAAAAAAAAAAGCCAGGGTGTGGTGGCACATGCCTGTAGTCCCAGTTATTTGGGAGGCTGAAGTGGGAGAATTGCTTGAGCCCAGGAGGCAGAGGTTGCAGTGAGCGTAGAGATTACACCACTGCACGCCAGCCTGGGCAACAGAGCGAGACTCTGTCTCTAAAAAATAAAAATAAACTCAGTATGATTATCACACCTAAAATATCAAGAATTTCCTACTATCAACAAATATCAAGTTAGTAAGTCTGTTTTCTGAATTAATTATTATTGTTGCTGTTATACTATTATTCACATTTTACAAATACAAAACTGAGGGAAAGAAAAGTTTAAAATCCTGCACAATATCTCACAGAAGATATGGAGGCAAGCATGGGTTAAAATCCAGATATAGGGCAGGCGCAGTGGCTCACACCTATAATCCCAGCACTTTGGGAGGCCAAGGTGGGAGGATCACAAGGTCAGGAGTTCAAGACCAGCCTGGCCAGTATGGTGACACCCCTTCTGTACCAAAAATACAAAAACGAGCCGGGCGTGGTGGCAGGCGCCTGTAGTCCCAGCTACTCGGGAGGCTGAGGCAGGATAATCACTTGAACCCAGGAGGGGAGATTGCAGTCAGCCGAGATCGCACCACTGCACTCCAGCCTGGGCTACAGAGCAAGACTTGGTCTAAAAAAAAAAACCGGATATAGCTGAGTATAAAGCCTGTGTTTAGTTGGGTAAGTAAGCTCCGAAAGTCACAAGGGTAACAGCAATAAAATAATGATAGCTAACTTTTTTTGTACTTATGATGACTAAACTTTGTTCTAATTCCTTGTTTTAACTCATTTGATTTTCACAATAACCCTTTGAGGTAGGTGCTATTATTCCCATTTTACAGATGAGGAAATGAAGGAACACAGGAGTTAGGCAACAGCTAGCAAGCAGTGCATCCAGTCAGGGGCACATTCAGTCACTCGCCTGCTTATTCATTCATTCATTGGCTTTTCTTCTTATATATCTTCATAGCTATGAATCTGTGCATCTACATGTCTACTTATTTGAATAGATAATATATTCTCATGGCTCAAAACTCAAGAGGTTCAAAATGGTACATACGGAAAAATCTGTGTTACCTCTGTCCCAACCATTCAGTTTCTATCCCCAGAGGCATCAATATTTTTGGTTTCCTGGGTATCCTTTTGTAGATATCTTATGCACATACAAGTAAATTCACATCCTTCTCCTCCTTTTTTTTTTTTTTGAAACAGAATCTTGCTTTGTTACCCAGGCTGGAGTGCAGTGGCACAGTCTCAGCTCACTGCAACCTCTGCCTCCCAGGTTCAAGCAATTCACCTGCCTCAGCCTCACTAGTAGCTGGGATTACTGGCACTCGCCACCATGCCTGGCTAATTTTTGTAATTTTAGTAGAGACAGGGTTTCACCATGTTGGTCAGGCTGGTCTTGAACTGCTGACCTCAAGCAATCCACCTGCCTCGGCCTCCCAAACTGCTGGGATTGCAGGCGTGAGCCACCACGCCTAGGCTCCTCCTATTTTTACATGGAAGGCAGCACACTAGACAAAGGTTTTGCATTTACAGTTTTTCACTTAGCATATTTTGGAACTTCATCACTCTCTTTTACACAGAGTCCATGCTACTCCAACCTGCCCATTAATACTGGCAAGCAAACCCAGGTCTGAATTTCTAAGTCTTTAAATTTTAACTGCCATGTAAATATTTAATGATGAATTGGAACTTCCATGTTTTCCCAGCTCAGACTTTGAGCCTGCCTAAGCGCTCTTTAAAATCAATTCATTCTGCTATCATTGCTTCAAGCAATGGCCTGAAACTTACTCTAAAAGCAAAGCACATTGACTTATGTTCCCTGAGATCCTAGCAAAGTTTTATTTAAAAATAATCCAATGTTGTAATCAACTAGCCTTTAGTTGTTCTTCAATTTATTCCTTTCATTTTGTGGTTACAATTTAAACTGTTCTCAAAAAGGACATACGATGGCTTGCAGTAAAATAGACTATCAATTGATGTAGTGAAATACAAATAACAGATAAAGATGGACAAAATATTGTTAAATGTTTCTTCTGAGAATTTCTAATCACACGGGTTTGGGACCATAATTGCCAATATCTGTATGGTATTTAAAAAGATCCTGGCCAGGCACAGTGGGTCATGCTTGTAATCCTAGCACTTTGGGAGGCCAAGGCTGGCAGATCACCTGAGGTCAGGAGTTAGAGACCAGCCTGGCCAACATGGCAAAACCTTGTCTTTATTAAAAATACAAAAATTAGCCAGGCGTGGTGGTGAGCACCTGCAGTCCCAGCTGCTCGGGAGGCTGAGGAATGAGAATCTCTTGAACCTGGGAGGTGGAGGCTACAGTGAGTTGAGATCGTGCCACTGTACTACAGCCAGGGCAACAGATCGAGACCCTGTAATGATTTAAAAAAAAAAGAAAAAGATCCCAAATTGGTATTGCTCCTTAAATTCAGATCTCAAATGGACTTCTACATGTTGAATTCCATGGAATATCTGGCATCAACATTCTCTCTCTTACTTTCTGTACACACACACACACACACACACACACACACACAAACACACACAGACATACATACAAATAATAACTTGGAGAGACAAGCCACCATGAATAAGAATCAGCAAAACAGGAAACTATAGAAACGGACCCACAAAGATGGTAGATATTGGAATTATCAGATAAAAATATAGTTAGAAATAGAAAGACTTCAAAAGGAATGAAAATATAAGAGAGATCAGGAGATACTGAGGATGAGGCGAGATAATCTAATGTAATCAGATTTCTAAAAAGATAATAGGAAGAATGAAGAAAAACAATATTTGAAAGAAAACAATAAAAAATTTAACAGACTTTAAGTTATATAAAAATTGTAGAGTTGAATTGTTATATCTATTACAAGACTAATTCTTAGATTCAGACATCCCAACAAATCTCAAGCAAGTTAAATAGAAATCTATACTTAGACACTTATAGGGAAACTATGAAAGTAAAACAAAAAAGAAAAAGAAATCCATTAGAAAGAATGAGAAAGCTTTACTACCAAAGAAGAACAATTAATTTGACAGTTGACTTGCAACATGGAAGTGAGAAGACAGTGGAATACTATTTTTAAAT
Source organism: Homo sapiens (assembly GCF_000001405.40). Classification (NCBI taxonomy): domain Eukaryota; kingdom Metazoa; phylum Chordata; class Mammalia; order Primates; family Hominidae; genus Homo; species Homo sapiens. The sequence goes on along the minus strand of NC_000005.10, from coordinate 68,165,914 downwards.
TGTTGGAGATAAAATAACCATGATCATATAATTGTTTACATAGTAAAACTACCATTTAATAGAAAGATGAAATAAAGAATTTTTCATACAAATATTGAGAAAGTTTACCACCATCAAAACTTAAAAGATTTGATGAACTCCTACGTGATAGATTTTGTAAAGAAGAAAATGGATCTTGGAGGATCTCAATTTCAAGAAAATAATATGCTAATATCTAAAAGCAAAGATGGAATTAAACAATAACATCTAATTTCTGGAGTTGCAAATAAATTTTAAAACAAAATGCTCGATTAAGAAATCACATATCTGCCAGGCGCATGCCTGTAATCCCAGCACTTTGGGAGGAGGAGGCGGGCGGATCACGAGGTCAGGAGATCAAGACCATCCTAGTTAACACAATGAAACCCCGTCTCTACTAAAAATACAAAAAATTAGCCGGGCGTGGTGGCAGGCGCCTGTAATCTCAGCTACTTGGGAGGCTGAGGCAGTAGAATGGCGTGAACCCGGGAGGCAGAGCTTGCAGTGAGCCGAGATCTGGCCACTGCACTCCAGCCTGGGCGACAGAGCGAGACTCCATCTCAAAACGGCAACAAAAACAAAACAAAACAAGAAGAAATCATATGTCAGGAGAAATGCCATTTAACATTAAAACATCATAAGCTTCTTATACTCTTCAGATTAGAAGTATTAATTAAATTTGGACTTTTGAAAATTAAATATGCAAGTTAAAAATTTTAGGATAACCACAAAAACTACAGTGGAAAAAATGGAATGAAGAAAAACTAAATCTGAAACAACCCAAAGAAGTAAAAATGGGGAAAAGCAAAACAAAACAAAAAAAATCGACCAGGCACAGCGGCTCATGCCTATAATCCCAGCACTTTGGGAGGCCGAGGCGGGTGGATCACCTGAGGTCAGGATTCGAGAGCAGCCTGGCCAACATGGAGAAACCCTGTCTCTATTAAAAATACAAAAATTATCCGGGCATGGTAGCAAGTTCCTGTAGTCCCAGCTACTCGGGAGGCTGAGGTAGGAGAATCACTTGAACCCGGGAGGCGGAGGTTGCAGTGAGCTGAGATCATGCCACTGCACTCCAGCCTGGGTGACAGAGCAAGACTGTCTCAAAAAAAAAAAAAAAAAAGAAAGAAAGAAAGAAAAAGAAAAATCGGAGTGTATAGACTGTGAAAGTGAGATGGTAGAAATGAATTAAAAGGTAGGTGGACTAAAATCCCCAATTATGATACTATCAGATTGAATTTTTTTAAAAAGGTAATTCACTATTTTACAAATGCCACATTCAGCCAAAACTTAAGTGCAGAGAAAGATTTAAAGTCAAAAGATGGAAAACTAGACAATAAGCAGATATCAAAAGAAAGTTAGCAAGACTATTTTAGTATCAAAGTAGACTTTAAGCCTGAAAGCCTTTACCAAATATACTGAAATAGTTTTAATTAATCAGGAAGATATAGCTACTCTAATTCATATAGTGCAATAATATGGCTTCAGAATATATAAAATAAATATGAAAAGAGCTACAAGGAGAAACTGACATGACAAATCCGTTGTCACACTGTATCTGCAGTTCTCAAACTTCAGTGAGCATTCGAGTCACCTTGATGGCTTGTTAAAACACAGATTGCAGCCAGGTGTGGTGGCTTTGGGAAGCTGAGGTGGGCAGATCACCTGAAGTCAGGAGTTTGAGACCAGCCTGGCCAACATGGTGAAACACTGTCTCTACTAAAAATACAAACAATAGCTAGACGTGGTAGTGCATGCCTGTAATCCCAGTTATTCAGGAGGCTGAGGCAGGAGAATTGCTTGAACCCTGGGGGCAGAGGTTGCAGTGAGCCAAGATGGTGCCCTGCACCCCAGCCTGGGTAACAGAGCAAGACTCCATCTTAAAAAAAAAGCAAAAAACCAAAAAAACAAAACACAGATTGCTGGGTCCCACCCTGGGAGTTTTTGAGTTTTTGATTCCGTAGGTTGAGTAGGGCCTGAGAATTCCCATTCCCAGAATGTTCTCCCCTTGAGAACTAGTACTGCACAGAAGTCCTGCACGTATGCACCAAGAAAGTTTATAGTATAGTATAGAATGTATATATAAGAAAGTTTATAGAAGCATCGACCATCACAGAAAAGTATTGGCAACAACCCATAATGGCAATCAACAACAGAAACGATAAATAACTCATAGTATATTAAGACAATTGGACATTATATAGTAATGACAAAGAATGAACTACAGCTTTGTGCACCACTATAGCTAATTATCACAATATTTGAGCAAAAGAAGAAAATTTGAGAAAAATAAAGTTCCAGGGGAAACAAATTAAGACATTGTTTAGGGATATATCTAGTTATGATAAAACCATAAAGAAAAGCAAGAATAGGAGTAACCCAAAATAGGATAGCAATTTTCTCTGTAGGGTGGGGAGAGAAGATGCAGTCATGAAGAGTAATGTTCTATTTCTTAAGCTAAGAGGTGAGTTATTGGATGTTTATTTTATTCTAAGTTGTAAGGATAAATGATGCATACTTTTTGTATCTAAGGTAGATCTCTCAAAAACGCTAAAAGATAATGAAACCAGATCGTATACAGTAAGAAGCAATCACTTCCAATTGAAAAGGGCAAGAGTAGTTTCCACAGGGAATTGGGTTTTGAACTATTATCAAAAATTTGATAGGCAAAGCTCTGGAAGGAGAAGGGGAGAAAGAAATTTTAACTTTGGCCAAATGGCATAATCAAATCATAAGAAGTAGACCAGTCTGTCTAGAGAGAATTGTTCATATGGGATATGTCAAGCAGATCAGGTTGGAAAGGAAGTTAGATCAAATTCTTTTTTTTTTTTTTTTTTTTTGAGGCAGAGTTTCTTACTGTTGCCCGAGCTGGAGTGCAATGGCTCCATCTCGGCTCACTGCAACCTCTGCCTCCTAGGTTCAAGCGATTCTCCTGTCTCAGCCTTCCGAGTAGCTGGGATTACAGGTGCCCGCCACCACATCTGACTAATTTTTATAATTTTAGTAGAGACGGGGTTTCACTATGTTGGCCAGGCTGGTCTTGAACTCCTGACCTCGTAATCTGCCTGTCTTGCCCTCCCCAAGTGCTGGGATTACAGGCGTGAGCCACAGTGCCTGGCCCAAATTCTTAATTCAATTAACTATATATGAATTTTGAGAAGATAAGACACACTGCAGATACATTCTTATGGGAGAAGGTCAAAGAAAGTCTGACGTGTGGCTGCTCTCTGTGCCTACATAGAAAAAATTCAAATAGTATATATAGTTTACCACAAACTTTTAGGCAAAAGCCTGATTATGTAGTCAGATCCATCTATGTGCAAAGTAAAACATCTTTGACTTACTAACTTATTTTTAATTTTTTTTTTTTTTTGAGACGGAGTCTTGCTTTGTCGCCTAGGCTGGAGTGCAGTGGCACGATCTTGGCTCACTGCAACCTCCACCTCCCAGGTTCATGCCATTCTCCAGCCTCAGCCTCCAAAGTAGCTGGGACTGCAGGAGCCTGCCACCATGCGTGGCTAATTTTTTGTATTTTTAGTAGAGACGGGGTTTCACTGTGTTAACTAGGATGGTCTTGATCTCCTTACCTCGTGATCCACCCGCCTCAGCCTTCCAAAGTGCTGGGATTACAGGCGTGAGCCACCGTGCCTGGCCTTATTTTTAATTTTTATTAGGTAATTTGAGGTAATATATGTAGGCATTTTTTTAACTTGATCACTCTATAAGGTTTACAAGGAAAAAGAATTAATCTTGTCTAACCCTGCCCATTCCTGAGTTCCACTACCTAGAGGAACTACTTTCAACTTTCAGGCTTTTCTGATTTTAAATTCCATTTTTGAAGAAACATGCTTATATTGCTACTTCTTGATTTAGACATGATTTTCTCTATTAAATTAGGATTTAGTTCTTTAATAACTACCATCCCTAGACTTTACTGCACACAATTACTTCTTCATCTTTATGTTCCCAACATAAATCTTTCACAATTTTTAGCCAAGTCAGAGTACAGTATTTACATTATTTTGATCATGTAAGTATTGTTCTCGGTTGAGCCATGTGGTACCCTGTGAACACATTTTTTCCTTGTATAACTTCTAAATTTTACAGGGGTTAATTGCTTCTTTTGTATTTATAATTTTCTATTCACATAGCAATAAGTTATCCCTAAATTCTCCATTCAAGTGTCTAACATGCCCCTCAATGTTGTCAAATTTAATTGGTAATTTCTATGTTCCATTTTTCCCCCCTTGAAGACATCCCTCTTGGAGTACTCCATCTTCTTATTCCAATCTGGCTTACTGAAGAGTTGTTATCCCCAGACTTCCTTGACTATCATCCTAGAAATTCTCATCACTTCTTTTCTTCTGTGGGATACCATCTTCCTTTTTTCTCCTGTGTGCTTAGGGTGGGGCTTGTCATATGGTAGGCCTTTCTGTACACAAGGCCCATCTGGTTCTTTGTGGAATCCCAAATGCCAGTTATCTTTAAGATTTATCTCTTGGGCTTATCAGCTTTCTCAGACAGAATCATTCAGTTGCCTGATGGTAGGGTGTGCATGAAAGACCGGCAGCAAGCGTTTTGGAAAGGCCTTGGGGAAGGGGCGGGTTTACTCTTCAGTATGCAGATGTTTCCTTAATCACTCTGTTTTCAATAAAGAGCCTTACTTTCACCTTCAAATGTTCCAGGGGTCTAAAAAATTGCCCTCTCCAGTCTAGATGGATGAAGGTTGAGAGTCATCTCATCAGATCATAAAACTACCAAGATCGTAAAAGAGGTCAATCAGTTAAGTTTTATAGTCAACAAATATTTATTGAGTGCCTAATTTGAACAAGGCATTGTGTTAGAAATTGAGAGAATGCACACTTCCTTACCAAATTCCTTGGAACTGCGACCTACTCTTTGAGAAAAAAAAAAAAAAAAAAAAAAATCAAGTTTTCTACAAATCCCAGAAAGGAGTGCTCACACACAAGGTTTTGAAACTCATTACTCCAAGAGGGTCTAGGCCAAATGTGGAAACAGTTTCAAAAAAGATATAGGAAAGTACATAATTGTCAGCTCCATCGAGACAAACTAAAATGTTGTGGAAATATTTCTAACCTCTGAGACTCTTGACAAAGAGAGCAAACAAGTCTTTCAACAATTTCTTTCTTTTTTTTTTTTTTTTTTGAAACGGAGTCTTGCTCTGTCACCCAGGTTGAGGTTCAGTGGTGTGATCTCTGCTCACTGCCACCTCCGCCTCCCGAGTTCAAGTGATTCTCCTGCCTCAGCCTCCTGAGTAGCTGGGATTACAGGCACCCACCACCACATCTGGCTAATTTTTGTATTTTTTAGAGACAAGTTTTCACCATGTTGGCCAGGCTAGTCTCGAATTCCTGACCTCAAGTGATCCACCTGTCCACCTGCCTCAGCCTCCCAAGTGCTGGGATTATAGGCGTGAGCCACCGTGCCCAGCAGTCTTTCAACAATTTTGATTGGTAGTGAGAGGTATGTTCCTGCAATGCTACATGCAGTTCCTAGAATATACTAAATTCTACTTTGATGAAGTGTATCTACTATCGTGCAAGTCTGTCAGCAGATATTTTCTATATCGTTCAAATTAAGTGTGGAGCGGAATGATCTTCATAGACCAGCAGTTCTCAAAGTGTAGTCTTTGGGCCTCTGGGGGTCCCCAAGGTCAAAACTAGTTTTTATAGTAATACTAAGACATTGTTTGCCTTAGTATTAATAATATTAGTATTATTAATAATAGCCTTTCTCATTGTGTTGATATTTACATCAATGGTGTTTGTGCTTTAGCGTAAACCATAACAGTAGCATAAAACTATGCCAGCAGATACTGTATTCTTCACCACAAGGCTCTTGCAGAAAAAAAAAAAAAAACAAACCAGTTTCACTGTTTCACTTAAGAATGTCGTTGAGCTTTTTCCTCTCTTCAGCGCGGGGTGCCCACAAGTTGCGCGCTCTCTTTCTGCTGCTCCCCAGCTCTCAGATACAGCCGACACCATGGGTTTCGGAGACCTGAAAAGTCCCGCGGGCCTCCAGGTGCTCAACGATTACCTGGTGGACAAGAGCTACATTGAGGGGTATGTGCCATCACAAGCAGATGTGGCAATATTTGAAGCCGTGTCCGGCCCACAGCCTGCTGGCTTGTGTCATGCCCTACGTTGGTATAATCATGTCAAGTCTTATGAAAAGGAAAAGGCCAGCCTGCCAGGAGTGAAGAAAGCTTTGGGCAAGTATGGTCCTGCCAATGTGGAAGACGCTACAGGAAGTGGAGGTACAGATAGTAAAGATGATGATGACATTGATCTCTTTGGATCTGATGATGAGGAGGAAAGTGAAGAAGCAAAGAGGCTAAGGGAAGAAAGTCTTGCACAATATGAATCAAAGTTAGCCAAAAACCCTGCACTTGTTGCCAAGTCTTCCATCTTACTAAATGTGAAACCTTGGGATAAGGAGACAGATCTGGCGAAATTAGAGGAGTGCGTCAGAAGCATTCAAGCAGACGGCTTAGTCTGGGGCTCATCTAAACTAGTTCCAGTGGGATACAGAATTAAGAAACCAAATACAGTGTGTAGTTGAAGATGATAAAGTTGGAACAGATATTCTGGAGGAGCAGATCACTGCTTTTGAGGACTATGTGCAGTCCATGGATGTGGCTGCTTTCAACAAGATCTAAAATCCATCCTGGATTATGGCATTTAAATAAAAGCTTGATAGATAAAAAAAAAAAAAAAAGAATGTCTTTGAGTGCTCGCTTCAGCAGCACATATACTAAAATTGAAATGCCCCTATGCAAGGATGGCATACACATTTGTGAAGCCGTCTATAGTTTTAAAAAAGAATGTCTTTGAAACAGCATTAAAAAAACTTCTTAAATCTCAACCATTATGTACACTTTAAAAATACTCTGTATGACAAAATGGGAACTGCACAGAAAACGCTGTGGCTGCATGCTGAAGTATGACAGTCGGTGTGAGGAAAAGTGCATGTTTAATTGTATGAGATACAAGCTGAAGAGCCATTTTTCACAATACACTTTTTTTTTTTACTTGAAAGAACAACTGACAGACAAATTATAGTTATTCATACTTGAGTATTTGTCAGACATTTTCTCAAAAATTAATGAAGTGAGTCTGTCACTTCAAGGAAAACAACTGGCGGTATTTGTTGCCAGTGATAAAATTTAAGCTTTCAAGTAAAAAATAGAATATCAGAAAATTCGTATTCACCACTGTGGGCTTGACAACATCCTAATACTTAAGGCTTTGCTGATGAGATTGGTGATGATGTTAACAATGTGATTTAGAAAAAAAAAATGTTTTTAGAGAAGGGGTCTCACTATGTTGCCCAGGCTGGACTAGAACTCCTGGGCTCAAGCGATTCTCCCATCTAAGCCTCTCAAGTAGCAGGGACTACAGGTAAACCTGACTGTGCCCAGCTAACAATTGTAATTTTTTAAAATATTAAAATAATAATAATAATAATAACATTGATAATAAAACACATCAAATTTGGGAAGAACAACGTAAATCACTGAACCAGTATTTTCCAAATGATCAATGCATGGGTAAGAGATCCATTCAAAGTGAAAGATAGACAGAAGAATTTTAATTTGACAAGCAACGTTTAAGAAACTACTACTTGGTGATTTTGGGGTAATATTAAAGAAAAATATCCACAACTATTTAAAAAGGCTATTAAAATACTCCTCCATTTTCCAACTATATCAGCAGAATGAAAGAAGTAGTAGACATGAGAATCCAACTGTCTTCTATTAAGCAAGACATGAAGGTTTTTATTTATTTATTTTAAAATTTTACTTTAAGTTCTGGGATACATGTGCTGAATGTGCAGGTTTGTTACATAGGTATACATGTGCCATTGTGGTTTGCTGCACCCATCAACCTGTCATCTATGTTTTAAGCCCTGCATGCATTAGGTATTTGTCCTAATGCTTTCCCTCCCTTTCCCCCCACCCCTGACAGGCCTCACTGTGTGACGTTCCCCTCCCTGTGTCCATGCATTCTCATTGTTCAACTCCCACTTATGAGTGAGAACATGCCGTGTTTGGTTTTCTGTTCCTGTGTTAGTTTGCTGAGAATGATGGTTTCCAGCTTCATCCATGTCCCTGCAAGAGACATGAACTCATTCTTTTTTATGGCTGCACAGTACTCCATGGTGTATATGTGCCACATTTCCTTTATCTAGTCTATCACCGATGGACATTTGGGTTGGTTCCAAGTCTTTGCTATTGTGAATAGTGCTGCAATAAACATACATGTGCACACAGACATCAACATTTTTGCAATGATGTAACAATGCTACTTTTCTCACTATTTAAAAAAATGCAGTTAATTTTCATCAAATATGCAGTGATTCCTAATTTGGGATGATATTGCCCAACCTCCCCTCCAGGGACACTGGGCAATATCCACAGACATTTTTGGTTGTCCCATTGGGTGGAGGTGGCAGGTAAGGTGTTGCTGGCATCTAGTGTGTAGAGGCCAGGGATGCTATTGAACATCTTATAATGCACAGAACAGCTCCCACAACAGAGTTATCAAGCGCAAAACATCAATAGTGTGGAGGTTGAGAAGCCCTAGACTAAATTATAGAAGACAGATACAAAAGCTGCCTGTCAAAACAAAACAATGAAGCCAAATCACCTAAGTGTATGTATCCAAAATGCTACATTTTAAGGCCAAGATGCATACAGATTAGAGTAAGATACTAGGTTTAAGTCATGAAAGCTGTTTTCTGATTCACTAGAGAGAATAGTTTGTAATTTTTTGTTTTTGTTTTTGGAGGGACTGAGTCTTGCTCTGTCACCCAGGCTGGAGTGCAGTGATGCAATCTGAGTTCACTGCAACCTCTGCCTCCTGGGTTCAAGCGATTCTCCTGCTTCAGCCTCCTGAGTAGCCGGGACTACAGGCAGGTGTCATCACACCCGGCTAATGTTTGTATTTTTAGTAGAGACAAGGTTTCACCATGTTGGCCAGGCTGGTCTCAATCTCCTGACCTCAGGTAATCCACCTGCCTTGGCCTCCCAAAGTGCTGGGATTACAGGTGTGAGCCACCGCACCCGGCCTCAGTCTGTAATTTTCTTTTTTTTTTTTTTTGAGACGGAGTCTTGCACTGTCGCCCAGGCTGGAGTGCAGTGGCACAATCTCAGCTCACTGCAAGCTCTGCCTCTCAGGTTCACTCCATTTTCCTGCCTCAGCCTCCTGAGTAGCTGGGACTACAGGCACCCACCACTATGCCCGGCTAACTTTTTATATTTTTAGTAGACACGGGGTTTCACTGTGTTAGCCAGGATGGTCTTGATCTCCTGACCTCGTGATCTGCCCGCCTCGGCCTCCCAAAGTGCTGGGATTACAGGCGTGAGCCACTGCGCCCGGCCCTCAGCTTGTAATTTTCTACGGGAAAATATAGGGCTAATTTTTAAGCTCTAGTTTATCATTAAAACTAATAGAGTTTTAGAAATTCATTCTATCTCATGTTCAACATATAACTCATGTTTGGTATTGTAATCTGTATTTGTATTTCCGAATACACAGCAAATGTGAGGCCAGCGAATGTGAACATGAAGTAAAAGACACAGTAATTATAGCACCCTGTACTCTGGGCTTTGACTCAAGGCATTGTCTAAGGTTCCTCAAGCATCCATAAAATACAAGACTTAAAGCGTTAGTAAGATGTCATGTTTTTGAAAAATAGAATAGTACTAGAGAATGAAGCTAGTTAATGGTTGTTGGACAAATTAATGACATCATTTTGGTAAGAGAGGATTTATATAACTCCTAAAATCTCACCATAGGTGGGATCATCATATCAGTCAACTAGTCATACCTAAGCGCGGTTTAATTATATCTTCCCAACTATTACTCCTCATCCCGCGGTATGTTGAAGTCCTAACCCCTGATACCTATGAATGTGATTTCATTTAAAAATTGGGTCTTTGCAGATGTAATCAAGTTAAAATGGAGTCATACTGGATTAGGATGGGCCCTAAACCAATCCCGGGTGTATTTATAAGGACTGACAGATTTGGAGACACACACACACAGAGGGAAGAAGGCCACATAAAGACAGAAGCAGAGATTGGAGTGAAACAGCTACCAGCCAAGAATGCCCAGCATTTCTTTTCTTTTTTTTTTTTTTTGAGAGGGAGTCTCGCTCTGTCTCCCACGCTGGGCAGTGGTGCGATCTCGGCTCACTGCAAGATCTGCCTCCCAGGTTCACTCCATTCTCCTGCCTCAGCCTCCCGAGTAGTTGGAACTACAGGCACCCGCCACCACGCCCAGCTAATTTTTTTGTATTTTTAGTAGAGATGGGGTTTCACCGCGTTAGCCAGGATGGTCTCGATCTCCTGACCTCGTGATCTGCCCGCCTCGGCCTCCCAAAGTGCTGGGATTACAGGCGTGAGCCACTGCGCCCGGCCAATGCCCAGCATTTCTAGGACTGCCAGCAACTAGGAAGTGGCAGGGAAGGATTCTTTCCTAGAACCTTCAGAGGGATCATGGCTCTGCCAATTCTGGACTTCTAGAACTGTAATGCAATACATTTCTGTTGTTTTAAGCCACCGAGTTTGTGGTATTTTGTTACAGCAGCCCTAGGAAATTAATAAGCATACCAGTCTATACCAAAGCCTCTTCTTCAAACCTTTTGCAGGTAGTTTAATGGTCTTGGGCTGGGAGAGTCCAGTGATGGGGCATTCACTACCTAACAGAACAGGTAGATTCACTGCTGGCTGGTTTTAAAAGTTATAGAGTTCTTCCTTATAATGAACAGACAGATATGTCTGTTTGGTTGTTTACATTTTTTGTTATTTATTTATTTATTTAGTTAGTTAGAGATGGAGTCTTGCTTGGTCGCCAGGCTGGAGTGCAGTGGTGCGATCTCGGTTCACTGCAACCTCTGCCTCCCTGGTTCAAGGGATTCTCCTGCCTCAGCCTCCTGAGTAGTTGGGACTACAGGCATGCACCACCATGTCTGGCTAATTTTTGTATTTTTAGTAGAGACGGGATTTCACCATGTTGGCCAGGATGGTCTCGGTCTCCTGACCTCATGATCCACCTGCCTCAGCCTCCCAAAGTGCTGGGATTACAGGCATCAGCCACCACGCCTGGCCACATTTTTAAACTTTTATAAACAGTCTAGAACTCTGTCATCTTTAATACATACCATGATATACTTTGGCAAATGACTCACTGAAAGTTCATATTGTTCAAAGACAGAAACTGAAATCCCAAAAGGTCAAATCAAGGCTCTGGTTACTGACCATCTACAAAGCGAGCGGGTAGCTCAACTGGGTGAAATCTCCCTTTGAGGTCAAAGGAAAAACTGTGGCTACCATGAACGAAAATTGGTGACATCACGTCAAATCAGTCACATTCAGTTTTAAAGAAGTTTGCAGAGAGAATTAGGCCGACAGGTTGGGGGCCCAGTTTATAAAAAGGATAAGCAACTTTTAAGCTTTACAAATTTAGTAGCCAAGATAGGATTAGAATCAAGTTCCATATGAAAGAAAACCTCCAGTGGTTTTGTGACTCAACACAGAGTGCCTTCCCTGAGCACAGCATTGGAATAACCGTCATTTAATCCATTGTTTACTGTCCCTTGTGAGGGGAGCTCTTAATAAGGTGTTTAATAAAAGCTCACAAATTAGTTTACTCCCATGCCATTGTATCCTTCTTTCACAGCAATTGAAATTCTATTTATAATAAATTCAATCAGTATTCACGTGGGTGATGCATATATTTCAAAATGTTCAGCTGTAATTTGGATCTAATTAGTTGACACTTTGAGTATTGCCAAAAGTTTTTTTTTTTTTTAATTCAGGAGTGAATTGGCTGTTTCAACAACAAATTCTCAAAAACATCTGTAGAATAAAACCAACTGACAAAAGTATTTATGTTACAGTTTTTCGTTGTGACATAAGGGGACATTCCATTTTATGTGCTTTGCATTTATTGCAAGATGTTGGGCCACAAGATCCTCTGTGGGATGGACTTTCCTCATTATCATCTTGTCTTGTTTCTCCTTTCTTTGTTCCCTTAGATTTACAAGGTGCTTTAGATGGAAAATTCAATAGCTTGATGAGACGCTTTGTTTTGCATCTTGACCTCTCATTATCTTTATACTTGGCCCTCCATACACAAATTTAGAGGATTTTGATCAACAGTGGGTCGAAATATTCAAGAAAAAAAATACAACAATAAAAGTGCAAACAAAAAGCCAATATAGTGTAACAGCTGTTTACATAGCAGTTATACTGTATTAGATATTATAAGTTATCTAGAGATGATTTAAAGTATAAGGGAGGAATGTGGATAGGTTTGATGCAAACACTATGCCAATTTATATCACAGACTTGAGCGTCCCAGGTTTTGGTATCTGAGAGGATCCCGGAACCAATCCCGTCCCCTGGATACTGAGGGCCAACTCTAGTTAATAATGAAAAGCAAGGAAGACAGCCACACTGGAAATCACTTTGAATGTGGAAGAATGCTGACAACAGAGTAGGTGTTGGCTAATTATAATGAAGGTATTGAAGGTGACGATGATGCAAATAACAGCAGCCAACAATGATGGCACTTACTCTGCTCTAGTAACTAAACTAGATATGTTACCTCATCTGGCCCTCTTAACAACTCTGTGAAGTAGGTATGTATTATCCCGATCTTGAAGATGGGAAAACTGGGGCTTTGGGAGGTTAAGTCACTTCCTCAAGGTCTCAAGCTAATAAGTTGAGGGCCACCATTCAAAGCCAGTTCTATCTACCTTGCAGAGTCCATGTCCTTAATCATTACATGACATGGACTCAACTGTGTTTTAGGAGACAACATATGGGTGTGTAGAAAATTCATATTTCTACTCTGTATACTAGTGTGTATTTTCTATATTTCTACAATGCTGTCATTTCAGTCACTGCCTTACTGATTTAGACAAGAGGCAAACTAGCTTTCCCAGGGTAAGAACAATGACATAAAGTGAAAACCTGGCCCTAAAGTCACAGAGAAAGCAGGCACTCAAGAGAATGCGGCCTTCTAGGTCAGTGTCCTCTAGCAGAGGCTAAAAAAACCCCAAGGCAATTACCTCAGCAACTTAGGCACCCCCTCTTCAAGTTTTGTTTAATTCCGTATTTGAGTGAGGGGTAATTTTGTCCAAATATTGTTTCAGTTATTCATTTTGATATGCTAGTAAAAGGAGGCAGACCTATTTCTAAAAATCTGATAAGTAGATCTTCCCACTACCCTACTGGGCTCTGAGATGGGGGGTCAGACTCCAAGGCCCAGTATATTGGTTTTTTTTTTTTTTTTGAGATGGAGTTTTGCTCTTGTTGCCCAGGCTGGAGTGCAATGGGGTTCAATCTTGGCTCACTGCAATCCCCACCTCCCGGGTTCAAGCGATTCTCCCGCCTCAGCCTTCCAAGTAGCTGGGATTACAGGCATGCACCACCTTACCCAGCTAATTATTTTTTGTATTTAGTAGAGACAGGGCTTCGGTATGCTGGTCAGGCTGGTCTCGAACTCCTGACCTCAGGTGATCCACCTGCCTCGGCCTCCCAGAGTGCTGGGATTACAGGCGTGAGCCACCGTGCCCGGCCAGCACAGTGTATTGTATAAGAACTCTAGAGTCAGGTTGTCTGCATTCAATTACCAGTATTGTCGTTTGCTAGTTGCATGATCTTGGATAAGTCTTAACATTTCTTTATGTTTCAGTTCCATTTTCTTAAAACAGTTAATAGTTGTAACTCCTCATAGAGTTGTTGGGTAGATCAAATTAATTCATACATGTAAAACACTGGGAAGAGTGTTTGACATACAGTGAGGGTTCCTTAAGTACTAGCTAGCATCATCATTATTGTCAGCATCACCATCATCATCATCATCATCACCATCACCATCATCATCTCCCAGCCCCTTGTAGGAATCTACGTGTTTGACCCGTTTGTTTTCGCTATAAACTTTGTTTTCACTATGGAAAACTACATAGTCCCAAAGAGCTTCATTTATAGCCCGAAAATTCCTTAGGGAAGTTATAATTGGTATTAGGACCTTAGTAATTATTTATGTTTGTACTCAATAGCACTAATTTTCAGGATAATGTGATGGACAGGCCCCAAATCTAATTTTTATGGAATTAACTTTTTGAAAAGTAATTAGTAAAGAAGTTTGTTTTTTAAGAAACTACTTCTGGCTAAGGATAATGTTTATAAATCATACAGCACAGCAGCTGGCACATAATAGGCACTCAGTAAATGTCACTGTCACTGCGATTAATGTAGCATGTTCATATCTGTTTTGTCGTCCTTATTAGTACTTTATCACATAGGTTACTTTTCTGTTGTGAATATAGTATTTGTTAGAATTTCTGAATACTGGAAATGCTGACTTCTTAAGGTAGAGGAATCATCATTTCTCCTTTTCTGACTTTCTAGCTAAAATATCTCCCTTGTCCTCTTCTATAAGGCTGGAATAAGAAAAACGGAACCTGCGTGTGAAAGAATAAGTCAATTAGAGTGCATACACCCTCCACAATAGCATTCTGTTGGGAGGTGCTTATACCAGAGCTTCCAATTTCGGATTCATCAACAGATCCTGTCTCCTATGTTATTGTGGACATCATTCTATTAACATCAGCTCAAAGAAAGTAAGCACATAAAAGGATTCAAGCTTCAGCCCTTTCTCCATTATGAGAAACGGCAAGCTCTAGGAATAGGCCCACTGGGGTAAATAACCTGCTATAAAGACATTTCCGGCTGGGCGCAGGCTCAAGCCTGTATTTCTAGCACTTTGGGAGGCCGAGATGGGCGGATCACCTGAGGTCAGGGTTTCAAGACCAGCCTGGCCAACATGGGGAAACCCTGTCTCTTCTAGAAATACAAATATTAGCCGGGCATGGTGGCGCATGCCTGTAATCCCAGCTACTCGGGAGGCTGAGGCAGGAGAATCCCTCGAACCTAGGAGTTGGAGGTTGCAGTGAGTCGAGATCATGCCACTGCATTCCAGCCTGGGCAACACAGTGAGACTCTGTCTCAAAAAAAAAAAAAAAAAAAAAAAAAAGACATTTCCTTTACCTGAGCAAATGTATTTTATCTTCATATTTTACTGGAAAATACTGTTTCTACAGTGAGTCTTTTGGCTGTTGCATCGCTCATTACTTTCGATGTAATTTAAAATAAGTTTGTTGCTAAATATTGCATATTAGTTTCAAGAAAAAACAAGGAAATAAAAAAATTATAATCATGTGTAATACTACCATGAAAACATAAACTACTGTTAACATTATTGTATATAGTCTTATAGATTATGTGTGCGTGATCTTTTTATTTGTTTTCATTATTTATATTTTGGGACATTTTGAAGGTTTTCATTTTTATGTAATTACCTCACTTCTCCTTTATAGCCTCTCTATTTGTATCATACTTGTCCTTGCCCACGTTAAGATTGTAATACTTTCAGTTGTATTTTTATCTACTACTATTATGATTTTATTTCTTTCATTAAAATTTTTGATCAATTTGAAATTAGTTTGGTTTATGAGTGAGCCATAAACCGCATTTTAAGTTTATCCAAATGGCTGGCCTATTGCTTAGGCACCACTTACTAAATAATCCATCTTGCCCTGTTGATTTGAGGTGCACCTTATCGAACAGTAAGTTTGTATGTAACCTAAGGCTTGTTTTGGTACTTTGTATTTATTCCATTTTATTGATTCATCTGTCTATTCCTGCATGGAAGCACATTTATTAATTATTATTAATTTAGTGGGTATTTTTATCAAAATTTGGCAATTATATTTATACAGGTTTAATCATGAGTATTCTACCTTTCCCTTTTTAGAAACATTAACTCACTTCAGTGTTTTCACAGGTAATATATGCACAGTGTGTAAATTCAAATGATACAAGATTGTAAAATGTGAAAAGTGAGTCTTCTTCCTTTACTTTCTCTGCCAGTTACTTCCCCACTCTGGAAGCAATTGCTATTTTTCATAGTCTTTCCAGTGCTATTCTATGCATATGTAAGCATAGAAATAAGATACTAAGCTGACACTTTCAGCTAAAACTCTAAGATGACAGATATTAGATATTCAGATACCAACGTGAGTGCCGTATAAAAATAGAAATCTTCAATGGAAACACTCAGAAACCAGTCTCATGAGCCTTAAATTTCTTAGCCAGACTGAGGATATGCAATGGTAGGCTGTTGGCAAAAAATAAACTGAAATAGAGCTATGATTGTGAAGATAATTTCTTCGGATAAAACTGTGCTGTATGTTGCATTTCCCACCAACATCAGGCCTAGAGAGAAGAGCCTTCCATAGCAGTACTTTTGAGAGTTTGATTTGTGGCCTTGCTGAGTGGCAGACACCAGGAACAGTGTTTCACTTTCGCCTGAGAACCAGGGGCAACAGTTGGACTGGCTACTGATAGTGAAGCAATGGGAGTGTGGGCCATGTGGGTTGGGTTTGCATGCTCAGAGTTTGTCAAGGCAAAATATGTGTGAGTGATTTTCCTGCAGCAGATGTGAGCCATGCAGGGGAGACAGATAGAGATAGAGAGAGAGAGAGAGAGAAAGTTTTGTGAGGTCATTAGTCCATTTGTGCTGCCGTAACACCAATACTTGAGACTGAGTCATTTATAAACAATAGATATTTATTTCTCACAGTTCTGGAGGCTGAAAATCTAAGATCAAGGTGCTGGCAGGTTTGGTGTATGCTGAGCATCTGGTCTCTCTGCTTCCAAGATGGTGCCTTGTTGCTATGTCCTCACATGGTGGAAAAAGGAAGGGCAAGAGAGGCACACACTCTCTGAAACCTCTTTCTTTTTTTTGTTTGAGATGGAATTTTGCTCTTGTTGCCCAGACTGGAGTGCAATGGCGTGATCTTGGCTCACTGCAACCTCCACCTCGTGGGTTCAAACGATTCTCCTGACTCAGCCTCCTGAGTAGCTGGGGCTACAGGTGTCACCACACCCGGCTAATTTTGTATTTTTAGTAGAGACAGGGTTCCTCCATTTTGGTCAGGCTGGTCTTGAACTCCAGCCTCAGGTGATCTGCCTGCCTTGACCTCCCAAAGTGCTGGGATTTGAAACCTCTTTTGTAAGGGCATTAACCCATTAGTTAAGGAGGAGATATCATGATTTAATCACTTCACAAAAGACCCTACCTCTTAACACTACCATGCTGGAGATTAAGTTTCAACATGTATTTTGGAGGAAGCACACATTCAAACCAGAGCAGTCATGCATATGCACGATAGTCGATGCAGATGGGCACGAGACTTTAGCAGTTAAAAGATGAGGGTGAACTGCAAGTTTCCCAGGAGGAAGAATGGCAGAGTGCTCCTAAGAGTACATCATTGTATGCATCAGGGGAATGCAGGTGAGATATCTCCATCGGTGAGGGAGATGCCTCCAAAAGGCAATAACAGTGTTCCTTGAGTAGGAAGACCAGCCATCCTGTATTGCCCAGATCTTAGGGTGTTTCAGAGACATGAGACTTTCAGTTTTAAAACCAAGAAAGTCCTGGGAAACCCGGGGTAAGTTGGTCATCCTGCCACTAAGTTAAAATGTAAGCTTTAAATACTTGTCATACCTACAGAGTGTAAAGCTATCTTAAGACAGTAGAGTCAAGTTCTTACTTTCAGGCTCTCTTACTTCTTGTCATTTCACCCTGGAATGGTGAGAAACGACTAGCAGAAATGTCCAGCTAGAAAAAGCAAGCCTTACCTGGGGGAGGAGTGTAAGAATAACTTTGAGTTGGCAGGTTTGACTATGACATGAGACTGGGCATTTTAATTTCTTAATTGAGATGAAGTCGGTGATCTAAAGTGATATAAAAGTGTGTATTTCTCAAGTGATTAGAAAAGTTATAAAACTTTCTGAATTTTCATTCAGAATCGGGAGAACTTCCCCACTGAGTATATTTTAGTGGGTCAATGGGACACAAAATAAAGTTGCTTTGTGATTTCACTCCATGAGTCATTCTTATTCAATATGTTAGTTTTATATTTGTGGGTTTAGAAAAACCCACCAAAGTGCAGCATGTTACACGTCTTACTCCTCTTTACTTTTCCCACTTAACACAACATACTTCAGAGCTTATTCTACGTCTGACAGATTAGGGGACCTTCTTCTCTTTTAATGGTTACATGGTATTCCAAAGTTGGATGTTCCATGTTTTATTGAACTAGTTCCCTCATGATGGGTATCTAGATTATTCCCAGGTTTTCCTATTAAAATCAACTGTCAGTATCAATTTCACATGTCTAAACATAATCTAGATGTGAACATTCATTTCAATTTTTTTTTTTTTTTTTGAGACAAGGTCTCACTCTGTTGCCCAGGCTGGAGAGCAATGGAAGGATCTTGGCTCACTGCAACCTCTGCCTCCCAGATTCGAGCGATCCTCCTGCCTCAGCCTCCCAAGTAGCTGGGACTACAGACACTCACCACCATGCCTGGCTAATTTTTGTATTTTTTGGTAGAGATGGGGTTTCACCATGTTGGCCAGGCTGATCTTGAACGGCTGACCTCAAGTGATCCACCCGCCTTGGCCTCCCAAAGTGCTGGGATTACAGGTGTGAACCACCATGCCCAGCCTCATTTCAATTTTTGTTATTATTCATGAATTGTCATCCAAAGAAATTGTGCTAATTTACCATTCCATCCAAAAGTGTATGACAGACTGCATATTTCCCCACAAACTCACAACAGCCAATCTGATAGATGAAGAAAGGCATTTGATAGTTTAAATCTACATTTTCCTTGTTCTTTTTATTCATGTATTTATTTATTTATTTTTTTGAGATGGAGTCTCACTCACTCGGTAGCCCAGGCTGGAGTGCAGTGGTGCAATCTCAGCCCACCACAACCTCTGCCTCCCAGGTTCAAGCAATTCTTCTGCCTCAGCCTCCCAAGTAGCTGGGATTACAGACTGCTGCCACCTTGCTCAGCTAATTTTTGCATTTTTAGCAGAGATGGGGTTTCACCATGTAGGCCAGGCTGGTCTCGAACTCCTGAACTCAGGTGATCCTCCCTTTTCTGCCTCCCAAAGTGCTGGGATTACAGGTGTGAGCCACTGTGCTTGGCCTAAATCTACACTTTTCTCATTATGAATGGTATTTTATGTGCTTAAGAGCCATGTGTATTTGCTTCTTTGGAACTGTGTCTTTAGTTGTTTTCCTGATGGGTATTTGGATTTTTAAAAATTGATTTTTAGGAAATATTTAAATATTAATATTAAGAAAATTGGCCATTTTTTATGTTTCTACCAGTATTTTTACCTAGTTAATAATTTTTCTATTCATCTTGTTTATGGTATATTTTTACAGGAAAATTTTGACTTTTATGTATTCTAATTTTTCAGTTAAAAATACTTTCTAGGTTTTGTGTCATAGTGAAGCAATTAATGCTCTGAGATTATAAAACCATTTTATAGTCTGGGCGCGGTGGCTCATGCCTGTAATCCGAACACTTTGGGAGGCTGAGGTGGGCAAATCACCTGAGGTCGGGAAGTTTGAGACCAGCCTGACCAACATAGAGAAACCCCTTCTCTACTAAAAATACAAAATTAGCCAGGCATGGTGGTACATGCCTGTAATCCCAGCTACTTGGGAGGCTGAGGCAGGAGAATTGCTTGAACCCAGGAGGCAGAGGTTACAGTGAGCCAAGCTCTCATCATTGCACTCCAGCCTGGGTAACAAGAGTGAGACTTCACCTCAAAAACAAACAAACAAAAACATTTTTTAATTTATTTTGGTATTTTTATTTATTTTTTACACTTAAATCTTTGATTTCTCTTAAACATATTTTTAATGTAACAAGCAAGGCATTGACTGAATGTTTTTTTTCTCAAGTGACTACCCAGTTCTCCTTACACCATTACATAAATAATTTTAATTTTTCTTCGCACTGATTTGTAATGCTACTTTAATCATAATTTGATTCCCTAAAGAATGTGATGTCCAAATTAGGTTTTATAGCTAAGTGTTATGAAACTATTGTGGAACAGATAACCCCAATACTATTTAAACTCATCTGAATAGGAAAAAAAAAAAAACATAACAATAAAAGGATTTTTTTTTTTTTTTTTTGAGGCAGAGTCTTGCTCTTTCACTCAGGCTGGAGTGCAATGGCGCAATCTTGGCTCACTGCAGCCTCCTCCTCCCAGGTCCAAGCGATTCTCCTGCCTCAGCCTCCCAAGTAGCTGAAACTACAGGCGCCCCCCACCATGCCCGGCTAATTTTTCTATTTTTAGTAGAGATGGGGTTTCACTATATCGGCCAGGCTGGTGTCAAAAGCCTGACCTTGTGATCCACCCGCCTTGGCCTCCCAAAGTGATGGTATTACAGGTGTGAGCCAGGGTGCCCGGCCAAAGGATGTTTTTAGGGAGTAGCTCACATGTATTCCTATTTCTCTTTTACAAATTAGCCTATTTGATTTTTTCCCCTTTCTTTGGGAGTCAATTCTAAAAAATGACACATTTTATCCAGATTTTTATTTCTACTTATCTGGGGCTGAGTTTATTATTTTTTGTATTGCCTTTGTAGTGTGATTATTTTTCATTCATTTGTTCTTGAATATATTTTTGCTTGCTTAATTTTGTTCTTTATTTTTATTTTATTTTTTCAACTTTTATTTTTGATTCAGGGGGTGCATGTCCAGGTTTGTTACCTGGATATAGTGTGTAATGCTGAGGTTGGGGTATGAATCATACCGTTACCCAGGTACCAAGCATTGTACCCAGTAGTCAGTTTTTCAACTTTTGTCCCCACCCTGTACCTTTAGTAGTCCCCAGTTTCTATTGTCCCTGTCTACGTCCATGAGTATCCAATGTTTAGCTCTCAGCTTATAAGTGAGAACATGCAGTATTTGGTTTTCTGTTGCTGAGTTAATTCACTCAGGATAATGGCCTGTAGCTGCATCCATGTTGCTGCAAAGAACATGCGTTAGTTCTTTTTTATGACTGCATAGTATTCCGTGGTGTATATGTATCACATTTTCTTTAATCCACCATTGATAGGCACCTAGATTGAGCCACATCTTTGCTATTGTGAATAGTGCTGTGATGAACATATGAGTGCATATGTCTTTTTGGTAGAACAATTTATTTTCCTTTGGATATATACCCAGTAAAGGAATTGCTGTGTCAAATGGTGGTTCTGTTTTCAGTTCTTTGAGAAATCTCCAAACTGCTTTTCAAGTGGATGAACTAAGTTACATTCCCACCAACAGTGTATAAACATTCCCTTTTCTCCACAGACTCACCAACATCTGCTGTTTCTTGACTTTTTATTAAGTCATTCTGAATGGTGTGAGATGGTATCTCATTGTGGTTTTGATTTGCATTTCTCTGATGATTAGTGATGTTGAGCATTTTTTCATATGTTTGTTAGCTGCTTCTATGTCTTCTTCTTCTTCTTTTTGTTTTAGACAGAGTCTCGCTCTGTCGCCCAGGCTGGAGTGCAATGGCACAATCTTGGCTCACTGCAACCTCCACTTCCCTGGTTCAAGCAATTCTCCTCCCTCAGCCTTCCAAGTAGCTGGGACTACAGGCACTTGCCACCATACCTGGCTAATTTTTGTGTTTTTAGTAGAGACAGGGTTTCACCATCGTGGCCAGGCTGGTCTCAAACTCCTGACCTCAGGTGATCTACCTGCCTTGGCCTCCCAAAGTGCTGGGATTACAGGTGTGAGCCACTGCACCTGGCCGTTTCTATGTCTTCCTTTGAGAAGTGTCTGTTCATGTCGTTTGCCCATTTTATTTATTTATTTTTTATTTCCTATTATTATACTTTAAGTTCTGGGGTACATGTGCAGAACGTGCAGGTTTGTTACATAGGTATACATGTGCCATGGTGGTTTGCTGCACGCATCAATCTGTCACCTATGTTAGGTATTTCTCCTAATGCTATGCCTCCCCTAGCCCCCCACCCCCCGACAGGCCCGGGTGTGTGATGTTCCCTTCCCTGTATGCATGTGTTCTCATTGTTCAACTCCCACTTATGAGTGAGAACATGCGGTGTTTGGTTTTCTGTTCTTGTGTTAGTTTGCTGAGAATGATGGTTTCCAGCTTCATCCATGTCCCTGCAAAGGACATGAACTAATTCTTTTTTATGGCTGCATAGTATTCCATGGTGTATATGTGCCACATTTTCTTTATCCAGTCTATCATTGATGGGCATTTGGGTTAGTTCCAAGTCTTTGCTATTGTGAATAGTGTGGCAATAAACATAGGTGTGCATGTGTCTTTATAGCAGACATTTGCCCATTTTTTAATGGGGTTATTCATTTTTTGCTTATTCAATTGTTTAAGTTCCTTATAGATTCTGGATATTAGGACTTGGTCCGATGCTTAGTTTACAAATATTTTCTCCCATTCTGTAGGTTTTCTGCTCACTCTGTTGATAGTTTACTTTGCTGTGGAGGAGCTTTTTAGTTTAATTGGGTCCCACTTGTCAATTTTTGTTTTTGCTGCAATTGCTTTTGAGGAGTTAGTCATAAATTCTTTCCCAAGGCCAATGTCCAGAATGGTGTTTTCTAGGTTTTCTTCAAGGATTCTTATAGTTTGAGATCTTACATTTAAATCTTTAATCTATCTTGAGTTAATTTTTGTGTATGGTAAAATGTAGAAGTTTGATTTCATTCTTCTGTATATGGTTAGTCACTGTCCTAGCACCATTTATTGAATGGGGAGTCCTTTCCCCACTGCTTATTTTTGTTGCCTTTGTTGAAGATCAGATGGCTGTAGGTATGCCGCTTTCTTTCTGAGTTCTCCATTCTGTTCCATCGGTCTCTGTGTCTGTTTTTATACCAGTACCATGCTGTTTTGGTTACTGTAGCCCAGTAGTATAGTTTGAAGTCAGGTAGCACGATGCCTCCAGCTTTGTTCTTTTTGCTTGGGATTGTGTTGGCTATTTGGGCTCTTTTTTTGGTTTCATATGGATTTTAGAATAGTGTTTTCTAGTTCTGTGAAGAATGACTTTGTTAGCTTGATAGGAATAGCATTGAATCTGTAGATTGCTGTATAACTATTGTAATGATATTGATTCTTCCAAACCACGAACATGGAGTATTTATCCATTTGTTTATGTCATTTATGATTTCTTTCAGCAGTGTTTTGCAGTTCTCCATGTGGAAATCTTTAATCTCCTTGGTTAGATATGTTCTGAGGTATTATTTTTTTGTGTGTGGCTATTGAAAATGGAATTATGTTTTTTTTTTGGCCCTCAGCTTGAGTGTTATTGGTGTTTAGAAATAGTACTGATTTTTGCTCATTGACTTTGTATCCTAAAACTTTACTGAAGTCATTTATCAGTTCCAGAAGCCTTTTGACAGAGTTTTCAGAGTTTTCTAGATATAGAACCATAACCTCCACAAAGAGAGATAATTTGACTTCTTTTCCTTTCTTTCTCTTGTCTGATTGCTCTGGCTAGGACTTTTTTTTTTTTTGAGTCTGAATCTCACTGTCACCCAGGCTGGAGTGCAGTGGTACAATCTTGGCTCACTGCAACATCTGCCTCCCAGGTTCAAGCGATTCTCCCACCTCAGCCTCCCAAGTAGCTGAGATTATAGGTACCCACCAACATGCCCAGTTAATTTTTGTATTTTTAGTAGAGACAGAGTTTCACCATATTGTCCAGGCTGGTCTCAAACACCTGACCTCAGGTGATCCTCCTGCCTTGGCCTCCCAAAGTGCTGGGATTACAGGTGTAAGCCATGGTACCCAGCCCCTATTTTGCTTTTGATAAGATTAGCTAATGGGGCTGTCTCAGAAAAAAAAAAAAAAAAAAAAAAAAAAAAAAAAAAGACTAGCTAATGGGCTCTCTTTTATTGTTTTTCTTGTTCTTGGCTTTATTTATTGATTTTATAATACTTTTGGTTTTATAATTAATTGACTCATGCTTTTATTTTCACTTAGTCTTTCCTTGGGTTTCTTTGATAGTTCATTTTCTAAATTTTTGAATTATGTACTTACTTCTTTCTTATTTATTAATATTGTTAAAACAATTAATTGGGAGGCCATTAGGCTGAGATGGTGCCAGCGCCTGGGGTTCCTATGTAGACAAACCAAAACCCAATCCCATGTACATAGTAAAATGAAAGTTACACTAGTTACACTTAACCAGTCAGAAACTGCCAACCGACCTCTAAGTAGGGACTTTCCACTGGATCAGACCCAAATAAGACAAATACCGAGCTATAACCAATCAAGTAATTTGATTATTTTGCTTCTCAATTCAGCCTATAAAGGCCTGCAGCTCATGCAGGTTCAGTGGAGCTGTCTCAACCTCTTCCGGTTTTGAGTGTTCCTGATTCATGAATCATTTAATGCTAAAATAAACTCTGTTAAATTTGTTTTGTCTAAACTTTTCCTTTTAACTACATAAATATAAAATTTCCTCTCAGCATTGCTTTAATTATATTCCATAGATTCTGCTATGTTGTGTTTTATTATCTGCATTTTTCAGTTTCTGATTTGACTTATTCTTTGTTACAAGAATTTTTCAGTTTCTGGAATGTAGGGTATTATTTTTCTTGCTTTGTTTCATTTTCTAGTTTTTAACATTAAAATCTAGTTTATTTGTGATCAGGCAACTGAAAAAAGTGCTTAGCAGGAGAAACATCTTTAAATTTCTCTGAAGGCTAGATATCTCTGGAGTGAAAGTGTGTGTGTGTGTTTGCATGTGTGTATGTGTGTACATGTGTGCAGGGGCAGAGTATGGTGGGGGAAGAGATGCTGTAAGAATTTCTTGTTCAGAATCACTTCCTTGACCCCTTTTCCTCTTCCTTGAGGAGAACATGAAGAGAGAAAGGAGGTTAGAAAAGGGGTGAGACATGTAGAGTGGTTGTTGGTGCAACAACAGTGGATTTAAGGGTTGACCAGGTAAGGCTTTTGTAGTGACAGGAACTGAATCTCTGGAGACAGGCTTAGTACTGTTTAGCTAACCACTAGGCTTTCATGTTGCTGGTGGGGGAGTTGAAGGGGTTTTGGGCAAGGCCAGAGTTGAACTGCTCCACTAGAAAAGGTTGGTAGACATATGCAAGGGAAAAAAATAGAAGAATCAGCTAGAAGCAGGAGAAATCCGTCAGGAAAGAATCAAAATGTTTCATGATATTGTGATGAGTTCTACTCTGTGGAGGATGATTCTCTGGTTTTCTTCAGAGTCTTCAGTAAAAGATCAATTTTTTTTTCATTGTTGTGTGGTGAGGTTGGACCTTTTGGAAGGACTTATCATTATCAGCTGGGGATGATTTCAGATTGTCTTAGGGGTGAAAGCGGAGGCTGTCCATGGAAGCTACTTTGCCTGGGTGAGGCATTTAAGATCTTGATATAAAAAATGTGGACCTGTAGCCCAAGGCATGAGGGAAGAGCTCAGAGTGGAGGGCTGTGAGAACCTGAATCTGGCTGCGGTTTTCCCACTTTCTGTGGGCTACGGGGGAGACTGCTGACATTGTTTTAATATTGTTAAAACAATATTTTAACAGTATTGTTTGAATATTGTTGAAGATCTCAATTCTTCAGGAAAAAAATTTATGTGATAATAGCTTACCCTCCATCTCTTTATGAAATACTGCAAGAATTCAGAGCTCTGGATAGGGTCGATGCACCTGGGTTTACTGCTGACTCTGCTATTTAATTTTGACCTTGGTCAAGTTACCTAATCCTTCTAAGAATCAATGTCCTCCCATGTTAAATTAGAATAATAATGTTGCTTGCTTCACTGAGTTGTGGTGATGATTAAGTGAGATAATCCAAATAAACTTGTTTATCAGAGTGCCTGATAAGCAGCATATGCTCCCAACCACTGGTATCTTAAGCAAGCAAACTGCTAAATGAAGGAATAAATGACCAAGAATACAAGGAGACCTGGTCCAGGCTGAGTGAGCATGGCTTAGCCTTGTAGTCGTGGGCAGTTCATTGAATTGATCTTGTCTTCAACCTCCTGATTCAGTTCAACCCTTAATTACTCAGAAGGTGTTCTGACAGACATCACAAGTCACAACACGTCTAGTCCTCTGTTTCCCATTTGCAAAATGATAGGGTTAACTAGTTGGTTTTTAACATCCCTTTCATCTCTAACTTTCCATGATATCATTATAGTTATTACCCTCAACATCTGTGACCCTGGGCTCAGTCATAAATTCTGCTCCTAATTATCCATGCTTCAGGCCAGCAAACAAAAAACTAAACAAACAAAAAAAATACAAAAAAACCCCCACAAAACCCCAGTGCTTTTTCACTTCTGGATGTCAGGCAATATTCACATTAGCTCAAATAGTCAAACATAAACACACCTGTGATGGTTAATATTAAGTGTCAACTTGATTGGATTGCAGGATGCGAAGTATTGTTCCTGGGTGTGTCTGTGAGGGTGTTGCCAAAGGAGATTAACATTTGAGTTAGTGGACTGGGAAAGGCAGACTCACCCTCACTCTGGGTGGGCACAATCTAATCAGCTGCCAGCCAGGCCAGAATAAAAGCAGGCAGAAGAACATGGAAAGACTACACTGGCTGAGTCTTCTGGCCTCCATCTTTCTCCTGTGCTGGATCCCTCCTGCCCTCAAACATTGGACTCCAAGTTCTTCAGCTTTGGGACTCGAAACTTCGACCACAGACTGAAGGCTGCACTGTCGGCTTCCCTACTTTTGAGGTTTTGGGACTCAGACTGGCTTCCTTACTCCTTAGCTTGCAGATGGCCTATTGTGGCACCTTACTTGTGATTGTGTGAGTCAATACTCCTTAATAAACTCCCCTTTATATGTATGTCTATCCTATTAGTTCTGTCCCTCTAGAGAACCCTGACTAATATAACACCCATACACATTTCACTTTTCTGTATTTTTTCCAAGTTTCCTTTTAAAACTGATACCACTGATATCATCACTTTAAGAGCTTATAAACTGGATGGCCCCTAAGATCCATAGTCACTGAAAAAAGGATAATATACTTGCAAATAAATCAGGGTGGACTATAATGAAAATTGTTGTATGTCCTCTCTTGAATTAGGAGGTAAAGGTATGGTACAAACTTTGATGCCAGACAGACCTGAGCTTAAATGGTAGCTGATGACACTTACCAGCTGCATGAACTTGGACTACTTAATCTCTTCAAATTTTAGTTTTTCATCTGTATAATAGAGCTCATGAGATGATCCAAGCATATTGTTGAGAAAATTAAATAAAATAGTGATATAAAAGGGTTCAGCAGGCACAGCGCACATTTCTTTCTTCTGTCTTATATGGCAGCCATAGATTATAAGATGTGTGCATCCAGGGGCCAATGACCTTGGCACTCTGAGTTTTTGATCTGATACTACAACCAAATGGCAATCTTATGTTTGTTGCTAAATTAAAAAAAAAATCTTTAAATTGAAAAACAGAAAGTTACTTCCGTAAATTAGGTCTCCAGTGGTTATTCACTGCAGTGTTATTCAGCATTTTGAAATTCTTTGACCTGCCCTGAATTTCTAATTATCCCATGTCATGCTACCTGAGGAGGAAGTGCTTGTGAGCTCTCCTGGGAAGGCTATGTGTGTTGGGGAGAGGACAGGAGGGCAGTAAGACTCCGAGGACCTGTCCACATGCTGGCATGAAGGAGATGGTGGGAGAATATGATGGTAAAGAGGAAAAATGAGAAGGTGTGAATGAAGGAGGCCAAAATGCTGTTAAATAGGAAAGTAAACCTTATTTGCTTTTCATTTGTCATTTTGCTCTGTCCAATTGGTAGTAGATATTCTAACAAACAGTAGAATCTTTCAAATACTGACTAGAGAGAGGTTATTTTCAGGCTTGAGGGCGTGAAAAAGAGAAGCAAAACTAAATAACTGAAAACCAAACAACCAAGTGCTGATTAACCGAGAGCTGGCTCTAAAAAGAATGAAAACATCTGCTGGCTTTGTTGAAGGAAAATACCAATCCCTTTGGGTTTTTACTGCAACAAATCCTGTTCACAATTTTATGTTTGGGAGTGATCCAGGAAAAAAATGACCTCTCCCTTTCTGGTAATGAATTTCTCTTCCCTTTTGAACTTTAAATATGTTAATTTAATCCCCAGATGGTCACCAAAAAATATGTATTGACATACTATAGATCCTGATGTACAGCTTGAGGCCTTGCTTCTACCCTGCTACTCCAATTCTCCTGCTTCTAAACATAGTGCTCATGAAGAGGAAGGTTGCCTGGCCAGGCCCAGCCCAGTTCAAGACTGTCCCTCCAGTGTTTATAAGAATTTTGCCTTTTTGTCATAATGTCCCTTCACTGACTTGAAGCATTCCTGACACACCAACAATTTCACAGATTGGTTAGGAACAGAAAGTCAGTGGAATGGTATCAAAACCACATTACTGGGCTTGAAATCACCAACATTTGGAACACATTATCCTACAATATGGTAAATACCTCCCAACTGTGAATTTATTTATTTACTTATAAAATAATTCAAGTATCTCCTCTCATAAGAAAAAGATACACAGTAGATTAATCAATCTTTTTATTTTTTTTTTTGAGACAAGATCTCAGTGTTGCCCAGGCTGGAGTGCAGTGGCATGATCACAGTTCACTGCACTGTCTTCACTTCCCGGGTTCAAGGGATCCTTCCACCTCAGCCTCCTGAGCAGCTAGGACCACAGGCATGTGCCACAATACCCGGCTAATTTTTATATTTTTTTGTAGAGACAGGGTTTCACCATGTTGTCCAGGCTGGTCTCGAGCTCCTGAGCTCAAGTGATCCACCTGCCTTGGCCTCCCAAAGTGTTGGGATTACAGGCTTGAGCCACTACGCCAGGACCATGGTAGGTTAATCTTAAAACAAACAAAAAAAGCATTGTCTGAGCTTGACTCTGTGAGCAGTACTGAAGATGCTTAGAAGAGTCTGTGCTCCTGTTAATACTGATCGTCATTGCTTCCCAATGTCTAGTTAGTTAGAAGCAGAATCTGTGCAAGGTGGGGAGTCATCTTTCTAATCTTGGACTCATTGGCATTTATTAAGTTCTGAGCCCTGTACTGGAGGGGTGGGGGGAGTCTAGAAGCTATAGGAGATCTTATCTGTCTTCAGCAGCATCCACACCTGCTCTCTTTACCATCCGGAACCCTCCAAATATGCAAGTGGGCTAAAGCTGCACATGTAGAAATCATTATGTGAACGCTTGAGCATTAATATAAGTACTTATCAAAACAGCACGGCTGGGCCTGGTGGCTCATGCTTGTAATCCCAGCACTTTGGGAGGCTGAGGCTGGTGGATTGCTTGAACCCAGGAGTTCAAGACCAGCCTGGGCAACATAGGGAGATCATGTCTCTACAACAATACAAAAATGAGCTAGGTGTGGTGGCTCATGCTTTTTGTCCCAGCTACTCAGGAGGTTGAGGTGGGAGAATCACTTGAGCTTGAGAGGCAGATGTTGCAGTGAACTGAGATCGTGCCATTGCACTCCAGCCTGGATGATAGAGCAGGACTCTGTCTCAAAAAAATAAATAAATAAATAAAGTATATGAACATCTAAGGATGCATTAGAACCATTTGCAAACTTAATTCCATGAACGAAGTTTTACTGAACAATAGCTTTGTGTAGGCAGCTGTGCTCAGAACCATAATAGGATGCACAGATGATAAGTCATAGATCTCCCTTCAATGAATCCATAGCCCGGAAGAGCAGATTTTTAAATCCCCAAAATATTAAGAAATTAAGATCCCTCAACTACCTAATTCACATAGTTTTGGGCACTTCCTATATCCAGTGATGACTTTCATATTTTGTTGATCTCGCTGGCTCTCTTCCTATTTTATTTGTTTTCTTCCTTGCTCCACAAGTTTTGGAAATGGCTTATAACAAGAAGGCATGCCATAAAATAATGATACAATATTACAAGAAAAAAGAAAGCATTGTCATCATTATAGGTGTCTTCAAATCCTGCTGGTCCACTTTTTCAACAAACTAGCCTCAAGATTCTGGCATCTTCAACAGTTTATGTTCTCTCTGCCTCAGTTACCCATTCTCCTTGATAGATCCAACCTTGGTCTTACCAAGAGGAGCTCCACCTCCTCTAATATCTTAAGCTCTCCTTTATCAATTGTTAACCAACTTTCTATCCTTTCTGTTCTCTGCCTCTCATGACCCCAGTGTTTGTTATTCAACCTCATTCTATTTCAATACACCAGCCCTTTAAATGCTCCTTTCCCTTCCCATTGAATATCCTCACCTGTGGCTTGTTTCCTTCCTTATCCAAACTAAATATGGGCTGTGTCTCTTGAACCACTGTCTTTCTGCTGCACCTGTCTCTCCAATTTCCACAAGTGGATCATCCTGATTCTCTGCTGTCTCTTACTTTGGTATGTCACTCCACTACTTATTGCTGCCCCTGTACATTCAGGGTCTCCAAACCCAGACTGGTCCTCAGAGTGCTCTGTGTCCTTTAAAAAATTGCCTTTTTCAGATCCCCTCTCCTTCTCTACCGGGGCCAGACTTTCACTACTCTCTTCAAGCTACCCTCCCCATCTCCTCTGCACCTTATTTCATAGAAAAAATTAAAGCCGTCATGTATGATATCCCCGAAACCCAAGGATTCCTTCTTATGAAATATCTGCCTTCTCACTATCCCTACCTCCACACCTTCAGCTGCAGTAGAAAAGGTGTTCCTTCCCTGAATAAAGTTTATTCTTCTGGGTTGCTGAAGCAGTTTTCATGAGGAAAAGGGAGGTTTCCACGTGTCAGCTGGAATCCATGCTTCTGCATCCTCTCCCTTTAAGGTCATTGCTTGGGTAACTATTTCCTAATATCTACCCTTATAATTGGATCTCACTGTTAAATCTAGGCGCTCCTTCATGGGCTCATTATTTAAAAATCTGGGGGCAAGTGGTAAGATTTGTATGATGAGATACAAATGTGCTAATTTCTTGACTACCTTATTCCATATTCTATTTTGGATTCTGCATTGCTAACGTACCCAGGACTTACACTTTTTATTTAATTTCTTTTTTCGGTTTCCTGTTAGTTCTTATCAAACTAGGATTTAAGAGAACAAGGTTCACATTTACCCATACATGGAACAATCAGGGCCAATATCAACAATCTGTTGACAGGAGAACAGGAGAGAAGGTGCTCATAAAAGTTAATAAAAACGGAGCTTCAGATGATCCTCAACAAAGGAAAATGATCTGCAGAAACAGGAAGCTCTTCATTCCAAATCAATTTATTTTGACAATATTAGATTATATATACAAACTGGCCTGACTCAGGGTTTTTTCATATACTTGCTAAGTCTTCCGTAGAGGAATGGCCTTTGGGGAAAAAGCACCCTGAGTCAAGCTAGCCTAGGTAAAGCCCCACCCGGCTCAGTGCCAAGCCTGGCATTCAGCACTCTGAAGATGATTACCCAAGCCATCAGGTACACAGAATTTCTGTCATTCAAATGATGATCACTAAGCCAAACTTCTGAACCATCTCAGGGAGAAAGATGTAACTCTAAGTTTACTAAGCTGGCGCCACCAGCACTTTTGTGGTGGATACACGATTGCTCAGCAGGGGTCCTGCCTCCCTTCACCAAGATGCTTCTGCATAGCTGCAGACCTTGCTCGTGCTCAGCCAGAAAGAACTGAAGCCTTGGGAAAGAGGAGTTTAACACAGAATCCATGTCGTGGGCATTTGCGAAATCTCCTGCGAGACACTCCCGCAGACAGAAGCAGTGTAGTGTGATTCATGTTAGGGAGTCAGGCAATCCTGGGTTTGAATCAAACTTCAGATCGTTCTTTAAGTTTTGGTTTTCTTATCTGTAAACTGGGGATAATAGCAATATTTGCCTTAAGAAGTTGCTTTAAGGGTTAATTATAAAGCCCTCAGCTTTATAGATAACACTCAATGTTTAGTGTATTGTTAGTATTTCTGTCTTTACATCTAAGACTCCACTCAGCCTTATTTTGGAAAGAATCTTTGCCATTGGAAAACACATTCAAGGATCATGCAGTGTATGAGAGGGTAAGAGGAAACCAGAGCTGCTGGTTGAATGTACTGGCTTGAAATTAGCAGGCCTTGTTCCCTTCATCCCAGACATAACAGGAGCAGCCAGTTCTCTGTGGTAGGAAAATCTGAGGACTCCCTGGACTGGGTTACCCACAGCAGAGCTGGGTTCACTGGAGAGGCCACAGCTAAGGATGGACTCTAGTTGGGGAGGGCAAAGCTGGACTGGGGGTGGTGGGGAACAACCAAGAATCTAGAAAGAATTTAGGATTAAACAAAGTGTGTCTTAATTTGAATGAAAAAGGCAGATTATGAGTCAAAATATGCCCCATCCACCGAATAAAGTGCCTTTACTCTCAGCACCCTCTGCTGCTGCATGAGTTAGCCCTGCAAATATACAGATATCTGTATCTATAAACATAGCTACGTCTATATTTATAAATGTAATTATATCTGTAAATACATCTATATCTATAGCTATAATCTATTATGTAGATCTAGGTCTATACACATCTGTCTAGATCTTTATAAGAAAAACAAACTCTATACAACAAAGAGTTTACATTGGATATCTTTGGGTGTATAGGATTATGGATGTTAAGAAATTTATTTTTGCTGTCTGTGTTTTCTGATGAGTATATCCCCATTTGTAACAAAATAAGACAATAATAGAACATTAATTTTGAAAAAGACATTGGGGCCGGGCACGGTGGCTCACCCCTGTAATCCTAGTACTTTGGGAGGCTGAGTCCAGCAGATCACTTGAGGTCAGGAGTTTGAGACCAGCCTGGCCAACATGGTGAAACCTCGTCTCTACTAAAAATACAAAAATTAGCTGGGTGTGGTGGTGCATGCCTGTAATGCCAGTTACTGGGGAGGCTGAGGCAGGGGAATCACTTGAGCCTGGGAGGTGGAGGTTGCAGTGAGCCAAGACTGTGCCACTGCACTCCAGTCTGGGTGACAGAGCGAGACTCTGTCTCAAAATAAATAAACAAATGAATAAAAATGAAAAAGACATTGGAAGGAAGGAAAACAAAATTGGGGTAATTCCAGCCTTGGTCAACTTCCTTTTGTCTCTCAAGAGAGGGAGAACTGGGAAGACGAGGGAAGGGAGGTGCTGTCAGTGAGGAGGGTGAGATTGGTTTAGACTTGGTCTATAGTCTAAACCAATTCCTTAAGATGGCTTAAGGAAAGCCCCTTCAATCTGCTCATGGATTCAGTTCTTAGCTTTTTTCCATGGCATTTTATTTCCGGGTTAATCCAGTTCATTATTAAAGTAAAACCAAGAGTGTTTTGGTTGGGCCACTTTGTTCACCTCACCAACCCCACCTCCATACCTTCAGCTGCAGTGGTGCAGTAAAGTAATTCATTCATGTGGTTCCTCTAACTCTCAATAAGTAAAGATAGTGGATTTTAAATAAGGTCTTTCAAAAAGAAATTAAGTATAGGACACCCAAGAAACAAACTTATTTTAATTTCTCAAATGTACTGTCCACACAGGTAAAGTCACTAGCATCCTGATAGTCAATTTTTAGGCTGTGTGTCTCCTGGGTTTCTCAGGTTAATATTTTGGTCAGGATTCAAATCTAGAAGGCATGGAAGCTTTATTATGGGAAGGTGGATGAATAGATACAGATCTAGAAATAAATAAATTTTTCTTTCACTTTGATGTGTTGCGTAGAATCCTTGACTCTGATTATGAAAATGTTTGAGGCTCACACTGGAGACAGGACCAGCAGCAGATGTGATGAAAGAGCAGAAAGCCAAGGGCTTCACTATTCTTCTTGTCCTTGGGTCTCCATCTGAAGCAATCTTCCTCCAGCTCCAATACAATTCTCCCTACCAGAGCATGACCTTGCTTTCCATACCCTTACATTTAGCCCCAGTGGACATTTACACTTTGCTATCTCACTGGCACCTCAGATTCAAAACAACTGAAACTGGAATGTTTGGAAAGATCTGTATGGAATTCTTTATCTTTGCATACAGATCTGCTTTCCCTCTCATATTTCTTGCAATGAGCAATGGCATTACCATACATCCACAAATTGGGATCATTGAAGTCACTTTTGATCCCCTCCTTATTGTGTTCTCTATGTCCAGTCAGCACATTGAAGATTGCAAATTTCAGTACAGTTTTTACCTCTTTCTCCATCTGTGCCTTCATTTTTTTCTTGTCCCACTTTCCGTCCTAACCAACTTGGCTTCAGTCTATTTCAACTCAGTTCAAGTCTTTCTGATTACATTCAACTTAACATTATTGCACACCTTTTCATTGCTCAAAAGAATGCTAAATACTGGATATGCAAAGTTTATAAAAACAGATAATAGCTAATAATCATAGGTCTTTACCATGTAATAGATATATCCTTCACATGTCTATTATTTAATTTTCAGAGATACCTGAATGAGGTAGGTATTAGTATTATGTCCATTTTATAGATGAGAAAATCAAGGATTAGAGAGATTAAATAAAATTGCTGAAAGGTACACAGCAGTGCTTGTTGGTGTTAGGTGTGGATCTGGGCTGTCTGTTTCCAGAGACTGAACTTTTCATTTTTAATAAGAGAGGTTTCCGGTTTCAAGGAGTTACAGACTAGTGGGAGAGGCAACATACAAACATGAACTGGTATAATGGTCCAGTGGGAATATGAAGCAGGGTGTGAGGTCAGAGAAGGCTTTACAGAAGTTACATTTGACCCAAGTCATCCATGATGAATAAGAGTTAACCAGTCTGGGCACAGTGGCTCACGCCTGTAATCCCAGCACTTTGGGAGTCTGAGGCGGGTGGATCGCGAGGTCAGGAGATCAAGACCATCCTGGTTAACACGGTGAAACCTAATCTCTACTAAAAATACAAAAAATTAGCCTGGCGTAGTGTCAGGCGCCTGTAGTCCCAGCTACTCAGGAGGCTGAGGCAGGAGAATGGCGTGAACCTGGGAGGCAGAGCTTGCAGTGAGCCGAGATCGTGCCACTGCACACCAGCCTGGGTTCAAGCAATTCTCCTGCCTCAGCCTCCTGAGTAGCTGGGACTATGGGCGTGCGCTACCACACCCGGCTAATTTTTGTATTTTTAGTGGAGACAGGGTTTCACCATATTGGCCAGGCTGGTCTTGAACTCCTGACCTCATGATCCGCCCACCTCAGCCCCCTAAAGTGCTGGGATTACAGGCGTGAGCCACTGCGCCCAGTCTATAAACATTTTATTTTAGGTTTCATGTCATGAATCCTTAAGAGGAGAAGTTGATTTTTAATTTTTGGCACCAATTCTTGATAAAGTAGCCATCCTCAGAGGAGTCTTTGGATATCAGATGGTGGAGGTGATGCTTATAGACACTTTATTTATAAAGACAATGTTACTGACCTGTAGTAGTTTCCTAACACTGCCATAACAAATTACCAAAAGCTTGGTGACTTAAAACAACAGAAATTTATTCTCACAGTTCTGGAGGCCAGAAGTACAAAATCACGGTGTCAGCAGCATTACCCAATACCTTTTTCTAGGGACACATAAAAGGGGGAATCCTCTTTTCAGCAAAAGTGGTTTTAAGAGACATCCACTGCTTTGGCATCTGCTCTTGAAGTCTAGATCATACAGAGTCGAGAACAACTTTGAGATACAGAGATATTCAGAGACCTTCAACATACAAGACTAATCTATTATTTGCAATCAGACTGACATTTGACAGTGAATAACTAAGGGAACACTGACCTTGCTAGTGTTCCAACAGAGATATTTTCTCTGGGATTAACTGTTCTTGCACAATTTTCCCCCGTGCCATCCTCAAAAAATAAATAAATAAATAAAATAAAATAAAATAAAATAAAATAAAAGGCATGACTTCTGTCTGTAGCAGGGAGATATATTTTCATGTGTACTATTCTTGTGAACAAAATTAGATCTCCTCCATATATTTTGTGCTTTTAAAAAATACACTCCAATCTAATAAAGATTTTTTTTAAATTACACACACATACACACTCACATTTCAGTAGGTCAAACCTGTGACATCTTTGCATATCGAATTGATTTAATTTAGCAGATACAATCTAGATATGGTGACTTACTAAGTGGCAAGTTGAACACATACAAAAGCAACACTTAGGGTGTAATATATATAAAGCCATGACCTTTTAAAACCTCCACCAAAGTAGACTCCACAGAAGTAGGGGTGTGAACGGCAAAAGACTGGATTCTAGCCCATCAAAAAGCCACCTGCTTTGGTGTTCCACTGAAGACAATTACTTTTCACTATATAAGATACAGAAAGAAACAATCATTTTATGAGTGATTAAATAGCAGCTCTTAAAAGGGACATCTCACTGTGTATGTCATTAATGATGCAACGGGGAGCTTAGCTGCCCGCTTAGGTAACTCAAAGAGCACTGTGACCTGTTTCATTGATAATACCTTGGAAAAATTCTTCTAACTGAAGTAAAGCAAGGAAACTTACTTTTGATATTTTATTTGAAAGAGCTGAACGGTAGAGGTTGTTTGTGATTTTCTGAAAACTGCCTTCAGATTTCTTTCTCTGTTAAGACTTACTATGAATAATGCTTACCTAAGATCATGGAGATCGGGCATAAATTGAGCAACAGGCAAGCTGGAGAAAGGAAATGCTGATTAGTGAGACCTGCTGGGCTGTAACCCTCTATCCTTGACATCTGTCATTGGTTTTTGTGAATAATGAATTTAGTTCCTATAAATTACCTTGAAATAGTTACAAAGTCAGAAGTGTAATTAGTGATGATAAATGGTTATCTGAAGATACTGCAGCTCAATCAATCTTCATTTTTCAAATCATTACTTCTTAGTAGAGTTAATAGACTTGCCATTAACTACTGGCAAGACGAGGTTGACTAAGCAGAGATTGACAATGAAATGATTTACGAAATGTATATTTCATTACATATGGGCCATCAAGCTTGTAGGTTCTTTTAAATTTATTTCTCCTAATAACAAAATAATCTTGAGCCATAAACTCTAGTGTCTGAAAACTGTTTCACTGAGAATATCAGATTTTAATAGCAAAATAAGTTGGTTGGTTTTTAAAATGCCCTAATTAGTAATTTTTTCATTCTTTCAGCTAGAATAACAAGTGTTATAACCTCCAGTGACATAACATGTATTTAATAATTGTCTAACGAATATCTGCTACTTAGAGAGATCAGGAAAGGGCAGGGCGCAGTGGCTTACGCCTGTAATCCCAGCACTTTGGGAGGCCGAGGTGGGTGGATCACGAGGTCAGGAGATTGAGACAATCCTGGCTAACATGGTGAAACCCCGTCTCCACTAAAAATACAAAAAATTAGCTGGGCGTGGTGGCGGGCGCCTGTAGTCCCAGCTACTGGGGAGGCTGAGGCAGGAGAATGGCGAGAACCCGGGAGGCAGAGCTTGCAGTGAGCCGAGATTGTGCCACTGAACTCCAGCCTGGGAGACAGCAGACTCCGTCTCAAAAAAAAAAAAAAAAAAAAAAAAAAAAAAAGAGAGAGAGATCAGGAAAGAAGAAGATGAACTAATATGACATGATCTCAGCCCCCAGGTAGCTTGGGAGCTAGTGAAGATGGTGTAACACACCAACAAAGCACCATTTAAATAGCAACATTTGAGTGTGTCTGAACTAAGGAGCAGAAAGAGTCACAGTGAATATCAGGATAAGCTGGGAGGAGGAGATGTTGGTATACACAGAAATGAGGAAAGCACCTTAAAGAAGTGGGATACAGGTCCAAGAAATTTACCAATAAAACAGCTAGAGTTGATGAAGAGCACAGTTGTTGGCCATATGAACTCTCGAAAGCATTCTGCTTGGGAAAGTAATCTAACATCTCCAAGCACCAGTTTGCTGGTATATAAACTGGACATAAAGATAGTCACTCTCTCCGAGGGCTGTTCTGAGGACTGGGGACTGAATGAGACAGCAAACATACAGTAATTAGCCTAGAGTCTATGCTACACAGGCAATTATTATTATTACTAATTATATGTTCCCCAGGTTTAGCAATAGTACCAAAATGTCCTCAATTTCTAAAATAACTATTTACTTTACAATACATGTTATAAATAAGTGCCAAATGAAATATGGTTAGGTGTTAACTCCTCCCCCAATTGTAGCATAAAATGCCTACATAGACCCTTTTGAATTTTTCTTTTTTTTTTTGAGATGGAGTTTCACTCTTGCTGCCCAGGCTGGAGTGCAATGGCACGATCTCGGCTCACTGCAACCTCTGCCTCCCGGGTTCAAGCGATTCTCTTGCCTTAACCTCCCGAGTAGCTGGGATTACAGATACCCACCACCACGCCCAGCTAATTTTTTTTTTGTATTTTTAGTAGAGATGGGGTTTCACCATGTTAGCCAGGCTGGTCTTGCACTCCTGACCTCAGGTGATCCACCCACCTCGGTCTCCCACAGTAGCAGGATTACAGGCGTGAGCCACCACACCGGCCGATCCTTTTGAATTTTTATAAGTTGAATTTCTATAAGGGCCCTCTTATGAATCATTACAGATGGATATGTCTTTTTAATTTAGGTGCATACTTGATTTGACAGCTACCAAATTTGGCCTGGCTCCAGATTTGCAGATTGATAAACTAACAGCTTCTCAGTTCCTTCTCAGCTTCTGGCTCCCCCATCCCTCTAACCCCCATCCCTCTAACCCCCATCCCTTTACTATTTTTTTCCATGAGATTTGAAGGCTCATAATGTGAGCAGTTTTCCAAACTTATGGCATCTTTCCAACACAAATCATTGCTCCTGAGGGCTAGTAACAGGCCTCTGTTGTTACTTGAAAATTCCTCTAATGCCACCAAGTTTCTGAAGTGATAGAACACAAAGTGGTTATGACTTCGGCACAGATGACACACTCAGCTATTCCTCTCTTCTTGCCTCTTCTTGCCCCACTCCTCCAGTGGTTTTGGTCAAGTGAGTAGTCTGAGGCCCAGGGAGAGGTGGAGCCTTTTATGAAGCCCAGAAGCAATGAACATAAAATAAAATGGGGGCACTGATAAATGGGAGGTAAGGTTTGTGGTCTTCACAGCCTTCCACCGCTGTGAACAGTTTTAATGCCTTTCATAGGTATTATTATTGTCTTTCCTCTTCCCCTGCCATGGTACACAGGTGAAACTCTCCCTCTGGTCTATTTGCTTCTTTGGACATGATTCTACCAATATTATAACACTGGGCTTACGCATGAGCTTCTTTGGCTCAGATTGTCTCATGAGCTCAAATCAGGTGCTAGCAAACCTGCTCAGATGTGGCTTCCCTTTCTGGTTCCCAAAACTTGCCTGCTTTTAAGATTCAGCTGTTCAACATGCAGGTTCTTTTTTTTTTTTTTTTGAGACAGAGTCTTGTTCTGTCGCCCAGGCTGGAGTGCAGTGTCACGATCTCAGCTTACTGCAAGCTCCACCTCCCGGGTTCAAGCAATTGTCCTGGCTCAGTCTCCCATGTAGCTGAGATTACAGGCACATACCACCACACCCGGCTAATTATTGCATTTTTCGTAGATATGGGATTTCACCATGTTGGCTAGGCTGGTCTCGAACTCCTGACCTTAGGTGATCCGCTCGCCTCAGCCTCCCAAAGTGCTGGGATTACAGGCGTGAGCCACTATGCCCGACCAACACACAGGTTCTAAGGCCCCTTCCCTGGAGATTCTGATTTCACAATTCTGAAGTGGAGCTAGAGGTCTGGCTTTTGTACACGTTCTGAGTGACTCTTATGAGCCAGAAATTTTAGAAAATACTACAGTCTTCTTGGGAGTGGTGTGTGTGTTTGTGTGTGTGTGTGTATGTGTGTGAGAGAGAGAGAGACAGAGAGAGACAGAGACAGAGAGAGAAATAGGTGAGAGAGTTACAACAAGCATGGGAGTCCTCTTTTGAAAAGTGTCTGCTCATGTCCTTTGCCTACTTTTTAATGGTTTTTTTCCTTGTAAATTTGTTTACATTCCTTATAGATTCTAGGTATTAGACATTTGTCAGATGCATAGTTTGCAAAAATTTTCTCCCATTCTATAGGTTGTTTACTCTGTGGATAGTTTCCTTTGCTGTGCAGAAGCTCTTTAATTCTATTCCATTTGTCAATTTTTGCTTTTGTTGCAATTGCTTTTGGCATCTTTGTCATGAAATCTTTGCCTATTCTTACGTCCAGAATGGTATTGCCTGAGGTTGTCATCCAGGGTTTTTTATAATTTTGGGTTTTACACTTAAGTCTTTAATCCATCTTGAGTTAATTTTTGTATATGGTGAAGAAAGGGGTCCAGTGTTAGTCTTCTGAATATGGCTAGCCAGTTCTCCCAGCACCATAGGGAATCCTTTTCCCATTGGTTTTGTCAGGTTTGTCAAAGATCAGATAGTTGTAGGTGTGTGCCTTGTTTCTGGGTTCTCTATTCTGTTTCATTGGTCTATGTGTCTGTTTTTGTATCAGTACCATGCTGTTTTGGTTGCTGTAACCCTGTAATACAGTTTGAAATCAGGTAGTGTGATGCCTCCAGCTTTGTTCTTTTTGCTTAGGAATACCTTGGCTACACAGGCTCTTTTTTGGTTCCATAAGAATTTTAAAATAGTATTGTATTAGTCCATTTTTATGCTGCTATAAAGAAATACCTGAGACTGGGTAATTTATAAAGAAAAAGAGGTTTAATGGACTCACAGTTCCACATGGCTGGGTAGGCCTCACAATCGTGGCAGAAGGCAAAGGAGGAGAAAGCCATGTCTTACATGGTGGCAGGCAACAGAGAGCATGTGCAGGGGAACTGCCCTTTATAAAACCATCAGATCTCTCGAGACTTATTCACTATCATGAGAACGACATGGGAAAAACCCATCCCCATGATTAAATTACCCCCCACCCCCAGGTCTCTCCCATGACATGGGGATTATGGGAGCTACAATTCAAGATGAGATTTGGGTGGGGACACAGCCAAATCAGGTAGTGTGTTGCCTTCAGCTTTGTTCTTTTTGCTTAGGAATGCCTCGGCTACTCAGGCTCTTTTTTGGTTGCATAAGAATTTTAAAATTGTTTTCTCTAGTTCTGTGAAGAATGTCAATGGTAGTTCATTATGAATAGCATTGAATCTATAAATTGCTTTGGGTAGTATGGTCATTTTAATAATATTGATTCTTCCTATCCATGAGCATGGAATGTTTTTCCAATTGTTTGGGTCATCTCTGATTTCTTTGAGCAGTGTTTTGTAGTTCACCTTGCAGAGCCTTTTCACCTCCCTCATTAGCTGTATTCCTGGTATTTTATTCTTTTTGTGGCAATTGTGAATGAGATTACATTCCTGATTTGACTTGATGATCTGTCTAATATTGCTGGTGGGGTGTTAAAATCTCCCACTATTATTGTGTAGGAGTCTAACACCTTTTTGAAAGTCTCTAAGAACCTGCTTTACGTATCTGGGTGCTCCTGTGTTGGGTGCATATACATTTAGGGTAGTTAAATCTTCTTGTTGAATTGAACCCTTTCCCATTATGTAATGCCCTTCTTTGTCTTTTGTTGGTTTAAAATCTGTTTTGTTTGAAGCTAGGATTGCAACTCCTGCTTTTTTCTGTTTTTTCATTTGCTTGGTGTCTTTTTCTCCATCCCCTTATTTTGACCTTATGTGTGTCATTGTATGTGCAATGGATCTCTTGAAGACAGTATACCAATTGGTCTTGATTCTTTATCCAGCTTGCCACTCTGCATCTTTTAATTGGGGCATTTAACCCATTTACTTTCAAGGTTGTTACTGATACGTGTGGATTTGATTCTATCATCCTGATGTTAGCTGGTTATTTTTCAGACTTATTTATATGGTTGCTTTATAGTGTTACTGGTTTGTGCACTTCATTTTGTTTTTGTAGTGGCTGATAATGGTCTTTCCTTTCCATATTTAGTGCTTCCTTCAGGAGCTCTTGTAAGGCAGGTCTGGTGGGAATGAATCCCCTCAGCATTTGCTTGCCTGTAAAGGATTTTATTTCCCCTTTGCTTATGAAGCTTAGTTTGGCCAGATATGAAATTCTGGATTGGAATTGCTTTTCTTTAAGAATGTTGAATATTGGCCCCAATCTCTTTTGGCTTGCAGGGTTTCAACTAAGAGAACTGCTGTTACATCTGATGGGCTTCACTCTGTAGGTGACCTGACATTTCTCTCTAGCTGCCTCTAACATTTTTTCTCTTATTTCATCCTTGGAGAATCTGACGATTATGTGTCTTGGGGATGATCTTGTGAAGTATCTTACTAGGGTACTCTGCATTTCCTGAATTTGAATCTTGGCTTCTCTAGCTAGGTTGGGGAAGTTCTCATGAATGATATCCTGAAATATGTTTTCCAAGTTAGTACCATTTTCTCTATCTCTTTCAAGGACACCAATGAGTCATAGATTCAGTCTCTTTATATAATTTATTATTTCTCTGAGGTTTTGTTTCTTTTTATTCTTTTTTCTCTATTCTCATCTGACTATCTTATTTCAGAAAGCCAGTCTTCAGGCACTGATAATCTTTCCTCTGCGTGGTCTATTCTGCTCTTAATACTTGTGATTGCATTATGAAATTCTTATAGTGTGTTTTCCAGCTGTATTATGTTGGTTATGTTCTTTTCTATACTAGATATTTTGTCTGTCAGCTCCTGCATTGTTTTAGCATGATTTTTAGTTTCCTTGGATTGGATTTCAATGTAGTCGTGTAGCTCAATGATCTTTACTCCTATCCATATTATGAATTCTGTTTCTGTCATTTCAGCCATCTCAGCCTGGTTCAGAACCTTTGCTTTAGAAGGGATGTGGTTGTTTGGAGGAAAGAAGGTACTCTGGCTTTTTGAGTTTTCAGGGCTCTTGTGGTGATTCTTTCTCATCTTTGTGGGCTTATCTACCTTCAATCTTTGAGGTTGCCGACCTTTGGGTGGGTTTCTTTTTCTTTTATCCTATGACCTTGAGGGTTTGATTTTGATTTAAGGTGGATTCAGCTGACTGGCTTGGTTTCTAGAGGATTTTAGGGAGCCAACACTCAGCTTTCAACTCCCGTACTGCATGCTCTAACTTTGGGGAGCTTGTATTGGGCCCCAACTTTGTTCTCTGGCTCCTTGAGATTAGGAATCCACTGTACTGTGGGGCTGAGGTATGGCAGCTGCAACAGAGTGCTACCAGTTCCCAGGGTGCCTGCTTCCCTGCAGGTGTTCACCACAGAGGCAAAGGCAATGCAGCTGTAGGGGGTGTGGGGAGTCCCTGCTGGCAATTTTGAACACAGTCTCACTGGAGTTGGTGTTTGCTCGGGAGGAGGGCACTGGCGGACACAGGTCTGGGTGCCTTCTCTGTGCCCTGCAAGCAGGAGTGATCACTCAGGGCAGGGTAGGATCTGCTGTTCTCTGCACAGCATTAGTGCAACTGTGGGACACTGGTCGGGGTGGGGCTGGATGGCTCTGTGCCTGCCAAGGCTCTGTTTGCAAAGGCGATCAGCAGGGGAAGAGGGGTGAGGTGCACTCCCACACTGGCAGGGCAAGGAAAGCAAGACCTGCCTGTGCAGACAGGTGCCAGAAAAGTGATGTGGAGAGTTTTCGAGGCCCTGGGAAAAGCTGCAGTATGGGGAGGGAGAGGGCAGTTTGGTGCATGGCCATAGGGCCACCCTTCTGGAGATCTTTGCTGGTTAGGCATGGTCCACCAGCATAGAAGCTATGGTGCAGGTCCCCAGGACACCCAAGGCTGCCATTAAAGCAGGTGTGGTCAGGCTGGGGCCCTGGGAGAGGCCAACAGACCAATAGGTACTCAGGTCAGACCAGCATCTTCTGATGGGCAAGAGCATCCTGCAGAGATCAGGTCTGACAGTTCCCTAAGGGCTAAAGTCTCCTATGGGAGCAAGTTGAGCCTAGGCAGATGGCTATCCCTGGCTGTGCTCTGCTATAGACATTCCGGCACCAAACCCTCTGGGCTCCACATCAGCTGACTTGCTGCCCCTACCACTTCTCTAAGCAGCTCTCCCTGCCAACTCAAGTGTCCATGGTGGTCAAGGTGTCTCCTACTAGGGTTCCAGAGGCCCATGGTGAGAGCGGGTTTCTCCTTCCCAGTTCAACCCATCTATTCCCCCAGAGCCATTGTGGGTCAGGAATGAGTCCCAGTGCATGGTAGTTCCATTCAGGGTTCCCAGCTTTCTTCCCCTTCAGCCCAGCTTCTGTGTCTTCCCTCTGTCTACTCCTGGTGTCTTTCCTCTAAAGATCTGTTAGGAGGATGCCAATTGTTTCAATCCCTCCATGAGAGCTGTTCCACCTGGCTCTATCTAGACAGCCACCTTGCTCTCCCCGCCAGTATTTTTCTATTTCTTTTCTTAATGATGCGGTAGAAGCTTTTTGTGTATTCTGGATATAAGCCTTTGCTTGTTGTATATATGTAAATATGTTTCTTCACTTTGTAGCTTGCTTTAACTTGGTTATGGTATCTTTTGACTGCCAGATGTTTTGCATTTAAGTAGTCACAATTTTCCATCTTTTTCTTAGTTTTGTGCTTTTGGTGGCTTTTATAAGAAATCTCTACCTTTCCTAATATCATGGGATAGTTGATATTTTGTTCCTCAAGTTTGAATTTTACACTTGTTTTAGTCTTTATGGAATTTTTGTTTGAATTTTTTTTGACTGAGACCTATTTTCATTTGTCCTCTTGTTTTAGTTTATTGAATGGCTCATCCTTTTCCAGCTAAGTTTTAGTCCCACATTTTATAACAATATCTCATTTTTGCTTGGACTTTAAAAAATTCTCTGTTCTGTTCTTTATCTGTCTATTCCTGAACCAATACTTCACTTTTACTTCTCCATAACTTTAAAATAAGTCTTTTAGCCAGGCATGGTGGTGCACACCTGTAGTTCTAGCTATGCAGGAGGCAGAGGTGGGACGATTGCTTAAGCCCAGGGA
Source organism: Homo sapiens (assembly GCF_000001405.40). Classification (NCBI taxonomy): domain Eukaryota; kingdom Metazoa; phylum Chordata; class Mammalia; order Primates; family Hominidae; genus Homo; species Homo sapiens. The sequence goes on along the minus strand of NC_000005.10, from coordinate 68,121,056 downwards.
GTCAAGGCTGCAGCTTGGGAGACAGAGTGAGACTCTGTCTCTAAAAAAAAAATAAAATAAAATAAAATAAGAAAATAAAAAAGACTTGCATGCTTGTACATCAAGACTTCCCACCATTTTCTTTTCTTCAGAATTGTTTAGAACTCCCACCCTTTAATCTTTTGTATATATTTTTCATTAGTTGTTAAATGACATGAAACATTTCATTGTAGTTATTAAAAATTTTGGAATATTATTGCATTTATAGAAAATGTTGGAGGAACAGACTTTATGATATTGTGCCTTCCCATAACTATCTTATATAGAGTAAATTTATTTTTGGATGCCTTGTAATTTTTGTTGCTATTGTGAATGGCTTCTAAATTATATTTTATTATGCTTATAAATATTACGTATTTGGTTACTGATAACCACCTAGGAACACTATTGAATTTGTATAGTGCTGTTATATCCAGCAAACTTGCTGAATTTGATTGTTAGAAATTTAGGTTTGTAACTCTTAATGCACTCTCATAAATAAACAAAAGGAGATGGGATCAAAGATTATAGGAGAATTTTTTGGAGACAGCTAGGGGTGTGCTATAAGTCCTTTAACCTAAATGGAAGAGGTTGCCTGGGAACTACTTTCTCCTTCACCTCAAGTCAAGATATGAGAGATTTAAAGAACCGAATAAACTATTCTCTACAGTTTACAGTTCTAGGTGAACTGTGCTCCCGAATCCTTTATGGAAAATGTAAAAGAGGTGGCTTATCAAAGGAGAGATGGCTATGTTAGTGGCCTGGACCATTGGGAGTTGGTCAGGACAAATGATGCTTGAATGTTTCTCATGGATCACATATGGTTCAATGGGAAAGAATGCCTGTACGGGACCACCTAAGTTTTGTTCAAGAGAACTGTCTAAGTGTGTGCATACCCCAACAGAAGGAAACTGTCAGTTACCTAGAAAGTCAAGGAAGTAGCTAATGATCAGCTGGGCTTGCCTTACTCAAGGGAACTGCAAGTAAGAAATCCCTGGTGGTAAGGAAAGAATTGCAAACAGACCACCAAAGTGCCTCTGGGAGATGGTAGGCTGTGAACCCATAACTGCAAGGCACTAATACCACAGTGTTGTTAGTTAGACGTTTGCTGCCACTTAAGCTCCTCTTCCCCCTTTGACCTTGGAGGTAGGCGTCAGAAAGCACAGTAAACAAGGCAGGTCAGGAAGTATAAAAGTGCAAGGTGGGAAAGAGAGAGAAAAAGTCAAACTTCCTTCCTACTACCATTTTCATAGGTTGCTAGGGTGATTAGGCCTGCACTGGAAAAAAAGAATCAGCTTTTGATGAAATTTAAATGCTAGCTATTGCACTGGACTGGATGTGTATATTACTGATTGCACGATCTTAAATTATTAAGAGTAACTCTAAAAGTCATGAGATTGCCCTAAATTTCATTCAGAAATAGGGATGGACTAGACATACTGAATAAATGTAAAAGTACAGTGGGGGATGAAAAGAAAGTTGCTTTCTGATTGTATTCCATGACTCTGGCTTATTTGGTATAATTGTGACATACATGACTAACATAATGTAATATCATAATTGTATGCAAGGCACTATATTATATAGGTTAGAAACTGGGCCCTGGAGCCAGATTCTTGAATCCTAGCTTTGTCATTTATCAGAAGTCTAACCTCTGTGTGCTTCAGTTTTCTCCTTTGTGAAGCATGTAATTGCATTGTTATGAGCATTAAATGAGTTAATATATTTAAAATGCCTAAAGTAGTGCCTACCACATTGAAACCAGGAAGTAAATAAGCTGGTTACAATAGCTTTATTTATAGTTAGTTGTAAAAATACTCAGTTGCTACATACAATAAAGTGCATGTTTGGGAAACAATATACGTTACTGAAAGTAGTTGAAAATCTGTGAGCAAACATTTTGAAAAGCATAACTCAAAGTTTCTTTTTTTTTTTTTTTTTTGAGAGAGTCTCGCTCTGTCGCCCAGGCTGGAGTGCAGTGGCGCGATCTCGGCTCACTGCAAGCTCCGCCTCCTGGGTTCACGCCATTCTCCTGCCTCAGCCTCCCGAGTAGCTGGGACTACAGGTGCCCACCACCACGCCCGGCTAATTTTTTGTATTTTTAGTGGAGATAGGGTTTCACTGTGTTAGCCAAGATGGTCTCGATCTCCCGACCTCATGATCCACCCACCTCAGCCTCCCAAAGTGCTGGGATTACAGGTGTGAGCCATCTTGCCCAGCCCCTCAATTTTTCTTAATATAATAGTTTATCTGGCTGAGAATGAACTTTAATTTTTTTAAAGGTGCAAACACTTTTTTCTGCTTCTGACAATGAAGGCTGATTGTGCCTCTAACTGAATACCACTAATATTGTTGAAAATTTTCTAAACCATGCTAAGGGCACTCCACAGAAATTCATGCTAGTTGAGTTCAAGTGCTGCTTCGGTGCTATTCAGCAAAGCTTTTGTTTTTCTTTTTTTCCCCCCACTTCTTGTTGACTCCCTAGTGATTTCCCATGGGACTATTCCCAAATTCTTCTTTTGCCTCAAATCCCAGCCCCTTTTTTATATTCCTTATCTTTATCTTAAGACTATTCCATTAACATGTCAGAAAAAAGACCATTTGCTAAGCGGTGTTCCAACTCCTTCAATATCCCTCCATCTCCTCCTCTATTCCTTTGGTCCCATTTCCCTAAACAAAAGTATCCGCCCTTCTTTCCAAGGCAAACTTCCCAAATTCTAATTTCTACCTACTACTAAACTGCTCTATTAACTGTTCTCTCTCAACCTCAGTTTCAACTTCTACTCCTAATATTTTTTTTTACAGTTGTAATGCTAAATTTCCACCCTAAGTCAAGAGGAAGAAAGATATTAACAGAAGCTGAAATTGCTAACAATGAACCAAAATATCTCTGCTTCAATAATAGCACTTACTAATCAATGAGAGGATTGGGGGCAGGAGGTGAGAAGAAGACGTAGAGATGGTGAAAAGAAATATGTAACTAATGCAAAATAAGCATATACATGATTTTCTCTCACCTTCTATTATTGAGTTGGTCATGTAGTGCCTTCTTAACCAAACAGCTCCTATAGAGCAAGGATATCCTTGCCAATCTTGTTTACTTTGTCCACATTCCTACATACAGTCTCTACTTTTAAAAAATCCATTGTGATATAATTGAAATACAATAAATAACACATCTTTAACATTGTATAATTTGATAAGTTTTTACATATGCATATACCTATAAATCCATCACCACGATCAAGTTAATGAACTTGTTTCTTTGTGTACTCAACCACTGATATGCTTTCCATCACTATAGATCAGTTCACACTTTCTATAATTTTATGTAAATGGAGTCAGACAATATGTATTCTTTTTTTGTCTGACTTCCTTCACTCAGCATAATTATTTTGAGATTCATTCGTGTGATTTCATTGTATCAACAGCTCATTCATTTTTATTGCCAAGTAGTATTTCATTGCATGCATGTACCACAATTGGCTTATCTATTCACCTGCTGATGGATATTTGTGTTGCTTTTAGATGTTTGCTATCATAAATAAAGCTGCTGTGAACATTCTTGTTCTATAAATCTTTGTATGGACATTTGCTTTCATTTTTCTTGGATAAACACGTAGGAGAGGAATGGCTGAATTAGTATGGTAGATTTGCATTTAATTTTTTAAGGAGCTGACAAACTCTTTTCCAAAGTGGTGTGTTACTCTGAACATTTTAAATGCCTATTTTTTTTTTTTTGGTAAATTACATGAATGGAAAATATGCTGGGTTAAATATTGCTAATAGTACAAGATAAAGTTTGTAAAGAAAAATTATGTCTAGTCAGCTATGTCTGCAGTCAAGTCATAGGAATATAATCCTTCTGTGTCTGCTTTGCTAAACTACACACTTCAGATATTCAACAACATGAGGGCACATGCCAAACAGAAATACATTAACCAACCAAATAGCAGCTGTCCTTGGAGAACTGCTGATTAACCAGCAGGGCTGTGATAACACTCCACCCTAAGCTGGTGGCCCCGTGCTAGGAGCATAACTATCTCATTCATTTTAATGGTTTTGGCAACATGCAATACTCATGTCGTCTTATTTTGATGAAGCTTCCAATTTTCATTTTGCCTTTCATAATGAAAATCAATTTCAGATAAACTGCTGATGGCACTGTGTGTGTGTGTGTAAATATATGTGTACGCACACATATTCATACATAGAATTACATATATAAACCTAGACATTTTCTCTTGCTCCAATAAGACTGAAGGTCATAATTATTGTCCTAGTAATGATAATCTGAGCAACTTCTCACTTATAAGTTACTAACCCTGGTGAGAAACTTGTGACATTGATTTAGTAAGCTTGCAGAGCCAGACCTAGGAGGAACAGGAGGTCAATGTGTATTGGTGGGAGAGGCCAGATGAACTCTGGACTGAAACTGTGGGAAGAGATCCTGGGGTCGCACAGTAACCACTGGGAGTGTGAATAGATCACTATGAGGGACAAAAGGTGCCAGGAAGGCAGCCTGTGTGTAGAAGGTGCTTTCCTGCGTACTGCTGCTGATTATTCTGGTAACTTTCTGCTATCACCACTCATTCAAACTAAGAAGAAATTCTCCTTGAAAGATGGCCCTTTGAGGAGCTTCTGACTTTCCCCATTTAATTCTACTGCAGAACTGTTCCCCAAACCATGTAAATGAAATAGAACACATTGCCTCAAACTATGATGCACAACACTTCAGGGCATCCAAGCAATATAGAGATTTGGTAAGTTATAGTTTAGCATAGGCTTAAAATTAACTTAAAAAAATTTGGCCAGGACCTCCCTGTTTTGCTTCTCTCCAGCAAGAGGGTTCTTCCTCTATCTTTGACTTCTCAGGATCACTCAGTTTTCAGCCTCAAACAAGGCAGGGGCCCCCTTAGAGGATCGTGGGCTTTCTCCCCTGCCACCACTGGCTCTTTGGATTCCCTGCAGTTTCTGGGTTACAGGCTTGTCCTTTCATGGACCTCCACCTGGTCCTTTTAAGCAAAAGGGGAACTTTGTCTTACTCTCCCCTTCTCCATCCTGGATACACAGCTGCCACCTCGGCAACCCCAAGGACATATTCCAATCTTTGGGTAACTCTTCACAGAGAACAACGGTCACATTTGCCCAATGTGACCCTGGTTCCTTTTTAATTCTACACTCTACACCCTTTGGGGAAAGTCTCAGTTCCCATCAACTTATACACTTTCTCTCTTTAGGTAACCACACCTGCAGGCTGTGCATTCTCAGACAGTATCATCTCAAGATAAATTCAGTGGCTATATGCAAACCTGATATGGTTCACTGGGAGGAATGCTGCCCTAAATGTATTTTCTGGAAATAGCATGGGTTTTTATGCTAAAAAGGCTGAATTCACCCACTGAGTGATTTGGGGCAAGTCACATTGAATCTCAGTTTTCTTATCTGTAAACTGAAAATAATAATATCTACCTCTCAGGGTTGTTTATAAACTTCATGTGGGACCATCTGTGCAAAATTACTATAACTCATAAGGTGATTTTAATGCATATGGTTGGGGAATGGGCAGTGGCCACAGTGTTGTTATGGTCTGGTTGAATCCTGATTGGTACTACCTGTGACCTTGAACTTAATTATCAGTTCTTGGAGTTTCAATTTCTTTCTCTGCATGATTAAGATAATGACATAGGAATCTTACAAGGATTAAATGAGATGATGTATATAAAAATGTCTGGAGCCTAGTAGGCTTGCACAGAAATGCCACAGACTCAGGCTGGGTGAGGTGGCTCATACCTGTAATCCCACCACTTAGGGAGGCTGAGGCAGGAGGATTACTTGAGGCCAGGAGTTCAAGATCAGCCTGGGCTACATAGTGAGACCCCATCTCTACAAAAAATTTTTTTGAAAAGGAAAAAGAAGTGACACAGATTCAAAAATTAGTATAATTAGAGAATTTGAATATCAATACTTCCTGGAATCCTCATGCTGCCAAAAGCAGAGCTAAGCTAATTCTTTCTGCCTTACCTCTGATAATTCTCAGATCTAGAATATAAGAAAGCATTCAAGAAACATGTCACTTTGTAAATAATTCTGAACAACTAAAACCAACTGGACAGAAATGTGAAGATGACTCTCTCCTGTTTGATTCATAGCCATGCAAGAAAATGTTGCATGTGGTCTGACAAAAATTTCAGGGAGTCAGTAACCGCACAGCCTGACTTTTCCATTACTCATGCATGGTTGGCTCTCTTTCCAATTAGAAATGACTTTTATCTTTGCTCCTCCTATCTTCACATTTGAAGTCTTGTTCCTATGTAATTAGAAAAAAACAGAGGTTACCCAGCATAAACTCCTTAAGTTTCCTTACCTTCCACCTTCCCTTGTTTATCTGTACTCATTCTCTTTTCTCTCTGTTCTTCTGTCTAACTGCATGCCCATCATCTACCTCATTCTTTTACATATGACCTCAGACCTCATGATAATGCTAATTTCTCTTGAATCATCCGTTCTTTTATTTCTACTTATTTCCCCTTTCTTGCTTCTTCCCCCAGGCATAGACATTTTCTGATTTCTCCCATTAAAAAATTGCTGTCCCTTGTGTCTGCATAGCCTCCAAACTGCTTCCCAAAATTCTTCCTTGGATAGTCTATTCACACCAGCTTCACTTCATGACCTCCTTGTCACACTTGAGCTGCATCTGGCCTCTGCCAGCACCGTTTCTCACTTTCTGACCCCTCAAAAGACAAATGCCTCATTTTAGTTTTTAGTGGCCTGGGGACCCCTTATAACAGGTGACACTGTGGATCCTCTCTTCCTTTATTGAGCTCCTCCCTCACTTCCTACCACACCCCTGCCTGTTGGTTTTCTTTCTACTTTTTGCATCATTATTTCAAAATTCTCTTCGTGGACAATTCTACTTCTGCCAATACTTCCAAGTTGGGTCTGCTAGGATTCTGTCCCTTGTCTTGCTGTGAGTCTTAATTTATTCACATCCCTTAAACAATCTCATTCAGCCAGGACTGGCTACATAATTTGTGAGGCCTAGTGTAAAATAAGAATGCAGGGTCATTTGCTTAACAATTATTAAAAATTTCAAGATGGCAATAGCAGAACATTAAGCCAGACATGGCCTCATTTGTTTGTTTTGTGTTGCTATAATAGAACACTTGAAACTGGATAACTTATAAAACTTATAAAGAAAAGAGGTTTATTTAGCTCATAGTTCTGCAGGTTGGGAAGTTCAAGGGGTATGGCCCTGGCTTCTGGAGAGGGCTTTTGTGCTGCATCATAACATGGCAGAGAAGGTTGAAAAGGAAGCAGATACATTGTGAACAAACAAAATCTGAGGGGCATGCTGGCTTTATAACAACTCACTGACATGGAAACTGATCTTCCTGGAGAACAAATCCAGTCACGCTAGGATGATAACTCACTACTGTAAGAATGGCACCAAGCCATTCATGAGGGATCTGCCCCCATAACTGAAACATCTCCCACTAGGCTCCCTTGCCCAACATCACTACTTTGAGAATCAAATTTTCACATGAGTTTTGGTGAGGACACAGCATTCCTTTATAACTACACAAGTTGTACATCCATGAAGCCAAACCTGTATTCAGCTCCAGATCTTCAAGGAAATGTATCGCAGGTCCATATTTCTAGCCTAGACCTCTCTCTTGAGCTCAGGGCTTAACCATTATTCCCAGAAATGAAGGAACATATTTTGTTTAAATCTGGGCACTTTCACTTACTAGCAGCATGATGTTGAGCAAGGCATTCAATCTCTCTAAGCTTCAGTGTCTCTGTAAAATTTGAGGGCTATAGGAAAGTTTGCAAATATCAAGCTGGTAAGTCAATAATATATTGATAATTACAGCCTATACCTAGGTCTAAACTGTCCATATTCATAAAATGTAAAAAGCCTTGAAGCAGAAAGAGTAGGTAGCTGCTGAAACACCAATATTTTCTGTTTATCTAGTTGTTTAAAAACCGTGAAAATTAGAACAAACAGGTAGTAACCTCTGCAAGGAGCTTAGGAATAATTTTTGCCCCAGTGGGCTTATTTTAAAAATGTATGCAATATTGTATTTCCAGGCAAGAACACAGACCATGAGAGTGAGCTCATTAGCAGGCTCTAGTCAATCTGGTTCTAGAAACTTGACATCATGTGCTTTGAGCTGATGGCTGGACTCCAGTCTCATGTAAACAAAAGAAAGTAGGCTCACACAGCAAAACTAGAAGGTGAGCACCAGTCAGGGGCCACAGACATCTATAAAAAGATTGCTTCTTTGGAGGCGGGTGGATCACCTGAGGTCAGGAGTTCAAGACCAGCCTGGCCAGTGTGGTGAAACCCCATCTCTACCAAAAATACAAAAATTAGCTGGGTGTGGTGGCGCATGCCTGTAATCCCAGCTACTCGGGAGGCTGAGGCAGGAGAATCACTTGAACCTGGAAGGCGGAGGTTGCCCTGAGCCGAGATCGTGCATTGCCCTCCAGCCTGGGTGACAAGAGCGAAACTCTGTCTCAAAAAAAAAAAATTGCTTTTTTGGTGAGTGATGGGTACATTTTCAACTTTGTACTGGGCATCGCAATCAAGATTTTCATCTGGAATCTGAAACCCAGCGTACCCCACACAGAACTCAACAATGGTTTTCCTTCTCAAGTCTGCTTTTTTCCCTCCATCTCCTATGTCAGTTAATGGTACCACTCACTGTGAAGTCACTGAAGCTAAAAAGCCCTGATCAATTTTTACCCTGCCTCTCTTCTTCGCCCCAGCAGCCACCCCCATGCACATCCAGAAAGCAACAGAGACAGTAAGTACATCTAGACTCTATAGACATGATGATGGACAGGTTAGACTACATAAAATAGAAAACAGCTCTGTATGACAGTAGGCATCATAAATAAAATAAAAACACATATAATAGACACACTGAAATATTGCTTATAATATTAATTTCATATTTATAGCCCCAATTCTATAATTATTATGTGATTGTTGGTTTTCTTTCTACTTTTCTCAGCATTATTTCATAGATATTATTACCACCAAGACTATTTAAAATGCCCATAAACCAACAAGATAAATATAAACAGACGAATGGAAAAGTGGGCAAAAGATATGAGTAGGCAATTCACAGAAATAACACAGATGACCCATATACTTCTCAAAAAAAATCTCAATTGAGTAATGATCAGGGAAATACAGATTAAACGCATAAGATATAATTTCCACCCATCAAGTTGGCTTAAAAAAGTTTATTTAGTTAGTTTGTTTTTTACAAAGGTCCAAATAAAGCTAAAAGAGAGGTCTGTTTTTTGCTTTTTTTTTTTTTTTTTGAGACAGGGTCTTGCTATGTTGCCCAGACTAGGCTTGAACTCCTCAGCTCAAGGGATCCTCCCACTTCAGCCTCCTAAGTAGCTGGGACTACAGGCTCAAGACATTATACCAGGCTTATTTAGGTTTTATTATGTGGTGGTAAAAGGGTAGTGTCTGAAGGCAATTGATACTTACAATGTATATACTTTTGGATTCAGAAATTCTACACCTATGTGGCTATCCCTAAGAAATTCTTGCACATTTGCACAAAGAGGCATACATAAAGATGTTTCACTGAAATGCTTTCTGTAATAGCAAAGGAAAGAGATAACCTAAATGTACATCTGTTGAGAATAATTAAGCAACTTACGGTATATTTATACTAGAATATAATAGAATAAATAAAAAGAATGAAATGTATTCATAAATTCTAACTTCAAAAATCTGTATAAATTTTTAAGTGAAAAATAAAAAAGCTTGATTTCTGTAAAATTAAAACACAGTAAATCTTAATTGTATCATAGTTATAGATATGTGCTTGTATAGAAACAGGCCTGGAAGGCTCTGTATGCAGTGACCAAGTGCTCAGCCTCTGGGGTGGAAAGTGGCCTAGTGGGAGGAGGAGGAAGGGGAGAGTGTTTATTGTATGTAATTCCCCATTCGTGAATGTGTATAACAAGCATACAAGGCCATGTTAATTGCAGAATATAACTGAAAACTATCATAACTTTAATCACTTAAAAAATATGGCTGAGACATTTTATCACCTTACTCTTGGATCAAAATACCTGATGGTATCTGACTAGCATGTACATATTTGTATAACCTAAGGTGGTGTTCCTCAAAGTGAGGCTTATAAACTACCTATATCAGAATTCCTTTGGGGTACCTGAAAAAAACCCACCAGTTCCCCCGGCTCTACTCCCAGTGGATTTAATTTGATAGATACGGGATTGTCCTAGGAATTTGCATTTAAAAAAACTGATGGTCAGAGTTGGAGAACCACTGGAGCAGGAAATTCACTTTATTTGGGTTTCACAGCCCTTTGGAAGGTTTGAAATTCCTAGTTCTCTTTAAGGAGGATAGAAAATAAGGCCAGACTAACATACATACGGTGGTATTTGGAAGGTGGAAACAGGAGACTAATTTAGTAGGTAAAGTTTCAAAAATGCTGCCAACCATCACTGTGTTTGTGGCTGCAGGTGCTGACCTGTGTGAACCTGAGGTGGTTACCTGGATGCAAATCCACACCTGCCAGATTTGTGCCAACTCAGAGTAGGCAACAGAATGTGTGTTCTACCTTGCTTCCTATTTACAAGGCTTGGATTCTGCTCCTAATTATGATTGTACTTTTCATTGATATCCTTCAAAGAGATTTATCTTGTGTAGCCAAAACAGATTCAAGAGAAACATTTCTCTGTACTTTAGTTATTGTAGCATTTATGGTTATTTATTTACCTGTCTTTTCTCTCTGAAGACTGTGAGATTGTCAAGAACAGAACTCAGTAATTCTGTATCTCTATCAGCCAGCATAATTCCACATGAAGTACTATGCTGTCCATAAATTATTTCTACCATGAAGTATTTTTTGTAGTAATAGCATCTAGAAATTACAGCCTATGAAATAACAAAGTCCCCCAATTTTAATTTTTTCTGCTTTTCACCATTTCATATAAAGCATTTATTTTGTCATCCTGACTTGGATAAGGGCAATTAAAGTGATTTATTAATACTATTCCTTGGAAATGTTGCCACAGAATATTCCAGATTACACAGGTTACTATTTTTTCAAGATGTTTTACTTCCAATTCTTTTCACAGCATTTATGTACCAATATTGCAATATTTACCACATCTTTATTTACCACAATATTTACCATATATTTATTGAAACACTTTATTAAATATTTGTTCAGGTGTCTTTTTTCCTTTATGGGCTATTAGTTCCTTTAGGTCTGGCAATGAACCCAGTGTCAGGCACATAGATCATGATTAAGAACAATTTGATCAATTAATGTCTCATGAGAGTTTTATATGGCTTAGGAGTTTTTCAAATAGTCATTTCTATGCCTCTTCCTGATAATGTAACATTTTCCTTTTCTAAAAAAACAAGTTATAATTTAAAGCACACAGCATAATTTCAGGGAAAAAAACTGAGTTGAATTTTATATAAAGATGGAATCTCAATTTAAGAAATCCTAAAAATAATCAATGGGATAGCTCCAATAGAACTTGTATTTAAGAAATAAATACTACATTCATTAAAATGATAAGTTCATTTCAGCTGATCATAAGTTTCTACATCCAGAAAGGAAGCAAGTTGGATTAAGTGGATTTTAGCTTGCCCATTCAATTCTCAAATTCCGATTTTAATAACTAATATGTGGTTACTTCATGATGACAACAACTTAAGAAAAGTGACTCAGATGTATGTTCTTGTTTTTTTTTTTGTTCTTAACTTGCAATACATCTATGCTTTTCTCTGACCCTTTAACATTTGAAGACCAAAGAAAGAGAGAAAAATCGATTGTACAAATATTGATCCACTTTACAAAGTTGATGCCACCTGACTCTTTAGCCGCTTGAAAGCTGATAATCCCCCTTTCACCACCTGCAATTACTGCATTGTCCTGAGCTGAAGGCCAGCGATTACATCCCATGCAGTGCTGATTTCATTAAAAAGCAGTTCAGAGTCACCTCTGAGGTAACTTCCCCAGTGAGGATGGCTGACTCAAATTTCAGTTTGTGCTTTGATTATGAGTTTTGAAGTACCAGACGTGCTAAGCATAATACAACATATTGTTATCTTTATTTATTAGTCTCTATGAGAATTAATCATCTTTCACTGATAGCAATCTCTCCATGGTTTATGGCCCCTCTCAAGCCTTGGCTCTCATCTGCCACTCAGAATTTTATTTTATTTTATTTTTTTAAACTTTCTTTCTTTCTTTCTTTCTTTCTTTCTTTCTTTCTTTCTTTCTTTCTTCTTTCTTTTTATTATGCTTTAAGTTCTAGGGTATATGTGCACAACATGCAGGCTTGATACATAGGTATACATGTGCCATGTTGGTTTGCTGCACCCATCAACTCATCATTTACATTAGGTATTTCTCCTAAGGCTATCCCTCCCCCAGCCCCCTGACCCCCCGACAGGCCCCAGCGTGTGATGTTCCCCGCCCTGTGTCGAAGTCATCTCATTGTTCAATTCTCACCTATGAGTGACAACATGCAGTGTTTGGTTTTCCGTGCTTGTGATAGTTTGCTGAGAATGATGGTTTGCAGCTTCATCCACGTCCCTGCAAAGGACATGAACTCATCCTACTTTATGGCTGCATAGTATTCCATGGTGTATATGTGCCACATTTTCTTAATCCAGTCTATCATTGATGGACATTTGGGTTGGTTTCAAGTCTTTGCTATTGTGAATACTGTTGCAATAAACATACGTGTGCATGTGTCTTTATAGTAGCATGATTTATAATCCTTTGGGCATATACCCAGCAATGGGATAGCTGGGTCAAATGGTATTTCTAGTTCTAGATCCTTGTGGAATCACCACACTGTCTTCCACAATGGTTGAACTAGTTTACACTCCCACCAACCATGTAAAAGCATTCCTATTTCTCCACATCCTCTCCAGCATCTGTTGTTTCCTGACTTTTTAATGATTGCCATTCCAACTGGCGTGAGATGGTATCTCATTGCGGTTTTGATTTGCATTTCTCTGATGACCAGTGATGATGACCATTTTTTCATGTGTCTGTTGGCTGCATCAATGTCTTCTTTTGAGAAGTCTGTTCATATCCCTTGCCCACTTTTTGATGGGGTTGTTTGTTTTTTTCTTGTAAATTTGTTTGACTTCTTTGTAGATTCTGGATATTAGCCCTTTGTCAGATGAGTAGATTGCAAAAATTTTCTCCCATTCTGTAGCTTGCCTGTTCACTCTGATAGTAGTTTCTTTTGCTGTGCAGAAGCTCTTTAGTTGAATTAGATCCCATTTGTCAATTTTGGCTTTTGTTGCCATTGCTTTTGGTGTTTTAGTCATGAAGTCCTTGCCCATGCCTATGTCCTGAATGGTATTGCCTAGGTTTTCTTCTAGGGTTTTTATGGTTTTAGGTCTAACATTTAAGTCTTTAATCCATCTTGAATTAATTTTTGTATAAGGTGTAAGGAAGGGATCCAGTTTCAGCTTTCTACATATGGCTAGCCAGTTTTCCCAGCACCATTTATTAAATAGGGAGTCCTTTCCCCATTTCTTGTTTTCATCAGGTTTGTCAAAGATCAGTTGGTTGTAGATGTGTGGTATTATTTCTGAGGGCTCTGCTGTATTCCATTGGTCTATATCTCTGTTTTGGTATCAGTACCATGCTGTTTTGGTTACCGTAGCCTTGTAGTATAGTTTGAAGTCAGGTAGCGTGATGCCTCCAGCTTTGTTCTTTTGGCTTAGGATTATCTTGACAATGCGGGCTCTTTTTTGGTTCCATATGAACTTTAAAGTAGTTTTTTCCAATTCTGTGAAGAAAGTCATTGGTAGCTTGATGGAAATGGCATTGAATCTATAAATTACTTTGGGCAGTATGGCCATTTTCATGATACTGATACTTCCTATCCATGAGCATGAAATATTCTTCCATTTGTTTGTATCCTGTTTTATTTCGTTGAGCAGTGGTTTGTAGTTCTCCTTGAAGAGGTCCTTCACATCCCTTGTAAGTTGGATTCCTAGGTATTTTATTCCCATTGTAGCAATTGTGGATGGGAGTTCACTCCTGATTTGGCTCTCTGTTTGTCTGTTATTGGTGTATAGGAATGCCTGCGATTTTTGCACATTGATTTTGTATCCTGAGACTTTGCTGAAGTCGTTTATCAGCTTAAGGAGATTTTGGGCTGAGACGATGGGGTTTTCTAAATATACAATTATGTCATCTGCAAACAGGGACAATTTGACTTCTTTTTCTAATTTTTTCCTGATTGAATACCCTTTATTTCTTTCTCTTGCCTGATTGCCCTGGCCAGAACTCCCAATACTGTGTTGAATAGGAGTGGTGAGAGAGGGCATCCTTGTCTTGTGCTGGTTTTCTTTTCTTTTCTTTTTCTTTTTTTTTTTTTTTTTGAGACAGAGTCTTGCTATGTCGCCCAGGCCAGAGTGCAGTGGTGTGATCTCGGCTCACTGCAAACTCTGCCTGCCAGGTTCATGCCATTCTCCTGCCTCAGCCTCCCAAGTAGCTGGGACTACAGGTGCCTGCTACCACGCCTGGCTAATTTTTTTTGTATTTTTTTAGTAGAGACAGGGTTTCACCCTGTTAGCCAGGATGGTCTCGATCTCCTGACCTCGTGATCCACCCGCATTGGCCTCCCAAAGTGCTGGGATTACAGGCGTGAGCCACTGCGCCTGGCCATCTTGTGCTGGTTTTCAAAGGGAATGGTTCCAGTTTTTGCCCATTCAGCATGATATTGGCTGTGGGTTTGTCATAAATAGCTCTTATTATTTTGAGATACACTCCATCAATACCTAGTTTACTGAGAATTTTTAACATGAAGGGCTGTTGAATTTTGTCAAAGGCCTTTTCTGCATCTATTGAGATAATCATGTGTTTTTTGTCATTGGTTCTGTTTATGTGATGGATTACATGTATTGATCTGCATATGTTGAACCAGCCTTGCATCCCAGGGATGAAGCCAACTTGATCGTGGTGGATAAGCTTTTTGATGTGTTGCTGGATTCGGTTTGCCAGTATTTTATTGAGGATTTTTGCATTGATGTTCATCAGGGATATTGGTCTAAAATTCTCTTTTTTTATTGTGTCTCTGTCAGGCTTTGGTATCAGGATGATGCTGGCCTCATAAAATGAGTTAGGGAGGATTCCCTCTTTTTCTATTGATTGGAATAGTTTCAGAAGGAATAGTACCAGCTCCTCTTTGTACCTCTGGTAGAATTCAGCTGTGAATCTGTCTGGTCCTGGACTTTTTTTGGTTGGTAGGCTATTAATTATTGCCTCAATTTCAGAGCCTGTTATTGGTCTATTAAGAGATTCAACTTCTTACTGGCTTAGTCTTGGGAGGGTGTATGTGTTGAGGAATTTACCCATTTCTTCTATACTTTCTAGTTTATTTGCATAGAGGTGTTTATAGTATTCTCTGATGGTAGTTTGTATTTCTGTGGGATCGGTGCTGTTATCCCCTTTATCATTTTTTATTGCATCTATTTGATTCTTCACTATTTTCTTCTTTATTAGTCTTGCTAGCAGTCTATCAATTTTGTTGCTGTTTTCAAAAAACCAGCTCCTGGATTCATTGATTTTTTGAAGGGTTTTTTTTTTTTGTCTCTATCTCTTTCAGTTCTGCTCTGATCTTAGTTATTTCTTGCCTTTTGCTAGCTTTTGAATTTGTTTGCTCTTGCTTCTCTAGTTCTTTTAGTTGTGATGTTAGGGTGTTGATTTTAGATCTTTCCTGCTTTCCCTTGTGGGCATTTCGTGCTATAAATTTCCGTCTACATACTGCTTTAAATGTGTCCCAGAGATTCTGGCACATTGTGTTTTTGTTTTCATTGGTTTCAAAGAAGATCTTTATTTCTGCCTTCATTTCATTATTTACCCAGCAGTCATTCAGGAGCAGGTTGTTCAGTTTCGATGTAGTTGTGCGGTTTTGAGTGAGTTTCTTAATCCTGAGTTCTAATTTGATTGCACTGTGGTCTGAGAGACAGTTTATTATAATTTCTGTTCTTTTACATTTTAAGGAGTGCTTTACTTCCAATTATGTGGTCAATTTTAGAATAAGTGTGGTGTGGTGCTGAGAAGAATGTATATTCTGTTGATTTGGAGTGGAGAGTTCTGTAGATGTCTATTAGGTCTGCTTGGTGCAGAGCTGAGTTCAAGTCCTCCATAGCCTTGTTAACTTTCTGTCTCATTGATCTGTCTAATGTTGACAGTGGGGTGTTGAAATCTCCCATTATTATTGTGTGGGAGTTTAAGTCTCTTTGTAGGTCTCTAAGGACTTGCTTTATGAATCTGGGTGCTCCTGTATTGGGTGCATATATATTTAGGATAGTTAGCTCTTCTTGTTGAATTGATCCCTTTACCATTATGTAATGGCCTTCTTTGTCTCTTTTGATCTTTGTTGGTTTAAAGTCTGTTTTATCAGAGACTAGGATTGCAAACCCTCCTTTTTTTGCTTTCCATTTGCTTGGTAGATCTTCCTCCATCCCTTTATTTTGAGCCTACGTGCATCTTTGCACATGAGATGGGTCTCCTGAATACAGCACACTGATGGGTCTTGACTCTTTATCCAATTTGCCAGTCTGTGTCTTTTAATTGGAGGATTTAGTCCATTTACATTTAAGGTTAATATTGTTAGGTATGAATTTGATCCTGTCATTATGATGTTTGCTGGTTATTTTGCCCATTAATTGATGCAGTTTCTTCATAGTGTTGATGGTCTTTACAACTTGGCATGTTTTTGCAGTGGCTGGTACCAGTTGTTCCTTTCCATGTTTAGCGCTTCCTTCAGGAGCTCTTGTAGGGCAGGCCTGGTGGTGACAAAATCTCTCAGCATTTGCTTGTCTGTAAAGGATTTTATTTCTCCTTCACTTATGAAGCTTAGTTTGGCTGGATATGAAATTCTGGGTTGAAAATTCTTTCCTTTAAGAATGTTGAATATTGGCCCCCAGTCTCTTCTAGCTTGTAGGGTTTCTGCCGAGAGATCTGCTGTTAGTCTGATGGGCTTCCCTTTGTGGTTAACCTGACCTTTCTCTCTGGCTGCCCTTAGCATTTTTTCCTTCGTTTCAACCTTAGTGAATCTGATAATTATGTGTCTTGGGGTTGGTCTTCTCAAGGAGTATCTTTGTGGTGTTCTCTGTATTTCCTGAATTTGAATGTTGGCCTGTCTTGCTAGGTTGGGGAAGTTCTCCTGGATAATATCCTGAAGAGTGTTTTCCAACTTGGTTCCATTCTCCCCGTCACTTTCAGGTACACCACTCAAATGTAGATTTGGTCTTTTCACATAGTCCCAGATTTCTTGGAGGCTTTGTATGTTTCTTTTTACTCTTTTTTCTCTAACCTTGTCTTCTCACTTTATTTCATTAATTTGATCTTTAATCCCTGATACCCTTTCTTCCCCTTGATCGAATCAGCTATTGAAGCTTGTGCATGCAACACGAAGTTCTCGAGCCACAGTTTTCAGCTCCATCAGGTCATTTAAGGTCTTCTCTATACTGTTTATTCTAGTTAGCCATTAATCTAAGCTTTTTTCAAGGTTTTAACTTCCTTGCAATGGGTTCAAACATCCTCCTTTAGCTTGGAGAAGTTTATTATTACTGACCTTCTGAAGCCCACTTCTGTCAACTCATCAAAGTCCTTCTCCATCCAGCTTTGTTCCATTGCTGGCGAGGAGCTGCAATCCATTGGAGGAGAAGAGGTGCTCTGAGTTTTAGAATTTTCAGCTTTTCTGCTCTTGTTTCTCCCCATCTTTGTGGTTTTGTCTACCTTTGGTCTTTGATGTTGGTGACCTACAGATGGGGTTTTGATGTAGATGAACTTTTTGTTGATGTTGATGCTATTCCTTTGTGTTTATTAGTTTTCCTTCTAACAGTCAGGTCCCTCAGCTGCAGGTCTGTTGGAGTTTGCTGGAGGTCCACTCCAGACCCTGTTTTCCTGGGTATCAACAGCGGAGGCTGCACAATAGCAAATATTGCAGAACAGCAAATATTGCTGCCTGATCCTTCCTCTGAAAGCTTTGTCCCAGAGGGGCACCCACCTATATGAGGTATCTGTTGGCCCCTACTGGGAGGTGTCTCCCAGTTAGGCTACACAGGGGTCAGGGACCCACTTGAGGAGGCAGTCTGTCCATTCTCAGAGCTCAAATGCCATGCTGGGAGAACCACTGCTCTCTTCCGAGCTGTCAGACAGGGACTTTTAAGTCTGCAGAAGTTGTCTGCTGCCTTTTGTTCAGCTATGCCCTGACCACAGAGGTGGATTCTAGAGGCAGTAGGCCTTGTTGAGCTGCTGTGGGTTCTGCCCAGTTCGAGCTTCCCAGCCACTTTGTTTACCTACTCAAACCTCAGCAATGGCGGACGCCCCTCCCCCAGCCAGGGTGTGCCTCGAAGTTCGATCTCAGACTGCTGCACTAGCAGTGAGCAAGGCTCTGTTGGCTTCGGACCTGCTGAGCCAGGCACGGGAGAGTATCTGCTTGTTTGCTGGTTGCTAAGACCTTGGGAAAAGTGCAGTATTTGGGCAGTAGTGTCCCATTTTTCCAGGTAGTCTGTCATGTCTTCCCTTGGCTAGGAAATGGAATTCCCCCCACCCCTTGTGCTTCCAGGGTGAGGCGATGCCCCCACCCTGCTTCAGCTCACCCTCCATGGGCTGCACCCACTGTCCAACCAGTCCCAATGAGATGAACCAGGTACCTCATTTGGAAATGCAGAAATCACCCGTCTTCTGCATCGATCAGGCTGGGAGCTGCAGACTGGAGCTGTTCCTATTTAGCCATCTTGCGCAAGTCAATTTTATATATTTTTCATGCCAGCAAATAATAATTTGCCTGAAATTCCATTTTAATGCTATGAAGATGACTACTTCTACCTCTGAAATGCCATTAGGTTAATCATCACCTTGACAGACTGGAAAAATGATATTTTAGGCCTATATTCGTTGTAACTCACTTCTGTTATCATTTTTGAAAAAGAGAAAAAAATTTTTTGGTCAAGTAAAGACTACACTTAGGTTGAAGCCTCCAAGAATTTTACAATGTATGTCAGGCTATCTGTGAACAAGGAGAATCCACACCTGGATCTTTGTGAATTCTAGTTATTGGAGTTTATTTCAGTTTCTCTGTCATTACCACTAATGTTTTTTACATACATAGAAATACTCAGTTGACATGCAGGCAGATGTTTTGTGGATTCATATCAAACCTCCTTTTAGTGGTGAATAATTAAAAGATTAGATAATCAGTGTGGCAAAGTGAAGAGAGCCTCTGTGGGAAGTGCTCACATTTCTTTTGGACCACCTGTATGAGTGCCATCAAGTGTACCAGGTAAATCCACTGATTTTCAGAGGATTCTCAGCCATCCAGAGCCCCAGGCCAGACCTATGAAATAAAATCTTTAGGAGACATCCAGGATTGTGTTTTCAATACAGGTGATTCCAGCTTGCTATTGGTTAGGGAACCACTGCCCAGAGATAGTCTGGGTAGAAGATCCCTAATTTTATCTTGTTTAAGAATCAGAGAGATAGTTTATTAAAATGCAAACCTTTAAGCCCCAACCCCAGAGATTCAGATTCAGTGGAGCTGGCTCAGGATCCAGGAATTAACACTTTTAGTGAGCATCCCAGGTGAAACTGCTGCTAGTGTGTCAAAGAAATGTACTTTGAGAAACACTGGGACAGCAGTGAACCAGAATTTAGCCACAGACAGCTAATTATTGAGCAGCTACTGGATTAATGTTGTTTATTATTAATAGAAGAGAGTACCTCTGTAGCTGAGTGTAATATCCATAATTATTAGAAGAATCATGAAAAAAGTTCTCTTTCTGATAGTGGAATATTGATTTTTGCTTTTCTTAGTGAAGGTAGAGTAAGAATATGTACAAAGAAGTAAAAAAAGGTACAAATTGCTATCTAGCCAGCATCACTTCTTTGTACAAAAAGCCCAGGGAAAACTTGAGGCTCTTTGCCTTACTTTTCTTCCTCCTTTCCCTCTCCCAAATCATTGCAGTAACACTGTTGGGAAACTAGAGAAGCCAAACAAAAAGATAATTTGGCATCTCCCCAATTCCTCCCTTGTCCTCCCCTCCCACCCCCATATAACTACTGTTAAGTTTATTCAGCTACATTCAGATCTTTCCAAAATACAGTCGTAGCAAGTCAGTTTCCTTCAGGGATTCTCAGATGTTCTCAGGATCGAGTTCAGACCCCTTAGCATGGCTGAGATAAGCCATGAGCTGGTCTTTGCGCATGGCTCTATCCATCATCTCTTGCTTTCTAGGTCAAAGTCACCAAACATCGATTCACTAGAAATGAATTTGACCAAGGAATCAATTATCCTTAAGATACCCCAAATACTAATTTTCCAAAAAAATGTGTTAAAAAAACTATAAACTTTATGGCAATTTATATTAGATGGGATTTTTTAAATAACTTCTGATGATTTCTGCAATGCTTTAGTTGACTGGTTTTCATTTTATTGCTTTCACAGCAGCATTTTAGGGAATTGAAATTCAATTTTACAATTATAATTAATTAATCTACTGATTTAATATGGCACAGGATAAGGAGAGGCAGCTTTTCATTGTGGGAGGTGTGTGGTGGTGCTGGGATCAGGGGTTTTAGGAAAAGATTTCTAGTAACTGAATCGTAGGAGGGAGCCAGACATGAAAAGCTCTAGGGGAAGAATGTGTCTAATTCTTTGATAAAATTTAAGGAGATTTAAAAAGTAATGTTTATAGCATTTGATACCTTTTATAGCAATTCGCATAGCCCTGCCCTAGCTGTAAGGAAAGCAAGAGAATGGAGTAACTGGAATTTTTACCTTTCCTAGCAGGAGCCATGTTCTCTCTCATTAGAAGACATCCCCATTGAAACAGGATTCAGATGTAAGTTGCCAAAAGAATAATAAATGTCAATGTGGTAGCAATTGGGAGAAATAGAGGAAACCAAAAGGTAAAGTGATATAAAACCACATATAAACACAGCTTTTCATTAGTTTTCAGTTAGTTTAACCTCACAAAGTCAATTTACTCAATTATCAGCAGTGAGCCAAAGTTCTGTATTTTAGGTACTTTAAATTTATGATTTGGGGAATGAAGATTTCTTGTGAATTTCAAATTGCTTCAACTAAAAAGGTAAACTAAATGGTGAAAAAAAATCCTTAAAGGCTGTTGCAACCATTTAAGGGAAATGATTTGCTATAGTATTTGGAGAAAGTTAATTAAGTTTTTGGTAAACTGAAAAACAGGCAAATTGATCAATATTGATAATACTGAGTGAGAACTGAGTTTTGGCAAATTCCACAAGTTGCTCTCTTCTCTGTGCCATAAGGCAGGAGGCCCTAACTCCCGGGTCATAAACTGGTACTGGTCCGTGGCCTGTTAGGAACTGTGCCACATAGGAGGAGGTGGGTGGTGGGGGGGATGAGTGAGCGAGGCTTCATCTGTATGTACTTACAGCTGCTCCCCATTGCTTGCATTACCTCCTGAGCTCTGCCTCCTGTCAGATCAGTGGCAGCAATAGATTCTCATAGGAGTGTGAACCCTATTGTGAACTACAGATGTGAGGGATCTAGGTTGCACACTCTGTATGAGAATCTAGTGCCTGACGATCTGTCACTGTCTCCCATCACCCCCAGATGGGACTGTCTAGTTGCAGGAAAACAAGCTCAGGACTCCCACTGATTCTACATTACGGTGAGCTGTATAATTATTTCATTATGTATCATAATGTAATAATAATAGAAATAAAGTGCATAATAAATGTAATGTGCTTGAATCATCCTGAAACCACCCTCTGACCCTGGTCTGTGGAAAAATTGTCTTCCACAAAACCAGTCCCCGGTGCCCAAAAGGCTGCGGATGGCTGCCATAAGGTGTGCTTTTTTTTCTGGTAAAAAAACCTCTGGCCTCCTTCCTGACCTCTGCACATGATGTTTGCAGACCACAGGTCTCTTTCCCTGACCCATCTCTGTTTTCACTGCTCTTCCATTTCATATTTTTCCTAACCAGTAGGCCAAGTGCATGTACTTTTCCTTGCTATGGAGTTGCTGGGGGTAATAATCCTAATCATTTGCACTTGAGCAAGAAAACAAATGATTTATTTGAACTAAAAAAGCATTCAATAAAAAGAATATTATATGTGTCAAGTGCCAGAGGATCTCAGCTTGTGGTGCCCTCAAGTAGGCTGTCCATATCTCCCAGATTCCCAATTTGCTGGGACAGCAGAGTTTTGATGGTCTAGGGCCTGGCTTCTAGAATAGGAAGAGAAAGGCCTTCAGAGGGTGGGACACTTAGAGCTATCTTCCCAAACCCTAGAGTTTTTGCTAGTTTCTTTGGCAGATGGTCTTAGCTCCCAAGCACATGATACAGATGTTCTTCCAATGGCCAGGTAGCAAGGAGTTGGTGGAGAAGTTGGCTACTGGCTGGAACACAGGCAGCAGACTCGTTTGGACTGGCTGCTGACATTCGTGCCCTGATGAGCCCCGTAGCAGGCCTAGGATTGAGATCAGGGGATTGAGTCTCTAGTTGCTCTAAACTCTGGTATCTGTCTTTAAAGGTCATTCATGATACAACAGTACTATTGCAGAGGTCTATGTCTGTCCTTAAAGAGGAAAAAGAGATTCAAATATATATATATATATATATATACACACACACACACACACACACACATGAAGGAGCTTATAGCTTAATTGTATATATGAATATATACATATATAATTTTGTATGTGTATATGTATAATTAATATGTATATAATAACATGTATAATTGTTTATTGTATGTTGGTCTTCTCCATTAGACTGTAAGCTCCTTAAGTCATATTTAATTTTCTTTTTAATCTTTATACACTGAAGGCCTAAAAGCATGTTTGACACATAATAGATGCTTAGTAAATACTTGGTGAGTGAATGAATATACCCCAAACAACGTCAAGATTCAATACACAATTTAATGTATTGTTCAATTGATTTAGTTGAGAACCACTTATGATGAAAGTTATTGTATTAGTCTGTTTTTATACTGCTGATAAAGACATACCTGAGACTGAGCAATTTACAAAAGAAAGAGGTTTATTGGACTTACAGTTTCATGTGGCTGGGGAGACCTCACAATCATGGTGGAAAGTGAAAGGCATGTCTCACATGGTGGCAGGCAAGAGAAGAGAGCCTGTTCAGGGAAACTCCCCTTTTTGAAACCATCAGTCTCATGAGACTCATTCACTATCATGAGAACAGTGCAGGAAAGACCCACTCCCATAATTCAATCACCTTCCACTGGGTTCCTCCCATGACATGTGGGAATTGTGGGAGTTAAAATTCAAGATGAGATTTGGGTGAGGACACAGCCAAACCATATCAGTTATCAAAAACATACACACTGCCAATAAATTATAAAAGTTGTTATAAAAATAAATTATGCATCTATATTAAAATATAGGCAGACATACACTATGATGATGCTGCCAGTTTTAAACCAAATCATTTAAAATGCTATACTTCCACTTCTCTAATGGTCCCTGGTGCCCAGAAGATTGGGGACTGCTGTCATAAGTCATTCTTTTCTTTTTGGTAAGAACTTCTACTAGTTCTCTAATGGTCCAACTAGTTTAAAATGTTAAAATATCAAATTCCAATATTTTTACTCATTCCTACATACACAGTTCCCAAGGTATCACCTGAAGGTCAATAAATATTTGTTGAAAGCATAAAATAGCTTTATATGACTGCTTAGGCAAATCACACATAGCCTGAGGGTGTATGAATTTGGCTTTTAGAAGTAGGAAGAAAGAGTTTACTTTTCCATGTGCCTGACTATGGAGAATCAAATTACAAACATCTTTCTTATTTCTTCCCTGTATTAGTTTTCTATTGCTGGGTAACAAATAACAAGTTTAGAGGCTTAAAATAATACCCATTCATTAGCCCAGCTCTGTAGGTCAGAAGTCCTTCACAGCATGACTGGATTCTGCTCAAGAAGACTGAAATCAAGATATTGTCCGTACTGAGTTCTCAAATGGAGACCCTGGTGGAAAATCCACTTCCAAGTTCATTCTCTTAGGTGACAGAAATTAGTTGCTTGAGCTTGTGGAACTGAGGTCTCCATTTCTTTGCTTGCTGTCAGATGGGGGCTGCTGTCAGTCTCTAAGGTCACCCACTTCCTTGCCATGTGGCTCCTTCCATCTTTAAGCCTGCAATGACATGGTACAGTAAATTCTTCTTGTGCTTCAAGTCTCTTACTTCTTCTGTCTCTCACCTCTAGATGCAGATTTAAAGGGCTCTTGATGAGGTAACGCCCACCTGAATAATTTGTGTCTCTTAAGGTCAACTGATTTGGGAACTTAATCACATTTGCAAAATCCATTTTGCTATATATGTAACATAGTCATAGGAGTGGTATCTCATGACAATCATGTGCCTCATAACTCTTCAGTCAACAACAGACTGCGTATTGACAATGGTCCTATCAGATTATAATATTGTATTTTTATTATACCTTTTCCATATTTAGATATGTTTAGAGGCATAAGTATTTACCATGGCGTTGCAGTTGCCTACAGTATTCAGGACAGTAACATACTATATAGGTGTATAGCCTAGGAGCAATAGGCTATACTATATAGCTAGGTGTATAGTAGGCTATACCATCTAGGTTTGTGTGAATACACTCTATGATGTTAGCACAAGGATGAAATCACCTATCAATGCATTTCTCAGAACATATCCCTGTCATTAAACAATGCATGACGGTCTATTCACAGACTCTGTCCACACTTGAGAGGAGGAGATTACATAAGGGTAAAGGTCACTGAAGATCCTCTTAGAAACCTGCCTATGACATTGCCTTACATCAAGGCTTTGGCTTGAGCTCAGGTGTTGTCAATAGTGTGTGTGTGTGAGGATGTGTGTGTGTGTGTTGTGTGTGTGTAAGAGTTTATGATGTGTCACATATGTGATGTGTGGGAGGTTGGATTATTCTGACCTCTGAGGTCAGTTCAATTGGTCCATAAGCCAAGGATCATCTGCAATGGCACCATTTTAAAATATGAATATATTTTCATTGCCTGGTCTCTGGGATGGCTTCTGCTCTTTTTTTTCTTTTTCTTTCTTTCTTTTTTTTAACCCACTACTCTTTCTTTCCCAATTTAAAATATGTTGTGGTCCAAAAGCCTTTCACTTTTCCCTTGGCTGTATTTTCATATAAGAAGACAATGACACAGACTTCTTCTGGTGGAAATAGCTGGGTCTAAATATTGGAGGCCTAAGAATATGAGCACAATTTCTCTTCATGGTAATCCCTTTGGAAGCTGTAGTGCCTAGGGGAAGTTTGTTAATTAGTTTTCCATGGAATTAAAGTTCAGTGATTATTCAAGATCTGTACAGAGTTTTGATTGCCAATATTTTTTTCTGAGATATATTCCTGTCAGCATATTTGGAATAATAAAAGGCGATTAGAGAAGGTGATGAAAGATTAGTTATAATCCTGGAGGTGTGAAATGATATCCTATCTAGGAAGAGACTTTAATCCTGTTATTTTTGAGTAGAAGATCATGTGTTGGTAGTGGGGTCTAGAATTTCAAAATAGTGAAGCAGAGAGCCTTATTCTAGCATAAGGGTTCTTTACCTCTCATCCATGAACCTTCAAGGTTCACAGATGGGCTTCAAGGAAAGCCAGGAACTTTTTGAAATTGAATGTGAATTATGAGTTTGCATGTGTATGTTCATGTTCTGGAGAAGAGCTAATGATATCCTTAGATTGAGTCATAGGTTCTGTTCACCAAAATGATTAAAAGCCACCAGGCTAATTGGAGGACCATTTTTCAAGGAAATTAAAGCCCACAAAGGTGAAATGACTTGCCTGAAATCACAAAACTAATTTGCTTGTTGCATAACAGAGATTACATTCCTAGGCTCCTGATGCCCATTCTAATGTACTATTACTACACTTTATCCTGAGAGAGGCTTTTAAGGCCACACATGTGTGACGGTTGTATTTTAACTAAACCAGTGTTACATTGTTCCTTTGGAAACAGTTACTTAGATACATGGCATCCTTTAAAAAAAGTGAGCTGAAAGTGGGGAAGGGTGGGGAAAGGTATACTGGACTAGGACATACATATATATTGCCTTATATATAATAAAATGCAATCAATAGCTGTTGAATAAATGAGTAGTAGGAGTGTTCTGTTTATAAAACAAACATATATGAGGGGGGCCTGCTTTTTCACTAGAACCCTGCTAGTTACTACTGCAACTGCTATGAAAATTATTTTTGAGGAAAACACATTTTTTAGATAAAAGGAGGTGAAGCACATGGAGTAATTATGAAAAGTATATTAGTAATGATGATGATAATGATAATAAAAATATTTGAGTGACTATCATGTTATGATGTACCAGGTACGGCTATGCTAAATGATTTATCTAAATTATCTAATTTAATTTAATTATTGCCAACATTCCATGATTTAGATGTTATAACCCTATCTACAGATGAGAAACTGGGATGCACAAATGTTAATTAATCTCCCAAGGTCAGAGTTAGTAAATGACACAGCAGAATTTCTAACCTGGATGGATTGACAAAAGCTTGTGCTCTAACCTGTATGCACAAGGTTCACTCCCAATATATTGGAATATAACATTGGGATAGTTGAGTTTTTAATTATTGAATAGCAAAAGCAATATTATTTTCAGGACATCTTTACTAAAATCCTCTCCCTGAAATATACACATACAAGTTTTTACAAGTTTGTCTACAAGATACAAGTTTATCTTTAGGATTTTTCTCAACATTCCCTGTATATTTTCCTTTTGTTTACAGTTTTCCTTTGAGTCCAGGATCAGCTGAATTAACAAGAAAAAAATTATTACTGAAGCCTGTTAATGTAAAAAATAAGTACATGGAGAAATCCCTGGAAATATCAAAACCATCAAATGTTAGTCCTTGGGATCAAAGGTGGTGGAAGTGGGAGCTTTTTCAAGTTGAAATAAATGTCTACTCCTATTTGGTGCAAGAAATCTAGGCTCTCCACTCAAATGACATGTGGTTTTCCATTTGTTCTTAGTGCTTACATGTGACATAGGCAGTTAATCCATAGATTTTATTTAAACCTCACTTTATATACATATAAAAATGCATGCAATAAAGTACACAACTCATGAGGTTTTTTTAAAGTTTAGTTCTGACGACTTTCAGGACAACTTGAATTTGGGTCCAGGGATAGGTGTTTGGCAGATAGTGATGGCAGAGTGGATTCAACAGTGACCTAGTTATTTGGTGTGGCTTTACCTTTGTGTGCCAGTAATAGGAACCAACAGCTGGGTCAACCTGTTCCAGCTAGTTTATATTCAAAAGTATCACGAGGAAAACATGGGTGAACCAGCTGTTCTAGTGAATTTACACAACACCGTCAGGAGAACTGGTGTCCCCACTGCCATGGGAGGCTTTAAAATACCAACAACAGCTGTCTGAATATTCCTGAAACAATGCAAAAATAGCTGTGAAAAATGGTGATGATTTGCTGGGACTGATTGGGAATTCCAAACCAAGCTTGGCTATTATACAGGCAAGGAGATGGTGAATGGCCTGGGTTCCTGCTGGCCTTTGCTTCACAAGATGTGTTCTCTGCCAAGTACTTTACTTCCCCGTCTCCTCACTCCCCTAGTGAAAGGGTGGGACAGGATTCGTGACTTCAGTGAGGAGTTGAAGGGAGTGAGGTCAGCCTCCCTCCACCACCCTCAAGTTATCAGAAACAGGATGAGGGGAGAGTAATTTAAAAATATATGTAATTAATAGTTAAGTAAAATTATTGTAAAACATTTAAATGATTTTATAATATACAGTTTATAAAAAATATGAGATATTTATGTTTCTGAATAGGAAACATGAGTTTTCAAGCTTGAGAATTGGCCCATTAGAGAACTCATTTTAGTTCTGAGTTGAGAGTTTGGCCAGCGGCTGGGGAAAATGAATTCCCTTCCCTCTTTGAGCCAGTACATAAAGGAATTTGGAATATTCTTAGATATTTATCTTGTATCCACCGTGTATCAGGAACTATCAAGTTTGAGGATATAGTAGTGAACAAAAGAGATCAAAATCCCTGCCCTCAAGAAGCAGGCCGGGCTCAGTGGCTCACGCCTGTAATCCCAGCACTTTGGGAGGCCAAGGCAGGCGGATCACGAGGTCCAGAGATCGAGACCTCCCTGGCCAACATGGTGAAATCCCGTGTCTACTAAAAATACAAAAAAAAAAAAAAAAAAAATTAGCCGGGCATGGTGGCAGGTGCCTGTAATCCCAGCTACTTGGGAGGCTGAGGCAGGAGAATCGCTTGACCCGGGAGGTGGAGGTTGCAGTGAGCCGAGATCTCGCCATTGCACTCCAGCCTGGGCAAAGAGTGAAACTCTGTCTCAAAAAAAAAAAAAAAAAAGCTAACATTCTAGATAATAACTACGATAAAGACATAAATTAATAAATAAATAAGATAGTGTAAAGGATGCTGTGAAGTCCTGCCCAGGTCTCCCTTCAATGAATAACCTGCTGATGGCTGCTGATAGGGCTGCCACAGGTGACTTTAGTCCTTACAGGGATTGCCTCAGCTTCAGAGAGCTGCCTTGTCCAGTGCAAATCCAATGACTGATTTAGGACTGGAAGACCTGGCCTGAGCTCTGGACAGCAGGAGCCTGTGCTGAAAAGCCATTTCCTTTCTCGCTTCAGGACTGCCATGGGATTGGCCAAGGATTTCATTGAGATCTGCATGACAGCCTGACTTTTCCGTTTGCCCGTTCCTGCTTTTGTCTCCTTTCCACACAAGACTAGGACAAGGCTGTCTCTTGGATGGAGCTCATTGGATGCAAAATTTAGAGACACCCTCACTCCCAGGGTCATGCAGGTGCAGAGTTGCTCAGGGATTACATTTTATTTCAAAGTAAAACATTTTTAAAAATACAAGTGACCCTCAAATGCTACATCATACTTTTAACTTGGTGAAGATGCCTTAAGCAAAAATTCAGAATCAAAATTTAGATTAAATTTCAATCCTATATGATGGCATAAATGCAAATAATTTAAGTGAGATATCAATTCAATAAATAAATAAGTCTAGATTCTAACTCAGGCTTTCTGGCTCCAAAGGCCCTGCTCTTTCCATGGGTACAATGTTTGAAGACAATTCCTGCAGTAGGGTTACACTGTGAATCTACATTTTGGTTCTTATAGTTTTCTCTCCATGAATCAATAGGTCAGCTGAGTGGAGCTCTGACCCTAGAAACAGAAGTTAGACATTAAAAAAAAAAATTAAAGTACCCTCCCAACCCTTTTCAAGATATCATTATCAAATTTTATAAAAATAATTCAATTAAGTACCATGTAGCCCCGTTTTATTTTTTAGGAGCTCAGTTAAATCCTTCAGAATTATCTGGTGTATGTGAGTGTGTATGCGTGAAAAATATTGTGTTTTTGAATTGAATTTGCATTTTTTACTTAAAAAATAAAATATATTTCTCCAAATATGAACCACTGAATTTCCAGAGTAGATACATACAATAAACTGGGGTACCCTGTTTAGATTAAAACCCTATTTGAGAAAAAAAAACTATCCATGTACTTTAGTTTTTTTTTTTTTTCATACAAATGTATTTGCCTAAAGAAGGTCATTTTCACCGACTAGCATTTTGTCAGAAAATTTGAAGGACTCAAGTGTACTTCTGTGGATCTGCTGGCCAAAATGTGACATCTGTTATTCCCTAAAACCAATGTGACCCTTGTACACAAGAAATGCTCCAGAAAATACTATGGGAATTACAGACTAAGACTAACTCTCGTAACTGAAAAACTGGTGGATTAACAAAATTTTAAAATAGTCATTATAGGCCAGGCGCGGTGGCTCACACCTGTAATCCCAGCACTTTGGGAGGCTGAGGTGGGCGGATCACGAGGTCAGGAGATCAAGACCATCCTGGCCAACACAGTGAAACCCTATCTCTATTAAAAAAAAAAAAAAATTATTCGGGCGTGGTGGTGGGCGCCTGTAGTCCCAGCTATTTGGGAGGCTGAGGCAGGAGAATGGCATGAACCCAGGAGACAGAGCTTGCAGTGAGCCGAGATTGTGCCACTGCACTCCAGCCTGGGTGACACAGCGAGACTCCGTCTCAAAAAAAAAAAAAAAATTCATTATATATTTGTCAACACTTGTAGAATGTACAACACAGAGTCAACCCTAATATAAACCATGGACTTTGGGTGAATGATGTGTCATGTAAGTTCATAGACTGTAACAAACATACCATATACCATGGCGGGGGGTGTTGATACTGGGGGAGGCTAAGTGTGTGGGGGGTGGGCAGAGGGCACATGGGAACTCTGTACTTTCTGCTCAATTTTGCTGTGAACCTAAAACTGCTCTAAAAGATAAAATCTATTAAAAATAAAAAAATAAAAACAGGATAAGAGGAAGTAAAAATATTGTGATGACCTGATTCATTGAACACGCATAGCCTCCAGACCCACTCTGACACTGGGAACTCATTGATCCTTTGTGCCTCTCTCCTTTACTCTCTACTGTGACTCCTCCAGGCCCCCTTTCCTCTTAAACTGCTATTTCTGCTTCCCATAACCATAGTCCCCTCTCAATGGAAGCCTGTTCTGCTTTACAGATGATCAGACTCTCTTCTCACTCTCACACTCACTGGCCCTGAATCGCCTCTCATTTCCCCTAGAATCCTGGAGGGAGAGACTCTTCCCTTGAGGTCCTATAAGGTTAACCCCTTCATATACTTTCTGGATTGAATCGTAATCCCCTGAAATTCAAGTCCACCTGGAACTTCAGAATGTGACTTTATTTGGAAATAGGATCTTTGCTGATGTAATTAGTTAAGAAGCAATATACTGGACTAAGGTGCGTCCTAAGTCCAAAGTGATTACCATTCTTGCAAGAAGAGGAGAGGACATACAGAGTCACAGGACATGGTGGGATGTAGCCCATGTGAAGATGGAGGCAGAGACTGGAGTGATGCTGCTACAAGCCAAGGAATGCTGAGGATTGCCAACCACCACCAGAAGCCAAAAGAGGCAAGGAAGGGTTTCCTCCTTAGGGCCCACAGAGAGAACACAGCCCTGCCAACACCTTGGTTTTAGACTTAGAACCTCCAGAACTGGGAGAGAATGAATTCTGTCATTTAAAGCCACTTAGTTTGTGACATTTTGTTATGACAGTCCCAGGAAACTAGTACAGATTTTAATAACAGTAGTCATTCCTTTAGAACTCCACATCCATTATTACTATTCTTTCTACCTTCAAGTTTTCCTTGTGCTCTTTCACTTGTCTTCATTCATGTTCAGTCTATCCTAATATATATATATATATTTTTGAGACAGGGTCTCACTCTGTTGCCCAGGCTGGAGTGTAGCAGCACAATCACTGCAGCCTCAACCACATGGGCTCACGCAATCCTCCTGCCTCAGTCTCCTGAGTAGCTGAGACCACAGGTGTGTGCCACCACACCTGACTTTTTTTTTTTTTTTTTTTTTTTTTTTGTAGAGATAGGTTCTGACTATATTGCCTAGGGTGGTCTTGAACTCCTGGGCCCAAGTGATCCTTCTTCCTTGGCCTCCCAAAGTGCTGAGATTATAGGCATGAGCCACCATGCCTGGTCATAAATTAAAAAACAAAACAAAAAAACAAAACAAAACAAAAACTCTCAGTTTTGGCTTGTCTTGATAGTCCTTCAATAAACTGCTTCCATTTCTCACTTCCAAACACCTTCTTTTCTTTGTAATACTAAATTCCTAAATATGCTTAAAGCCCTTTCAAAACTATTTATTGTGTATCATATCAAGTTCTCACTATTCTGGCTTGCTGTTCTAGGCTTTCCTTAGTTTCATCCTGAACTTCTCAGACTCCTTTACATGTTTGCTGCGACCAGACAATCCTACTTCTGAGTCTTCTCTCATGCTATTTCCCTTTTATTTCTGGAATGCCTGGAAGCTCTCTGCAGTCTTCCCTTTGCTCTGTCTCTATAAAGCCTACTTAGGTTTCAAGACTCAACTTGAGGGCTCTCTTCTCTCTGAAGATTTGTCCTTCTTCTTCTAATACACTTGTTTCTTTATTTTCTGAACTCCTTTTATAGTGTTAGTCACCACCACATTTATGTATCTTCTTGTTTGCTAATCATTTTGTGACTTCTTTTAATCCATCTGACTTGATTTCAAGGTGTTTAGTACCAAAGACCATGCCTTTATACTTCTTTCTCTCCCCTCCTAGAGTTGAGCACAATGATGAACACACATTAGGATTTAAATAAATTCACCTTTGTAAGTTCCAGGGCAGTCATGGACTATTCAGCAAACATAGACAATGATTTCTGTTAGGAGACAACAGGCTTTATCTACTAGAATTCTCTGAGCGGGTCAATAAGCATGCGGACATCATTTCTTAAACTTTTCAAAAACCTTGAC
The DNA here is from genome assembly GCF_000001405.40 of Homo sapiens. Classification (NCBI taxonomy): domain Eukaryota; kingdom Metazoa; phylum Chordata; class Mammalia; order Primates; family Hominidae; genus Homo; species Homo sapiens. The sequence goes on along the minus strand of NC_000005.10, from coordinate 68,088,567 downwards.
AATTTTCCACACCAGAGGTTATTTAAAGATAAAAATGAGTCATGATGAGATTGTGGGGAATGTTTTGTCATGGTAAGGGAACTGGCTTAGGGTTCGGAAACAGCCTGAACCACTGCTTCTAGTAATGAATTCCATATGTTTACAACCTTCCACCCAGAGAAAATGGGGCCCTTCTCTGAAAAAGGAGGTCATATGGAGGGGAACCCCAAAAGGGTGCACATCTGTTTTATTTAGCATGTTTGGGAGGAGAGCTCACAATGAAATCTTTCTCAGAAATAGTGTCAATCAAAAGAGGGAACACTCGAGAAAACTTTGGTAGGGGTACATGTCATCAAAGATGTGACCAATGAGTCTGTGTTCTGTTCAATGACAAGAGAGACCCCTAGAGAAAATGCAACACAGGCTAGTTTTAGGTGCTGAATTCTGAGCTATCTGTTACTAGCAAGCAAGGGAACCAGGACATTCGGTTCTCTGGAGAGGCTAATCATTTGGCACCTCTTCAAACAGTGTTAAAGTATTTGCTAAACACTTATTTAGAAGAAAGGCTTAAGGCTACCTGGGAGAAGAGCCAAGAAGGCGGCAGCTCTAACTTCTTTTCTGTTGTCCTGAGACATTCATTTCAACCCCAAAGTTGCATATCCATATCATGGAAACAAAATAACAACTCTGCAGTTGACTGAACCCACCTTCCTCAGGGACTGTCTACTGTAACTCTATTAGGAGTTCTGGACTCTCACCTCCTCACCATTGCTATTCCAAATGGACTCCTATTGCTATATTGCTATTCCAAAGAATATCACTATTCCAAATGTACTCCTATTTGATAAAAGGAATTTTAACATAACAGTTGCTTGTTGCTAGAAATTAGTCTTGGGAGGAAAAGAGAATACACAAACAATCTGAAAGATTTGAATGATCTGAAAGAAAGAGGGCTTTATGGCAGGAGAAAGTATGACTCCCACCTGAAGTACAAGATGGAATCTAGAACCATCACGAGCCACTGTACTAATACAGGTAAGACAGGCCTGGGACCACCAGACCTGATGTAGACATTTCCAGGGGCTGGCAAGATGTTGATAGCTGTGGGACTAGGTGTTGCAGCCTTTGCAATTGAATATTTTACAGCTGCATATTTCAAGTCTGGAAACTTCTGCAACAAGTAGTCACAGAACATGTGAAAATTTCAACCCCTAGCCTTTCATACTCCTATAAAAAGGATTTAAACAGACAAAATGGGTAGGCGAGAAGCTAGTCTTATTTTAGGTGTAAGCCCATCTGCTGGTAAAGCTGAGATTAGAATGCTTCATAGAAAAATCATGATTTCAAATTAAGCGGATAACAATGACTCTCTTGTTTAGCAACCCAAATATACAAAGCAGAAGTCATGCTAGATTGAGCACCAAACAGTGATGTGCAAGGAGAAAGCAGAGCCTTTTCGTTCTTTCTTTTTATTAAAAAAAAAAAGTCCTATACAATGATCACATCCATTTCTTTTCAGGCAACTTAACAACAAATGATTAGCACAGACAAAAGAATTGAAGGAAGGAAGAAGCCGAATCCTTGGTGGTGAGTGCAGAAGAGGAATTTGCTCTTGGCAGGGCCCTCGTGATAGAGGAGAAGCTGAGTCAGGGATTCACGGAACAGAGCAATAAACAGATGGCCGCGCTGAGAGCAGTAATGACTGGACTTTCCAATGGCATCAAAAAGGTTTTTTTTTTTGTTTTCACCTCTCAATAACCGTGAACAGATATTTTAAGAAGTGGCAACACGTTAGAAAGAATAATTAATCTTTCCGGCTGAAAATAATTGTAACAGGAGTCTATAAGATCCCGAAAGTAGGAAGCTATACAATTGCTTCCTCAATACGAGCATCTGTTTAACCTTGTAGAGCAGGCACAACGTAATAGTCAATATGCTGCAACCCGGGGACACCCTGTTGGACAAGGCACTGCCCTAGACTTCATGGAACTCACCATGAAACTCCTTGTGAGAGGGACAGAAGCATGAGCATGCATATAGGAAGCCTTCAGTGGCCTCCTTTACTCCCATCCCCATTCACTACTACTCTCTCCACTCCAAGCCTGTGGCAGCTTTGTCCATCTTTCTTTATAGCACAGGTTACATTGAATTATGGCTGCCTGTTTCCTTGGAGCTCCTTAAAGTTATACACTATATTTTGCAGAATACATATTCATTGGCTAGTTAATTAAATTAATGGAAGAAACATATCCCTCAAGGGGATTTGAAACACCATACAAAAATACCTAAGAGTGACAGAGTAAAAATAAATCAGTGCATAAATAAATAAAATCAGTATACAGAGAAAACAGGTTAGAAAAAGTAAGATATATCCAGAGTAAGAAGATACTTCTTTTGAAAAGAACAAGAATGTTAAAATTTGAATTTTTTATAGAGACAGAGTCTCCCTACGTTGCCCACACTGGTCTCAAACTCCAGGCCTCAAGCAATTCTTCCTTGACCTCTCAAAGTGCTGGGATTACCCACCACGCCTGACCGGAAGAAACTCTTAAACTGAATTTTGCAGGGTGGATGGAGGTTTTTGGGCAGAGAAGTGAGGTTAAAGGAATTCTAGGCAGGGAGTTCTGGCATGTACCATGTTTGAATAACGGTGATGCTGGAAGCTGGGGTGGAGGGGGTGCTGATGAGGCTTGAGATTAGTGGGAGCTGCACTGTGGAAGGCTGTACAGAACAAGTTATGGATAGGAATTTATCTTGTGGGAACCTGGGAGCCAAAAATCATCATGATTGGATCCACATTTCAGAAATGTCTCTCTAGCAGCAGGGTGTTGGACAGATAAGAACATAAATTATGGAAGGCTGTCAGTTCCTTCTTTAATATCAACTCTCCTCAAATCTCTCATCATGTTTTCTATGAACATCAGAAGGAGACCTCACCTCTTATTTTGCAATTTTTGAATAGAACAAAAAAAAACTATTTGATGTGAACTTTTTGGAATACTTGGCTGCTCCCTCAGTCAACAAGAAGTACAACCACCCTCAAGTTCATTCCTCCTAGCCAATGAAAGAGGTACCTCTTTTCCTGCCTAAGACTCATTAGTTCACAATATCTGGTCAGGCATGTGGCTTCCCTTCGCTCCTATCTTTTGCCCCTTCTCTGTCCTGGCTCCTTCTTAACCAATAAAGCATACCCTTCCTCAGACCCTAGGTTCCCCTCAGATCATAAACTCTCCTTTTTTCCACAGTTAAGTTGCTGGAGATTTTCTACATTCACAGTCTGTATTTCTTCTCTTCTAAGTCACTCCTCAACAAATTTTTATTTGGATTTGATACCAAATTGCTCTTGCCAAGATTCCAGTAACCTCCAAGTAGCTAAGACTAAAGAATACTTCCATTATTATCTTATTCGACGTGACTGTAGCATTTGAAACAGTTGACTATTGCCTCCTTGAAACTCTCTCTTCCTTCATTTCCTCTTTCCTTTTCCATATAAAAAATATTTTTGTATTTCTATATGGAATACTATGATTAAATATAAATATTGTAATTACAACCCCAGCTTTTTTTGCAGACCTAGAATCCCATGCTTATCTCTTAAATGTTTATGTTTTCTAGAAATACTTCTCTGGACCTGAGAAAAAAGATGGATTAAAGGGACACATTTACGCATTATTAAAAGATGGGTCCACATGAAACCATCATTGGGATGACATTCAATAAGGAAGAAAAAAGAATAATGATACAATCCTAAGGAATATCAATATTCATGAAGTTGGGAAGAGAAATCAGGTAACACAAAGAAAGTGCAAATCAGAGGAGCAGATGGACAAAGTAAAGACAAGCATCAAGAAAGCCATGGATGAAGAGTTTTAAGAGGGAAGTGCCCTTTGGAAAGGTGAAGTACAATAATACATAACAAGCTCACTAGATGTGGCAATTAGGATACCAGTGTGGCCTTTGAGGGGACAATTTCAATGGAGTAGTGAAAACAGAAGAACAGAGAAGCTCCCTTACACCACTTACATGGGCTACTGAGAGAATGGGAAGTTAGCAAATGGAGACATTAATTTTCTATTTCATTTTCAAAAACCTTGGATGACACAGAGGGAGGGGGAGGGAACAATTTGAGTAGGAATAATGTTAAGGGAGGTCCTTGTCTCAATCTTTTCCTGCTGCTATAACAGAAGGCCTTGGACTGGGTAATTTACAAACAACAGAAATTTATTTCTTACAGTTCTGGAGGCTGGGAGGTCCAAGATTAAAGCAACAGAAAATCTGATGTCTGGTGAAAACGCCCTCTCTGCTTCCAAGATGGCGCCTTGTTGCTGTGTCCTCACAGGGCAGAAAAGATGGAAGAGCAAAAGGGACCAATGCTCTGTGAAGCCTCTTTTATATGGGCATGAATCTCATTCACGAAGGTGGAGCCCTCATGACCTAATCACCTTCTAAAAGCCCCATTGCTATCTTTTTTTAAAATTAATTAATTAATTTTTTATATCTGTAGGTTATTGGGGAACAGGTGGTGTATGGTTACATGGGTAAGTGCTTTAGTGGTGATTTGTGAGATTTGGGTGCACCCATGACCCAAGCAGTATACACTGCACCCCATTTGTAGTCTTTTATCCCTCCCCTCCTTCCCACCCTTTCTCCCTGAGTCAAGGCCCCACCTCTCAATACTATCACACTGGTGATGAAATTTCAACATGTGAATTTTGGAAGAACACATTTAGACCACAGCATCCCTTTAGGATAGTGGAGATTTGAACACACTTATAAACCCCAGGCAATCTTAGAAACTGGAAAGAAGTAATCTTACAAAAAATAAAACAAAGTGTTAGTTTATACAGATGTAATTAATAAATAGAGTCCTCCTAAATGGATATTCATTAAAGAATCATTTAAATAAATTGAAGTGCTACCATTTTGCAGGATTTTTCTTTGGTCAATGAATATGACCAAATATTATAAAAATATTTTCTGAGCATTAGCGGGCTTTGTGTATTCAAAGTATTAATGGGATGCAACATCATGAAATGTAAGACAAGTTGGCAAGTGTTGATGTAGTGGGAAGGGTCATGAAATTGGAATCTGGAGACCCATATCTGTCACCGACCAATCATTTAAGCTCTTCAGATCCCTAGTCTTCCATTTCAAGTTGAGGAGAGGAGGTTGGCCAAGATGGTCTAGTCTTCCCTAGGTAATTTTTGGGTTTTTTTGTAATTTTTATTTTAAGTTCTGGGGTACATGTGCAAGATGTACCCCAGATGTGCAGGTTTGTTACATAGGTAAACATGTGCCATGCTGGTTTGCTGCACCTGTCAACCCATCAATCCCTAGGTATTTTGTAAGGGCTCCTTTCAACTCCAGTAAATTTGGTTGTTTCTCAAGCTAGATTTATCTCATTCCAAGGTCTATGGACATATTCTCCTGGGTCTTTGAGTTCACAATGAAAAATCCTGAATTTTATATTTTCATTTTAATAATAAAGGACTAAATTTTTGATAATATGAAAGACAAACCCATGTCTGCTGATTTCAGCACCTGCATTTATTTTTGTATTTACAAATGTATTAAATACATGTAGTTTGGCTTTTTGATATCCTAAAAGGATTTCAAGTAAAATTTAGTAAGTTGGAAAGCTTCTCTAGTTACCTGTGATTGTTTGTTCTATTTTCTTTTTCTTTTTTTTTTTTTGAGACAGAGTCTCGCCCTGTCACCCAGGCTGGAATGCAGTGGTGTGATCTCGTCTCACTGCAACCTCTGCCTCCTGGGCTCAAGCGATTCTTCTACCTCAGCCTCCCAAGTAGCTGGGACTGCAGGTGCGTGCCACCATGCTGGGCTAATTTTTGTGTTTTTAGTAAAGACAGGGTTTCACCATGTTGGCCAGGCTGGTCTTGAACTCCTGACCTCAGGTGATCCGCCTGGCTTGGTCACCCAAAGTGCTGGGATTACAGACGTAAGCCACCTGCCCAGGCTAGTTTGTTCTATTTTCAAACTGATAACCTACATTCTGGATCTACCAATAAATTTATGTTGAATTATTTCATCTCATTAATGACAAAACTTTAATTTTACATCAATAATTTTCAACTAAAAGGTGTTTCCATAAGTTAAGATTTTCATTTATTTCTTTTCTTTTTTTGAGATGGAGTCTCGCTCTGTCACCCCAGCTGGAGTGCTGTGGTGTGACCTGGGCTCACTGCAATCTTTGCCTCTCAGGTTCAAGCGATTCTCCCACCTTAGCCTCCCGAGTAGCTGGGATTACAGACATCTGCCACCATGCCTGGCTCATTTTTTCTTGTGTTTTTAGTAGAGGCAGGGTTTCACCATGTTGGCCAGGCTGGTCTTGAACTCCTGGCCTCAAGCGATCCACTTGCCTTGACCCCCCAGAGTGCTGGGATTACAGGCACAAGCCACCACACCTGGCCAGGTAAGACTTTCATTTCTTTCTTTCTTTCTTTTTTTTTTTTTTTTTTTGAGATAGAGTTTCACTCTCGCTGCCCAGGTTGGAGTGCAATGGCACAATCTCAGCTCACCACAACTTCCACCTCCCGGGTTCAAGCGATTCTCCTGCCTCAGCCTCCCAAGTAGCTGAGATTACAGGCATGCACCACCACGCCCAGCTAATTTTTTTGTATTTTTAGTAGAGATGGGGTTTCTCCATGTTTGTCAGGCTGGTCTCAAACTCCCAACCTCAGGTGATCTTCCCACCTTGGTCTCCCAAAGAAGACTTTCATTTCTTAAGTGATTTAACATATTGATACTTTGACGTGACACCATGGAAATAACATATGGCATCAGTCTTCTAGCCTCAAGGGCTAGAAGAAGATGCTCAGATCAACCCAAGGTCAAAAGACATTTTATTGCTCTGAAGAAACAAAATCTTTGCAGAAATTTGAATGAAAAAATGCGGTGGCAAAATGGAGTTTTTACATTACAAACAATACTACAGGTGCATGGAACTGAAAAGAACCTTTGCCATTAACATCAGTACCCTTTTCACATCAAGCGAGAGGTTTCCATTTTAATGAAACAACCTGGCTGGGCGCAGTGGCTTATGCCTGTAATCAAAGCACTCTGGGAGGCCAAGGCGGAAGTATCGCTTGAGACCAGGAGTTCAAGACCAGCTTACATTAAATTACTTTATTTGATTATTATTATTATTTTGGTTTGTGGTTTGTACTTAATTTATAATTTTATTTTTATTTGATAGTTGTATAAAAACTATAGATATAAGTAAGGGGTTTGTACATGGATTTATGCTTATAGATATTTAAGTAACATTTTGATTAAATAATTTAGGTTACCATGTGTACCTTATTAATTTTTTAAGACATACATATGTAAGCCTTGAGAATCTGGTTTGGATTATACAGCTCTATCTATTTCTCTAAATTCTCCTAAGCTAAGAGTGGGGAAGCAGACAGTATTTGTGGCTGGGGGATGCTGATGGCACACAGAAAAGCCTAAAAATTATGGGGACCTCATGGAAATTGCTTCTCCATGGCCAGGCTCACATCCCCAGACAGGGAAAAGCCACAGGGAAAGGGAGACCTCAAAACCACTTGGCCAAACTGGAGGAAGCTGAATGAATGGGGTAGGTTAGGGTGACAATGGAGCAAAAAGGAAAATGAACTGCACCAATGCAACACTGGGTTTTTCAGGTGTTCAAAGAATCAGGTTTCAAAAGTTAAACATCAATCAGAAATGTACTAAAAGTGGTTTTCGAAAGAACAGTTCAAGGCTGGCATGTTAAATGAAGCAGCCAAGAGGACATTGGACATATTTAGCAATGGTCAGACCCTTCAGAGAGGACAGTGTTTAGTTAACAGCTTCACCATTCAAGAGAGGAGGGAAAACAAAGCCTGATGAAGATAGTGGAAAATGGCATCCAGCAAAAATATGAAAATGGGCTAAGCAAATCTAAGGTGTTTAACTTGGAAAGGAAACATGAAAAAATAAGAACATTTTTCTAGGGACAATTCTGCAAAGGGAGATTACACCAAATTGGTGACTGGAAGTTATCTATCTTACGTAATAATAAAAAAGAAGGCGGCAGGGCGCGGTGGCTCACGCCGTAATCCCAGCATTTAGGGAGGCGGAGGTGGGTGGATTGTGAGGTCAAGAGTTCAATTCCAGCCTGGCCAAGATGTTGAAACCCCATCTCTACAAAAACTACAAAAATTAGCCAGGCATGGTGGCAGGTGCTTGTAGTCTCACCTACTCAGAAGGCTGAGGCAGGAGAATCACTTGAACCCGGGCAGCAGAGGTTGCAGTGAGCAGAGATTACACCACTGCATTCCAGCCTGGGTGACAGAGTGAGACTCCATCTCAAAAAAGAAGGTATAGCTGCATGTTGTGGCTCACACCTGTAATCCCAACACTTTGGGAGGTCAAGGTGGGAGGATTGTTTGAGGCCAGCAGTTTGAGACTAGCCCTGGGCAACATAGTGTGACCTCGTGCCTGTATAAATAAAAAGTAGGACACATCTCAAACAATAGTGATTTAGGTTGGTAACATTTAAGAGAAACCACCTTAAAGGGAGCCTGAGGAGAACTCATGGGTTCTTGACAGAAGGTATAGAGATTGTCCCCAGGAGAGCTGGCAATCTGTTTCTTGAGATACAGTTGTGCCAGGATGAAATCTTAAGCCACTGGCTGTTTCTGTGCTTCTCTAAGAGGAAAAAGAGGTCAGGAGTTGAGAAATGACTGAATCCCAACAGGGCATCAGGAGTGTTAACAGACAGGACTCCAGTCTGGGATGTTGAGGAGGAAGCCACCAGAGTGTGACTTGGCGAGAACCTCCCTGCTGGTAGGAAAGGGATGGGTCAATGAATCCAAGGTGGCCTGCTGAAAAGGGGAGGTCATGTTTGGAGTTCTCAGAGTGGAAGACGCTGTGTATATATTAGGCCATCTTTTTTATTAAGGTCCACATACAGCAAATTAGATTGAGTATTTGCTAATACTTTCTACTCCTAGTATAGAGTCAACCTCTCTGGGGCTACTTCAGGCTCTTCTCCACAAAGGGCTTGGGTGGCGGGTGAGGTGGTATTGTTCCTCCCCCTGCCCTGCCCACCAAGTTTTTAATTCCAGTTGAAGGTCAAAATGCTTTTGTTTCACCAGAGAGCTCCTCAGAAAAAGCACAAAGGAAAAAAAAAAAAAAAAGGACCGGGTAAATGTACCAAAAATTTGGCCTTTTGAAAAGTAGGTTGAGAAATTCTTACTAGTGTATCTCTTACAGTTTCAAGCTGCTGTTTAACCATTTAATCAGTGACAATCTCACAGAGAGACCTGGAAAACATAGACTGGTAAAGTACAACACATTTTGGTGATGCTTTCGGTTCTTAAATGATTCTTTTTTTTTTTTTTTTTTTTTTTGAGACAGAGTTTCACTCTTGTTGCCCAGGCTGGAGTGCAATGGTGTGATCTCGGCTCACCGCAACCTCTGCCTCCCGGGTTCAAGCGATTCTCCTGCCTCAGCCTCCTGAGTAGCTGGGATTACAGGCATGCACCACCACACCCAGCTAATTTTGTATCTTTAGCAGAGACGGGGTTTCTTCATATTGGTAAGGCTGGTCTCGAACTCCCGACCTCAGGTGATCTGCCCACTTTGGCCTCCCAAAGTGCTGGGATTACATGCATGAGCCACTGCACCCGGCTAGGTTCTTAGATGATTATTCTAAAAGTTCACATACTGAGCACAACTCTCTGAGGAGTTTAGAGAGAAAATCATTTCACGGGGATAGTTACTGTGTGAGACATTCTGTGAAAACATTGGAAAATATGACTTTCCTCATGACATTTGCTGTCTCTGACTTTCCCATGGGGAAAATCTGAGGATCAATGAATTCCCATAAAGTGAACCCCACCACCGCCTCCCAGAGGCCGTCTGTCTGGAGATAGGAGTAAGCAAGGACCTGTTTCTGGGAGCAGGCTTTCCATTTGCATGTGTTTTATACTTGGAATTGAACTATGGAGACAGAAAGGCAGGCTATCCCGGCAAAGCTACAATAACATTTTTATTACCACATTTACTTGAAATTGATTGTTTGAGTCCCACTGAGGATATTTTCAATAAACCAAAACTTTGAGAAATTAGAAACAAATCGTTTCTTGAGTAGTTTGGGTCTTCATACTTCGAATTCAAAATAGAACACATCTATCGATCAAATTATTGATTGTTAACTTAATCAATTAAAAATTAGTTTAAGTGCTCACAATCTAAAATGATTTTTGATTTTTTGATGAAGTTTCCTGAGGGCTTTTCCTCCTCATACCTTCAAATGAGTAACAAAAAAAAAAGAGAAGAGTAACTTACCAGCCAGTGACTGTGTGGTGGAGACCTTATCTCGAGCTGTTGCTGCAAGGCAGGAGGGCGGAAGGTGAAGGCAGAGGGTGTAGTGAAAAGAGCCCTGGACTAGAGTAGCATACCTGGGCACAGCTGGGCCTTGAGTTCCTTTCTGCCACTCATCAGCTATGTGGAGTCGACTGATTCCCGTAACCTCTTTGGGCACAAATTTCCCTGTTTGAAAAAGATCACCCCTAAAATCCTACCTGCCATCTCTGCCTAAGAGTCTTTCACTTAGCTCACTTTTACCCGATCCAGTATTGACCTCATCGGCTTGTAGGCTTGTCCCTACAACTTACTTTCCTTCTCCTATCTTCCGGCACAGTGAAGGGAGCCATTGTCCAGCTGGCCATCCAAGAGCAAAGCCACTGGAGCTAACCTAACCTCCTTTGTTTTTTCCTGCTGTAATCTGCCTGTCTCTCAATCAGTTAATCACAAAGTCTGGTCATTTTTCCTTCTGAATATCTCTTGACTCTGCATGTCCGGTCCCAGAGCCCTTGCCTCAGGGCAGGCCGGTATCTTCCTGCCACTGCACTCCTCCCTCTGGACTCATCTCCTCATCTCCCATTACCTCTGTGCAAAACTTAATTAACATAATGTTACCTTTGTGATCTGGCTTCTGGCCCGCCCCATCTGTCAAAAGCTTTCTGCTTTCATTCTGCAGATAAGGGAAGTACTTGGAGCTCTTCAGGTGTGCTGTGCGTGCACTCGTCTCCATACCTGGGTACATACTTCTTGCCAGCAATTTCCGTCCCACCATTTTGGGTCTGAACAAGCCCATTCAGCCTTTGAGAATCCACTAAGGGATTGCCATTTTTTCTGAGCCTTCTGTGCCCTCTGCCCCTCTTCCCCCTTCCCTCAGTCTGCATAGTTGCTCCTCTTCTGAGCTTCTAAACTACCTCAGCTTTCAGGGCACATTGGACTTGCCTGTCCACCAAGTCTATTTGCAGCAGACTCTGAAGTCAACTTATCTTTGTATCTCCTGTAGCTGGCAAGTTTCCTGACACATAGTAGGTGCTGAAGTGTCAGGTCAATGAGTAAAAGTAGAATAAAGAAAGAAGGAGAGCAAGGAGAAGAGGGGAATGAAAGGGAGGGAGAGAGAAAAGAGAAAGGAATGAAAGAAAGAGGGAAGGAAAGAACAAAATGAGCTAACCACTTTCATGATATTGAGTAATAGGATTAAGATTGGGGAGGTAAGAAAGGATTATCTTGAGTGTCATAATGAGGAATTTGGATGTAATCCTCCGAGCAATGGGGAGCTATTGATGGTTTTTGAGTAAAGAGGTAAATTTGTTATTATCTACACAATTCTTTTACTTATTCCTGTCTCTCTCTCTCCCTCTCTCTCCCCACCGCTGCCCCTGTCTTCTTTCTCTCAAACCAGTATTTATTGAACAATTAGCATGCACCAGGCACTGTGCATAGTGCTAGCCACTGGGAGCCCAGAGGTAAGTAAGAAATACGCTTTATCTTTAAGGTTCTTATAGTCAATGAGAGGAGATGGAGAAGGAGACACACACTTGCAATCTTTTGTCAAAGGTATCGTGACTGAAACACGAATAAGTAGAGTGGAGGCTCAAAGTGAGAGTGGTTAGTTCTCACTGGTTAATGTTGAAGCAGAGCCTTCAATGACTGCTGGCTAGATGCTTACCAAACTGGGTCGTTCTTCTTGGGTGCACAGGTGAATTCTATCCCAGCCTTTCTTGCAGATGGGGTAAAGGTATGACTGAACTCTGGCCAATAGTATGTGGGAGAAAATATAAATTCCACATCCACCCCTGGCCCCTAAAAACTCCCATAGGTTTATAGGAATGGGGGGAGGTAGAGTGGCTGATAAGTCCTGAGAGATTCTCTTGATTTTCTGGGCTCAATGTAATCACAGAATAGTAGCAGTGATGGTAACCAGTGTTCATCTAATACAAGCCCTAGTTTTATTGAGGTAAGGAGACTGAGGCCCAGGAAAATGAAATGACTTGGCTACACTTCTCATGAATGGATGGATTCCCAGAAATCTGGGCCCACAAAGAGTTCACCTCATCAGAAGACTTGCCTTTCCTCTAAGCCTTGGGCGGTCAGGAAGCTCGGAACAGACGTTAATAATCAATTGCAATGATTCATTAATTGCTTGTGCCTTGAACAACAAATCTCACGTCCTACCTGGTTTTGTGTCTTACTTTAAATTTTCTTTCTTCTCATCTTTTTCCTTCTTCTCTGTTCCTCCTCCTCCTCCTTTTTCTTCACCTCCTCTTGTTTTCTTCTGTTTTTATATTGTCAGCTAACTGCAAGAAGGGACCAGTTGTCAGTGTCATTGTAGGCACTGTGGGCTTTTCTGTGTCTTTTATGGGAGCTGAGCAGAGCTCCTTAAAGTAGGCTTCAAGCACTGCTTTCTAATGAAATGCACTCTGCCTCCAGGATATAGAGAAGGGAGCCCTGGCTTCTTCTAGTGGTTCCCAGGCAACTGCTATCGCTCAGGGACTCAAGTCAGGGACACTCTGTCACCTGTGCTTCCAGATAGTTTCCAAAGTGGTTGTGACAAAACCTCCCTTTAATTGGTGCTCTCATCTGAATAGGTTTGTGACCTATGGATCCCATCTCTTCTAGATCTTGGAAGGTGCTAGTTGTATGGGTCTTGGCCTAGTACTGAAACTCAGGGTCTCTGGACAATAATTACTGCTTGGATGTGTCCTGTATTCATAAGTGTAGCCCTTCAAAACAGCCCTGACCCTCTGTCCACTTTGGATGACACGAGCAGGTACTGTGATCACTCCCCCAGTCCCTAACAGTGATTTGAGAAACATTTGGAAGAGTAAGTTTAAACTTATCTTTAAGTATAAGATCAAAACTATATCAAGGTATCACTGAGAAGCAGGAGAACTTTCTTTTTCTTGTTTTCACTGAAGTATTCATAGACCCACTTTGAGATTTTCAAAATAACATAAACGTATTAAGGATCTCAATAGAATAGGAGGTGAGTAGGGGCTGGCGGGGAGGGGAAGTGAGGCAAATACTCATCCATAGGAATTAAGAGTACAGTGTTCTTTTTTTTTTTTTTTTCCCTTGGGGTGGGGGAAGTTGTTGTTTTGTAGAAGTTGTTGTTTTTGTAGAATGTCTGAAAGATAAAGAGATAGGAAACCAGATTGGGCAGGGGAAATCAGACAGTGATCCAGAGCTGATGCCTAGAACAGGAAAAGGAGAGGATAGCAGACCCGGCCTGGGAAATTCTCTGGCTGTAATTCACATCTGACAGAGCTTGGCCAACCCAATAGGAAGTTTTGGTGCCAAGCTGGCCTGTGAGGAGTCCACCACCAGCCAGGGCTGATTCTGGGTCCTGATGCTCCACCATGCTCAGTCATTGGCTGGGAGCTGCCTGGAAAGACCATAGCTCAGAGTGACACTGTGGCAGACACTGAAGGCGTTGTCCCTGGAGACTGTCACCTAACAGCACTCCTTGAGGCTGAGTGGCAAGTTGCTTTCCTGAGGGAGGCCTAAGCTGGTACCATAGCTGCCACTGGGTGGGGGTGAATTCTGGAGAATGAGTGGGTGAACACATAAAAAGAGAAGGGGAGAGAGAGAGACAATTTAATTTTTATCAGGAAATGACTATCATCTTTTTCTTTTATGAAAAATAACCACTAGGTGTGCAGATACCTGTGATACATTTAGTTGTAATTAATTAAGCAACAGGATCATATTCAATTTTAAGGGCCTAGAGAGTAGGGTTTGGGATTATTTTACATATCACCTGGGTCTAGAGCAGGGGTCAACAAACCATGGCCTGTGGACACAGACTGACCCACAGCCTGTTTTTTGTAAATAAAGTGTTATCAGAACACAGCCAGGAACATATTTTTCTATACTGTGTGTGGCTTCATTTGCACTACAATGGCAGAGTGGAATATGGTCCTAAAAGCCTGAAATATTTACATTGTATCTGACCTTTTATAGAAAAGATTTGCTGACTCCTTACCTAGTTTAATAGCTGCCCTCCAATTATCTCCTGTATGTGATTGGCCTGATGCCCAGCCTGAGGACAATTGCGCAATTAATTAGAAGCCTCTGAAAACTCCTTCTAGCCCAGTTGATCACCCATGTTGTTATAATGGTAGGGAGAGGGGTAGGGATAAGAGTAGGACACTTGGAACTTGATTTGCCACAATAGTCACTGCTTGAGTCTATGGCTTTAAGTCATAGTTAAAGTGATCATTAATTATATGTGAAAGGGTGACGTATTCAATTACTATTATTCTGCAGGTTTAGTTTATCAGATTAGCTACCAGGACTAAATTAGTGAGATTTGAGGATTGGGATATAGGTGGGGTGAGAAGCTGAGGTTTAGGCTTGATTCTTCAGGAGAGGACACTGGGATTCCAGGCTAGAAACCCATTAAGAGTGAGGAGACGAAATAGAGTAATCATTTCCTATGACAGTAAATTATGATGATGGGCAAATCCTTTCATTCAACAAATATTTACTGAGCATGTGCTATGTGCTGGGCCCTGCTCTAGGTGCTGGAGATGCAGCAGTGATCATAACACAATAATCTCTTTTCCTGACTTGTGCCTATGTCAACTTAATCTACAAGCAGCTTGTCTCCTGTGATCAACTGCCTATGGAAAAGATCAGGCTAAGAATGTCATTTAAAAAATGGCTTTCATTTCCAATAATCCCACAGTGAAACACAATAGCTTTGATAGATAATCCCACAGTGAGGCACATTAGCATTGATGGAAAAGTCAGGAAAAGGAGAATTTTTGTCTGTTTTGTTTACCTAGAGCAAGGCCTGGCACATAGTAGGTGCTCAATAACTTGTTGAATGAACACATAGCCACATCGTAATCTATTGACAGGCAATACAGAGGCATTTGCCTGCAATCCTGGTGCAACTTACAGTCCACTGAAAAGGACAGACAATAAGCAAAATAAATAAGAGAAATACATAAGATAGTGTATATAAAGTGATGATTACTAGGGAGAAAAAATAAAGCTGGGAAGTGGGATATGATGTACTTGTGTTTCGGGGTTGAAGGAAGCACTGACATTTTATGTGGTGCACCAAGGCATGACTCCTGAGAAATTGGATTAAAGAAGGCCAGGCACAGTGGCTCATGCCTGTAATCCCAGCACTTTGGGAGGCCGAGGTGGGTGGATCACCTGAGGTCAGGAGTTCGAGACCAGCCTGGCCAACATAGTGAAACCCTGTCTCTACTAAAAATACAAAAATTAGTCAGGTGTGATGGTGCACACCTGTAGTCTCAGTCACTGGGGAGGCTGAAGCAGGAGAATCACCTGAACCCAGGAGGCGGAGGGTGCAGTGAGCCAAGATCATGCCATTGCACTTCAGCCTGTGTGACAGAGTGAGACTCTATCTCAAAAATAACTACAACAAAAAAAAGTTGGAGTAAAGAGAAGTGGGTCTGTTTTTTCATGGGCCTCTCCATCAGCCTCTTCAACAAAACACACAAAAAATTAACAACAAAAAAAACGCCACAAAACATACAAAAAATTAACTTAAAAAACCCAAAACACACAAAAAATTAAAAAAAAAAAAAAAGAGAGAGAGAAGGCTGGGCACGTTGGCTCACACCTGTAATTCCAGCACTTTGGGAGGCCAGACTGGCGATCACCTGAGGTTGGGAGTTCGAGACCAGCCTGGCCAACATGGAGAAACCCCATCTCTACTAAAAATACAAAATTAGCCAGGCGTGGTGGCACATACGTGTAATCCCAGCCACCCGGGAGGTTGAGGCAGGCGAATCGCTCGAACCTGGGAGGCAGAGGTTGTGGTGAGCCGAGGTCATACCATTGCACTCCAGCTGGGCAACAAGAGTGAAACTCCGTCTCAAAAAAAAAAAAAAAAAAAAAAAAAGAGATTGCCACTTCAGACATGTTGTGCAAAAAGAAAATGTATAAAAAATGGGATGAATGCTGTATTTTTTTTAACCTGTGGCATCATCAGATATAAAATGCAAAGTAATAGCTTGGGAGATTTGTGAATGTCAAACTGATTAATTTCAGGCTTATCACTGCGTAGGCTATTGAACTTGCCTATTGGTTAAAACAAATTCTGGGTCTGCCCTTCTTAAAGGCTTTCAGGCATGAGTATAGGGTTCCTTACAGTGTTAAAGCTCTGCACAATAAAAGTCCTGGCTATAAATTTTGCTGTGCTTCCCGGCTAAATGGACACTTTGAGTGGAGACAGACTGGCGGGAGCTGAGGTAGTTATAGCTTTGATTGACTGCCCCTCTATCATTCCATCTTCCAAGAGCCTTGAGCAGAGTTGAGAGTATTGAGCATGTTGATTGGCTGCTGTTCAGAGATTGAGACAATGCAAGTGATGTCTAACCTTGGTCAGTTTGTAGGCAACACTACCATGATTTTGTGTGGTTAAGTCACGTGAGCATTAGGAAACGAAGGAATGAGGGAATGGGATGTTTGTTAATACATCTCTTGAGAGGTTAGTCCTCTCTGACTCATTTACTTCCCGGAAGTCGTGTAGGAGAGTCATTAATAGAAAATCACCTGTGAAAATTTGCTATTTGTACTCAATGTAACATCGAATGTGAAGGTCAATTGATAATATTTGCTTTGAATATCCCAGATTTGGGGTATCTCTACTGCTTTCTTTCTTTCTTTTTTTTTTTCTTTCCCTCTGGTGCTAAAAAAGCTCAAATGAATCTTGGCAAAAAAAAAAAAAAAGAAAACACCAAAAAAAAAAAAACTTTTTTTTTTTTTTTTTTTTTTTTTTAATCAACTGCAGATGTTGGAGACGAATTTTGTTGGATACTGTGGTTAGAACATAGCTCAGGTCCCCACAAGAGTCACATTTTCTAACTCCAGGGCTCCCCGTTTGAAAGTAATGAATATATAATTGAAATCAATAAGATTTTCTGGCCGTGAGATCTTTAAAAATTATTATTCAGTCTCTTGTTAGTTTTTCATCAACTTTCATTTGATATGTTTTTATTTACTTTGATGCTGGTAAAACTCTCCTAATGCTGTAATTATAGGAGTAAGACTGAATATGTTTTGCTAAACATCTGTGAGGAAAATGCAGTGTTTGATTTGTTTCTTTTTTAATTTGCAGTTTGGAAGAGGTTGATTAATCCACTGGTAGAGTCATCTGTTCCATCTTAAGTTACACCCATTAGAGGTTGTTATAAATCCATCTGTGTAGTAAACTGAGATTTCTGGAGACTAAACGACTTCATGGATCTGTAACTCTATTAAACAATATAGTTTCACTCCTTAGTTAGGATTATTCTAAATCATGCACTAGGACCACATTTTGAATATCTTTTTGTGAACAGAAATTTTATTTGCTTGTTGGTTTCATGACTTGAGTCATACTAGTCACCTTCTGTCATCTTGGCTTGTGGTACCATATTGAGTCAGAATTTTAGTATTCATTAAAAAAATTCAAATATTTGGTTTTCTTAAATCATATTTGGAAACGTTTTGGTTCCCCTGTCATCTGAAGGACTATCTCCAGGGAGAAAGTGTGTGTGGAGTCACATGTGCTCACCCATATCACATCCTTTTCTGTTGCTGTTGTGCACATGGAGCTGTACAGCAACCTCAGAAGGCCAGCAATTTGCTAGTGAAACCAAGCTAAGGGACAGTCATCTTAGAAAGTCCCCAAGGGAATTTTTCAGTGTCATCTTAAGTTTTCAAAGGCATGTGCCTGAGGCACAAATGGATAAAATAAAAACCAGAATTTTAGAACTTCAAAATTTTCAATTTGTCCCACGTATTGTAAGATATATAAAAAGAAAAAAAGAAAATGGAACTCGATTCACAGCTTTACGTGATTATAAGTTCAAAATAGTTGGTATCTCTAAAGAGTTGAAAAGTAAAATGAAAATAAACCTAGAGCGAGGAGACTAAGCTGCATGAGCACCAAAAGAGAGCTTTAGTGTTACCTGGGAGAATAGAAACGTTCTATTGACTGTTCACCATTGTATTTATTCCCAATGTCTTGTGGGTGTTAAAATTGGGAGCTAGGGCCAGGCGTGGTGGCTCATGCCTGTAATCCCAGCACTTTGGGAGGCCGAGGTGGGCGGATCACGAGGTCAGGAGTTTGAGACCATCCTGGCTGACACAGTGAAACCCCGTCTCTAGTAAAAATACAAAAAATTGGCCGGACGTGGTGGCAGGTGCCTGTAGTCCCAGCTACTCGGGAGGCTGAGGCAGGAGAATGGCGTGAACCCAGGAGGCGGAGCTTGCAGTGAGCCAAGATCGGGCCACGGCACTCCAGCCTGTGCGACAGAGCGAGACTCCGTGTCAAAAATAATGATGATAATAATAATAATAATAGGAAGCTTGATTAAATTTACATCGCATTACAAGACATTTTCATCTCCATGCATATGATGAGTGCAATGAGATTTTACTAATTTCTTTTTTTTTTTTTTGAGTCAGAGTCTCTCGTTCTGTCTCCCAGGACGTAGAGACACTGACTATACGGGCCAAAATATTTCTTGATCAAAAATGTTATGGGATCTGGCATCCAGATTTAGCTGGTTCTACTAAATCTCCAGTTTGATAAACGTATCAACATTTTTTTGTTTAAGTTTATTTTAAATCCCTGTTAGTTTTAAACTCCTAGGTAAATTTAATACAACTGGAAATATTGTAGGCTATTTTTGTAGCATTTATTATGAACATGATATTTTTAAAAAGGGTCTTTTACACATAAACATATCTTAACCTGAAATTTGGAGGTTTATTATTTATGTAGATTTATAAAATTTATTCAATAGCAAGAAAGAGTAAAAAACAAAATCAAGTAGAAAAAATAAATGTACAATTGTGACAATTGTACTGTAAATGAATTCCTTACGCAGATGCGTTTTTTTTAAGTAGGTGAAACTTTAGAATAGTGATAAGACTTCGCTTTTTCCTGAGACTAGTATACTTATCATAGGTGCCCAGAAACAAACTCTAACTATAAAATACCTCTTGGAGCATGGTATAATCAGAAATGTCAGTTTTTGCAGACTTCTTCAGTTTTCAAATATTTACACCTGGTATTAAAATTAATTACATTAGGCTGGGTGCGGTGGCTCATGCTTGTAATCCCAGCACTTTGGGGAAGCCGAGGTGGGCAGATCACCTGAGGCCAGAAGTTCAAGACCAGCCTGGCAAACATGGTGAAACCCCATCTCTACTAATGTAAAGTACAAAAAATTAGCCGGGCGTGGTGGCAGGTGCTGTAATCCCAGCTACTTGGGAGGCTGAGGTAGAAGAATCCCTTGAATCGGAGAGGTGGAGGTTTCAGTGAGCTGAGTTGGCACCACTACACAACAGCCTGGGTGACTCCATCTCAAAAGGATAAAATAAAATAAAAATTAAAAAAAAATAAATTACACTTTAGAAATAGATGTATCCCTATCTTCCATCTTGCAACCACCTGCAGGATACAAAAGTAGCAAACTATTAGGTATCAAGCCAAAGATCCCCACGGGGCTCAGGAAAATGGCGTTTGGTTGACTGGAGAGAAAGAATGAGTGACACAGAAGAGGACTTTAGAAAGTAGCCCTTAGGGTCACTCAGCTGATTTCAGGACGTTGCTCAATGGGCATTGTTCATGACCATCTTTAAAAATGGCTTCGCTTGAGTGAACTCAAAGAAATGAAGGGCATGTGAGTTAATCCAAATGCATATCTTTGTTAACTGAGGGTCGACTCCAGAGGACAACTAATGTACTCACTTCGGAGGTCAATGTGTAGCTTCTAAATTTCAGTCCAATTAAGTCAACGTAGTTTGTACACGGCATTCTCCTGCAGGCTGGAGCTGGTGATTCATAGGCCCCTCAGCTGTTGTCAACAGCATTGGCTTTAAGGGCTCTGACAAATGACATTAGAAAATACATTCAGTGCTTGAGTCAGGGTGCCTGATGAAAACAGTATGTAGCATCTTTAATGTCCCTCAAAATACCACATCATTTCATTATTAAATTTCTGTGTCCCAAATTGGACCTGTTGAAAGGGCTCTTGAGCAATCCCAGTCTTTTTTTACCACTTCTCAAATGGACAAAACTTTTCTATAAAAATATTTGGTCTGCTTTCTACTGTCACTTCTGAATTTAATTGGCTGTTGGGGTTTGCCTCCAGCTGTCATTTTTGGAGCACAGTTGTAGAACTAAACTCTTAAATAGTTGGGTCAGGGGTCTAAGTCATCTAAAATGGATCTTTAAGACCATGGGATTGAAGTTTTGTCTTTGTACCTCCGGTGTTCTGGAGAGAAGTAGAAGAAAGGAAAAGAGATAAGGACATGGAAGTCTCCAGGCCAAGCCCATCAAGGCACGAAAGTGTGCAGGTACCAAATGGACGCAGTTTGAATAGGACTGAAAGACAAATGTTACAACACTGAAGTGGGCTCTCCAGAAAGCCTGATGGCTGAAAATATCCAACAGTTAAGAGAACCATCTGGATTTGAAGTTGAAGTGTAGCCTGGACTTCAAGAGAAGCTTTAAAAAAGGTATTTCTGGTAAACCTGGGGTGAAATGTTAGTGAAGACAGGGGAGAAGATCTCATGATTTGGTGGCAATATGTAAGAAACTGCAGTTTCTTACATATTGTGTTTGGTAAACCTTTCATTTTAAAGCTTTTGCAATTAGACTTTATGAGACACTTGGAGATCAAAAGACAGGGACATTCTGTATAAAGAGCATGACATAAGAAGACATGGATTTCAACATCACAGTATCATACTTACTCAACCCCTGACTTCGGGTAAGTCATTGAAAAGTTTTAGGCCTTATTTTTTTTTAGAGATAAAAAATAACCCATAAAGTCTCTTCTAGTTCCACATTTTAAATTTTTTCTTGTATTTTTTCTGACTTCCTTTGCCTATTCCTATTCAAATAAGGAAATGCAGAGCAAACCTGAGTGGGTGAGAAAGAGATCCTCTTACTAACCCCTTCTCCCTGTCTTCACAATTCCTAACACACTCACAGCCCCCAACGTGCCTGCTGATGCTTTTGTATTTTCTTGTCAGGAAGGTTTCTGGGTAAATAATAATAGATGGGCACATCTTACTCAGTTGAAAACAAGAAAAGGTCATTTGATGATTAAAACAAATCCTAGTGGTTCCAATAAATAAATTAACTTCTAGGTAGTATTTTTTTGATAGAGACTATCCCCTTTATCATGCATATTGTGTGTGTTTTTAAAAAATTAGACAAAGGACTTTCAGTTGCCAGTTCTGCATATAAGGAGCTAAGTGTTACCATTCCATCTTAACAAGTAAAAAGCTGAACAACCTGAAAATTCAACAACTCTTTTTAAATATTTAAGAGAAGTGAGGTCACAGGGCAAACCACTGCCCTCAAAATTGAAGAGATAGGTGAATATAAAGAATCATAACTTATTGGAGTAGAAACCTCTGCAGAAACTAGTGCCTGAGTAGGAAAACCTGAACTGTAAATTGATGAATTGCTGGAGGCAATGTGGACAAGTCTGAGAGTTAAAAATTCCACAGGACCCAGTCATCAGGGGCCCACACTTTTGTGAATTTACCTCCGGGAACCCAATCTGGTTCTCACAGTAAAAATCGGAGAAAATTCCCCACGATTCTGAAAGTGGGAGGAGAAAATGAACAATTTAAAAACATTGCTGAACACTGTTTTTAACAAGGCTGCCTCAGGATAAATTATTTAACCAGAGTCTAACTTGCTGAGGTTTTATCAGAGCCTGAATTACCTGAGAGAAGTCAAATATCCAGCTTCCAGCTAGCCTTCCATGTAGGAGAAGGGAAACACACACTCATCCACTCTAGTCATACTGTCTCACCTAAGGGAGGAGAAAAAGGAGAAACAATTGTGAAGTTCACAGTGTAGGGGCACAGACTCACTAAAAAGACTGAGATTGAATCACAGCACTGATCATAGAAGGTTTTCCATTTTCCCACTTCTTGCCACCACATTAGTAAAGTCCTTTACAGCATGTCTTTTTACCTACTGCAACATTTTTGGCTATCAAGAAAGAATTACAAGGCATACTAAAAGGCAAAATATACAGTTTAAAGAGACAGAGCAAACATCAGAACCAGACATAGAAGGGATGTTGAAATGATCAGACAGAAAATTTAAAACAGCTGTAATTAATATGCTAACAGCTCTAAAGGATAAAGTCTACAGCATGTAAGAACAGATGGGCAAGTGTCTTCATTCCTGCTGCTATAACAAAATATCTTAGGCTGCGTAACTTATAAACAACAGAAATTTAATACTCATAATTTTTTGAAGGCTGTGAAGTCCAAAATCAAGGGACCAGAAGATTTGGTGTCTGGTGAAGGCTTGCTTTCTGCTTCAGAGATGGCACCTTCTAGCTGCACCTTGTCATGGCAGCAGGGCAAGGAAGCTCCCTCCAACCACTTTATTATTATTATTATTATTATTATTATTATACTTTAAGTTCTAGGGTACATGTGCACAACATACAGGTTTGATACATAGGTATACATGTGCCATGTTGGTGTGCTGCACCCATTAACTCGTCATTTACATTAGGTATTTCTCCTAATGCTATCCCTCCCCACTTACCCCACCCCACGACAGGGCCCGGTGTGTGATGTTCCCCATCCTGTGTCCAAGTGTTCTCATGGTTCAATTCCCACCTGTGAGTGAGAACATGTGATGTTTGGTTTTCTGTCTTTGCGATACTTTGCTCAGAATGATGGTTTCCAGCTTCATCCATGTCCCTACAAAGGACATGAACTCATCCTTTTTTGTGGCTGCATAGTATTCCATGGTGTATATGTGCCACATTTTCTTAATCCAATGTATCATTGATGGACATTTGGGTTGGTTCCAAGTCTTTGCTATTGTGAATAGTGCCACATTAAACATACTTGTGCATGTGTCTTTATAGCAGAATGATTTATAATCCTTTGGGTATATACCCAGTAATGGGATCACTGGGTCAAATGGTATTTCTAGTTCTAGATCCTTGTGGAATCACCACACTGTCTTCTACAATGGTTGAACTAGTTTACAGTCCCACCAACCGTGTAAAAGCATTCCTATTTCTCCACGTCCTCTCCAGCACCTGTTGCTTCCTGACTTTTTAATGATTGCCATTCTAACTGGTGTGAGGTGGTATCTCATTGTGGTTTTGATTTGCATTTCTCTGATGGCCAGTGATGATGAGCATTTTTTCATGTCTGTTGGCTGCATCAATGTCTTCTTTTGAGAAGTGTCTGTTTAAATCCTTTGCCCACCTTTTGATGGGGTTGTTTGATTTTTTCTTGTAAATTTGTTTAAGTTCTTCATACATTCTGAATATTAGCCCTTTGTCAGATGGGTAGATTGCAAAAATTTTCTCCCATTCTGTAGGTTGCCTGTTCACTCTGATGGTAGTTTCTTTTGCTGTGCAGAAGCTCTTTAGTTGAATTAGATCCCATTTGTCAATTTTGTCTTTTGTTACCATTGTTTTTGGTGTTTTAGTCATGAAGACCTTGCCCATGCCTATGTCCTGAATGGTATTGCCTAGGTTTTCTTCCAGGGTTTTTATGGTTTTAGGTCTAACATTTAAGTCTTTAATCCATCTTGAATTAATTTTTGTATAAGGTGTAAGGAAGGGATCCAGTTTCAGCTTTCTACATATGGCTAGCCAGTTTTCCCAGCACCATTTATTAAATAGGAAATCCTTTCCCCATTGCTTGTTTTTCTCAGGTTTGTCAAAGATCAGATGGTTGTAGATGTGTGGTATTATTTCTGAGGGCTCTGTTCTGTTCCATTGGTCTATATCTCTGTTTTGGTACCAGTACCATGCTGTTTTGGTTACTGTAGCCTTGTAGTATAGTTTGAAGTCAGGTAGCATGATGCCTCCAGCTTTGTTCTTTTTGCTTAGGATTGTCTTGGCAATGCGGGCCCTTTTTTGGTTCCATATGAACTTTAAAGTAGTTTTTTCCAATTCTGTGAAGAAAGTCATTGGTAGCTCGATGGGTATGGCATTGAATCTATAAATTACGTTGGGCAGTATGGCCATTTTCACGATATTGATTCTTCCTATCCATGAGCGTGGAATGTTCTTCCATTTGTTTGTGTCCTCTTTTATTTCATTGAGCAGTAGTTTGTAGTTCTCCTTGAAGAGGTCCTTCACATCCCTTGTAAGTTGGATTCCTAAGTATTTTATTCTCTTTGTAGCAACTGTGAATGGGAGTTCACTCCTCATTTGGCTCTCTGTTTGTCTGTTATTGGTGTATAAGAATGCTTGTGATTTTTGCACATTGATTTTGTATCCTGAGACTTTGCTGAAGTTGCTTATCAGTTGCAATATCAGGAGATTTTGGGCTGAGACGATGGGGTTTTCCAAATATACAATCATGTCATCTGCAAACAGGGACAATTTGACTTCTTCTTTTCCTAATTGAATACCTTTTATTTCTTTTTTCTGCCTGATTGCCCTGGCCAGAACTTCCAACACTATGTTGAATAGGAGTGGTGAGAGAGGGCATCCCTGTCTTGTGCCAGTTTTCAAAGGGAATGCTTCCAGTTTTTTCCCATTCAGTATGATATTGGCTGTGGGTTTGCCATGAATAATTCTTATTATTTTGAGATACATCCCATCAATACCTAGTTTATTGAGAGTTTTTAGCATGAAGGGCTGTTGAATTTTGTCAAAGGCCTTTTCTGCATCTATTGAGATAATCATGTGGTTTTTGTCTTTGGTTCTGTTTATATGATGGACTACGTTTATTGATTTCATACATTGAACCAACCTTGCATCCCAGGGATGAAGCCAGCTTGATCGTGGTGGATAAGCTTTTTGATGTGCTGCTGGATTCAGTTTGCCAGTATTTTATTGAGGATTTTTGCATCGATGTTCATCAGGGATATTGGTCTAAAATTCTCTTTTTTGTTGTTGTTGTATCTCTGCCAGGCTTTGGTATCAGGATGATGCTGGCCTCATAAAATGAGTTAGGGAGGATTCCCTCTTTTTCTATTGATTAGAATAGTTTCAGAAGGAATGGTACCAGCTCCTCTTTGTATCTCTGGTAGAATTCAGCTGTGAATCCATCTGGTCCTGGACTTTTTCTGGTTGGTAGGCTATTGATTATTGCCTCAATTTCAGAGCCTATTATTGGTTTATTCAGGGATTCAACTTCTTCCTGGTTTAGTCTTGGGAGGGTGTATGTGTCGAGGAATTTATCCATTTCTTCTAGATTTTCTAGTTTATTTGCATAGAGTTGTTTATAGTATTTTCTGATGGTAGTTTGTTTTTCTGTGGGATCGGTGGTGGTATCCCCTTTATCATTTTTATTGCATCTATTTGATTCTTCTCTCTTTTCTTCTTTATTAGTCTTGCTAGTGTTCTATCAATTTTGTTGCTCTTTTCAAAAAACCAGCTCCTGGATTCATTGATTTTTTTGAAGGTTTTTTTGTGTCTCTATCTTCCTCAGTTCTGCTCTGCTCTTAGTTATTTCTTGCCTTCTGCTAGCTTTCGAATGTATTTGCTCTTGCTTTTCTAGTTCCTTTAATTGTGATGTTAGGGTATTGATTTTAGATCTTTCCTGCTTTCTCTTATGGACATTTAGTGCTATAAATTTCCCTCTACATACTGCTTTAAATGTGCCCCAGAGATTCTGCTATATTGTGTCTTTGTTCTCATTGGTTTCTCAAAGATCTCAAAGAAGATCTTTATTTCTGTCTTCATTTCATTATGTACCCAGTAGTCATTCACGAGCAGGTTGTTCAGTTTCCATGCAGTTTAGTGATTTTGAGTGAATTTCTTAATCCTGAGTTATAGTTTGATTGCACTGTGGTCTGAGAGACAGTTTGTTATAATTTCTGTTTTTTTACATTTGCTGAGGAGTGCTTTACTTCCAACTATGTGGTCAATTTTGGAATAAGTGTGATGTGGTGCTGAGAAGAATGTATATTCTGTTGATTTGGGGTGGAGAGTTCTGTAGATGTCTATTAATTCTGCTTGGTGCAGAGCTGAGTCAATTCCTGGATATCCTTGTTAACTTTCTGTCTCGTTGATCTGTCTAATGTTGACAGTGGGGTGTTAAAGTCTCCCATTATTATTGTGTGTGAGTCTAAGTCTCTTTGTAGGTCTCTAAGGATTTGCTTTATGAATGTGAGTGCCCCTGTATTGGGTGCATATATATTTAAGATAGTTAGCTCTTCTTTTTGAATTGATCCCTTTACCATTATGTAATGGCCTTCTTTGTCTCTTTTGATCTTTGTTGGTTTAAAGTCTGTTTTATCAGAAACTAGGATTGCAACCCCTGCTTTTTTTTGTTTTCCATTTGCTTGGTAGATCTTCTTACCTCCCTTTATTTTGAGTCTATGTGTGTCTCTGCACATGAGATGGGTCTCCTGAATACAGCACACTGATGGGTCTTGACTCTTTATCCAGTTTGCCAGTCTGTGTCTTTTAATTGGAGGATTTAGCCCATTTACATTTAAGGTTAATATTGTTAGGTACGAATTTGATCCTGTCATTATGATGTTAGCTGGTTATTTTGCTCGTTAGTTGATGCAGTTTCTTCCTAGCATCCATGGTCTTTACAACTTGGCATGTTTTTGCAGTGGCTGGTACCAGTTGTTCCTTTCCATGTTTAGTGCTTCCTTCAGGAGCTCTTGTAATGCAGGCCTGGTGGTGACAAAGTCTTTCAGCATTTGCTTGTCTGTAAAGCATTTTATTTCTCCTTCACTTATGAGGCTTAGTTTGGCTGGATATGAAATTCTGGATTGAAAATTCTTTTCTTTAAGAACATTGTCTCTTGGCCCCCAGTCTCTTCTGGCTTGTAGAGTTTCTGTGGAGAGATCTGCTGTTAGTCTGATGGGCTTCCCTTTGTGGGTAACCCAACCTTTCTCTCTGGCTGCCTTACCATTTTTTCCTTCATTTCAAACTTGGTGAATCTGACAATTATGTGTCTTGGGGTTGGTCTTCTCAAGGAGTATCTTTGTGGTGTTCTCTGTATTTCCTGAATTTGAATGTTGGCCTGTCTTGCTAGGTTCCTCTAGCCTCTTTTATAAGGGCACTAATCTACTCATGAGGGTGCAGTCCTCATTACTTAGTTACTTGCCAAAAGGCTCTTAATACTATCACACTGAGTACTAAGTAACAATAGATGAATTTTGGCAGCTACCAACATTTGAACTATATCATCAATGTAAGCAAAGAGGTAAATCCGAAGAAAGAACCAACAATAAATACTAGAGATAAAAAGAACTGTAATGGCCAGGTGCAGTGGCTCATGTCTGTAATCTCAGCACTTTGGGAGGCGGTGGATCACCTGAGGTTAGGAGTTTGAGTCCAGCCTGGCCAATATGGCAAAATCCTGTCTCTACTAAAAGTACAAAAATTAGCCGGGTGTGGTGGCAGGTGCCTGTAATCCCAGCTACTTGGGAGGCTGAAGAGGGAGAATTGCTTGAACCCGGGAGGTGGAGGTTGCAGTGAACCGAGATCATGCCATTGCACTCCAGCCTGGTGACAAGAGCAAACTCTGTCTCAAAAACAAAACAAACAAAACAAACAAGCAAACAAAAAAACACTGTAATAAAATGAAGAATGCCTGGACATGGCTAAGGAAAGAATCTCTGAGCTTAAGGATGTTTCAATGGAAACCTCCTGAAAAGCAGAAAGAACAAAGACTAAGAAGAAACAGAACAGAATATTCTAGAACTATGGAACTGCTACAGAAGTTGCGACATATGCATAATGGAAGTACCAGGAGGATTTGCCAGAAGAGAGAAGGAAATACCAGAAGAGAGAAGGGAAGAAAGCAATAGAAGGAATGTTTGGAACAATAATGACTGAGAATTTCCCCAAATTAGTGTCAGACACCAAATCACAAATCTAGGAAGCTCATAGAATACCAAGCAAGATAAATGTTCAAAAAATACCCACAAAAGGATAAAACAAAAAACAAAACCGAAGAATGACACTAGGTATATTATTCTTAAATCAAGGTAAAGGTTGAAAGAAGCCAGAGGAAAAAAATCCCCTGACCTATGGGGAAGCAAAGAATTACATCTGACAGCTCAGAAAACAGATGTGCAAGAAGAGAGTGGAGTAAAATGTTTAAAGCATAAAGAAAAACAAACAAGCAAACAAAAAACTCAACCTAGAATTCTGCACCCTGCAAAACTGTCCTTCAAAAGTGAAAAAACCAAACAAAACAAAATTTCTCGTACAAAACGGGAATTTGTTGAGGGAATTTGTTCCCGGTAAACGTGCCTTGCAAGAAATGTTAAAAGAAATTCTTCAGAGAGAAGGAATATAATATAAGTCTGCAACTTGGATCTACACAAAAAAAGGAAGAGCATTGAAGAAGATATAGTTGAAGGTAAAATAAAAACTTTATTTGGGAGGCCGAGGCAGGTGGATCACCTGAGGTTGGGAGTTGGAGACCAGCCCGACCAACATAGAGAAACCCTGTCTCTACTGAAAATACAAAATTATCCCGGTGTGGTGGTGCATGCCTGGAGTCCCAGCTACTCGGGAGGCTGAGGCAGGAGAATCGCTTGAACCTGGGAGGTGGAGGTTGTGGTGAGCTGAGATCGCGCCACTGCACTCCAACCTGGGCAAGAAGAGCGAAGCTCCATCTCAATAAATAAATAAATATATGAGTGAATGAATAAATAAATAAATAAAAACTTTATTTTTCTTACCTTTAATTGATCTAACAGATACCTGTTCAAAATAATAATAACAGCAACAATGCATGTGATTCTGTATGCTTATGTATATCTTCTGTGTGCATATATGCATATGTATGTGTATATATAACTAAAATAAGTGAAGCAATGATACAAGGGATGAGAGGAAGGAATTAGGATTATTTTGTTACATTATTTAAAAAAAGGGTTATTTGTAGGTGAGCTTGGTCATAGAGATCTACAGTACAGCATAGTTAACAATACTGCATTCTTATTTTTTTACATATTTAATATATTATAAATAGAGATGGAGTCTTGCTATATTGTCCAGGCTGGTCTCAAACTCCTGGATTCAAGCTATCCTCCCACCTTGGACTCCCAAAGTGCTGAGATTACAGGTGTGAGCCACTGTGCCCAGCCAACAATATGGTATTTTATACATAAAATTGTTAAAGAAGGTATACTTTATGTTAAGTGTTTTTATCACAACAATGATAAAAACTAAGAAAGTGGAAGGAAACTTCTGAAAATGATGGATAGGTTATGGCACAGATTGTGATCATGGTTTCATGGGCATATATTTATCTCCAAACTTATCAAGTTGTACACATATTATATATACAGCTTTTTCTATGTCAATTATACCTTAATAAAGTCATTTAAAAATCATACAAATAACATATAACTATGTAATCATTTAAAAATTAAAATACTCTACTTCATTTTCCCATTTTATTTCTACACTCTAGAACCAATCACTGCTAATGATATGATATGTGTAGCTCTCAAATATTGAATTAATTTACATGCATACCTATATAAAAGTGTAAATATAAATTTTTGGACATATAAACAATATCATGTTAGATTATGCATAATCTATGAAAAACTCAAGAAGTATGACCTTGGAAGAATCACAACCATGATCCTCCCAATACCCCTTGTTTTATGGGAAACTGAAGCCTGATAATACAGCTGAGACCAACTCTGTCCTCCAGGAAGATAAGAATGGTGAGAACAAATACATTTTCATATTTCTAGATTTCTAAAAAGTTGTGGAAAGGTCACATTCAGTTGGATGGATTAAATAGTTTGTGTTGAGATAACAGCTGCAGACAGTGATTCCTGGACCTAACCTTATCAAAGACTTCAAAACATGTTGTAAATGTATAACAC
This sequence comes from Homo sapiens, assembly GCF_000001405.40. Taxonomy (NCBI): domain Eukaryota; kingdom Metazoa; phylum Chordata; class Mammalia; order Primates; family Hominidae; genus Homo; species Homo sapiens. The sequence goes on along the minus strand of NC_000005.10, from coordinate 68,058,449 downwards.
CTATTTTTTATTCACTATAACTTACTTTTCTAAAAGTGTCCAATGATATCTCAACAGGTTGAGGCTTTATGCTGTGGCTGGAGTAGGAGGGAGGGATTGTTGTGCCTTAGGAGGAATTGATATTACAAATTTGAATCTACTCTAGTTCCAGACTCCAAATCTGGATTAGTTAGCGCAACCTCTTACTCCTGTAGCAGCGTGGCTATATCTTTATCATAGCAAGCTTTGCACTACAAAATAAGCTGTGCAAGAGCTGGGATTAGTGTCTGCTCTGATCTGCTGTGTCCTAGCACCTAGAACATTGGTGCCTAGCAGGTGTTCAATAGACACTTGTTCAGTGATACTTATTTTACCGCATTCTTTGTTATACTGTAAGCTCTTTGGTGGTATGGATCATAATATATTCATCTTTATAGTTCTGCAACTTATATTGGTACATGATTGGTGCTCAAAAATATTTGCTGAATATTATATAAATAGAAAAATAAGTGAATAGATAAAGGAATAAATACATGAATGAATAAAACAAACATAGGCTTTTAACATCAGGAATAGATACTCATTGTTGATCAAGGAAACCAGCCTAGACTCCAGTTAGAAGTCGGAACTGGTGGCTTCTTTGATTTTCTTTTAGGGCCTGACTCTTACTTTTCCCTCATGTACCATGGCATGCTATCCTTTCCTTTATAAAGAAAACCCTGGATTCTTCAAAAATGATAAGGAATGCATAATTTTTAACTGATTCTTTTAAAGGAACTCCTCTTCAGGAGCCATACTTCAGTAACAGTTTATTTCCAAGATTTTCTGCATGTTCTACACACCACATGCCAAGGGCTCATGTTTTATATCAGACAAGATACGATCATTTTCATTTTCACATTTTTTAGATTACCTCTGAAAATGTACATGAGTATCCATATGCAGATTATAATTTTATTTATATAGCTATTGCCAATGAGTTTGCTCCTGGATGAGAGTGAGAAAGAATTAAGGAAGTACATGAATAGCCCTCTCAGGAAGATAGGAATTCCTTGTATCAAAAGGTCAAAGCAGCCCGCAATAATTCTTGTCTCTTATCTCCTCCACAATTTACTCTCAAGAAGTTGCTACTTCAGAGGTTTCCAAAGCTTTCATCACCAATGCAGGAGTGCTTTAGGAGTATTTTCTTTTTAGGAGTATTTTCCATGTACACGGATCCTATGTTTTCACAGATTTACCTAGAAACATTTACGAGAACTTGTTAATTATTTGTTTCAAATATTTTATTTACAGAAAACATCTATAACTACCACTCAGATCTATAGCAAATAGATACTGTCTGTTAGAATTTTTGAAATACTGAAAATAGTGTATGAGTCTTTATCACCACCTTTATGGACTTCTATGGACCTAGGGACTAGCTATTTATAGAGTTACTGTAAGTTTTAAGATCCTGAGCAGAGTTGAATGAGGGATTGGAAGGGGTGGAAAAAAACCAGGAAAAAGAAACTAAATATTTAGTGACTGATTGCTGGAATCATAGTTCTTTTATACATATGTGTCTCATTCTGTATCTTCAAAGGTTTTGTCCTTTCTTTGTTAATGCTGTGTGATTTATTTAATATTTAGAATAATCAATGTGAGATACATATATGAAGATACATTTGTCATAACCTTACATTGTCATATCAAGTCCCACACCAACCATGCTTGTAATAGGAAGCAAAATAAGGAGGTTTAAAGTGATGGATGAGATGTTGTAAATTTGTCTACTTGCTGTGTCTGACTCATTTTTTTCTCTTCCAATTTTTTATAATAAAATACATTAGTATATATATGTTCTTATAATACATTCAACGCAACACAAATTAGAATTATATATTCTATTTGGTCCTATAAAATGAAAGTAGGGTTAGCCTAAGTGTCTGAAGATAATGCAGAAATTTGTCATTTCTTGGTTGTTAAACTACTTTAGGAAATGTGTTAGTGCTCAATTTTATTTGGTGTTTCTTACAATTCCATGACTATAGTGAACATAAAAAGTAAAGAGCCTAACATTCAATAAATATTGCAAGATTATATCTCACAGGCATAAAACCAATTATGTTCTAGAATAGTTAATTTATTTTATTTGGGAAATCCTGGAAAATATCTGAAAACAGTTCCCTTGACACAGATTTAGCCAATACACACATGGTAATTGGCGGCATCAATGTTATACTAAATGATATCTATAAACATCCTTTTAACCAGTGGTTCAATCCTGCTTTCTCACTTCTTTTCCCTGTCCTACGTACTGGCTCCCTGTTTGTCTCTGAGTACTTGTTAAATAGTTTAACTTTTTATCTTATTCTATCTACCTCTGGGGTAAAATTAAAATTTGTGCAGATGGATGCAAATGAAAACAAAGACATATTTTTTCAATAAGCTACTAGAATAGTCAATTGAAAAATGGAGGTATCTATGTATCTTGCAGACTCATCTGTTTGGTAGGAGTGACAAAACATGGGTACATTTAATTAGGTCTAACTTACTGGGAAAGGAGGATGGGGATGAGGTGAGACAAGGGGTAAGATGGGGTGAAATTTTAAGTGGGAGTCCTGGTGGTCAGCAGATAGAAGTGCGATTTTTCTATGTAAGAGGCCTTTGCCTAAGCACCTGTCCTGAATAACTGACACACTCTTTCAAAAGATAACTGATTCAATATTTGGGTGATGACTGAAAGAATTAACCAACTGAAGGACTGAAAATTCTAGAAAAACATAGAAAGGTATGAACTCAGAAAAGATGAACTCAGTCAAAGGTCCTATGCAAAAGCATTAGAGTGACACTGGCCTTGATTTCATCTTGGGTTTAGGATAATCATCACTATATGAAATCTTATAGGTAATTATCATTACAGGCTCAAAATAATACTAATACTCATAAGAACAATACTGACATTTGGATAATTCTTAAAATGCTTTTGAAAGTGCTTTCACATCTATTACTTTAATCTTTCCATTCCCCCCAGAGCAGTGAAGTTTAAGCACTGATATCCCCATTTTAAAGATGAAGGGGCCAAGGCCCAGAGCAGCTGTGAACTCCAGGCCATGAATTGCTCCATGACATGAATGTTAGCAGTTCAGTATTCAGAAGGACCCAGCAAGTCCTGTGATTTCTTTTAGATAATGCCATCCTGTGCAGGAGTCCTGTGCTTTCAGGGAGATTGTTCAGCAAGTAACCTTCCAGCTGCCCAGCTTGCTGGATTGGTCTCTGTCCCTTCACAGACCAGTGGGTGGGTGGCTGCTAGAGCATTTGTTCCTCACCAGCCCTTCTGTGGACCCCTCTTTGTAGATTTCCTGTTTTGATAAGAGGAGCCTGGCTCCAGGAAGCAGGAGTGGGTTTGGAGTTGCTGAAAGAAAGTTATACGTCTCTCTCTTGCTAGCCATATGGAATAAGTCTCAGTCCTTGGTCCTCCTGTAGTTGCTTGCTGGCCCTTTGCAATGAGTTTTCTGTGGCAAATGATGCCAAATGCCTTACAAAGGGAATAGCTTGCAGATGTGGGTATGATAACCTGCAAAGCACAGCTTAAATATAGTAATTGTCTCTAGCCTGCTCTTAACTGTGGCGACAGTGTTTCTACTATGTCATTAGGGAAGGAATTACCAAGTCTTGGAACACAGTGAGCCACGCTTCTGGCACCAGCTGCCAGAGTTTTTACAGAGTTAATTGGCTTCTCACCAAAAAGATTAGGGCACGAGGTTAAAGAATGTGAGAATAAGGAAGAACTAAGATAAATGGGAGACGAGAGTATCCAAAAGCTAACAAAAAGATTTTTGTTTCTATTGTTATTCAACTTAGATATAATCACTTTATCTCTTTGTGCTGAATCCATCATCTCTTTTATTCTGTTTTTCTGTTATCTTCTTCAGTGAGATAACTGAAATTTAAAGGTGAATGGTTTTGCTTTGCAGACTTTCTTTGCCAGCCACCTCCCCTGCCTAGCAGATCCAAGTAGGAAAACACCCTGGCCCTGCCTAGCAGAGCCAAGTAGGAAAAGATCTGAAGAATTTTAGGGCTGGATGAAGTTTAGAGGTTATCCAGTCCAATCTCCCACCTAAGATAGGAGATTTCATCCACTATTCCTTGGCAGGTGGTCTTCCAGACTTCCTACCTTTCAATACCTCACTTTGGACAGTTATTACCATTAGAATATTCTTCTTGATCCTGAATTTTTACTACTCAGAGGTTCTAGTTTTACGCTCTAGAACCAGATGGGACTAGTTTGTTTAGTTTTTTTTTCCCATAGCATATGGATTCAAATATTTCTTATTTATGTATTTATTTATTTATTTAGTTTTGAGACAGAGTCTTGCTTTGTTGCCCAGGCTGGAGTGCAGTGGTGCCATCTCGGCTCACTGCAACCTCTGCCTCCCAGGTTAAAGTGATTTTCCTGCCTCAGCCTCCTGAGTAGCTGAGATTACGGGTGCCCACCACCACGCCCAGAAAATTTTTGTAGTTTTAGTGGAGACAGGGTTTTGCCATATTGGCCAGGCTGCTCTTGAACCCCTGGCCTCAAATGATCTGCCCACCTCGGCTTCCCAAAGTGCTGGTATTACAGGTGTGAGCTACTGTGCCTGGCCACATCAAAATATTTTAATGAGAAAATTATACCTGCCTTAAAGCTGGAATAACTAATAAATTTCATCTTAGTTGTCCAATCCAATAGAGTGCATAGTGGTTGCCTGGAGGGCTATGAGCTGGCCAAACACTACAGGAAGAGAATAATGATTGATTATTAATGTCTTCCACGGACAGAGGAGGAGAGTGGTGGCAGGATGGTGTACCTTTTTAGACCATCCTTAAGTGTAATGTAATCCCCGAGTACCTTTGGTCACTCAATTGTTTTATTTTCATATATCATGGATATTCTCTTTGATTTTCCTGAACAATATTCCTCTTGAAAAATAACTCCCAAAGTTGAACACAGCACTCCCAATGTGGTATGACTAGACCAGAAAACAATGGAAGTATGATACCCATTGAAACATATCACCATTAATGTAGTCAACAATTGTATTTATTTTTTTTGGCAGCCATACCACTCTTGTGACTCATATTGAGCATGTGGCTTACATGCTCACATAGCAGTCAACAATGCAGTATAATTTGAGGGGTACCACAAGAGCCCAGCCACCCTAACATATCTCTTTACTAGGCTGTTTGGTGCTATGGGCTCATTCTATGTGGTCTGATATCCCTTCATTTGTGTTACTCCTTTGGGTTACACAACTGTGTTTGGGGGAATGAATTGAGTCTAGGCTGTTCCCATTAGAATTCTAGAAATTATTAACGCATTGGGGCAGAATGGCTTTTCCATTGCTTCAACAAATATGTATTGATGTATTGATTGCTTACCATTGTTTTAGGCACTGGGGATAAAACAATGAACAAACAAGATGAAACTTCTGTCCTAATGGAGCCTACGCTATAATGTGGGAAGACAGACAATATAAGAAAAATTATAAAATAGATGGTAATAAGTTCTGTGGGGAAAAAAATAGAGCAGAGGGGAAGAATGAGAGGTGGTAGGAGAGGAGACATTGTGATTTGAAATAGAGTAGACAGAGAGGGCCTCAGCTAAGAAGATGAAATTTGAGTAAAGCCCTGAAGGAGATACAGGAGGAAGCCTCAAGGCAGTCTGGGAGAAGAGCAGCAAGAGAGCAGAACAGTAGGTGCTAAGGCTGTGGGAATATGCCTGGCGTGATTGAGGAATACCAAGAAGCCCAGATGGCTAGCAAAGTGATGATGAGAAAAACAGTGTGAGATGAGCAGAGAGACAACAGGTTCCAGGTTGTATAGGTTGGGCAGGCTATTGTAAGGACTCTGACTTTTGTTCTGGGTGAGATATGAGACCATAGGAAGGTTCTGAAAAGGGGAGTGATGTCATCTGACCTTCTCTTGCAAGGATCCCGTAGCTGCTGTGTTGAGAATAGACCGTAGGTGGCAAGGACAGAGGCAGGAGGACTCATTGGAAAATCTCTGTTCTAATCGGGGTGAGAGGTATTGATGACTTTGAACAGGTTGGAACCAAAGAGGTGGATCTAAATTTTGGATATATTTTGAAAAACATAGTCTAAAGAATTTACTGGTGTTTGGTTGTGGGATATGAGAGGGAAAAAAAAAAAAAGCAACCAAGGGCAACATTGAGGTTTTTGAGTCTGAACATCTGGAAGAGTGAAATTACCATTATTCATGTGGGGAATACTGTGAAAACAGCAGATTTGGGAGGAAAATCTGCAGATCTAGGTATCTGAGCAGAAGATTCAGTTAGGCAGTGGGATCTACGGATCTGGAGTTCAGGAGTGCAATCCAGGCTGGAAATGTAACTTCCTCAGCTTGTAAATGGCCATTAAAGCCCTGAGGTTAGAAGAGATCACTGAGAAAGTGAGAGCAGATAAGAAGAGAAAAGGACCAAGGACTGAGTTGAGAGATCAGGTTGATGAGATCAGCAAAGGAGTCTGAGAAGGAGTGACCAGTGAACCAGAAGGAAGCTAGGACAAGGCATGTCCTGGAAGGCCAGAGAAGAAAGCATCTCAAGGATGAGGGAACTCTACTGTGTCAAATGCCACTGAGAGGTTAGGGAAATTGAGGACTGAAAATAGCTGCTGGATTTAGCAACTTGGAAGCTATTGGTGGCTTTGATGAAAGACGTTTTGGTGAAATGGTTGAGACAAAACTCTTATTGGAGTCGATTCAAGAGATAATAAGAGGGGAAAAGTTGAAAATGGCAAGTGTAGACCACAGTTTAATGAGTTTTATTGTAAAGAGGAGCAGAGAAATGGGAAGCAGATGGAGCTGTGTCAAGAGGCGAGATGAGGTCAATAAATTATTATTTTTAAGTTGAAAAAAATTATGATTTTTTTTTTCCCTGATGGAAATGACCACTCTTGAGGGGTTTTCAGTTAACTATTTATCATCAGAATTTTGAATGGAGAAAATCCAGGGCAAATATTTTTGATAGGGTAAAGAAAAGCCAAATTCTTGGAATACATTACAATGTGGGCAGACTGATGGAGAAAGCAGCCTTTGGGTGGCGGGATTAGCAGGAAGTCAATATGAACCTGCTGGATATGGACAGGACTGTGTGTGTCGGGAGTAGGCGGCAGAGGAGTGGACCCTAAAGAGGACTCTCCCCTGCTTCACGCCAAGGGTAGATCCTCCTCAAGAGTACAGAAGACTCCACCCTAACAGGTTAGAATCTAATTTGTATGTCTACCTTTTGTTTGTTTGTTTGTTTTGTCAGCTAACTAGTCAATCAATATGTATTTGTTAAATATCTCCTAATCTCTTGTCTAATTCACCTTTGTGTTTCACTTAGGTTTCCAAGACATGACAATGGTAGTTTTCTATAACAAAGTTTTCTTTCTTCCCTGTAGTGTCAGGTTTCCCCTCAACTCTCCATCTGGTTTTGTTACCTTTCTTTCAAGTTTAAGTGTCAGTTGGATCAAAAGAGTTAGCAATTGTCATATTTTCTGCTACACTCACCTGAGACCCACCTAGTTATCCAGAACTGGGATTCCTTTTAAACAGGGGGCTCACTGGGCCCCATCTTACTCTCACTGTGGGAGAAGGGAGCATATTACTTCTATTCATCCATCTAACCTTCCATCCAACCAATTAATATTTATCTAGTACCTACTTTGCAGCAGGCATTGTTCCTGGCACTTGGGGATTCCACAGGAAACAAGATGGTCATGGCTTCTGCTCTTAGGAATACTACATTGTAGTGGAGAAGATAGATAATAAACAAGTAAAACAGAAATTCAAACGATCATGATGAGTGAAATGAAGACAATGCATAGGATGTTGAGACACAGAATAACAAGGAAAGATACGGATGGCATTTTCTTGGTATAGGTTGACCAGAGAAGGCTTCTGCATTTATAAGCTTATCACTTCCCCACTGGAAGTTATGTTACACGCCATCCTGGTGAAGTGGGTGGGGAATGGTACTCTGTCTGGTATCTGCTGTATTATTTGTCCCTAGATGCTCCAGAGCCTTTCTGTGAGGTGAGAGTGAGACCTGGACATATAATTATATTGATCTAGTCTGAGGTAAGGTAATGAGAATTTAGTAAGAGTAGTAATCTAATAGAATACCTCTCGATAGGATGAGTATTTTCCCTCTGATGCCTGGGCAATCTGGAATCCCGTGGAGTTCTTCCAGATTTCCCCTGGCCCAGGAATTCTGTCCTGGGCTATAGGGCAGGGCACTGGAGTTCAGCCTTAGTGGAAAAGGTGAACATTGGTTGAGTGTTTAAAAATTACATTAATTATAAATGCTAAATATTCAGCCAGAAGGATTTTAATTGCAAAGGGTACTGCAAATTAGCATAATCTGATGGTAACTTGTCAATGTGGGCATTAACAAATTGCCCCTCACCCTCAAAGTTATGTAACAGCAAAACCAACCTACCTGACCAATGCCAGCATTTGTAATGAAACATATATCACACATATATCACACTCGGTGATGTTGAGGGAAAAATAATACTTGCATGACAGATAACTAAATGTCAATCAAAATAAACACCAAGGTCCAAGATACGCTGGAAATTCAAATACACAGCAATGAAAGACTTTTGCTGCAAATGAAACAAGAGCCACATGAATGGCATGACAGAGAAGTTTATGGAAAGTATATTTTGAAGAAAAACCTCTTCTCATTGAAGTTACAAATGCCAGGGACCCCACATGCACGGAGGTGGAACAATACCTGTTATTTTTAGGTACTTTGTACATTTCGGCGTATTTAACGCATGCTTCTGAATTGAGTAGGGCAAAGATTGCCAGAGGATCTGTGTAATTTAAACAGTTAATTTGGGTAAATTTACTGGTAAATACTATTGGCTGACATTTATCTCTATCCTATCCCCTGAGTGCCACCTAGTACAGCGAGGGCTTCTCCCAGTCCCTCTGGATTAGAGAACAGCAAAGGCAGTGCCTTGAAAAAGTTTACAGTTCAGTTCAACCCACCCTGATCTAATCATGGTCTCACAGTGGGTAAAATTACCCCTTCCTGTGAAGTGAAGTTTAAATATCTCAGCTGTATTTCTGCTTGATTCCTTATTTAATGTAACTCGGCTTGTGTTAGTCTTTGTAATGGCTCTAAACCTTAATCACTCCCATCTGTTAAATATTACACGGTAATTTGGTAGTGAAAGAGTACTAGGCTAGGAGCCAGTTTGATTCTAGTCCTAGCTTTGTCACTAATTAGCCGTGTGACTCCAATGAGTTGGTTCATCTCTGCCTTGGTTTACGATCTCCCCATCATCAACCTAAGCTTTCTCTACTCCTCTATGACCTTCCCAATTAGTAGGGAGAAGAGGCAGCTCTAAGAAAGTGCATTGAGACTTCACATCTAAGGAAGTGGAGGTGGAGATGAGAGGAAAGGAAATCATTCTCCTCTCAACCCAGACACACAAGCCTGCTTGTGCCTGGATCTTTTTCCCACCTGGTGTAATGAAACACACATCCCTGTTCCTATCGAAACCCTGATCTTCCATTTGGGCTTTAAGTCCATCCTCTTAGCCCTCTCAAATACTCTTTGGTTATCTGCTTTTCTGCTTTCAGCTTTCCTCTCTCCTGCATCTCCCCAAAATCTTCCTTGTCCCACACGCCCTGCGAGTTACTGCTGCACTTCTCAGCTACCCATTTGCAGTCTGCCTTCTTTAAGGTGTGGTCCACATAGGCTGCCTGTTACAGCCTGAAACACACTTCTGTGACCTCTGCCCTGCTAGGTCAGCCTCTTCCCCATTTTCTCCAGTGCTTTTTCACAACTTAATATTCTGTAAGTAGTCATGACATTGTATGCTCTTATGCCAAGTAGTCTTCACCTTTGAGTGTAGTAGTGTAATTTGATGATATTTTTTCCTGTACGATTTTCTGTATGTCCTGGAATTAATGCAGTAGTTCCCTATTATCCACAATTTTGCTCTGTTGGGAGCAAGCCCCCCAAAATCTGGCCATAAACTGGCCCCAAGACTGGCCATAAATAAAATCTCTGCAGCACTGTAATATGTCCATAATGGCCCTAATGCCCAAGCTGGAAGGTTGTGAGTTTACGGGAATGAGGGCAAGGAACACCTGGCCTGCCCAGGGAGGAAAACTGCTTAAAGGCATTCTTAAGCCACAGACAATAGCATGAGCGATTTATGCCTTAAGGGTGCGTTCCTGCTGCAGTTAACTAGCCCAACCTATTCCTTTAATTTGGCCCATTCCTTCGTTTACTAAAAGGGATACTTTTAGTTAATTTAATATCTATAGAAACAATGCTAATGACTGGTTTGCTGTTAATAAATACTTGGGTAAATCTCTGTTTGGGGCACTCAGCTGTGAAGGCTGTGAGACCCCCGATTTCCCACTTCACACCTCCATATTTCTATGTGTGTCTTTAATTCCTCTAGCGCCACTGGGTTAGGGTCTTCCCGACCTAGCTGGTCTTGGCATTGCTCTCTGGGATTTTGCTTTCTGTTATCCACAGTCCAATGTGGTCTGAAAGTATTAAATGAAAAGTTACAGAAATAAACAACTCAACCATTTTATTTATTTAAAAAATAATTTCAACTGTTATTATTGATTAAAGGGTACATGTGCAGATTTCTTGTATGGGCATATATATGACACTGAGGCTTGAGGTCCCAGTGATCCCATTACCCAGGCAGTAAGCATAATACCCAACAGGTGGTTCTTCAGCTGACATCCCCTTCTCTCCCTCCACCATCTTAGTGGTCTCCACTGTCTATTGTTCCCATGTGTATTCAATGTTTATCTCCCACTTATAAGTGAGAAAATGCAGTATTTGTTTTTTTGTTCCTGTGTTAGTTCACTTAGGATAATGGACTCCAGTTCTATCCATGTTGTTGCAAAGGACATATTTCATTCTTTTTATGGATGTGTAGTACTTCATGATGTATATGTACCATATTTTCTTCATCCAATCCACTGTTAATGGGCACCTAGGTTGATTCCATGTCTTCACTATTGTAAATAGTGCTGCAATGAACATGTGGGTGAATGTGTCTTTTTGATAGAAGAAAGTATTTTCCTTTAGGTATACACCCAGTGGTGGGATTGCCCGGTGGAATGGTAGTTCTAAGTTCATTGAGAAATCTCCAAACTGCTTTCCACAGTCACTGAATTAGTTTGCATTCCCACTTACAGTGTAAGAGCATTCCTTTTTCTCCACAGCCTTGCCAGCATCTGTTGTTTTTGAGTTTTTAATAACAGTCATTCTTACTGTTGTGAGATGGTGTCTCATTGTGGTTTTGATTTGCATTTCTCTGACAATGAGTGATGTTGAGCATTTTTTATATGTTTGTTGGCCACTTGTATGTCTTCTTTTGAGAAGTGTCTGTTCATGTCCTCTGGCCATTTTTAAAAATTTAACTTTTATTTTAAGTTCAGGGGTACATATACAGGTTTGCTATATAGGTAAACTTGTGTTAGGAGGGTTCGTTGTATAGACTGTTTTGTCACCAATAGCCTAGTACCCATTTATTATTTTTCTCGATTCTCTCCCTCTTCCCAGCCTCCCACCTCTGGTAAGCCCTAGCGTCTGTTGTTCTTCCCATGTGTCCATGTGTTCTTATCATTTAGCTCCCACTTATAAGTGAGAACATGTGGTATTTGGTTTTCTGTTCCTGTGTTCGTTTACTAAGATAATGGCCTCCAGCTTCATCCATGTTCCTGCAGAGAACATGATCTTGTTCTCTTTTATGGTTGCATAACAACTCATGTGTTTTAAATTGCATGCCCTTCTGAGTAGTGTGATGAAATCTCAAACCATGTCCCTCCGTTCTGCGCTGGATGTGAATCATTCCTTTGCCCAACGTCTCCATGCTTTCTACATTCCCTGCCCATTAGTCACTTAGTAGCCGGCTCAGCTATCAGATTCACTGTCATGGTATCCAGTGCTTGCATCCAGGTAAATCTGATTTTACTTGACTATGGCCATAAGTGCAAGAGTTGTGATGCTGCTTTGGGAGGCCGAGGCAGGTGGATCACCTGAGGTCAGGAGTTCGAGACCAGCCTGGCCACCATGGTGAAACCCCGTCTCTACTAAAAACACAAAAACTAGCTGGGAATGGTGGCATGCACCTGTAATTCCAGCTACTTGGGAGGCTGAGGCACGAGAATTGCTTAAACCTAGGAGACAGAGGGTGCAATGAGCTGAAATTGTGCCACTGCACTCCAGCCTGGGCAACAAAGCAAGACTCCATCTAAAAAAAAAAAAAAAAAAAAGAGTTGTAATGCTGGCAATACAGATATGCCAAAGAAAAGCAAGCTAGGAAGTGCTTCCTTCAAGTAAAAATGTGAAAGTTTTAATAAGGAGAGTAAATGTATCATATGCTGAGGTTGCTAAGATCTAAGGTAAGAACAAATCTTTTATCTATCAAATTGTGAAGAAGGAAAAAGAAACTCATGCTAGTTTTGCTGTCACACATGAAACATCAAAAGTTATGGCCACAGTGCATAAGTGCTTAGTTAAGATGGAAAAGGAATTAAGTTTGTGGGTGCGAGACATGAACAGAAATGTATTATGATTGATGGCAATCAGGTTCTGTACTATTTGTGGTTTCAGGCATCTACTGAGGGTCTTAGAACATATCCCCCATGGATAAGGAAGACAACTGTAATGACTTTAAAAATTGCATAATTTTCTATGCCTCATTACTATTTTTTTTTCCGCGGTGACCCAATGGCATGGTAAACCACCCTCTAATGTTTCCCATACTTTCGGTGCATTTGTTCCATTTTGTTTTTCCTGGACACCACTGTCTGGGAACCCTCCATTTCTTTGTTGTTTTGCTCTAGTCTGAATGTGTTGCCCTCTAGGCCTGCTACTCAGCTGTCATCTTGGGACTTCCCTTGACCATTGCTAGATGACATAAATGTGATTCAAGAAATTTTATCTGGCAGCCGCTTGTGGGACATATTGGAGCCAGGAGAGATGGCAGCATGAGGACAAATTCAGAGGACTTTGGAATGAGCTCCTGCTTGAGATAATTAGAACTTCAAATATATGCTTATCAGTGAAGCAGAGACTCCTTTCTGGTTCAGTGATAGCATGTCTAAAAAAATAATAATAACATTATTATTAAATATTATTCTAGCTAGCTAGAATCCAGGTCCAATGATGGGAGCAGAGTCACTCTGAGTGTTATAGGATAAGAGATGTACCTCCTGGCTAGATTTTGTGCAGCTGTGGGAGGTGAAGGGCAGCTGCTGCTGGTCAATCCTAAGAGCCAGGCACATCCAGCCACTGAAGTGCTATGGTGAGGGGTATAGGAAACGTCTGTGAGTTCTCAGCCTAATGTCTGGTGATTGGCTTAGGGCCACTGCTGGTCAATGGGGTCAGGAATCTGGAAGAAGGGCTGGGGAGCAAAGAAGAGCCAGGAGAATCTGGATCTGCCTGACATCTTTGAGTCTATCTGCCACTTCTACTAACCACCATGACCTCCAAAGAACAGTGGCTGCAGCTGTTCTTCTGCCTCTAAAATCTCAACACCTTTTGGTGAACTCTCACCAGGAACATTTAGATGAAGGTAATACAGTTCCTGCTAAACCAAACTGATAACCAATCGTTAGGGGCTGAATTGTGCTCCTCATCTTCCCAAATTCATATGTTGAAGTCCTAACCCCCAGTACCTCAGAATGTGACTATATTTGAAGACAGGATCTGCAAAGAGCTAATTAAGGTTGGATGAGGTTCACAGGGTGGGCCCTAATCCAATATGATTGGTATCCTTAAATGAAGAGTTGGTTAGGGCAGAGACAGGCACAGAGGAAAGACCATGTGAAGAGACATTGAAAGACGGTCATCTACAAGCCAAGGAGAGAGATATCCTAGAAGATATCAGCCATACTGACACCTTGATCTCAGATTTCCAGTCTCCGGAACTATGAGGAAATACACTTCTGTTGTTTAAGCCACTCAGTCTGTGGTACTTTGTTAGGGCAGCCTTAGCAAACACATACACTGATCAATCCAGCACGACGCCTTACATTTACATATTGCTTTGTACATTGCAAAGCATTTCAATATTTTTTTAAATTAAATTAAATTTAAAGTTCCAGGATACATATGCAGGACATGCAGATTTGTTGCATAGGTAAACGTGTGTCATGGTGGTTAGCTGCACCTGTTGACCCATCATCAATATGTTAATCATCGCAAATGTTGATAACATAGCTAACACTCATACAGTGTTACTATGTGCTAGGCAATGTTCTGAGCACTTTATATATCAGGGATGTCCAATCTTTTGGCTTCCCTGGGCCACCCTGGAAGAAAAAGAATTGTCTTGGGCCACATACAAAATACACTGACACCAATGATAACTGAGGAGCTAAAAAAAAAAAAAAAATCACAAAAAATATCATAATGTTTTAAGAAAGTTTATAAATTTGTGTTGGGCCACATTCAGAGCCATCATGGGCCACATGTGGCCCACAGGCTGCGGGCTGGACAAACTTGTTATGTATATTAACAAGTTTAATCCACACAATAGCACTGTGAGACAGAGCTGCCTATCTGTGCCCTAATCAACTCTTCATTTAAGGATACCAATCATATTGGATTAGGGCCCACCCTGTGAACCTCATCCAACCTTAATTAGCTCTTTGCAGATCTTCAAATATAGTCACATTCTGAGGTACTGGGGGTTAGGACTTCAACATACGAATTTGGGAAGATGAGGAGCACAATTCAGCCCCTAACGATTGGTTATCAGTTTGGTTTAGCAGGAACTGTATTATCCTCATCTAAATGTTCCTGGTGAGAGTTCACCAAAAGGTGTTGAGGTTTTAGAGACAGAAGAATAGCCGCAGCCACTGTTCTCTGGAGGTCATGGTGGTTAGAAGAAGTGGCAGACAGACTCATCTCCATTTCACAGATGAGAAAAATGAAGTACAGATAATTCAACTAACTTGCTTGAAATCACACAGCTTGTAAGTATTGAAGCCAGGATCCAAACCCTGGCAGTGTAACCCCCTTCTCTTTCTTGCCCTGGACTCTTTCTGGCCTTCCTGGCACCTGACCTTTCTTTCCATTTATATGGCATCACTGTTTACACACACTTCTCAGGCTCAGTCTCCCCTTTTGTGGGTCATGAATCTAATTTCTTTGTCCTCTTGGTGGGTCTCTGCTTTTGTTCACAGGGGAAATCTTCCAGGGAACCCATGTATAATCCCCGTGGCACACACAAGGCCACATGTTTCCCTGGCCACAGCAGGGCTGTGACTGCAGGTTCATATTCTCAAGAGAGGAAGCCTTCACTCCAGAGTGGTGAACTAATTATGTGACATTATTCCAATGGCAAAAAGGAGCCAGGCAGTCTAATGTTCTTTCTAGAAAAAAATTCGATGTTTTTTTTTTTGAGAAGGGTCTCACTCTGTTGTCCAGGCTGGAGTACAGTGGCAAGACCACAGCTCACTGCCTCCTTGACCTCCCAGGCTCAGGTCATCCTCCCATCTCAGCCTCTCAAGTAGCTGGGACCACAGGCATGCACAATCACACCTGGCTAATTTTTTTATTTTCTATTTTGCTGGTCTCGAATTCCTGGGCTCCAGTGATCCTCATGTCTCAGCCTCCCAAAGTGCTGGGATTATAAGCGTGAAAAAAATTTCACTTTTTTTTTTTTTTTGAGACGGAGTTTCACTCCTGTTGCCCAGGCTGGAGTGCAATGGCACAATTTTGGCTCACTGCAACATCCGCCTCCCAGGTTCAAGCAATTCTCCTGCCTCAGCCTCCAAAGTAGCTGGGATTAGGGAACCCTGGCTAATTTTTGTATTTTTAGTAGAGACAGGGTTTCACCATGTTGTTCAGGCTGGTCTCGAACTCTTGACCTCAGGTGGTCCACCTGCCTTGGCCTTCTAAAGTTCTGGGATTACAGGCATGAGCCACCGCGCCTGGCCAAATTTCATTTTTAAGTTACTTTTTGCAGTGGCCTACAGAGTTCCCTGGCCTGAGGTCATGTGATTACTCAGCAGATGTTGGTTCACTAGCCTGAAGTTCTAGAAATCACATTATTTGTGAAACTTTTTTGCTTGTACCAAAATGCACTAAAATCTGTTTAAAACAGAAAGGCGTGTCTATTTGAATGTGTCAGTGATCTCTATTTGGGTCCAAAATGGCAGATTAAAGTGAACTTGGAACAGAGGGGCAGCAGGCAGCCATATGAAATGCCAAGTGAGCCCTTTAAAACGGAGGCCTCGCTTCATGTTGTCAATGAGACTGAGTTATAATTACCCACACCACTTCCTCAAACAGTTAGTTATGTTCTGCTTGGGGCTTCTGATGAAGTGAAATCCTATTGTGATGTTAAAAACATGCATTTCCTTTGCATTTAAAAAGAATCAGCTGATTATTTTCCCACTCATATAACCTCGCCCCACCTTGGAAAAAATGCTATGCAGCAAGCACTATGACGAGATTGAAATAATACAATAATAATAGCAGTAATTAACATTTAATGAGCACTTAATGTATCCGTCACAGCTCTGAATGCTTTACATGGGACTCTTGATTCTCACAACACTTATGAGGCAGACATCATTTTTATATTCATTTTATTGATGGAGAAATTGAGGCCCAAAGAGTTTAAGGGAACAAGTGAATGGTGGAGCTGGAATTTGAATCCAGGTCTCTATTTTTAACAACCCTTACTTGTAACTTCTATGTGTTTTTGCCCTGAAGAAGGGATGATAGAAATGAACAAAACAGATTTTTTTTTTTTTTTTTTTTTTTACTGATAACATTTTACTTCTGATTCTAAACACATTTTGGGTATGGTAGTGACCACTGAGGGGACGGGAGGGGAGCAAAAAGGCTCAGGAGGGTGTGGTCAGTCAAGTTCCTTCCACTTTAAAAATGCCTTTCCTCTCTCTTACCACCAGTTGAAGACAGCTCAGTCCCGTGGGGGAGTCCTGAGAGGCTGCGGTGGCCGGGCAGAGGTGTGAGACAAGCGTATTTGCACAGAGCACTGAGCCCAAGATGCTCTACTGGGCAGAGTTACAGGTACTTTTTTTTGTGACAGAGTCTGGCTCTGTCGCCCAGGCTGGAGTGCAGTGGCACAATCTCGGCTCACTACAACCTCTGCCTCCTTTGTTCAAGCGATTCTCCTGCCTCAGCCTCCTGTGTAGCCGGGATTACAAGCATGTGCCACCACGCCCGGCTAATTTTTGTATTTTTAGTAGAGGAGAGGTTTTACCATATTGGCCAGGCTGATCTCGATCTCCTGACCTCAGGTGATCCACCCACCTCAGCCTCCCAAAGTGCTGGGATTATAGGCATGAGCCACTGTGCCAGGCCACAGGTACTTTTTATAGGAAGCCAGCACAGATGTCTTCAGCCCCCTCAGAGGGTATGACCCATTCTAAACAATTGGGATTTCTTTTTTCTTTCTTTTACAACCCTGATTCTTAAAAACAGCAGTGGTGTCGGTTAGGGCTCCTGGTTACAAACTGCAGAAGCCAATTTCAGTGAACAAAAGTGGACAAGCTGATGACTAGAAGGATACCAGAGATCTCAACAACCAGAGATCTCACAAAGTGGGTGGGAAGGCTAGGAAAAAAAAAGGGTGAAGATGAGCTGGACTGCAGGAGACTAGGAGCAGAGGATCTCTCAAGACCATGTTGCAGGGAGACTGTGGTGAGGACACCAGCTCAGCCAGCCACGGCCAGGACACTGCCGGCTTTCAAGTGCATGGCTCTCAGACATCATCTCCAGCTCTTGCTGCCTCTTAGGGTCACTCTCTTCTGAAGGTATGTGGTCTGTTTGGCTGAGAGTGGGCCATTTGTTTGTGGAAGCTGGAGGACCACGCTGAGTTGTGGAAGTAGGAATACAAAGGCATGACTAACTTCCAGTAAATTTGCACAAACTCTCCTTACTTCAAGAGGAAGAAAACAAGGAACGCCAGGTCTGAGAATGGGTCCCAGAGATGGGCAAACAGAGGAAGAGTAAAGACAGGGTCTCGTCCTATAGTTAACATATATGTCTATTTTTTTTCTCTCTCCCTCTTTCATTTTATTATTTTTTATGTAGATGGGGTCTCTCTTTGTTGCCCTGGTCTTGAACTCCTGGGCTCAAGCTATCCTCCTGTCTTGGCCTCCCAAACTGTTGGGATTACAGGCATGAGCCATTGTGCCTAGCCTTATACATCCCTTGTTCCTATTCTTGACTTTGGAAAAGCTTATGGGTAAAGGGGTTTAGGAAGGGTTGCCTGAGAAGAAATCCACTTCTTTTTTTTTTTTTTTTTTTTTTTTTGGAGACACGATCTCACTCTATTGCGCAGGCAGGAGTGCAGTAGCTCAATCCTAGTTTCACTGCAGCCCCAAACTCCTTAGCTCCAGCAATCCTCTCATCTTAGCCTCCCAAGAAGTTGGGACTATATGCAGGCACTACCATGCCCGGCTAATTCCTGGAATCGTCTCTTAGCTCCCATTGCCTTTGTCATCCTGCTAATTAAAGAGAAAAAACGTGGGTCTGGGTCTGGAAAGGATGCTGATCTGTGGGGGTCTGCCCAACTTTATCTTTTTAATTATCCTGTGCCTTAACCCACGTGTTATTGTAGCATAAATGACACAAAGAGGTAGGAGATTGTCCACTTTGTTCCTCATTTATCAGCATAACCAGCGAAGAAAGGCAGCAGAATTATTTCCTAGCTGCTCTTGGTTATCAAGCCTTTTTAAGTCCTGACATTGATGGGACAGAAATGTTCAAATGAGTTAAAAGTACATACTTTTCAAAGATCTATAAAACTTCCATTTTAAAAAAGGAATACTATAAATTAGGAACCAAATGGCAGGTGATATTTTATAGAAAAAAATGAGAAAAAGAAAACTTGAGTAATACTTTATCTTGGACCCTTGCCTCTGATAAGCTTAGGGTTGCTCTTCTCACCTTTAGGACACATTTTCTAGTTTTACAAGGTTAAAAATACCAAATGCCTTCTTTATTGCTCAAGGAAAAATGCATTAATAGTTGTCAGACTCCAAATGCCAAATATGATGATTCTCTGTGGCTCAGCTAACCAGTATTGATAGAATGGATAAAATAGTTAGTTAAATAACTTAAGAAATTAGAAAAAACCCAGGAAAATAATTTAATACAAAGAACCAAGAGAAAAAATATTGTGCTACATGAAGGAAGAGTGTTTCATATGAACAATTCTGCCTTCAATAGATAACTCCAAACCCAATTCGCCTGGAATTATTTCATGGCATAACTTTGGTAATACTTCTCTTTTTTCGTTCTAGCTTTTGCCTCAAAAGTACTTTGGGGATGAAAATGAAAATGGAATTTACACTAGGGGTAAATTCTGGAGAACATAAAGGCATGGCTGGATTCATGGTGTGTTACCTCTGTAGTCAGTCAGACTAGGTCTAATTCAGGAGGTCCCATGCTTGGTTTAATGATACGCTGTTGTTGTCTGGAAATTCCTAATAAGGTTGGAACAAGGGGCTTCACATTTTTATTTTGCAGTGTGCTTCACAAATTATGTAGTTGGTCCTGCAAAAAAGCTGTATCAATACAGGCTATGCTGGATATAATTAGTGTCTCACAGCAGGCTATGTAAGTGGTTGGCAAACTTTTCCTGCAAAGAGCTAAGAATATGTATTTCAGGTTTTGTGGCTCATACAGTCTTTTGCCTGAAGTACTCAACCTTGATGCTGTAGCTTGAAAACAGTGATAGACAATACATAAACTAGTTAATTTTGTAAATTTCATTTACAAAAGCAAGTCGGCTGCATTTGCCCCCCAACACAATACTTTGTCACACCCTGTGCTAGGCAAATGTTCTTAATCTCAGGTTACCAAGATTGTCTAAGAGATACATAGGTGGGGTGGGCAGCATTCTACTGTCATAACACGCATAGAACACTTTGGTACATTTTTCCCTAATTGAACTATACATACTATTGCTTTCCTAAAGTTAACATTACTCCAAAAGCTTTAGATGTAGTTAGTATACTTTACAATCCCATCAACCTCATGAACTATGAATTATTATCATCCTAAGTTTTCAAAAGAAACCAGGGCTCAGGGTTAAGCAGCTTCAACGAGTTGCACAGTAAGGGGTTGAGACCCAGAGCCTCCATGCATACCATGACACTGCATTGCATCAACTGGTGGAATGGGGAGCAGGCAGTTGGCTATCAGTAGTGTTTGCAAATACTGACATGTGAATGGTTTATTTATTTTATTTTTAAAAATATAAGTGATAGCGGATCCAGTGTCAGCCTTCTAATAACATCTTCCTTACTCACTAATATTATGCTTTCCTCCTGATGGAAAATTACAGCTTAGAACCTTCACTTGCACGTGCTTTCTGGGTACCCATGGCAGGGGCATGTACAAGTATCATCCAGCCCGTGCTGCAAGCAGAAAACCAGACGGGAAGTGCTGCTGAAGGTGTGAGGAGCAGGAAGGTGATGGGGTTGGAAGGGTGTTTGGCACCGTCTCTCTGCAGGCCTGACACTAAAGTTTAAAATGCTATTACTGTTGCTTTCTGGTTGCGCCTCCCACGAGGAGACCTGAAAGTGTCTCTAATACATACATACACTCATACTAATACCCCAAATCTACCTCTTCTTCACGAACTCTCTAATCCAAAGCAAATCTTAAGTATGCAATTTCCTGTTCTTGGCAAAGAATTGCCAACTCGGAAGAATGATGAAGAAAGAGAAGGATGAGATCACAGAAGTTCCTGCTCCATTTAGAATTTAGTCAGTGCAGTAGGGAGAGAAAGGGCACACATCACCTTCTTAGTTCCATTGGAAAGGATACGTTCCCCGGGGCTAGAAAGAAAACTCCCCTGCCTCAGGGCTGTCTTTGGATTTTTTGATTTCTAGAGAACTGCTTCCCATAGTCCAAGGAGAACAGCTCACTGATTCTTCAAGCTGTCCTTTCTGCCATGTGACAGCTTAGCAAAGGCTTTCTGTTTCCTGATTGCCAGCAGGCAAAAGGAGTGTTCTGGATAAGAGGTATGTTGGTGGCATCAAAAGAAAGAGACTGTTGGACAGCAAGTTGAGGAAACAGCCTTAAAATTAGGCAAAAAATTTCACGTGGAAAGATTTTTATGCATTTTTCTATAATTCTTCAACTACTACAAACAAGGGCACCAAACCCAAGTTATTGGCCGGGTGCGGTGGCTCACACCTGTAATGCCAGAACTTTGGGAGGCCAAGGGGGGCAGATCATCTGAGATCAGAAGTTTGAGACCAGCCTGGCCAACATGACAAAACCCTGTCTCTACTAAAAACCCAAAAATTAGCTGGGTGTGGTGGCATGCGCTTGTAATTCCAGCTACTCAGGAGGCTGAGACAGGAGAAATGCTTGAACCCAGGAGACAGAGGTTGCAGTGAGCTGAGATCGTGCCACTGCACCCCAGCCTGGGTGAGCGAGACTCCATCTGAAAACAAAACAAAACACAACAAACAAACAAATAAACAAAAGACTCCACAAGTTATTCCCATACAATTTTGAGCCCAGAAGCAACATATAATAGTCTTGTTAGAAGATCAGCTGTATAAACTCAACACTTAAGATAAGAAGTTAGACTTGGCCTCCTGGCCAGAAGGCTTACCATGGAAATTACAGTCCCCACCCCTTCTCCCTCTCTTTTTTTGAGTTCATAAAGCAATGATTCCAGATTTTAAAGAAGTCTTTACTTTTCCCACTCAGGGAAGAGCAGAGACACTTAAAAGTTGGCCAACCAGTTTTGTCGAGAAGCTTGTGGACAAAAGTGGAAATGGAGATATATTGTGACCACATTTCTGAGCAATTTTAACTCACTGGACTAACTGATATGACATGTCATATCAAATAGACAACAAGCAAATCAGGAACACACCTGCCAGTCCATTGTCAGAAAAAGAAGTGACTACTCAAGCAGCATGGTAGCCCAGTGGTAGGGCAGGTGGGGTCACCTCTCTTTATTTCTTTTTCTCCCTGACTTTCTATTTTGCCTCCATCTTGCTTTTCATTTTCCCTCTCTCTCTCATCATCAGGGAGTGGAATGTGCCTCACAGCAGCTTCCTAAGAGGCAGGAAGAGAAGGCTAAGTGTGTGAAGAAATTCCTCTCGAGCAGTTCGAATAACCTGTTTTCTCTGATTTAGTTCTGGAGAAGGCTGACAAAGAAGAGTTTGGTTATAAGGAGTGGAGATGATAAAGGTTTGCTTACAATGTGGGTTGGGTGGTGGGCATTTTAAATACTAGGGGTGGGGAGGCAGGGAGTGCTGCTGCCACCATCTCTAGAACTCAGTTCATTGCTCACTTAAACTGGTCTCCTCATTACTTTGACAGAACTGCTCTTGTACCTGAAGCTATGTTTAAATACGTTTCCCCATCCTGGCCATAGCAGGAAGACAGGGTAGTAATTTGAAATAAAAAGAAAAAGAATGGAAGACTCAAAGGCATTCCTTAAGCACCCTGCTAGGTAGCCTTCTACTCAGACCAGCCTTGGTCCATTGGTCCATTGGTCCCTGCCCTAAGCTCACTGTCAGGCGGAGAGGGGAGGTGTCAGACTTATAGTCCTGAAGATAGGGGCTCCCAGATGTAAGATGCATGTTAAGACAGGATGAGAGTTAATTTGGAGTCATCAGTTTTGAGGTACAAAAGAAAATCATTTTTCTTGCTCAGCGGCCACACCCTCATTTGATTCTAACATAATCTGTGTTAGTTATCTATTACTGTGTTACAAATTACCCCTAAAACAGAGCATCGTGAAAACAAACATTTGCTATCTCTTCATTTCTGTGGGTCAGGGGTCTGGGTGAAGCTTATGTGGGTCCTTTGCCTTAGGGTTTGTCATGAGGCTGCAAGCACAGTGACAGCTGGGGCCACAGATTTGTGGAGGCTTGCATGGGGGAAGATCTGCTCCAAGCTCACTCAGGCAGCTCCTAACCGACCTCTGGCTCTCTGTAGCTGCGGACTGGAGACACCAGTTTCTTGCCTCTCATAGGGCAGCTCACACCATTGCAGGGGCTTCCCTCAGAAATCAAACAAGGGAGAAAGGAATAGGAAGAGTGTGAGCAAGATGGAAGTCCCACACTTTTTGTAACCTTATCTTGGAAGTGGCACACTATCATTTTTGCTATATACTGTTTCTTAAAAATGCATTCACTCAAGGGGAAGAGATTGCCCAAGGGCATGAATACAAGGAGGCAGGGATTTCCAGGGACCATTTTAGTTGCTGCCTGTAACCAGCTGGACAACCAATGGTAGTCTTCAGACTGAAGTCTAAATGACTTTTGGTTGCCTTCAAAACCCAAATCCACCCTGCAAGAGTACAGAGCTACCACCATTGAGGATATTAAAAAATGAAAATGTCGTGAACTCTTATTTAAAGTATTTAAACTTCTGACTAGTTGAAGAAACTATGTCAAAGGAGACAACACCCTTTTGGATATATAAAATATGATGACTGCGAACCCCGTAGGTTCCATTCACACTGTATATTTGTTTTCATGATGAGGCTTTTGCATGTTGATAATTAGCCAAAATAACACTATTCCATTTTCCAAAGTAAAAATAAATTCCTTGTGTGAGTCTAGCTCCTACTAAATTGTAGGGGCTGTGACATGGGCAGGAAGGAGAGTGACTCCCTATAGTCACATGGTTTGGTCATTTAAGCCCCCAGACAGGCAGCAGAGGCCTGGGTACCTGAATCCAGCACCTTCTGGCAACTGCATCTAAACCTACACAGGCTGGTGCCAGCACAGCGTAACTGTGCTCAGCATGGGCAACATGATGGGAAGGAGACCCAGGACCAAGATGAATAGAACCGGCTCAGGTTCTAGCTAAGCACCAGATTCTACCAGGGTGCTTTGTCCACCCTGCTCTCTGTAAAGCTTTTGTCACTTTGCAAATTTAATTCTCATGGATTGGAAGAAGGGAAGTTCATATCTAGAAACTTGGAGACATTGTGAACCAGGAAAAAATGGTATCTTGATTGCTGGCTGCTCCAAGTCTTATTGGCTTGTGGCCAAGCTTTGGCCTGCTTGTTAGAGCTATGCAGGGAATGCAAAGAGGAGAGTCTAATTCTCTCAATGGGAGTCAGAAGCAGGGCTGATTTTCTCTACTCATATACTTAGAATTCACCCATAAGCCCACTCCCTTGGCCTCAAGTGGGGCTCTGGACTTTGGCCTAAGCCAGATTCCTTATTTCCTCTAACTTGCTCCTGGTTCTAGTTATTAAGCCAAAACTTTGTTCTAAACACAAGTTGTGAGTGATTGGGTCTTCTTATCTCTATCTTCAAAGATAAGTTATACATTAGCAAGATTATTAAAGGGTGGGGTAGGCTAAGAAGGCAGAAAGTTTAACTCATTAGTGACTAGAGTGGGTCTTCGAGGTCACTCAAAGTCTGGAAGAAAGGAACGCACTGGAGGAGGCACTGGTTTCCTTGCTGGCATTCAAATAGAAAGAGTATGCACAGCGGGCATGAGAAGAAAAGGCTCGGGGCAACTAAGCTTTTTCTGAACACTTCTGCAAGTCACTTAGGAAGCTGTCATCTGAGGGGCTCCTCCAAGTTCCACTCACAGACAAGAGTCCCAAAGAACTAGGATAGAGAGAATTAGCTTGTTGGTGGGAGTAGAGGAACCAAGCACAGGGTCTTACGATTTGATTTTTGTTTTCTCTTTTCTTTTCTTTTTTTTTTTTGAGACAGGGTCTCACTCTGTCACCAGGCTGGAGTGCAGTGGTATGATCTGGGCTCTCTGCAACCTCTGCCTCGAGGGTTTGAGCGATTCTCCTGCCTCAGTCTCCTGAATAGCTGGGATTACAAATGTGCACCGCCACGCCCAGCTGATTTTTGTATTTTTGGTAGAGACCAGGTTTCACCATGTTGGCCAGGCTGGTCTCGAACTCCTAACCTCAAGTGATGCACCCGCCTCGGCCTCCCAAAGTGCTGGGATTGCAGGCGTGAGCCACTGCACCTGGCCTGTTTTTTTGCTTTTAAGTATGCTTTCATATACACTGTTGTACATTATTTTAGGTAGTGAAGTGTGAAGTGTGAAGTGTGTGTGCGTGCCCCTGTGGGGGATAGAGGATTGCCTTATATTCATTTCTGTGTGTTAAGGTCCATAGAGGAAGTCCGTGCCCCCAGGCTAGCAGATAGTGCAGCGCAGAATGTCAGAATTAGCAAAATCTGCTCCCAATTCCTTACTTAAACCTTCCTAATGCTCTCAACAGTGTTTTAAACAAGTCAACACTTGCCCACGGGCCTGCTCTGCATTCTTCTGAGCAGGGTGCCAGAGTCAGTTAGTCTGAAGAACACAAAGGCTCAAGGAAAAGAACCTGCTTAGTCTCTGCCACACATATGTTAGGAAAAGAAAAAGGAATAAAAATGTTGAGGTCTGAGCTTTCATGCTGACCGGATCTATAAAAAAAGACTTTAAATTTTCTTTTATCTTCTTTAGCTATTGTTATTGCATTTTCAGTTCACATTATGATCAAGTGTTAGAGTGCACAATTAGTTAACAGATTACTTCAAGAAAGGTAGAAACTAATTCCAATAATAGGACAAGAAAAGATACGCTATTTCTGGTCAGCATCTATTTTGCCCCAAAACATGCTACAACTATTACTCATAGGTAAGCAAAGGAGAAGGAAAAATATCAAAAATCCTGAAAGGAAAGGAAAGAGGGAGGGAAGGACATAAACTGCAGGTCGTGTCATACGACTGTATTTACATTTGGACAAATGCACCTTTTATCAATTCTTTTGAATAAATATATATTTATAGTGTGTCTACATTAACAAAAGGGTTCAATAACATGAGTTAATTATTGACAGAGTTCCTATTGAATTTTTGGCTCAATTTCTAGCCTATGTTGAAAAAGTTAGACTTGGTACAAATTGACATGCTGCAAATGGCCTCATGCAAGCAATTGCAATAGTGCACCATGACATCTGGTTGTCCGCAGAGATGTGAAAAACTTCTGGTTCAGACACTGGCTAACAACGCCCTTTCTTCCCAGATAGTGTGACTTGGCTTAGGGGCTTGAATGTCCTTCCTTGGAACTGGCCGCAGAACTTTGGAAACTGAGAGTCCCATTTGGAATTGATAACTCATGTTCTGGGCAAAAGCAATACTAACATCAAGTCCTCCAAAGAATAGGAAAGCAAAACTCATTTTTTCCTCTATTAATAAAGAGAATAACTTCACATTTTTAGAGCTTAATTCTAACATTCAATGGAGAATTAAAATTTGGCATCAACAAATGTTCAAGTATTTATTAAGTGTTTTCCAACTCTCGGCACTGTTATAGGTGTTATAGTGAGCAGAAAACCCAGAAGACATAATTTCAGCCCTCAAAAATCATATACTGTGATTGAAGACTGAAGTACACGCTATACCAGGGTATCCCAAACTGAGGTGAAAGGATGGATTCACAGCTTCCATGGTTTTCCTGCAATTATTTGCAAAATTTTGTGTATATCTATTGTTTTTCAGAGGAGAATGGCAAGAGTTTTTTTCTTCTTCTTTTTCTTTTTCTTTTTTTTTTAGAGGGAGTTTCACTCTTGTTGCCAGGCTGGAGTGCAATGGCACGATCTCAGCTCACTGCAACCTCCACCTCCTGGGTTCAAGTGATTCTCCTGCCTCAGCCTCCCAAGTAGCTGGGATTACAGGTGTGTGCTACCATTCCTGGCTAATTTTTGTATTTTTAGTAGAGACAGGGTTTCACCATGTTAGTCAGGCTGGTCTCGACCTCCTAACATCAGATGAGGCACCTGCCTCGGACTCCCAAAGTGTTGGGATTACAGGCGTGAGCCATCGTGCCTGGCCGAATGGCAAGAGTTTTAAATCAGATATTTAAAGAAGTCCATTTCCTAAGAAAATATCTAATAACCTGGGAGCTATTTATTATATATTAATAGTAAAAATAAGAACTAACATTTATTATTGTGCCAGGATTCATGCTAGGCACTTTACATTTGACTCATTAAATGGTCACAATAACCCTATGGAGTAGGCGTTATTATTTTCCCATTTTACAGATATAAAAACTTAGAGAGAAGGCAAGTCAAAGGGTGCTTGATTAGTAACTGTTAGCTTAGGAGTTGAACTCAGATCTATTTGATAGCAAAGTCTGTGTTCTTAATCTCTGTGATACATAATAAGAAAAACATATGGGAGTTGAAAAGCAGTAAAGGACAAAAGTAGAAGAGATGTCAGAAGGCAGAGAATCTGGGCACAGTGAGCAGTGGCCAAGTTGGCTACAAATGCTAGAATAATGTGCTAAGAAATGTCTTGATGGAGGTGAGAATTGAATAGAGACTTGTAAAAAAAAAAAAAAAGAGGATTTTCTAATTTAGTGTTCAGGACCATTTAGCAATACTTCCTGCAATCCCAGTTGGTGCTAGCTGGAATGCCTAGCCGTAACATTTTAAGCCTTTAAGTGTGCTTCTATATTCAACAAAGTAAATAAATTTTTGCACTCTTACAAAGGCAAGCAAATGTCTGGGCTCTGGAGGAACGTACAAATGTGAATAAGATAAGGTCCAGCTCACAAACTGGTGAAAACACATAGGTAGGGAATTCTGATGGAAAGAGGCAAAGTTTAGGAACACAATGAAAGGAAAGCCTTTGGCAGCAGCCTGACAGAGATGGTATCTCAGCATGTTGCCTAGGCTGGTCTGGAACTCCTGGCCTCAAGCAATCCTCCTGCCTCGGCCTCCCAAAGTGTTGGTTTTACAGGCGTGAGCCATCGCAGCCAGACAGGCTTATCTTCGTGGAACAAGTTGGATTGAGTTTGGCATAAAGGAGTGGTCAGGATTTTGGCGGGGAGATAGGGGGAAGGAGATTTCAGGGCTGAGATCTGAATGGGCTGCCTCTTCACCTCATTGGCTTAGCTCCACACTTTGCTGGGATTTCTGCTTTTGAGTCCTGTCTGTAGGCTCCACTTCTTCATCACTATTGTTAAGGGGACACTGGCAGATCTAATTTCTTGGCTGGTACTACCTTAGGCTGGTCAAATGAAACTCCAGGTTGCAAAGCTGGGCTCATAGGCATAGCCCAGCATTTACAAGGGGGAGCTATGGTGCCCTTGCTTGAGATATTTATTTGCTTTCTACACTGAGAATCTCTCAGCAAATTTTTTTTCCTTTAATCAAAGTTGCCATAAATGAGCCTCTGGCTCTCCAGGTGACCTTACCTCAGGAAGGTCTCTGTACTTCTGAATGGCTGTACCCAATTCAGAGCGTCAGATATACTGCTGCCTCCTTCCCCTGGCTCTGTAGCATTGGAGTTGTTTTCAGAGGGGAAATCTGTGCATCTCCCCCATGCTTCATGGTCCTTCCAACTGTTCTAATGCAGGGTTAGACATTCCGAAGTTAACCCTTCACCCTTTTCCCCCATAGGTCTTTCTCAGCAAATGACAGATGGACACAGGTGAATTGACCCAGATCTTCATCCTATGTCAGGAGAATCCTCACTCAACTCACTAGGTACATTTGAGTTAACCTTAGTTAAGGCTCTTTTGAGGTATCCATTTAATAAACTGTTAGTACAGTTCATCTGAATTCAGTTATTTCTGATAAAAACTTAGATTTTTTTAAAAAGGGCTATATAGGGTAAACTATAACATTTACCTTTAACATCTGAAATGGACTAGTTAGTACTAGGAGGCCACATGCTCCACGGGCTTTTGCTTCAACTTGTCTTGAACCCTTGGAGACATCATTCACCCCTCTAGTCCTTGTTTTCCTTGCTTGTATATGGGGTGGATGTTGTTTAAAGTTCCCTCCAGAATTGACTTATCTAAGAAATTACAGATACCGTTTTCATTTGTTCACATGTAAGTTATAAGAGCATGCATGAAGGTACTGGTGAGTGTGGTGGCTCATGCCTGTAATCCTAGCACTTTGGGAGGCCAAGGTGGGAGGATTGCTTGAGCTCAGGATTTTGAGACCAGCCTGGGCAACAGCAAGACCTAATCACTATAAAAAATTCAAAAATTAGCTGGGCGTGGTAGTGCACGCCTGCAGTCCCAGCTACCTGGGGGGCTGAGGTGGGAGGATAGCTTAGGAGGTCAAGTCTGCAGTGAGCCATGATGGTGCTACTATACTTGAGCCTGGGCAACAAAGCAAGACCCTGTCTCAAAAAATAAAAAGTTTAAGCTTCTCACTCTTCCTGTTGTTGACCTCAGTGGTCCTTCTAAGGATACAAGCTGCTCCCTCTTAAAGAGGCTCTGTAGTTTTTACTCTCTCTCTCTTTCTGTCTTGCTCGCACATTCATATACCATTTGAGGCTCACATAATGGATCAGGCTATTTACTTTCCCTTTCAAGAAACCTTGTCATTTGATTGGGATAGATCTGATATCTGGGACATCTGGGTCATGTGTTATTAGGAGGAGAATCTAACTGACCTTTCCCACCTCCCCACCTCCTATAATAAATGCTTCTCTCTAACATCTTCTGCTTTCTTCTCTTTAAAGTGACCCCTGCCTATAGCAACCTTATGAGTGGGCACAGGGCATAGTTAACTTCCAGAGGCATTTGCTGTCTCAGACAGAGCTGCAGCTGCCTGGGGCTGGTAGAAAGTCTACTGGTTGATCATCAGTTCGGACTAATCATTACCCACTAAGCATAGATGACCATGTGGAGGGCAGGCTGCAATGGACGGTGCTTTACTTTCCCTTGCCAGGGCTGTCTAGATGAACCAGACTTCCACCAAACTGGAAGTAGCATTGGAGACACTTTCCAGGTTACAGTGTGAGGTGTTAGAATGAATACTCCAGTTCAGTGTGGGTGGACTCACGTATCTGCATTTTAAACAAGTGCCCATTTGATTCTTGTGGAAACTAACTTTTCTTCCAAGCTGTAACCGCTAGCTAACTTTATATTACATAGTCATCTGATTATTGCCTTCCTGCTTCACACCCACTCCCTGCCCTCCCTGTAGAATGCTCCAGGATTATACAAAATTTGTCTTTTGGCTTGCTACTACATGTATCTCCAGAATCTGGTACATAATAGATGTTTAAATGACTACTTATTAAATGAGTTAAAGTCTAAAAAACAGTCTATCTTGACAGGTTGCAGAATACTGATGACTCATGTGTTTCTTATAATAAAATTTCCTCCTGATATGTTGTGATAACATTCTTGTGAGTGTGTTTGAATATGTGGAGGTAGATGGAAGGAAAGATTGGTTTAATTCACTACTCTGCCCCAGGATTTAGGATGTGGACTTGAGCCAAATAAATGCAATATCTCTGGATTTTAAACTAGACCACTTATACTGTGGGCCTATATGCTTTTAAAAACATTATTTCTGTTAAAACCAGACTTCTATACTGAACCAATTGAACAGATAGTCTAGAATAAAATAATTTGCTGTTAGAGTTTGACTGTAAATCAGCCTCTGTATAAAGAAAATGTTTGACGGTCTTATGGCAGTGAAACATAAACAAACTGTAAATACATTCTTTTCACTGGTTTGTCAGGCTGGGCAAAACTTGACTGTTCACATCATCTTTGTATGGTCTATCAAAGTCTCAAATGAAAATATATTTTTGAGCTTTGTAAGATCCCAACAAAGAAAAATAAAGAGTTCCTTCGTCTACAGACCAAGCACAAGTATTAGGTGGCCTGCCAAGCTCCAAGCAGAACAAGAATGTGGCTGTTGCAGCCAAGTTCAGCTATCATAAATTTAAATATGCATTCCTTCTACTTGAGAATGGCTTATTTCCGTCACTTAGAGGAAGAGCTGACTCTTCCCTTGCAGACAAGCACCAGGCTTGGAAAAAAGCTATAAAGTAAATTAAAGTACCACAAGGTATTTACTAGCCTGCAAAATGTGCACCACGTTTAAGATCTTTCCAGCATGCTTCGTGATGAGGCTAAACAGATGAAATTATGCAACTATAGCCAAACTCCATCTCCAGTCTTACCTGTAAATGGTAACTCACAACCAAAGGGAGCAGAAAAAGAAATACTGGAAAGGAGAGAAACCAAATTTTGTGCTGCTTCACTGAGAAACATTTAAATGAAGGATAAAGAGCCAAGGGAAGCACCGGGAAAGAAAATATAATTTTCACTACACTCTATCGGAACCACCACCCCGATAATAGTGTTATTGGCACATTAGCTGTATGGTTGTGTTTACTGAAGTATTCTTTGGATACAGGTCATATGGTCAGGCTATCCTGTATTTAAAAAGCAAGATTGGTCTTAGAGATAAGACCAGGCAAGTCATCAAATATAATGCTTAATTATGTGGAGGGAGGACATTTACAACCAGGAACCGGAACTGAGCTGAGATGTTGAAGTGATTGACCAGTGAGAATTCACTTGAAGCCTGAACAGGGACAAAGAAAAGGATGTTTGGACACTGACTCTTACGTATCAAAAAGAAAAAAAGGATTTGCATGGGGCAGCAAAATGAAAGTTAGGAAGCAAGAATCCTTGAAAATTTCTATAAACATTGTGAATTGACATTGCCTTGTATCCAAATTAACTCTGGTAGCTCCACGTTACCTTGACGGGTGAATATTTTCTCACATCTTTGATTTTTTTCTTATGATTTTATCATGTAAATAAAGAAGAAGGAAGAAGGGAAGGTAATGAACATGTATTGAGTGTCTACTATGTGTCCAGAGTGTTACATATGTGCTCATAAAGTTCCCAAATTCTCTTGCCTTTGGGGTTTCTTTTAAATGCTCAACAAATGTAACCCGATGCTCCATTCCACAGGTTCTCATCTTCCTGAGTTTCCCCTTTCTTAGTAATCTTGTGCTTGCTAGAAAATGCACCCTCAGTCCTCTGATCTGGCTTTTGTCATCTCTCACATTAGACTTCTCTTTCAGGCATTTCTCTTCACACTTTTTGATTTCTGTAATGCCCTCTGGCTTCTCCCCACCCTGAGGCAC
This sequence comes from Homo sapiens, assembly GCF_000001405.40. NCBI lineage: Eukaryota > Metazoa > Chordata > Mammalia > Primates > Hominidae > Homo > Homo sapiens. Next base: position 68,026,544 of record NC_000005.10, on the reverse strand, counting down.
TCTTGGTATGAACAAATACTCTTCTCCTTTTCTCAGAAAGCATGGTTACTACCTACCAATTTTTAATGTATGATAAAACTTTACAAATAGCTTGAGAATAACAGAAGACAATTACAATGCCAAGATGGAAAATTCAGACTATATATCAGACATTCCTACTCCTGGAAACACAAACCAAGCTCCTTCACAAAGGATCAGTGATTGGTTGCTTCCTCCTGAGCCCCAGTCTGCTACCCTGGTCAGGGGCTGTCCCCACTCCCTCAACTCTGTACTCACTAGACTTAGGCCAAGTTTCCCTCAACCTGTCTTAATGTCCCAGACCTGTCTTAATGTCTTAATTATTGTGCATAGAAGTCTAGCTCCTCATTCTCCAAAATGTCTTAGTTGTGAAATGGGATTTGGCCTTTTCCTTTGGATAATGAAATCCCCCTTGAAATGCTCTTCACAGACAAAAGCGTCAACTTCCTCCAAAAGCACATTCTTGAGCAACAGTTACAAATTGCAGGTGGCTTTCAGATAGTAATTATATATATATATTTTAATTATTATATGTATATATATATTTTTCTTCTTCTTAGACATGGCTACACACATTGCTATGATCTGAATATGTCACCCCAAATTTATGTGTTGGAAACTTAATTTCCAATGCAACTGTGTTGGGAGGTGGGGCCTAGTAAGAGGTGTTTAGGTCATGAGGGCTCTGCCCTCATTAATGGATTAATGCCACGATCTAAAGGGCTTGTGGGGTTGGGTTTGCTCTCTTCTGCTCTTCTGCCATGTGAGGACACTGTAAGAAGTCCTTACCAGATGTTGGTGCTATGATCTTGGACTTCTCAGCCTCCAGAACCGTGAGGAATAAATTTTTGTTCTTTATAAACTACCCAGTCTCAGGTATTTTGTTATAGCAGCAAATATTAAGTAAAATATATGTAGCCCAAATTTTCTATCTATTTAATTGCTCATTGTCTGTCTTCCCTTACTGGAATGTAAGCTCCATAAAGGTATGATTTTTGTGTATGTATGTATTGCTATATCTAAAACAGTGTCTGACACTTAATAGGCACTCAGTATACGTTTGTCAAGTGAATAAATCTTATTTAACCCTCAATATAAGCCTGTGGGATAAGTATTATATTTTATTTATTTATTTTTTTTATTTTTAAGAGATAGAGTCTTGCTCTATAACCTACGCTGGAGTGCAGTGGCATGATCATAGCTCACTGTAACCTTGAAAACTCCTGGGCTCAAGTGATCCTCCTGCCTCAGCCTCCTGAGTAGCTGGGACTAAAATACATATTTTAAATATATATATATATTTTATATATTATAAAAATATATTTAAAATATACAATTATATATTATATATTATTTATATATAAATGAAAAATGTATATGTATTTTTTGTAGAGATGGTGTCTTGCTATGAAGTCTAGGCTGCTTTCAAACTCCTGGCCTCAAGTGATCCTTCCACCTAGGACTTTCAAAACATTGGAATTATAGGCAGAAGCTGCCATGCCTGGCCCAAGATAAGTATTATTACCCTTATTTTCCAGAAGAGAAAAAAGAATTTAAAAGAATATAAATGACTTTTCCAGCCTCCCACAGATAGGAAGTGCTACAACAGTTTTGATGAGCTTCAGAGCCAATGCTATTTCTGATACATTTACTTTTTTTCATGTTGTTCCCAAATAGCATTTGCCAACTCACATTTATTAAAGGTTTTGTCTGAGCTTATCCAGGCTTTTAAAGAGGACTCTTTCTCAGGGGAATAATGGGGGTGGTGACAGAGTCCCAAGGGAAATGCAACAGTGTGGAGTCAGAACCACATATTCTAAGGTCTTTAACTTCTTGAAATTCCTCCTAAATTCAATTCTTACCTTTGATAAAAACAAAACAAAACAAAAACCCTAGTGACTGGTAACCTTTGCATGGTTTTCCAGCATGGATTTGTTCCAGGTTTGAGAGTTCTTTGTTCTCTCTCCTGGTCCAAAGCCTAGTCTTGAAGAGCTTGTTGCATTTTGATGCCATGGAAGAGAACAAACTTGGATAATTGACAGTGGAAAAAATTCACAACTTTAAAACCCTGAGGCCCACTGTGTCAAACCTGTACACTCACAGGCCACCATGAGTTAAGAAGAGAAGCAGAAGAAAGAGCAAGAAAGAAAATAAATTCTTAGCAAGATCACTTCAGCCCCCAAATCATTTCATGGATCTTATTTGCTTTGTTACCTACAATGGTATCTAACTCATAGTACATAAATAAGTAATAAATATCTGATAGTTGACTAACTGGATGAATTCCTTTTACGTTGTGTATTCTCTTTGCTTTTAAATCTGGACCCACCTCATGTACTTTGTTCTTGAGAACTCTCTAGGGTCTTTCTGAAGGACTGTAGAGCTGGTAGCTTTATGGTTTCACATCTCAAGATGTCAAGTTTGTCGACTTCATATGCCTGAGGTACAGGGAATATGCAGAAAAGAGCTAGACAAAAATGGAAGAAGCTGCCCAACTAAAAGTTTCCATAGTAACCATGTCTATGCTACCCCTTACTCCTTTCAGGAAACAACAATCATCCGCTCTAAACAAGTGATCTGAATAGGAGTGGCTGTCTTGTTAGGTGCTTCCTTCTCTCTGGCCCCTTAGTTAAGTTGGTCGAGAGTTGCACTGAGTCAGCCTAGACATACTTCCTCCCTGTTTCTTTTTCTTTTCTTTTTTTTGAGACAGAGCCTCACTCTGTTGCTCAGGCTGGAGTGCAGGGACACAATTTTGGCTCCCTGAAACTTCTGCCTCCAAGGTTCAAGCGATTCTCTTGCCTCAGTCTTTGGAGCAGCTGGGATTTCAGGCATGTGCCATCATACCCAGCTACTTTTTGTAGTTTTAGTAGAGCTGGGGTTTCCCCATGTTGGCCAGGCTGGTCTTGAACTCCTGACCGCAGGTGATCTGCCCACCTTGGCCTCCTACAGTGCTGGGATTACAGGCCCACCTGTTTCTTTTTTCAATCTGAAATCTGTAGGGAAGATTTTACTTCTGATTGGGAAGTTATTAGGGACTTGGTGTGAACATAGGACTGGTGATGACTAGATTCCTGCCACCTAGAGAAACTGTTTTATGAAAGTACTGCCAGCAATTTTTCTAATAGTCAAAAAGCGAAAGTAACCCAAATGTCTGTCAACTGATGAATAGATAAAAATTGGCATATCCATAACAATGAATATTATTCAGTCATTAAAAGGAATGAATTACTGACACATGCTACAACATGGATGCATTTTAAAAACATTATGCTAGGTGAAATAAGCCAGTCATAAAAGATCATGTATTTTATGATTTCATTTATATGAAATATTCAGAAAACACAAACCTGTTGAGATGGAACATAAACTAGAGGTTACCTAGAAGTGGGAGTGATGGTAAGGTTTTGGGGAGGGTTGATGGCTAAGGGGTGAAAGGTTTCTTTATGGAGTAATGAAAATATCCTAAAATTTATTATCATGACAGGTGCAAAACTCTGTGATTATACTAAAGTCATTAAATTGTACACTTTAAGTGGGTCAGATGTATGGCATGCAAATTATATCTCAATAAAGCAGTTAAACAAGAGAGAGAAATAGAGTAATACTAACCATAACAGAAGTAGATGCATGTTGTTTGAGTTGCTGGTTCTAAACTTTTGTTATGTATATTCCAGCCTTAATCTCTCCAAAGTTTGGTTTGATGAGCCAATACAATCTCAATGCCTTTCTCTTCTTCCTTTCCTCCCCTTTTTCTTTTTAAAATTTTGCTTAAGCAAATTCATGGTGATTTTCTGTCATTTGCCATAACAGCCCTCCTGTTACAAGGGAATTATATTTCCAAGGAGGTCGGGATGTACCGTCCCATCAGAAGACTGCTCTTCACACTGCGTAAAATACTATCACAGATCCTTACACATATGGATGCTCAGTAAATGCTTAAATCTAAACTTAAATGATGGAGTTTTTTCCATGGGGTATTAGATTCAGTGCTTCTGTCTCTTTAGCTCAAGTCGGTTTTCTTCAAAGGCGTTATGTTGATTATCTTCGAAATCCTATCTGGGAGCTTTTTCCAGCATTCACAATTTCCTCTGAAAAAAAATTAAGCTTTCACTTGCTGCCTTGAATTTAATGGGACCATATTTATGGACTTACAGATCTATTTTTGGGTGTTCCCACAAGTCTTTAGGTGGTAGGCAGAGTTTTGAAAAATTACTTTTCAAACCTAAGCAAATGAAATAATTGCAGGTTACAGTGGACACCAGCATGTACAGAGGCAGGCTGCTGTGGCTCCATTGCCCAATGCAAGCATGTACACGTGCATGCAGACACACTCCATATCCACTCACATCCCTACCTTTGTGCTTAAAGGTGTTTGTGTTGCCAGATAATTCTTGAACTGTGTCTGGCCTGTTGGGAAATTCAGGAAAAGCAAATGCTAGCAAATATTCTATTACACTTATTTAAATATGTGGAAAATGCAACTGCATGATGCAGCACAATGATTACGTTTTAACTCTTTATGAAAGAACACTTATTTAGAGCAGTGGTTCTCAGACTTTACTATGCATCATAATCACCTCAAGGGCACGTTGAAACACCGGTTGCAGTGCTGTTTCTGATACACTTAATTATTTTCATATTGTTCCCCAATAGCGTTTGCCAACACCTAGAGTTTCTGATCCAGTAGGTCCAGGGTAGGCCTGTGAATGTGCATTTCTAACAAGTTCGTGGGGGTTGCTGCTGCTGCTGCTGCGGCTGCTGGTCTGGGGAACACACTTTGAGAGCCATTGACTTATAGTATAAAGTCGGGTGCTTGATTTTTCTAAACCGATACTTAATTTGGGGACTAATATTTCTTAGGGCTTAGAATTGTAACTTGATCTAGTGACTTGGAGGTGAAAACTTCATAGCTCATTTCTCATTCCTGAAGCCTCAGTTTTAAATTAAATGGTCATTGTTTTAGTTTCTAAATGTTCCATTGCAAACATCAGTTTTTGTCCAATTCTATGGTTGTGCTTTCCACATCAGCTAATTCCCAACATCATTAAAAATCCTAGGGGGACAGCGGAAAATGTAAATTCCCAACTGAGCAGGATCTGGCAGAGAGGTAGGGGAGGAGGGTGGAGTGGCTGGATTCTCAACTGTCAAATGCACAACTATCTAAAAATAAGTCCCCTCAGTCAAGAAGACTGGCTCAGAGATGAAAACTGGGGATGATTAAGAACTGTTCGCAGAATTGCCTTTGAGGTATATAAGTCTTCATGTGACATTTTCTTTTTTTCCTTCCACTGAGAGAAAAAAAAAATGTGCTGAAACACCGAAATACCAAATTTTGTGTGACTTCAAATAACATTATGAGAAAGGGCAAGTCAGCAAGGAGGACACAAGGAATTTCAGTGCTCAGCTTTAAAATATTTTTGCTAAGTTTATTAGGCCCTCTATAAAAGCAGTGTTCTGTGTGTGTGGTATGTAGGCACACATACATATATTACATTCTTACATACATATGTCCGTGTCTTTTATCAGACCTTTGGATCTTTCAAAAAATTTTAATGCAATTGAGAGGTGACAGCGTACTGGCAGTCCTCACAGCCCTCGCTCGCTCTGGGCGCCTCCTCTGCCTGGGCTCCCACTTTGGCGGCACTCGAGGAGCCCTTCAGCTCACCGCTGCACTGTGGGAGCCACTTTCTGGGCTGGCCAAGGCCGGAGCTGGCTCCCTCAGCTTGCAGCGAGGTGTGGAGGGAGAGGCGCGAGCAGGAACCCGGACCGCGCGCGGCGCTTGCGGGCCAGCTGGAGTTCCGGGTGGGCGTGGGCTTGGCGGGCCCCCGCACTCGGAGCCGCCGGCCGGCCCTGCCAGCCCCGGGCAATGAGGGGCTTAGCACCCGGGCCAGCGGCTGAGGAGGGTGTACTGGGTCCCTCAGCAGTGCCAGCCCACCGGCGCTGCTCTCGATTTCTCACCGGGCCTTAGCTGCCTTCCCGCGGGGCAGGGCGCGGGACCTGCAGCCCGCCATGCCTGAGCCTCCCACCCCCTCCATGGGCTCCTGGGCGTCCCGAGCCTCCCCGATGAGCGCCGCCCCCTGCTCCACGGTGCCCAGTCCCATCGACCACCCAAGGGCTGAGGAGTGCGGGCGCATGGCGCAGGACTGGCAGGCAGCTTTACCTGCAGCCGCCGTACGGGATCCACTGGGTGAAGCCAGCTGGGCTCCTGAGTCTGGTGGGGACATGGAGAACCTTTATGTCTAGCTCAGGGATTGTAAATACACCAATGGGCACTCTGTATCTAGCTCAAGGTTTGTAAACACACCAATCAGCACCCTGTGTCTAGCTCAGGGTTTGTGAATGCACCAATCGACACTGTATCTAGCTACTCTGGTGGGGCCTTGGAGAACCTTTGTGTGGACACTCTGTACCTAGTTAATCTAGTGGGGACGTGGAGAACCTTTGTGTCTAGCTCAGGGATTGTAAACGCACCAATCAGCTCCCTGTCAAAACAGACCACTTGGCTCTACCAATCAGCAGGACGTGGGTGGGGGCCAGATAAGAGGATAAAAGCAGGCTGCCCGAGCCAGCAGTGGCAACCCGCTTGGGTTCCCTTCCACACTGTGGAAGCTTGATCTTTCGCTTTTTGCAATAAATTTTGCTACTGCTCATTTTGGGTCCACACTACTTTTATGAGCTGTAACACTCACCGCAAAGGTCTGCAGCTTCACGCCTGAAGCCAGCGAGACCACGAGACCACCGGGAGGAACGAACAACTCCAGACTCGCCGCCTTAAGAGCTGTAACAGTCACTGCGAAGGTCTGCAGCTTCACTCTTGAGCCAGCGAGACTACGAACCCACCAGAAGGAAGAAACTGAACGCATCCGAACATCAGAAGGAATAAACTCCAGACACACCACTGTAAGAGCTGTAACACTCACCGCGAGGGTTCGCAGCTTGGTTCTTAAAGTTAGTGAGACCAAGAACCCACCAATTACGGACCCACAATGGTACAGAATGCTGCACATGGCATAAGTGTACAGCTTGAATTTTCACAGAGTGTACACAACTCTGCAATAAGTATTCAGATAAAGGGATAAGTCATTATCCCCACGTCCCTGACATATTCCCCCTCTAGGGTACCCTTTCCTGTCTTCTGACAGCATATAGATGTTTACAATTTATTTATTTATTTTATTTATTTATTTATTTTTTGAGATGGAGTCTCGCTCTGTTGCTCAGGCAGGAGTGCAGTGGCGCAATCTCGGCTCACTGCAAGCTCTGCTTCCCAGGTTCATGCCATTCTCCTGTCTTAGCCTCCCGAGTAGCTGGGACTACAGGTGCCCGCCACCACACCCGGCTAATTTTTTGTATTTTTAGTAGAGATGGGGTTTCACTATGTTAGCCAGGATGGTCTCGATCTCCTGACCTCGTGATCCACCCACCTCGGCCTCCCAAAGTGCTGGGATTACAGGCATGAGCCACCGCTCCTGGCCCTACAATTTATTTTTAATTGGCAAATAATAATTGTGTATATTTATGGTATACAATGGGATGTTTTGATTTATGTATATATTATAGAATGAGTCAATCAAGTTAATTAACATATAATCTCACTAACTTTTTTTGTGGTAAGAACATTAAGAATCTATTTTTTTTAAGCCATTTTGAAATATACAATACATTATTATCAGCTGTGGTTACCGTGCATGCAACAGATTACTAAAATGTATTCCTCCAAAGGTACAAAACTTTGTACCTTTTGATCAACATCTTTCCTTTCCCCATCTCTCTCCCTCTCCATCAGCCCCTGGTGACCACTTTTACTCTGTGTTTCCATGAGATAGACTTTCTAAGATTACACATATAAATGAGATCATATAGTCTCAAAGAAATTTGTCTTTCTGTGCCTGGCTTATTTCACTTACCATAATGTCCTCCAGTTCCATCTATGTTGTCTCGAATGATAGAATTTCCTTCTTTTTAAAGGCTGTATAGTATTCCGTGTATATTTATACCACATTTTCTTTTTCCATCTATCTATTGATGGACACTTAGGTTGGTTCCGTATCTTGGCTATTGTGAATTATGCTGAAATGAGTGCAGATATCTCCTTGACAGAGTGATTTCAATTCTTTTGGATATATACTTGGCAGTGAGATTGCTGTATTATATGGTAATTTTATTTTTAATTTTTTGAGGAGCATTCATGCTGTTTTCTGAGATGGCTGCACTGATTTACATTCCCACCAACAGTGTACAAGGGTTTTCTTTTCATCCCCACCTTGCCAATGCTTGTTATTATTTGTCTTTTTGATATTACCCATTCTAACAGGTATAAGGTGATATCTCACTCTGGTTTTAATTTGCATTTCCCTAGTGATTAGAGGTGTTGAGCACTTTTTTCATATATCTGTTGGCTGTTCGTATCTCTTCTTTTGAGAAATGTCTGTTCAGATTCTTTCGACAGCAAGTGGGTTTGTTTGTTTTTTTGTTGTTGTTGTTTTGAGATGGAGTCTTGCTCTGTCACCCAGGCTGGAGTACAGTGGTGTGATCTTGGCTCACTGCAACAGCTACCTCCTGGGTTCAAGTGATTGTCCTGCCTCAGCCTCCTGAGAAGTTAGGATTATAGGCACCCGCCACCACGCCCAGCTAATTTTTACATTTTTAGTAGAGATGGGGTTTCACCATGTTGTGCAGGCTGGTCTCGAACTCTTGACCTCAGGTGATCCACCTGCCTCAGCCTCTAAAAGTTCTGGGATTACAGGTGTGAGCCACCGTGCCCAGACACATATAGATTTTGACTTTTATTTTTCCTTTTATATAAATGGAATCACACAATATATATTCTTTCATATCTGTCTTCTTTCAGGTTTCTGAGAACAATCAGGCTCTAATACATTTAAAATTTTTAATTTAATTTGTGATCGAAAAAGTAATATATGTGGCAAAATTTTAAAAATGAAATTTAAGCAGTTCCAAAAATATAAAATAAAAATAATTAACTGTGCAGTTTAATGGTAGATTATTTGTTTTCATTAGTGTACAGCATTCCGTTGTGTGACTACACCGTAATATATTTATCCATTCAATTATTGATGGACATTTGGGTAATTCCCAGTTTGGGATATTTGCTCTGGTTTGAATATGGTTTGTCCCCACCAAAATTCATGTTGAGTCTTGGTCCCCAGTATGGCGGTGTTTAGAGGTAGTGTCTTTAAGATGTGATTAGGTCATTAAGATAGATTAATGCCTTTCTTGAGAGACTGTGTTAGTTCTCACAGGGATGGATTGGCTCCCATGAGAACAGGTTGTTGTAAAGCCAGGTGGCCTCTTGCACACATCCACTTCCCCTTCTGCTTTTCCACCATGGTATGACACAGTACAAGGCCCTTGCCGAAGCTGCCCAGGTGCTGGCCCCTCAATCATGAACTTCCCAGCCATTTGAATAATGAGCTAAATAAACCTCTTTTCTTTCTAAATTACCCAGTCTTGGGTACTTTGTTATGGCAACACAGATTGTGCCAAGACAGTACTATAATAAGTAGAACCGCTATGACAATTCTGGATAATCTTCCCATTTCAAGATTCTTAACTTACTTAAAAAAAAATAGAGACAAGTTCTTATTATGTTGCCCAGGTTGGTCTCAAACTCTTGGGCTCAAGCTATCCTCCTGCCTCAGCCTCCCAAAGTTTTGGAGTTACAGGTGTGAGCCACTGCATCCAGCCAAGATTCTTCACTTAATTACATCTGCCAGATCCTATTTCCATGAAAGGTAACATTCACGGGTTCCAGGAGTTTGCACCTGATATCTTTGAGGGGCTATTTATCAGCCTACCATGAGAAGTTTCAATCAAGCCGTACTACATTTTAAAAATTGAATTTAATTTTGTGACTGAAAAATAATACATGTGGCAAATTAAGAAAAAAATTCAAACAAAGCAAAAAGACATAAAATAACAGGTGATTATTCACCCAGCCCCAGTTTTCTTTCTTCAGAGACAGCAGCTACTCCCAGTTTCCTGCATATACTTCTTGAAGTATTTTATGCATGTACAGGCATATATAGATATATATGTATCTGTATATGTATAAATTTAGCTAGTTTTCTATTTATGGACATTTAGTTTGCTTGTAATCTTTTGCTTTAATAGACAATGCAATGAACATCTGTATAATCGCAAGCAATTTGCTCCTACAGGATGTTTCTAAGATAAAATTGCTGGCTCGTGGGTTATGTGAATTTAAAATTTTAGGAAAAATTGCCAATTGTCTGCCTTGATTTACAGTTCCACTACCCATGTCCCTTATTACTTTTCATATCAATGAAAATTGATCAGTTGTTTCAGGGCCACTAGCTGGCATGCTGAGCATGCTCTGGGGTGAGAAGTGACTAGGGGAAGGGCAAACAATGATGCAGCTGCCTGGGCATGAGATAACAGCACCTGGGGCCAGAGTGGATGCAGACAGGGTACAGAGAAAGTAATGCATCTGAAACAAATGAGTCTACGGGACTAGGACTGGCTGTTTAATTTACAAAGCCCAGTGCAAAATGAAAACCTGGGTCTATTATTTAAAAATTAGTAACAATTTCACTGAGATGAGAGCGGGGTTTTAAACCAAATTTATGGCTGTTCTTAGCATGCGGCCCCATACAACTGCTCAGAGTGCATGCCCACAGAGCTGGCCCTGTTGAAGACTGGGTAACAGATTTATTGCAGGACACAAAGAAGAATGAAAATCCCAGGAATGTAAGGATGTAAAGTGAAGCAAATGTATCACATCACTATCTTCATCATCACCAATAACTCTATTGTAATCATATGCTGTGTCTTTGTCCTGCATGGACTTCTAATTCAATGAAGGACCCAGGCCATAGTCAGAAAATAATAACAAATAATGGGAGACAGCTAGCCTCAAATTTTTGTGTGAACCAGAAGCCTGTGGGGAAACTTGGTAAAATACAAAGACCTTATTCATGAAGCCTGGCCTCAATAGTTTCTATTAGCTCTGCACAGCATTCTGATACACGCTACTGTTTGAGAACCACTGAGAAGAAACCACTGCTATACGAGATCGTCAGGATATTGACTGACAGTATCTGCTACAAGGATACACAATGAGGCTGTGGGAGAGGTTCTCAAACTTTAGTGAGCATTGGCATCACCTGGGGAGCTTGTTAAAATGCAGGTCCTTGGCTCTTATAACAACAGAGTCTTACTCTGTGGGTCTAGGGTGGGAGCTCAGAAACTGGCATTTCATTCTGAACCAGATAGTTTGAGGAACATAGTTTTAAAAATATTGGTCTATGATTTACAGGGAAATTGTTTTGGAATGAAATGACACTGTAACTTGGATTGAGGGAGAACAAAACTTAAATGAGACGGTGGGAGAAGAGAGGCAGTTGGAGGGGAGAGAGAGAAAGATGAAAGAAAAAAAGGAAGGAAGCTTGTAGGGAGGAAGGGAGAGAAAACAGGAAGGAAGGAAGGAAAGAAGGAAGGAAGGAAGTGAGGGAGGGAGGGAAGGAAGGAGAGGTAGTAGGGCCTTCACTGTGAGAGAAAAAGGATAGATGTAGGAATGTAGATGACTGCTTTAGAGTAAAAAGAGTCATCATGTTGGCTGGTGTGCAGGGTAGTAGAGGGAGAAAAGATTGGAGAGGCAGGTCAGGACTGGACTAGGTAAGGCAAGTGCCAGTCCTCTCTCCCCAAGCAAGGCCCCTGGCATATTAACTTCTCCATACAGATCACAGTTGGGGTGACTTATGATGATGTTAGATGTAAATTCTGATGCATCCTGACTCTTAACAGACATAAAAGTCTTTGTATGTGCTTGCTCAGGAAAGCCCTGTGTCCCTTATCAACACCAGCCATTGAGAGGGATTTTAGAACCTTTGTTCCCGATCTGAGTTGGTTCAAACCTCCTTCAGTTCACCATGTGGCTACAACTTCATTGTTCCTTTTTAAAACATTTCAAGGCACAAAAAAACAAGGCCTCCATTACTGCTCACTGCTGCGTTCCTGTGCATTCAGCATGCAGATTCCCAGGCTGCTCAGCATGGTGGCCTTTTGCTGTTGTTCTTATATGGAGCCTCGTCAAAGCAGACTGAAGCCCAGAAGACACTCGGCTTGAATTCCGGGCCAAGGAGTGGTAGCTGGAAAGGGGTTATTTATATATTCCTCAGCTTGGAATAGGAAAACATTTTTAAAGATATGATGTTTAATCATGTCTGAGCCCAAGGAATGTGAAGCCCCTGTGAGGAATTCTACTCCAAGAGGATAAAAATAAGAAATGGGTGGCTTCTCCTGTCAAGCTTTCCAAGGTGGGCTTCTTGAGTCTCTTGCCCTCTCTTGTCACACTTTATTTTCCTACTGTCTAATTTGTGTCTGAAATAATGTACTTAAGACTAATGTACATTTCACCAATACTTTGAGTGATCTACCTCTGAATGGTCTTACCTTTCTTTACACGCAGTCCTCTTGCGCATTCATCCTATGCAAAGAGAATAAATGCACATTTACACTTTGAAATGAGTTATCAATAGTATTTATGTATCAGCTAATTACCATTGTCAAATATTTTAGATTTCCTTTTCATTAACTATGCTCAGTCTTTGGGATGTAGGCAGCTTTTTCGATTCTCATATTAAGGGGGTCTTATGAACAAAAGGTGCTGAAAATTAAAAAGTGCAGATCTCTTTCCAAGAGACCGAGCTTATCATTTCTGTAACATTCTTAGCCTCTCCTTAACCGGTGTCTGAGAATTTAAGACTTGAACCTTATCCTCTTCAACTTTCAGTGCAATATATGGCAATTACATCATCTGAAGATCTTTCTAATAGAGAACTACTATTATTAAACAAAAACAATCTGTACCTCAAAAAATATTATTTAGTATGCAAAGTTTTGTAATCAAATTTCAAGGCACCATAGGTCCACGTACCAACACAAACAGATTTAACCTCAGAAATGCAGGAACGTACAAGTCTTCTGAAAGGTTACACTCTAAATGACAGGCTTCCCTACTTGAGCTGGGTCTGACACTCAGAGTCAATGGAAGAAAATATTAGGATCGCTGTCATACATCATAATTTACACAATGTTTCATTTCTTTCTCAAATGCAGCAAAGTATCTAATTCCTTCTAAACAAAACATTGCCCTTTCATAGAAAACAAGGGAAAGGGATATTGTCAATTATTCAATTAATCTGCTTTGTGTAAAAATGAATATTTCTAGTTTTGGATTCATTGCAAACATTATTGGGTCCTCCACTGGTCTCTTCACGCTTTTATGTTGTATCATATTCAACCTTATTTTTGGTAACAAAATTCTCAGCCAGATTTCCATTGTGGGAAAAGAGAGACATGATACTGAGAAGTTATAAAAGAAGAATTATATCCAAGGCCAGGAATAATTGTTTTTTGCTATATTCAGCATTAGTTGAAGATTTATTAGAATGCAGTTTCCAGTTTTAGTCCCTGCACTTTATAGTAAAATGAAACACAAAAGTAATTGAAGTATTGGGCAATAGAGCCTGTAAGACTGTGTCAGGGAGGTTTAAAAAAATATTAAATAGACAATTGTGGATTATTAGAAATGCTTAAAGAATTGAAAGATATTTAGAGATTTTTTTAGTTCAACAGTCACCTACCACCATTTTACATACAAGGAAATGCAGATACAAAAAGGGTCGAATTCATCATGTCTATATCACTAAGTGATGGTCAACCTGGGACCAGAGCCCAGGTCTCCTGACTTCCAATCTGATGCAGTTTCCACTAAGACAAAAGAGGTGATTTGATGACAGATGTTTCTGGATGAATCAATCCATATGACTATTCTTATTCCCTCAATGATTGCCTTGGTTTCTTTAGGATAGGAAACATGGCTTTTCGTTCTGTATTATTTTCTACTGTGAGAATTAAGTGATGTGAATTCCTGTTGTGTGCATGATGTGTGAATCATTCTTGATGATTGTGGGGGATGAGAAGAGGAAAGATTTTTATTAGCATGAGGAAGTCCTGTACTTTAGAAAGGCCATCCACACTCAGGGATATTGAAAAGAGAATAGACAATCATCTCCTCTAGGTTTCCTGACCACTTACTTTCTGAAGCCAAATGATAAGAGATGACTTCTTGAAGTTCTCTCTAGGTTCAGGAGGTTATGATTCCAGTTCTACTTCTGGCCCATCCTTTATCTCTCTGTATACCTAAGCAAAGCTTTTAAATACACCCTTTGGGTCCTGATAAGGACTGGATTGTGTCCCTATGAAATCAATATGTTGAAGCCAACGTCTATTTTGACTATATTGCAAATAGGGCCTTTAAGGAGGGAATGAGGGAATTAATGTTAAATCAGCTGAAAGGATGGATCCTAATCCAACAGGACTGGTTTCCTTCTAAGAAGAGGAAGAGACACCAAAGATCCCTCTTCTTTCACACATGCACAGAGGAAAGGCCATGTAAGGACACAGTGAGAAGCCAACTGTCTGCAAGCCAGGAATAGAGGTCTCTCCAGAATCCAACTCTGGTGGCACCTTGGACTTACAGCCTCTAGATATCAGGAGAACACAAATTTTTGTTGTTTAAGTCACACAGTCTGTGGTATTTTGTTATGGCAACCCTAGCAAATTAATACAGATTTTGGTACTGTTAAATGAGATGTTGCTGCTGTAACAATTACTTACAAATGTGGGAATGGCTTTGGAACTGGGTAATAGGTAGAGTTGGAAGAGTTTTGAGGTGCATGGTAGAAAAAGCCTAGATTTCCTTGAAGGGACTGTTGGTAGAAAGAAATATGGAAATTAAAGGCAATTCTGGTGAGGGCTCAGAAGACAAAAAAAGGAGAGCTGTAGGGAAAGTTTCTATCATCTTAGAGAATACATACATCATCATGAACAGAGTGTTGGTAGAAATGTGAACATGAAAGGTGATTCTGATTAGATCTCAGACAGAAATTAGAAATGCGTCATTGGAAACTGGAGGAAAGACAATCCTTGTTATAAATTGGCAAAGAGTTTGGCGGAATTGTCATCTAGTGTTTTGTGGAAGGTTGAACTTGTGAGTGATGAAACTGAATATTTACCTGAGTGGATTTCTGAGCAGCTTCCAAGGTGTGGCCTGGTTTCTTTTTATTGCCTATAGTAAAATGCAAGAGAAGAGAGAGAAATTGAAGGAACTATTTTGCAAAAAGGAACCAGAACTTGAAGATTTGGAAAATTCTCAGCCTATCCATATTGCAAAAAGTGAGAAAGCATGTTCTAGAGAGAACACCAAGGATGGGCTGGACAATCACTCCATAAAGAGATTATTTTTTACTTTAATCAGTTATTTCAGCAGAAGCCAGGAAGAGAAATGAGATTATATCAGCAAAAACACTGTCAAATATGAACAAAAGGAGACAGAGACAGAAGGAAGGCTTCAGTTTTCTGATGTTCCAATAGAGCTACTTGGCTGCAAATATGCTTTATCCTTAAAGAAAATGGAAGACTGACTCTGAAGATGATTCCGAAATCATCAGGGCTGCAACTCTCACCCAGAGGGTACTGACCCTGGGGGCAAGGCTGTTTCCTCCTTGATTTCAGAAGGTGAGGCCACCTCCCTACTTCCTCAATTTCAGTGGGTGAGGCTGCTCAATGTGGTGGTGGTAGGGGGGTGCTGCACAGAGCTGAGGGGGTGCGGCTACCACCTTGTGCCATGGGAATGGCCACTGCCACCTCAGTGGACAGAAGGCAGAACATCTGCCCAAAGATTATTCCTGAGCCTTAAAGCCTAACAGAATTTATCTGGCCAGGTTTTGGTTTTATTTGGGACCCAGAGCCCTTATTTCTTTTCCATTTCTCCCTTTTGGAATGGGAATGTCTATCTTATATCTGTCCCACCATCGTATTTTGGAAGCATGTACCTTATCTGGTTTCACAGATGGACAGCTGGAGAGGAATTTTGTCTCAGGAGGAATAATACCCAAAGTTTCACCCATACCTCATGTCGATGACTTTTAGTGAGACTTTGGACTTGGAATTAATGCTGGATTGGAGTAAGAATTTGTGGGTGAAATGAGGTGAAAATTTTTTGCGTACAAGAAAGATGAGTTTTGGAAGCCTATAAGGCAGAATTTTATTGACTGAATCCTGTTCTTCAAAAATGCATATGTTGAAGTTCCAACCCCCAACGTGACTGTATTTGGAGAAAGGTCCTCTAAGGAGGTAACAAGTGTTAAATGAGGTTATAAGGGTAGGGCATTAATCTGAAAGGACTTCCTTATAAGAATAAATAGGGAGCCGGGTGTGGTGGCTCAGGCCTGTAATCCCAGCACCTTGGGAGGCTGAGGGGGGTGGATCATGAGGTCAGGAGTTTGAGAACAGCCTGGCCAGTATGGAGAAACCCCATCTCTACTAAAAAATACAAAAATTAGCCAGGCGTGGTGGTGGGTGCCTGTAGTCTCAGCTACTCAGGAGGCTGAGGCAGGAGAATTGCTTGAACCCAGGAGGCGGAGGTTGCAGTGAGCCGAGATCACGCCACTGCACTCCAACCTGGGTGACAGAGTGAGACTCCGTCTCAAAAAAACAACAACAAAAAAAGAATAAAAAGGGATACCAGAGATCTCTCTCTGCACAC
Organism: Homo sapiens; assembly: GCF_000001405.40. NCBI lineage: Eukaryota > Metazoa > Chordata > Mammalia > Primates > Hominidae > Homo > Homo sapiens. The sequence continues at coordinate 68,009,932 of NC_000005.10, read as the reverse complement.
ACACAGAAGCAAGGCCTTGTGAGGACATAATAAGAAGTTAGATGAAAACTGGCACAAGACAGGGATGCCCTCTCTCACCACTCCTATTCAACATAGTGTTGGAAGTTCTGGCCAGGGCAATTAGGCAGGAGAAGGAAATAAAGGGTATTCAATTAGGAAAAGAGGAAGTCAAATTGTCCCTGTTTGCAGACGACATGATTGTATATCTAGAAAACCCCATTGTGTCAGCCCAAAATCTCCTTAAGCTGATAAGCAACTTCAGCAAAGTCTCAGGATACAAAATCAATGTACAAAAATCACAAGCATTCTTATACACCACCCACAGACAAACAGAGAGCCAAATCATGAGTGAACTCCCATTCACAATTGCTTCAAAGAGAATAAAATACCTAGGAATGCAACTTACAAGGGATGTGAAGGACCTCTTCAAGGAGAACTACAAACCACTGCTCAAGGAAATAAAAGAGGATACAAACAAATGGAAGAACATTCCATGCTCATGGGTAGGAAGAATCAATATCGTGAAAATGGCCATACTGCCCAAGGTAATTTACAGATTCAATGCCATCCCCGTCAAGCTACCAATGCCTTTCTTCACAGAATTTGAAAAAACTACTTTAAAGTTCATATGGAACCAAAAAAGAGCCCGCATCACCAAGTCAATCCTAAGCCAAAAGAACAAAGCTGGAGGCATCACACTACCTGACTTCAAACTATACTACAAGGCTACAGTAACCAAAACAGCATGGTACTGGTACCAAAACAGAGATATAGACCAATGGAACAGAACAGAGCCCTCAGAAGTAACGCCGCATATGTACAACTACCTGATTTTTGACAAACCTGAGAAAAACAAGCAATGGGGAAAGGATTCCCTATTTAATAAATGGTGCTGGGAAAACTGGCTAGCCATATGTAGAAAGCTGAAACTGGATCCCTTCCTTACACCTTATACAAAAATCAATTCAAGATGGATTAAAGACTTAAACGTTAGACCTAAAACCATAAAAACCCTAGAAGAAAACCTAGGCATTACCATTCAGGACATAGGCATGGGCAAGGACTTCATGTCTAAAACACCAAAAGCAATGGCAACAAAAGCCAAAATTGACAAATGGGATCTAATTCAACTAAAGAGCTTCTGCACAGCAAAAGAAACTACCATCAGAGTGAACAGGCAACCTACAAAATGGGAGAAAATTTTCGCAACCTACTCATCTGACAAAGGGCTAATATCCAGAATCTACAATGAACTCAAACAAATTTACAAGAAAAAAACAAACAACCCCATCAAAAAGTGGGCGAAGGACATGAACAGACACTTCTCAAAAGAAGACATTTATGCAGCCAAAAAACACATGAAAAAATGCTCATCATCACTGGCCATCAGAGAAATGCAAATCAAAACCACAATGAGATACCATCTCACACCAGTTAGAATGGCAATCATTAAAAAGTCAGGAAACAACAGGTGCTGGAGAGGATGTGGAGAAATAGGAACACTTTTACACTGTTGGTGGGACTGTAAACTAGTTCAACCATTGTGGAAGTCAGTGTGGCGATTCCTCAGGGATCTAGAACTAGAAATACCATTTGACCCAGCCATCCCATTACTGGGTATATACCCAAAGGACTATAAATCATGCTGCTATAAAGACACATGCACACGTATGTTTATTGCGGCATTATTCACAATAGCAAAGACTTGGAACCAACCCAAATGTCCACCAATGATAGACTGGATTAAGAAAATGTGGCACATATACACCATGGAATACTATGCAGCCATAAAAAATGATGAGTTCATGTCCTTTGTAGGGACATGGATGAAATTGGAAATCATCATTCTCAGTAAACTATGGCAAGAACAAAAAACCAAACACCGCATATTCTCACTCATAGGTGGGAATTGAACAATGAGATCACATGGACACAGGAAGGGGAATATCACACTCTGGGGACTGTTGTGGGGTGGGGGTAGGGGGGAGGGATAGCATTGGGAGATATACCCAATGCTAGATGACGAGTTAGTGGGTGCAGCACACCAGCATGGCACATGTATACATATGTAACTAACCTGCACAATGTGCACATGTACCCTAAAACTTAAAGTATAATAAAAAAAAAAGAAGAAAAAAAAAATAAATAAAGAGAGTTAAAAAAAAAAAAAGAAGTTAGAAGACAGGCCTCATCAGAAACTAACCCTGACAGCACCTTGGTCTTGGACTTCTAGCTTTCAGAGCTGTGAGAAAACATCTGTTGCTCAAGCCAGCCAGTCTGTGGTATTTCGCAATGGCAGCTGCAGCCGACTAAGACCTATCCATTCTGACTTCTGCCTGCTCCCCTTTGCTCACTGCTACCTTTTATTCTGGAGGTTGATGACCCTCTCTTATGCCTTTCCAAACCACTTTACATGCTTTCTTTTTTGTGACAAAATCTACATATATTTATTTGGTTGTTCTCAAACACTAGTGACGAATTGCGTGTGTGTGTGTGTATTTTAAAATGCAAAATATTTATATATATAATATATATATTTTGCCCTTTTGACTCATTCTTTGTTATATATTGTCAGTATTGTGTACTTTGAAAAATTTTAAAATTGACATATTGTAAAATTGTGTTGGTGTATCAAATTTAAAATCCAAAGAGCTCCAAATACACAGATTTGAATACAATAAACAAACAAATAAGAACTCAAGAGTTCACGTCATTCACAACTTTAAGTATGTATATGGCATTTTTATAAGGTCACAATTCCCATTGTCTGTAACATACAAGACACACAAAAATAATTTAGACAAATTAAATGAAAAGCTAGAGTTAATCACCAAAAAGTCTACATTCAATTGTCATTATTTTGAAGTTTAAAAATAAGGTAAGAGCTAATAATCTTTTAAGTTAGAGTTGCTTTTCAAAATAAAAAGATATAAATTACCTATAATTAGAATTTTAAACATACATATTTGTAGAGAAACAAAACATTTAACAACAATTTGTTGTCAGTGGTAGGATGCTAATGTTCCAACTTTTATGGAGTTTTACAGTTTAGTTGGTTTTACAGTTTAGTAGGTTTTAGTTAGTTTTACAGTTTAGTATTAGTTTGCCAGGACTGCCATAATAAAGTACCACAGACTACGTGACTTAAACAACACAGATTCATTTCCTAACAATTCTGGATGCTAGAAGTCCAAGAACAAGGCATTGTCGGGGTTGGTTTCTTCTGGAGGCCTCTCTTCATAGCATGTAGATGGTTGCATTTTTTTATGCCTTCACATGGTCTCTTGTCATGTGTACGTGTCCTAATCGCCTCTTCATAAAATAATGTTAGATATATTGAATTAGGGTCTACCTATATGCCCTCATATTACCTTAATTACCTCTTCAAAGGCCCTATCTCTAAATACTCATACAGTTACATTCTGAGGTACTTGGAGTTAGGGCCGCAACACATGAATTTTGCATGTGTGGCGGGGGAACAGGGAGACACAATTCAGCTCATAACAATAGTCATTTCTTCATCATCTCCCGTCACCCTCAGCGCCACTCTTGGAAGTGAGATAGACAGTCCTCCCCATCTACAACAAACAGCAGAGGTGGGATTCAAACCAAGCCTGGTGACTATAAACCCTGTCTCTATTACAATACTACATTTTAATTGATATTATTAGTTGATTAAACATGTCCTTGTTTAGGTAGAAACATGCAAAAGTAAACTATGGCTCAGCCCACTAATCACAAATCCCAAAGGAACTTTTTTAAAACTTTGGGGGAAACTGAGTATATGCATTTGGTTTTTCCATCTTGTACATGCATGCAGGAGAGTGAATATGATGCTTGGAAATGCACACTCTTTTAAGTCACTAGGGTCACATTTAGTTTATCACTTCCTGAGAAGGTAATGTAACTGAGTTCCTAATTTGCTCTTAAGGAGGCCCTTAAGCACGGGAAAAGAGGATCAAAGATTTTCCCCTCAGTCAGCTTTGGAGAGGAGTCAGTGAGGTACTTTGATGAAGAGCAATAGGACAACTGTTGAAAGGGATAGTGTGTGTGCCATGGAGAATTGTATATACACACATATATGTACATGAATCTGTAAATACACAGATATTGTGTGAGCATGTGTGTGTGTGTGTGTGTGTGTGTATCCTCCAGGCAGCATCTCAGCCTTCAACTTACGTTTAAAAGTCTTAATAATTTATTTTACTCTTTTAGGCAGTTTGGCAGAGAGGAACTTATGCCATATATGCACACAACTCTCTCTCTCTTTCTTTCTCTCTCTCTCTCTCTCTCTCACACACACACACACATACACACACACCATTCTCAGTTCAAAAATTTTCTGCTTTATAACAGCAACTATTCTAAAAGATATATTTTCAACACTCCTAGCTAGGAAGTAGAGTCATTACAGATGTGGGAAACTAAAGAGGATTCTCCAAGAAGATGAAAATTGCCCACAAAGTCTCTACCACTTAGGATTTGTAAGAAATGAGTTTGCAAGACACTCAGAAATTGTAAGACACTTGTAATCTTGTTTAAAAATATCAGGTTGAACTTTGCTATTTCCCATTATTTTTGCAGATGATGTCAATGGGAAAACCAAGTACTGAATAACCTGAACAAACATTTAGAGAAAGACTACATAATGCAGATAGTAGGTATAAAGAAGGTATGACCATAAAGTTACTTTCTAAACCAAACCAGTGTTTCTCTCCTCATCGTACCCTCTGCCAAAAGTCTCGCCAAAAGTGCCAAAAGTGGTCATCAATAACAAACACAAATAAAATTCCTGCCTGTGATGGACAAGAGTCTACAAGAGACTACATGTGGAATGGTTAGTAAAAAACCCTTTAGTTTATTTTCCATCCTGGATTTTTGTGCAAGTACACTTCCCTCCGGTGCATAGATTTCTCACAAAAAAACAGAGAAAAGGGAGGTGTGAATGTATCACCTTGCTCATGAACATGTTGGACGGGATCGCCGTTTGCACTGCGACTCTTCTCCCCTCCACATGGAAACCGAAGACTGCTCTGTGGCTCTGACTCAATTAGCAGCATGTTTTTTCACAAGTGGGTGGGCCATCTCCATTAGAGTGACCTAATTCTATGGGGCTGCTTCTGTATTGATCTGGGTGCATTACCACAAGGTTACACATTCGTTAGTGTAACTGGGTAAAGAACACTTTCAGGGAAAGCGTGGAAAGAGATGGAAGGAACAATATATGCGCTCTCCTTGGAGCAGAAATTAGAATCCTTAGATTATTCTTGTCCAGATTAGTGAAAAGTTATGCCTTGATATTCTTCCCAAAGCTCCTTTCCAAACACCTCACTGCTTTTGTCTGTCTCTCATGATCTACCATGATGAAGATCATAAAAGGGAGACCTGATAAACTGGGCCACAACTAACTCTGCCAGCTGACTAGAACTCACTGAAAGAACTCAACACCACAATTAGATGACCATTTCCCACTGAAGATGGTGTATCTGTATGAAAAACAGTGAGAACAAAGATGAAGTAACGTCCTGACAAAGCAGATGAGGTTAACAGCACCCATGACCAGATCTTTCTCTCTCTTTCTTTCCTTCCTTTCTTTCTTTTCTTCATTTATTTATGTCTCCTTCCTTCCTTCCTTCCTTCCTCCCTCCCTCCCTCCTTTCCTTCCATCCTTCCTTCCTTCCTCCCTCCCTCCTTTCCTTCCTTCCTTCTTCTTTCTTTCTTTCTTTCTTTCTTTCTTTCTTTCTTTCTTTCTTTCTTTCTTTCTTTCTTTCTTTCTCTCTCTCTCTCTCTTTCTCTCTCTCTCTCTCTCTCTTTCTTTCTTTCTTCTTTCTTTGTTCCTTCCTTCCTTCCTTCCTTCTCTTTATTTCCTTTCTTTCTCTCACTCTTTCTCCCTTTATTTCAAGACAAGGTATCTCTTTGTCACTCAGGCTGGAGTATAGTGGTACAATCGTAGCTCACCACAACCTCCAACTCCTGGGCTCAGGTGATCCTCCTGCCTCAGCCTCCCAAGTAGCTGAGATTACAGGTGTGTGCCACCATACCCAGCTAATTTTTCAATCTATTTTTTTTTTATAGAGACAGGGATCTTGCTATGTTGCCCAGGATGGTTTTGAACTCCTGGTCTCAAGCCATCCTCCTGCCTTGGCTTCCCAAAGTACTGGGATTACAGGCGTGAGTCACCATGCATGGCCAGATGTTTTTTTCTCTGAGGAAGATGATATATCCCATTATAAACATGGAAGAAAAAAACCCAAAGAGTGGTGATAACTATTCTGTTCACTACACCTGACCCCCAGTTATTCAGCTGTCTGCTATGTTACTAAACAGGATTATCTTCCTTGGCAAAATTAAAATTAAATTTCTGCAATTACCTGAATCTTAACCACTAGCTACTAGCAGATATCAGTGGCTAGTCAGAATGATGATCCTATTTTGAAACTAGAATTAGGAGCTTTGTATATAAGGTAAAATCATGCTCCAGAATATGCTCATAAATTGTAAATCTTGAAAGTCTGTTGAAGTGATGGTCCCTTCTACTGAAAAACACACACATGCTTCATTGCTTCAGTGTCAGAGGACTCATGGATTCTCAGAAGCCATTGCGTGGGCCTTTACAGCCTAGATTAATATCCTAATGTCAAATATATTCCGACTCAACTCTCTCCTCTCCAGCCTTACCAAAGCTGTTCTGTTATAGCCTTTCTCATCTCCTAACTGACTCTTATCACCGCCTCCACACCCACCAAACCCTAGGTGGGCCTGAGCCCTCCCAGCCACACTGCAACCACAGTGAACCATCAAAAACCAAAACTGGGCACATTGTGCCTCTGCTTCCATCCCTTCCATGGTTCTCCACTCACAAGATAAAGCCCCGACACCCCCATGGCCTGGTCCTTAGCTTTACTTCCCCATCCTCACTTTTAATCAGGTCCTGACTGATACCCAGTGCCTCAGAAGTTCCAGACTTCTGCAATTTCCTGTATGTATTTTTTGAGTACATGCCTTTGTTTTTTTTTTTTTTTTTTTTTTTTTTTTTTTGAGATGGTGTCTCACTCTGTCGCCAGGCTGGAGTGCAGTGGCACAATCTCAGCTCACTGCATTCTCTGCGATTCTCCTGCCTCAGCCTCCCGAGTAGCTGGGACTACAGGCGTGCACCACCATGCCCAGCTAATTTTTGTATTTTTTAGTAGAGATGGAGTTTCACTCTGTTGGCCAGGATGGTCTCGATCTCTTGACCTCGTGATCCGCCTGCCTTGGCCTCCCAAAGTGCTGGGATTACAGGCGTGAGCCACCACGCCCAGCCTGTTTTTAGTAGTTACATCAGCTTGACTCCATACACTCACCTCTCTCTCATTCCCTTTATTTGGTTAGTTTTCATTGCCTATGAATGACTCATTTCAGTTGTCTCTTCCACCAGCAACCTGTTCTGGCATCTTCTCTTCTCTTCCTGACTCATTTAGGGGGCCTTGCTCCGGGGATCTATAATGCCTATAAATATCCTTATTGCTTACCACATTGCACTATAATTATCTGTTTAGATTTTTGTTTTTCGCTGTAGACCAGAATCTTCTTGTGGGTAAGGGCTTTATCTTATTTTCTTTATCTCTCTCCAGGTCTCAATAAGGGGCTTATAGAGAGTAGCTGTTCACCAAGTATTTAATTGCCAAATGAATAAGAAAAATGAATAAATTAAAGAATAGATGCTTTATAAATAATCACTAATTTTTTGGTTTATCATGTATCTTCAGGATCTAAGAGGGAATATACACAGAAATCTAAAGTAAATGAAATGAAACATATGTGAAAGAACCCAGTAGAATGCTTGGCACATAGTAACACACAGTGTAGATTTTGTTTTCCATTTATATTAAATTATATAATTAAATATAAAAAATAATTTATTCACATTTTTATAATAAATTTATTTTCTATAATGTAAATATACTGTATGTTAAAATATAAAGTATAATATTTTATAATATACATTTATTTATATCAAATCGCATCTCAAACTAGGACCAAAAAGAAATAAGATATGTTTTATTGAAGTTATTTAATCAACAAACATTTATTGAACTGAATATTATATGTAAAAGCCCACCACTGTACCAAGTGCTGGAGGTACTGAGAGTGGAAGGGTTTGATCGCTCCCTGCCTTCAGAGACCTTACGATCAAGCAGGCTTCACAATTCCCCAGTCCTCCTTCTGCTTCCTCATGAAACCCACCCAGGAGTGTCCTAACAAACCTGTAAGTGTATGTCTCTAGGTTCCAATTAATTGTGACTTCATTCTTATTTTTAAAAAAATCCAGAAGGAAGCTTTTTAAAAAATCTATAAGAATATTTAATAACATTTTTGTTAAATGGTGAATGCCAGGGACAAATATGTTCTGCAATTTTATATCTTATTTAAGAGTGATTCTTGTCCAGGTGTGGTGGCTCACGTCTGTAATCCCAGTACTTTGGGAGGCCGAGGGTGGAGGATCACTTGAGGCCAGGAGCTCAAGACTAGCCTGGCCAAGATGGTGAAACGTCATCTCTACTAAAAATACAAGTATACAAAAATTGCCAGGTGTGGTGATGCATGCCTGTAATCCCAGCTACTTGGGAGGCTGAGGCAAGAGAATTGCTTGAACATGGGAGGCAGAGGTTGCAGTGAGCCAAGATGGTACCAATGCACTCTGGTCTGGGCCACAGAGCAAGACTGTTTCAAGAAAAAAAAAAAATAATAAGTGATTCCTAAGGCACATTTGACAGGCCATCTTTCAAAGGAAGAATTTTCAACCTTAGCATGAGCTGACATTGCCCCTCTAGCACACTCACACAAAAGGAAAAGGTGACATTCCCTTTGACTTCCTGGTTCTAGTCTACTAGTATCATGCAAGGAGGAGGCTGCACTACTGCAGTCACATGGGATGGGAATTTAGAACTATAAACTGCAGGAAGGATGTGGATGATGGCAATTTGACCATGAATTCCAGCTAGCCCTAGTTAAATAAGCAGGCACTAACTATCCCAGGAGATTGTCTTGAGGGCTTTATAGACTTACAGCTGTTGGAATATTAAAGAAATTCTCCAAAGACACAAAATAGATTTGGGGAGCAAATTATGACCCTTGGGATCTGTCTTCCTCACTCTTAGGCCCTAGGGGCTGCATTTTAGTGTACTGAGCTTACTCAATCACTTTTTAATGCCTTGGGAAAATATGTCACACATAAAATTAAATTTGTGTTTGTTTCAATGTCAATATCACATGTGTGTATGAATTTAATGACATAGAAACAAGAAAGGAAGCTCAAGACATATCAGATATATTGTGAGCCAGTGGTTAGTGTTGTTCCTGTTCAACTCTTGAGGATGTTTGGCAATGTTTGGAGACATTTTTAGTTGTGACAGATGGGAAAAGAGTGTTTCTGGCATCTAATAGAAAGAGGCCGAGGGCACTTTGCTGAACATCCTATGATACATAGGACAGGCCCTCTCAACACAGAATTATTAGGTCCAAAATATCAATAGTATTGAGGTTGAGAAATCCTGGGTTAGGCCTTGGCTAGTGAAATAAGGAATGATAAGACCTCCATTCTTTCTTATTATCTTGTTACATATTTTCATTTTCACCATGCTCCCCAAGACAGCTATTAAATACAAAGAAAAATTTAAATGAGGTCTTTGTCCTCATAGATCTTGTAGAGTTCATTTAATAAGACCATGTAGATACCTATAAAGTGTTAAATAACAATACAATAGAACAATGAACAAAAATAAAGCAGAGTATTAATTGCCAAATATTGGTATGGGCAATTTTGCCATGAGTTAAGAGATGGAAGAGGACATACTCGAAATAGGAATTTGCGGCTGGACGCGGTGGCTCATGCTTGTAATCCCGGCACTTTGGGAGGCCAAGGCCGGTGGATCACCTGAGGTTAGGAGTTCGAGACCAGCCTGGCCAACATGGTGAAACCCCATCTCTACTAAAAATACAAAAAATTAGCTGGGCGTGGTGGCAGGCACCTGTAATCCTAGCTACTCAGGAGGCTGACGCAGAAGAATGGCTTGAACCCAGGAGGCATAGGTTTCAGTGAGCTGAGATCATGCTACTGCACTCCAACCTGGGCAACAAGAGTGAAACTCCATCTCAAAAAGAAAAAAAAAAAAGAAAAGAAATAGGAATTTGCATTAAGATAACAGACTCTGTGGGAACAGGGCTCTGGTGTCTTCTGCATATTGCTGTGTTCCTATCACTTAGTACAGTGCCTGGCATGTAACAGCTACTCACTATACTCAAAAAATACTTATTGCATGAATCCAGGAATAGATTTAGAGAGAGAGGCCAAATATTTTCTGGAAGATTGGGAGGAATGGAAAAAGTCAATGCAAGGAGAAAAGAATGGGATTGATATATTTCCAAATTCCATGTATCTTGGGGACCGTATTGAAATAGGAAAGTAGGTGTGGGTGTAGTAAAAGGAAGTTGGTGCTAGTTTAGGAAATTCGGGTTTGCTGCATAGATACTGGGAACACAAATTGGAATTATGTTTGTTCCAGAATAATTGCAATCCGTTTAATGCTTGCTTGTTTGAATCTGAGGGGGTGTGTCTTTAATTGCTCTTCACTGAGGACAGATGCCAAGTGCGTGTGTGAGTGTAAATCTCTGTGTGCGTGGGGTTGTGGGTGTTGTGTTAACTTCGTCATCCTCTTTATCTAAATGTCTTCCTGATCCTCTTGCCTGAGCCTCCACCTTTTCTGTCTAGCCTGCACTGAGTTCCCTTCTCATGCATGTGGCAGTGACTCAGGGGCGGAAGAAGGACTGCCCAGCCTGTGCCTGGTCACTTCCTGCTGTGCCTCCAGCAGGGTCTGCACATGACGCTCCGATTTTCCCAGCAGACCTGAGGAAGTGCCCACATGGCGTGTCTGCCATGGGGGAATGCAGCTTTGCTGTCATTGTCACTGAGCTGCCATTTAACTGAAGGTTTACAGCAGCCCCAAAGTGTCTGCTGGCCTCCTCATGGAAAGTGGAAAAGGCAAGGGCAGGGAAGGGCTCATCTGAGTGACACTCTGTGCTGCCTGCTCTTCCTCCACTGCTTGACTTGGCATCTGTCATGGGTTATGTAAACAAATAAGAGGAACAATCCACGCAGGGCCACTGGCTTTAACATGCCTTTCCTGTGTCCCAGGGTGTGCGTAAGCAGGGAACACAGTGGGTGATGACAGGGGTTTGTTCCTGCCTAGAAGGGAGATTCTTTTCTGGCCTGGAAAGTTCTTTTTTTTTTTTCTTTTGCTTTCTTTTTTTTCTTTTTCTTTTTTTTTTTTTTGAGACAGCGTCTCACTCTGTTGCACAGGCTGGAGTACGGTGGCACGATCTCGGCTCACTGCAACCTCTGCCTCCTGGGTTCAAGCGATTCTCCTGCCTCAGCCTCCCGAGTAGCTGGGATTACAGGTATGCACCACCATGCCTGGCTAATTTTTGCATTTTTAGTAGAGACAGGGTTTCACTCTGTTGGCCAGGCGGCTGGTCTCGAACTCCTGACCTCAAGTGCTCTGCCCACCTCTGCCTCCCAAAGTGTTGCGATTACAGATGTGAGCCACCGCACCCAGCGAAAGTTCTAAGAGCTTCCTTTTAGACTTTCCCCCTTTGCCCTTTGATACCCCTGTCTTTGTGATACAGAAGGTGAGCTAAGGCTGCAGGGTGCCAAGGATCACTAGACACAAGACACCCAGGAGGCCACTAGAGACAAGCCTGGTTCTGAGTAACCTCTGTTCCAAAATGATTGGCCTGCACCCAGAGGGAGGGCACCTGGATGCCAAGAAGTAGTAATGAATTGGGGAAAAGAGTGGAAAGACATGACATTGATGGCTTGTTTTCATAAACACTAGTCTTAATTGTGATGACATACAGAAGAGTGTTATTATAATATTCAATGCATAAAGTTAGCATGACAATAACCTCACATTCTCTAGCATGACCTCATGTTCTCTTTCAGTGACTGATTATTATTTTCATTATTATGTTTTGAAGCAATTCTGCTGAAGGATGATCAGTGTGGATTTTACACATTTTACAGTAGAGGAAACAAAGCCACCAGGAAAGTTCACTACCCAACGATTTGAAATGGTCACTGCATTTCCCACGGAAAGAGTTCACATTGTCCAAGGCTTGTAGGACATTTACTAAGATGGAATCCTGTGAAATTGCCAATATTGGGTGAATTTTTTATGTATAAAAATAGCAGTTTCATAGCTCCAACATAAAATTATCAACAAAGGAAACTATCTTTTCTACCTCTTATAGTGGAAGGTGTTTGGGGTCTTTATTTTTTAATTTTAGAATAGGCATACTTGGTTCGACCTCCACTGTAGAATAAATTTATTTCCCAATTCTGGGAAGGAAACCCAGGTTCCCCAAGCTTTGAAGATTCCTGATGGTCAGTACTTGCCTTCCCCAGCCGCTCAGGCTGCAGTCCTGAGAATCCTCACCCTGGAAGCTCAGCCCTGCCTAGTCTTGGAGCAATTCCTGACCCAGGTGGACAAATATCAGTTGGCTCAGTACCTACATGTTGGGGTCTAGAATTAGTCTGGCTTCCCTGAGCCCAGAGTCCACATGCCAGGGATGAACTCTTGGCATCTCACAGCCATCACTGTGCAATCACCTGCCCTTCCCAAGCCATGTCCCAGGCCATACACCTGAGCCTCTTCTGCCTTGGTTTCCTGAACTGCATTTTGTTTTCCTTCTTGGGGTTTAATTATGCTGTTAATGTAAGCCATCTTGGCATGTGACATAGCTATTCACTGTCATCCTCTGAGGGAATAGGCTTGTACCCAATATTCCAGCCCCTGACTGGTGTCCTGCTTCAAAATGGGTAGACCTTCCTGACTCATGGCCCTGCTCCCCCCATCTTTCAGCAGCTCCTCAAGGTGTCATCAGCCCTGATCACACCAGGGTTTGACATTCCTCTTTAAACACCTTTTAACCCAGGAGGCCTTTTAACCCAGGAGGCCTTGCCTCTTCTTGGCTTTCTTCCAAGACACAGCATGACCCGTAGCACGGGCGTCGTCCATGGCAGAGATGCGGAACCTTCCTAGTTGGCCTTCCAGGCTGCTCTCAGATGAGGCAGTGACTGCCCACCGTCGGCTCTTGAGTTCCCCATTCCACTTACAGTTTGGGACAGAATCCCATTTTGTGGTTGGTGATGAAGAGATAAGAACAGAAGTGGGTGGGAGAAACCAAACACCACCTGGCCTGAAGCAGCACAGGCTGAGGGGACAACAGAGCAGAATGGCCAGGAGGCCGGGGAGCCGGTCACTGCTGTCGGGCAATCTGGGGCAGTCTCTGGCTGGCTTGGTCAGGTGTGTGGTGGAGGAAACTGAATGTTGTCCTGAATCAGAGGCCCTCACATTTTGTGCGTGAAATTAACAGTGTGTGAGAGAAGTCATGAAAAGTGTCTGTTAGTGACCCAATAGCTTTACAAATCATTTGTCCTCCACAATCAGCTGGGAAGAGTCACAAAGGATAAGGTGATTTGGAGATTGGGATTTGTCATTCAGTTCAGAATTTCTTTCTACAAAATAACAATTTTTTCTCTTTTAGGGACAGGAATGATGGTTTTATGTCAACTTATTTCTCCCCCCCCCTTTTTTTTGCTATAAATGTTACAAAGCAATAAATAAACAGTAATGTATACCATTTAGCATGAGGCCATCATAAAAGGAAAAGAGAGTAACACCAGGAACACTCAGTAAACAAGCTCTAAGTGCTTTTCCTTCACCTGGTTTTGATTTTGAGGAGGGGCCCAGGATCACAGAAGAACATTGAAGACCTAGGCTGCTGCTCTGTCACTAACTAGCAGCCCAGCCACCTCTTGTGGTGGTTTGTTCCTTAACTACATGTGTGGCTAGACAAATCATCCAAGGGCTGACTCCACTGTTCTCATCAGTGAGTGTGGGATGCCTGAGCTCCTCTGGCATGCATTCGTTATGCATGCTATGATCCTGTTTTACAGCTATGAACACACATGTCCAGATAACATTTCCTACAGGGCTGGGCTCATGGATTAGGTTTTTTATGATCATTTTTTTATTTTGAAATTTGTTCAAAAATATTGAACATAACAGATATTCATATAACAACATTCCGGGTACTTATCATCCCAAAGGAACAAATATTAACCTTTTGTTTTATTTGTTTCAAATTAAAAAAAAAAAACCAAAACAATATAGTGATCTATCCCCTACTTAGAGAGAACTACTACCTGGAGATTGGTGAATATGAGTTCTGTCTATAGTATCATGAACTAACTACTTACAGATGTAGCCATTAGCAAAATAGTGTTGTTTCCTATCATAAATAATTTCAGACTGTTTATATGAGTCTGCTACTTGCTTTTTGCCCTTAAATTTATAATTTTGAGACCTCCATACTGATACTGTGTTGTAGCTCTAATGCATTCAAGTATTAAACAAAAGTTCATAATATAAATATCCTATTATTTGTTTAATTATGGAACTGTTGGTTATTTCCATTTTTAATAATAGCAAATGACGCTGCCATGAACATTTTGTGCGTGTCTCCTTTTGCACCTGTGCAAAGATTTCCCTAAAGCATGTACTAAAGGTGGAACTTCTAAGATTCAGTGGAGAAACACCTTCAACTTTACTATGTATTGCCAAATTTCTCTTCAAAGTAGATGTACCAACTAATACTCTCAACAAGAGTTGCCAACTTCCCTTCTCCCCAAATTCTTGTTAAGCTTGGAAATTTCTCCCAATTTAATAGGCATGACATGCTCTCCCACTGATTGTTTTAATGTGCATTTACATCTTCATATTTTTTTGTCCATTTAGATTTTTTCATCTGGGAATTATATGCTTTTATCTGTAACAGTCAGGACACTTGCAGGAAACAGATGACACATTTAAATTGGACTAACTTGAGGAGGGACTCTTTACAAAGTTGAAGGCAAGTTTTCACTTTTTTTAAATGGTTAGGGAACTCCTTTTCTAGTTATAATTTGCTATGAAGGTTTTTCCCTTGTTATTTGTTGAGAGAGGATGACAGTTGCAGAGAAAAGACAATGCTTTTAAAGGGCTTCTGTCTTGTCCTTTTTACTTTCTTCTTGGCAGTGTGATTATGCAAATGGTTTTGGGGCAACAGGCATGTTTGTTTTGAATTTTCCCACAAAAAGGGTACTACCAGTTAAGCCTCCAAGACAGATCCTCCATTCCTGCTATCTACATCTGCAAAATATGCTGTTCATGTTTTGATTGGGCAATTTAAGGAGTCCATTTGATATACAGTATTTCTATCAATTCATATCATTCATTTGAGATTATACACCTCTTCCTTCTACCTTCTTTCCTTCCTTTCTTGTTGAAGTCAGTCAAACTTGAGTTCAAATTCTGGCTTTGTCATTTTCTTGCTTCATGTCTTTAGACAACTTATATAACCTCTCTGAGCAACAATCAAGCTACAGTAGCTTCTGTGTCTTCAAGGGCGTACGTAATAAAACCTACCATGCACGTACATATACACATATACATATACATATACATGCATATACAAAGAGACACATGGACATATACACACATGATTAAAGAACATATGCAAACTGGGCACACAGCAGATGCTCAAAAAATGATAGCTCTTTATTGTTGCTATGATCAAACACCTACTATGTATTTTTGATAAGCACTAAGGATACAGAAATAAATAAGGCATGGGGCCTGCCTTAAAGAGGCGTTTAGACAGATTTATGGCCAAGAAATACAATGATGTGTTCTAGTCACCATTACAAAAGTCAGCACAAGGTAAAATAGCGGCCGAAGGAAGGAAGTTGGGGGAAAGTTTATAAAAGTCTTTAGGAGGAGATGGCTGTGAACCAAATGCTAGTGAATAGGTATCTCCCAAGAAGAACAAGAGAGAGGGTTCTCTAGGCAGAGACAGCAGTTTGAGCAAAGCAGGAGAAGTGCAGTAGCCCATCATATTTACATGTGAGCAGCTTGGCACATAAAGTGTAAGCCAGGAGAAGAACAGGTGGAAAAAGGTACGGTAAGAAAGACGGGAGGGCAGAGGGGGCTCCAAAATGCTACTCTAGGGAAAATATATTTTGAATAATCTCCTGTAGATATAAAAAGCTGTTGAAGTTTTCAGAGTAGAAGAGTAATATTATTTGCTTTACATGTTACAAAAAATGATTCTGGAATTATTTAGCAAATTGGAAGAGTTTGCATGGTATTCAAGACTGTGAACCCTGTTGGCTGACAAGTTGGGTTGGAATCCCTGGTTCCTCACTTATAATTAGTTTTGTGAGCTTAGGCAATTTTTTTAACCTTTCTAAACATTAATATCTCTCTCTGTAAAGTGGAGCTATTATAATTATGTGCTTATCTCATAGGGTCGTTGGAAGATTAAATGTGGTAATTCACACAGAGCCTGGCATATAGCAAGCAAAATTAGGGAGTAGAAACCCAGGGATCTAATTGAATTTGGAAGTCTTTAGGACCATCCATCTCCAGCTCAGAAGAGAGCTTACTCTCTTAAATTGCCCCAGAAATCTGAGTGCGAGTCGATACTAATCTAGGTTGGCTGGTGGCTGAATTGTTTCTGGTAAAGGGAGGGAAAGAAAAATATAAAGTAAAACAGAAATAAAAGACACTATCAACTGACAAAGAATTAATGATCTTTCTGTGTGATGGAACAGTATGTACATGAACAAGATTTCAGAATATTTAAAATGCAAAGATACCAACTTGACATAGTGTTGAGTGGAAGTATATTAAGGGAATGAATACAGTTAATCTGACCTCTCTGTGGGAACCATTGCCAAATGAGTCAGTCGTGGACAGTGTGTAATTTATTTTTATAGCTTGCATTCAAGGGAAATATTCAGTGCAAGTCCAAATGTTCCACCTCGAACATCTAAATTCAACACTAGCATATGGCATTCCTACTCATACCCACCTGGAGAGAAGGTGGAGGTAGAAGAAAGGAAATGTTGTCATCGGAGACTTCTGCTCCTGGCACTTCCTCTCTAACCTTTTGTATTCACCCCATTCCAACAGATGTTAACAGGGCTCACAGCTTTCTGGACAATTTATAAGTATTTCCACTACAAACAAAATAGCTCAACTAGTGCAAATGGCATTGGAAATCTTGTTTGAAATATTGGATTTTAAAATCATAGTCAAATTAATTCTAATCGTTCTAGAAGAGATAAATGGATGCCCCTGAACAGAGTAACACAAATCTGTTACTTCTGCACATGACAGGCAAGTCAACCTACTGCCAGAACAGGAACTTCAGGAATGGTCTCAGACTCCTGCTAATACTCATGTATTTCTGCTTGGCAAGTGGTACCTCTTTGACCATGGCCCCAAGATTAGATGTTTTGCTGACTGCTTTGGGCCGCTATCAGGGTGGACTTCTTTGACGCATTGTGGAAAGACTGTGTTTTGCTTTTCGAAATTAAGTAAAGGAACTGAAGGAAAAGAGAGCATGGATATATGAGTGTGGTTGCATAGGAGGAAAAAACTCCAAACATGGTGTCCACCAACCTGCGATGGGGCAATCTAAGCAGTCCATCTGATGCACAGTATTTCTATCAATTCATATCATTCATTTGAGATTATACACTGAACTGACTGCTTGACCTTGGGCAAGTTACTTCGCCTCTTTAGCTTCAGATTATCATGCCAGGAAAGGGGGTTGGGTCTCTAAAACCTTTCTCAATTTCTAATACTAAGACTTTCTATTATTTGCCACTGCTCACAGATGCTTTAAATCAAGTAAAACTTAACCTTTTTTTTTTAAAAGAAATGTAATGTTCATCAGCTTTGCAAAAAGGAAGCAAGGAATGAAATAACAAGAACAACTTACTGAGATACTGCATTTTAACTTGTTGGGGATGAGTAGGAATTAGCAAAACAAACATGTCCTATGGGAAAATTACAGAGAAAGTGATTTCTTATAGGATAGAAGGGTGGGGGCAGCAATGCCTCTAGGTGAAATCTGGCCCACTGCCTATTTGGTGACTGAAGTTTTATTGGAACACAGCCATGCTCATTCATTTACATTTTGTCTATGAAAACAGAATTGAATGGTTGCAACAGAAGTGGTATGGTCTTCAAAGCCTAAAATATTTATTCTCTGGCTCTTTACAGAAAACGCTTGCCTACCCCTGTGATAGGAAATCAAAGTGGGTTCTTTTAATTAGTATTTGTGTAGCTCCGTTCTCCAAATAAGAGTGTCCTGTTTTGGGAAAAGTTTGGAAGCTCTTTTCTACTTAAGTAATCAGTAGGGACCTGGGTCCTGACCCTACTTTTAAAAGGATGCAGCCACTGTATCTGTACTTCTGCTTTTTTACGACTTCTTCAGTAGCTTTGGGGTTTGAAATGACTCTACCCTACAAATAACTATTTTCTGGGATAATGCCAGGGGTGGCCATTTTAGGTAATAGAGGTTTTGGAGCATAGGAACTGTGTCTTTCTAGAAGGAACTGCCCAGCTCTCTGCTGCTGTGATGTAGAGGGCTAGCCTTATGCAGGGCGTGGCTGAGGGGAGGGCTGGTGTAGCACACAGTGGCGGCTGCCTTGCTCTAGGCCCTTCTCTTTCTTGTACTGTAGAGAATTCTCTAAAGCACAGATCGTAGTCCATGTCTTCTCTGCTTAAAATCCTCCAGTGGCGGCTGGGCGAGGTGGCTCACGCCTGTAATCCCAGCACTTTGGGAGGCCAAGGCGGGCGGATCACGAAGTCAGGAGATCGAGACCACCCTGGCTAACATGGTGAAACCCCGTCTCTACTAAAAATACAAAAAAATTAGCCAGGCGTGGTGGCGGGTGCCTGTAGTCCCAGCTACTCGGGAGGCTGAGGCAGGAGAATGGCGTGAATCCAGGAGGCAGAGCTTGCAGTGAGCCGAGGTTGCGCCACTGCACTCCAGACTGGGAGAGAGAGCAAGACTCCATTTCAAAAAAAAAATCCTCCAATGATTTCTTGTTATGGACAAAATGAAACCTACCCTCAAAAACAAGACAATTAAATCTCCTGGTATTTATTTTTAACCTCTTCCAAACCTTGAATTCTATTTCCTCTGTGTCCCTTCGTGTACCCTCTGATTGATCCTAAATTCCATGAGGGCTGACTCTGAGTGCAATGTGTGTATTTTTCCACCACCCCCCTTACTATCGTGAAAACGTTGAAGATGTCATCTGCTGGACAGGGCAGGGTCCATGTGTGTTCCATTGGTCACTGTATTGCAGGGTTGAAGCGGGATATACCTTAAAAATATTTGTAGGGAAAATGAATAAATAAGTTACTGCTGCTTAGTAATGAAACTAGTGTTTTTATTTAAAAAAGCATTGGAACAAAATTTATATTCAGCTTAAGGTATGTTGCTATATAGATAAGAGAAAACAGGTTCTGAGAGACTTGGGCTCTAATCTTAGATCTGACACTATGTGACACGGAGGAAGCTACTTAACTCTTTCAATTCCCACTTTCCGTACCTATGAAAAAAAGGAAACAAGTTTCCAGGACCCTTACATTTCTTTCAACTTTGACATTCTTACTTGGTTTTGAATCTTTAAGTCTTTTTTTGATGCCTTGTGCCAATTAGCTACACTATCAGTTACCTTACATATTACAATGAATATAATAGGAATTTGTTCTTTTTAGAGAAGTGTCTATGGAAAATATGAACTCTGAGCAAAAGTTTATAAGAGGGAGGGAAGGTGATTCTTAATTAATTAGAACTTGACAGTCATCACAGGAAAAAATATTAGAAAAGCATTCTAGATTGGGGGAGATGGTTCAGAAAAAGTGAAAATAAGAGATTGAGTGTAAAAATAATGGAGTAATGCATCAGTACTCCTAGGAAGCTAATTTTTTTCATATATGCATGTGACCTTACTCTGCCACATGTAAATTCAGAGACGTCATGATGGATGTATTTAAATATCGATGCTTTAAGACTTTGGAAAAGATATTCTCTTCCTCCCTCCCTCCCTCCATCCCAGCCTTTCTTTCTCTCTCCCCCTTCTCCCTCCCTCATTAATTTTTTTCCAGGGTGACCCCATGTAGCCCAGAATATTCTTCTCTCAGCTTCCACATCTCAGGTCCATTTAATACATCTTCCATTTAATGAGGGTTCAAAGATTAATAAGGTGAATACATTAAATTGCCCTTGGCTTAGTAGAAAGTCCCTTTCAGCTGTCTGGGAAGTTACTCATGATTTTGCACAACACAGGGACTCCCAGGAGAAGAGCAAGGGAGCTATTCAATCTGCCTTTCCCTGTCTGTGTTTATGCTCAAGGCCACAAGGGCGCTTCCCTCATGGGATTGTAGGGAGGAGCCATTCTGCTTCCATGAGTGTGAAATTTCCGGCAGATTTTATTTTAGAAAAGATCAGGGCTCTGAGGAAGAAAGAGGCTTGATTGGCAAACAGCCTCATAAATTCCATATTGCCTTTGCACTTAGTATGCAGTAGGAAGACTTCATGATTCCAATTTTTATCAAACAATCGTCAGTAGCATTTCCTGTTTGGAAAGAGGATCTAGACCCTCAGAAGTGCTCCATTTCTCACTATTAAAGGAAATCGATCAATAGGAGCTTTACAAGATTGTTAATTAATAGGCTTTTGTTTGTGGCACAATTTTAGGTTTTCAGAAAAATTGAGCAGAAAGTACAGACAGCTTCCATATATTCCCTCCCCTGCCCCAGCCCGTTTTCCCTATCATTAGCATCTTGCATTAGTGTATAACATTTGTTAAATTGACCAATGAATATTGATAGTTTATTATTAACCAAAGCCTGTAGTTTACTTTAGGGCTCAGTCCTTGCCTTTTACAGTTCTGTGGGTTTTGACAACTATGTAATGCCATGTATTCACCATTTAAAGTATCATGCAGAATCATTTCACTGCCCTAAAATTCCCCTGCACTCCACCTATTTATTCCTCTCTCCCTTTCCTCCCTAAGCCCTGGTAACCATGGATCATTTTACTGTCTCTATAGGTTTGCCTTTTCCAGAATGTCATACAACTGGGATCACACTGTATGTAGCCTTTTCAAACAGGCTTCTTTTGCTTAGAAGTATGCATTTAAGAGTACTCCAGTTTTTGTGTGGCTTGATAGCTCATTTGTTTTTATACCTGAATAATGTTTCATTGTATAAATGTATCACAATTTGTTTATCTATACTTTTTGAAAGACACCTTGGTTGCTTCCAAGTTTTGTCAATTATGAATAAAGCTACTATAAATACCTATGCACTGGTTTTTATGTGGACACGTTTTCAATTCATTTGAGTAAATACCAAGGAGTGTATTTGTTGGATGATATAGTAAGAATATGTTTAGTTTTTTAAGAAACTGCCAAACTGTCTTCCAAAGTGGCTGTACCATTTTCCCATAAGTGGTGAATAAGAGTTCCTGTTGCTTCATGTCCTTGTCAGCATTTGGTGTTGTCAGTGTTTTGGATTTTGGCCATCCTAGTAGGTGTATAATGTGTCTTATTGTTTAAATGTATAATTCCCTAATGTTGCATAATGTTTAACATCTTTTTTTTTTTTTGAGACAGAGTCTTGCTCTGTCTCGCAGGCTGGAGTGCAGTGGCGCGATCTCGACTCACTGCCACCTCTGCCTCCCAGCTCAGGCGATTCTCCTGCCTCAGCCTCCTAAGTAGCTGAGACTGACGTGCACCACTGCACCCGGCCTAACATCTTTTTATATGCTTATTTGCCCTCTGTATGTCTTTTCAGTAATTTTTTTGGTGATTTTTAATTAACTAGTCCCATTTTGGCCTATTTTTTAGTAGGGTTTTTTCTTTTAATTGTTGACTTTTAAAGATTTTTTTTGGTATATTTTGGATAGATACTTTTTGTTTTTTATTTATTTATTTTTTGAGATGGAGTCTTACTCTGTCACCCAGGCTGGAGTACAGTGGCATGATCTTGGCTCACTGCAATCTCTGCTTCCCGGGTTCAAGCAATTCTCCTGCCTCAGCCTCCTAAGTAGCTAAGATTACAGGGGACCGCCACCATACCCAGCTAACTTTTTGTATTTTTAGTACAGACGTGGTTTCACCATGTTGGCCAGGCTGGTCTCAAACTCCTGGTCTCAGGTGATCCACCTGCCTCAGCCTCCTAAAGTGCTGGGATTACAGGCCTGGGCCACCGTACCCGGCTGGATCAACAGGTTTTAATGAGCTGCTTCTGTGGTGACAAGAGCTGTAGGGGCCACAGAGTGTTCTAAGAGTACCCTGCCCTCACCAGGCTCATCATCTAGGTGAGAATCGGGACCAAAAATTAATACACATGAAACAAAACTTGGCAAGACCAGAGGTAACTGGTCACGTTAAGTGAATTTATTTTTGTTTGTGATGTTCAATGTGAAATCCCACTTTAAATGTGTTTTATAGTCCTTTAGGCAGAGAAGGGTGTCACAGATAGCTCATTTTCACACTTCTATGGTTTTCTAGACAGCCCTCCATCCCCACTTTCACACACAAATTGACAATGTTATTGGGTAGTATTCACTTTTAGGTCATTTTCTAAAATCTGCCTTGTAATAAAAGTTTATTTTAGTTTTTTAGGTGGAGAGTTTTATATTTAATATCCTGGGTTGAGCCAGTGGAAGTATATAAGATTTTTCAACTAGTGTTTTTTAATTGTTTATTTTGTTTTGTTTTATTTTTGTTTTTTGGGTTTTAGAAAGATGACCTTTGGAGAAGGAAAGTAAGGCTAGGACACGTCCACTCTGCTGATCTAAGTGGGGAGAAAATTGGAACTATCCACCATGCTGATACTAGTGATATTTAGGAGGGAGAGAATTCAGAGATCTGGAGATGTTCTCAGAAAACTTGCTCTTATTAGAGCACTCAAGTGTGCTTAATGGAAATTAAATGGCAACACTCTTAATCAACCTTACACTCCAGTCACAATGAACCATTCATTGTATTTACTCAGCACTTCCCAGTTCACAAAGCATTATCTCATTCATCCTCACAGTAACTCTAAATAGTAACAATTATGAACTTTGTTTTAAAGATTGGGAGACAGCCTAAGAAAGGCCGAGGGGGTTGTTAAAGAATGCACTACCGATTTAAACTTGAACTAGGGTATTTGACTACAAGTTCAGTGGTCTAGAGTGAAGTTGTCTGTTTTTGGTCTGGGTTTTCTGTGGAGAATCACTACTCCTAAGTGATGTTGCCTCAAAAAGAATAAGTTTATATCACCAAGAACATTAGATCACCATGTTTAAATTGTGCTTTATAATCATCTCTACTTCACCTACTTATTTATTTCATTTTGTCCATCATACTCACTGATTATGTTGAATTCATAGTTTTTTTGTGTGAAAGCCTTTTCAAGTTTAATACAGCCAGTTAAAGACCTAGGAAATGTTCGTTGAATATATTAAGCAAAAATAAAGTAACAAAATAGAATGACTACTGTGACTAATTTTGCTATGTAAACATGTACTATATATAAGAAATAGTATTTGAAGATTATAAACCAAAATGTTAACGGAGATTCTGTTATGGGTGGTGAGATAATTAAATTTTTTTTTTTACATTTAAAATTTTATTTTCCAAATTTTCTACAATAGCACATTACTTTTATAATTAGGGTAAAGAAAGGCACAATACATGCCGTAAAAATGTCACTGTAATCTTCTTTGCTATAATATTCTCCAAGCTTCTTAGGGCTCATGTTAGCTGGGAGCCAACATTTCTCTCATTCCTTCACCATGAGGAGAGGCTGTCATGAGTATATAATGTGGAGCACCTAATCACACAGCAGCAGAGGCACCTCAGTCAGAACCCCTCAAACCCTGCCTCCCCAGACCCCCTTGGGCAATATTGGAGCCAGTGATGTGGGGATTTCATCCAGAGCTCAAGAATCAACCCTGTTAGATGGTAAACTCAAGCCAGGTCTGAAATATAAGCAGATAAACAAAATCTACTTTGTTAGAAAACCTGGAGGACAAGAGTAGACACACAGCCAGAGGGTCAGGGCTGAGCCGAACTGAAAGACAGCAGGAACAAGAAGCAGAAGCAAGGCCTGGAGGGAAAAGAGGTTTGAGGCAATTGTTATGAACAGGTCTCTAATGCCTGAGGTGCCTTCAGCACAGTTGCTTATCTTAACCTTTGGCTGGAATGAGGCAGGATGGAAACAGCCGATTTAAGAGGAGACAGCAGGCTTACATGACTTGAAAACAACACACACACATACATACACACACACAAGTTTTAAAAATCAAATTGCAGGGTGGGTGCAGTGATTTACGCCTGTAAACCCAGCACTTTGGGAAGGCAAGGTGAGCAGATGGCTTGAGCCCAGAAGTTCTAGACCAGCTGGGAGAATATGGTGAAACCCCATCTCCACAAAATATACAAAAATTAGCTGTGCATGGTGGAGAGCGCCTATAGTCCCAGCTACCCTGTCACTAGAGCCTGGGAGGTCGAGGTTGCAGTAAGCCATGATCATGCCACTGCACTGTGGCCTGGGTGACAGAGTGAAACTGTATATATATATATATATATATATATAAAAAATCCAATTTCAGTTGCAGTTGACCCTTGAATGACATAGGTTCAAACTGTGCAGGTCCACTTATATGAAGATTTTTTTCAATAAAAGTTACAGAGTGTGCCTGCCTCTCCTGCCTCCCCTTCCACCTTCTCCACTTCATCTGCCTCTGTTATTCCTGAGACAGCAAGACCTGACACTCCTCTTCTTTCTCCTCCTCAGCCTACTCAATGTGAAGATGAGGATGAAGATTTTGTGATGACCCACCTTTTTTAAATAAATGGTAAATATATTTTCGCTGTCTTATGATTTTCTTAATCACATTTCCTTTTCTTTAGCTTACTTTATTCTAAGAATACAGTATATAAAACATATAACATACAAAATATGTATTAATTGACTACGTTATTGGTAAGGATTCTGATCAACAGAATCCTTAGGCTTTTAGTTAAGTTCTCAGAGTCAAAAGTTATACATGAAGCTGGGGCACAGTGGCTCACAGTTGTAATCTTAGCACTTTGGGAGGCCATGGTGGGTGGATTGCCTGAGCCCAGGAGTTTGAGACCAGCCTGGGCAACATACTGAGATCCCCATGTCTACAAAAAATTCAAAAATTAGCCAGACATGGTGGTGTGCAAGTCAGTAGGCTGAGGTGGGAGGATTGCTTAAGCCCAGGAGGGTGAGCCTGCAGTGAGCCATGACTGTGCCTCTGCACTCCAGCCGGGATGTCAGAGTGAGACCATGTCTTAAAACAAACAAACAAACACAAAAAGTTATACATAAATTTTTAACTGCATGGTGGGATTGGTACCCCTCACCCCCATGTTGTTCAAGGGTCATCTGTGCTCGGTCTTTGCTGGAGGAGACCTGAGTCTAGGTATTGTAATTGGAAGGATAGATGAAATCATATAATTAGAGATTTATTACTTTGTGTTAGAATTTTGGCTCTCCAGGAGTCCTCTTAAACTGATTCTAAATGCTCCTGGTTTTAACTCTTCCAAACCCCTTTCTGACACACAGGAAAATAATTTTTCTTTTTAAATGTATATCCTCTGATTTATTCTCTCACTGCCCAGGGAAGATAATGATTTGCAATTTCATCTGGTTGTTAATGTGTTAATGTCATGCCACTTTTCAGGGGTATTTGCATTTTATAAAAGAAAGAGTGGGTAACCAAAATCCTAACCCCAAATAATGTATCCCCGATGGCATGAATTTTATCCATATTGCTAGAAATGCGAAAGGTTTTTTTTTTTTTTTTTTTTTTTAGTCAGGTCTTCCTAATTCACGTGACCTAAGAACACCCATGAGAGGTTTCTGGTCCTAAGCAACACACACGCCTACTTTGTGTTGCCTTAAAGACACTACCCAGTTGCTAACCATGGTTAAAAGAAAAACTTCAGCCAAATTAAATTTAAAAGAGTTTAATTCCGCAAAGAACGTTTCACAAATCAGTTAGCCTCCTGAGCCAGAGTAGGCCCAGAGACCTCGGCGCAGCCTCATGGTGGAAGAAGATTTATGGACAGAAAAAAGAAAGTGATATACAGAAAACAGAAGTGAGGTACAGAAACAGCTGGATTTGTTACAACTTGGTGTTTGCCTTATTTAAAAACGGTTTGAGCAGTTGGCCACTTTCGATTGGCCAAAATTCATTGATTGGCACAAGGGTAGGCTATAGTCTGTTTACAGTTCCATTTAGGTTATAGTTCTTGATGTACAGAGAAACCTTTAGACTGAACTTAAAATATGTAAGGAGCCAGCTTTAGGCTAAACTTAATTTAACACCATGCTTGGTTAAGCACATTTCTAAGAAGCTTGCTCAAATGTACTCATCTTTTTATAGTTATCCTTAGAGTCTAGGAGCCAGTGCTCTTTTAATTGTCTGGGGCTGTATGATCCTTTGTGTGATTACTGTACACATGAGTTTTAAAAACTTTTTATTGATGGAAAGTATGACTCATGGTGGTTTGCTGCATACTGTGTCATTCTGAAGTCCTGCTGCCTCAGGATCTTAATTTTCTTAGGAGTACTTGGGTTTCAATGACTTTTTCTGTTATTGGTCCATAAATAGAAAGTGTGTTAACTTTTGCCAGAGATCATTTGTTTTTAAATATATCATAAGTTTCAATTCTAGAGAAAGAGGAAGAATTTCATGTTTGCCAGAAGATAGGCCCAGAATTGAAGAAATATTTGAATGTCTTTGGTTACAACTTCCCACCAGAACACAATGAAGATGTTTCTTGACCCAGGTGTTTCTTGGGAGCCAAGATAAATCATAACATTCCCATGGACTTGCCATTTCAGTTACCTTGAACAGAAAACAGGAATAGGACAAATGAAAATGAAGACTGTTTGACTCCTCTTGCTTAAAGCCTGGACTAGACCTATTCAACGGAACTTTTGTGCATGAAACTCAAAGCTGTTGCCAAAACATATATGGGTAAAAA
This sequence comes from Homo sapiens, assembly GCF_000001405.40. Lineage (NCBI taxonomy): Eukaryota > Metazoa > Chordata > Mammalia > Primates > Hominidae > Homo > Homo sapiens. The sequence goes on along the minus strand of NC_000005.10, from coordinate 67,982,970 downwards.
GGGAAATCAGTGGGGACAGTCAAGTTTTGGCACTGGAGTACTGACTTTGTATTGTATGGACTAGTGGAATCTCAGTTCTTCCTCCTCCTCCGCGTGGCTGACTTTCAGCTACAGATTCTTGCAATTTCTGCAAAGTTTATTCTTTCTCCTTGGAGGATTTGGGAGGGGGAAGGAGAAACATTTCCTGGGACTATCATGGCCGAATCCATCCTTCTTTTAGGGCTTAATTAAATTCTCACTTCCTGAAGGAGGCTTTTCTTTATTTTATTTTATTTTATTTTTATTTTTATTTTTTTATTATACTTTAAGTTCTAGGGTACATGTGCACAACGTGCAGGTTTGTTACATATGTATACATGTGCCATGCTGGTGTACTGCACCCATTAACTCATCATTTACATTAGATATATCTCCTAATGCTATCCCTCCTCCCTCCCCTTACCACACGACAGGCCCCGGTGTGTGAGGTTCCCCACCCTGTGTCCAAGTGTTCATTGTTCAATTCCCACCTATGAGTGAGAACATGCGGTGTTTGGTTTTCTGTCCTTGCAATAGTTTGCTCAGAATGATGGTTTCCAGCTTCATCCATGTCCCTACAAAGGACATGAACTCATCCTTTTTTATGGCTGCATAGTATTCCATGGTGTATATGTGCCACATTTTCTTAATCCAGTCTATCATTGATGGACATTTGGATTGGCTCCAAGTCTTTGCTATTGTGAATAGTGCCACAATAAACATACAGGTGCACGTGTCTGTATGGCAGCATGCTTTATAATCCTTTGGGTATATGCCCAGTAATGGGATGGCTGGGTCAAATGGTATTTCTAGTTCTAGATCCTTGAGGAATCACCACACTGTCTTCCACAATGGTTGAACTAGTTTACAGTCCCACCAACAGTGGAAAAGTGTTCCTGAAGGAGGCTTTTCTATTCCTTAGCAGAAAGTTGAATGGTAAGTACTTAATTGCCAGAAGGAATTAAGTCTTACAAGTTTATTTTCTAATACAAAGAAGCCTTATATTATGATTGTTTGTTTGTACATTTATATTTCCTCTATAACAATGTAAACTTTTGCAGATTTCAAATGGGTTTGGGGAGAATGAAATCTGAGTGCTTATAAAAAGAGGGAGAATCCTGCTAATATCTTCAGAAAGTGACCTTTTATTTCAGAAACTACCTGGACCTTACTAAAGAGACTGCCTCCAAAGAATCTAGGCCACATTTTTGGGGTTTGGAGGATGCTTCGTCCCTCAAGTAGAGAAGAAGTGATCCCAGAAGTGTTTCTTCCACCTAAGACAACACTGGAGGATTTATTGAGATATTGCTGGCAGGTATGAAGATCAGGTTTGTGTATTCTATGTTGTTTTCTCACTCAATGAGAGCTGGTCCTGGTGCTTGTGTGTGTGTTTGAAGTCTGCACAGGAAGTTTGAATCATGAGAGCCTCACTTCTAGATGAATTCCAAGGCCCTGGGAGCATGGGCCAAACCTTGGGCCAAGAGCAATGCAGAATGCTGGCCATTGTGAGAGAAAGTGGGGCAGGAGGGGAGGATGTGTGCTGGCCCAGTGGCAAGGAAGCCAATGGTTTCGTGTCTGGGAGGGGGATGGCAAAGGACATTGGGACACAATTATCATTTAGGATTTTCTTAGCTGGCTGTATTTGTCTAACCTCCAAGGTACCTGGCCATGACCCAGTGTGGTAAGAACATTGCTGTGAGAACCTGGATCACAGTCACCTTGGAAAAAGATGTTGCCTCATTGTGGAAAGATTTTTATAATCTGCAATTTGCAATAGGCCCAGCAATCCTTCCACTGACAGCCTTGAAAAAATTAAAAATAAATTTAGAGTTTATGCATAATAAAAACTTTATGTACCATAAAAAAATTTCTGGGACTGTTCTAGGATCCTTGTCTGAGATACATCTTCTGGAGAGCTTGTGTTTGGTGATGTGTTGATTTAATTTTCCAATCCATGCCAAATGAAATAAATACCTCTATTTTTGATCTGGTAAAATAGAGTGACTGGCCAAAGGGATTTGTGATCAAAGGTTGCACTCCCTCAAAGACCAACAGTTGAATGATGTACTTTAGCATGTTATAGCCTCAGACTAGTTGACTAAAGACAGTTGGGCATATGCTTAACATGAAGACATATAGGAAGGTAACATTAAAATAAATAATTCTGACTATGCCCAGCTAGTCAAGCATTGGCTTTAACTGCATATACTTTTATCTGAAGTGGGTAAGCAGAATTCAGAATGTTCCATTTACAGCATCCCAGTTTGTTAGGATTATACTGACCAAAATTAATTGGATTTGGCTCATGCAACAAGGTCAGCTTAATATTTATTAAGTTTTTGAATTCTTTTGGAAAAACCATACTGAATCAATTCAGATCCAATAAGATGTGTACAGTGTCTGAAAATGAGCTATTCACATTGCTGGATGCCTGGTCCCAAACTCTGCCAACCTCTTATTCTGGAGAGACTTGAAGTTCTTTGTCCTTTAAGATGGCTGTGGCCCTCTCATGTGTATTCTCTATTAGGGACCTGGATCCTAGGTGCAGCAGTAGTCTCACCAGAATTATTGCCAACCATAACTTAATTAACTTAATTTACAGATTCTTCTTTGATGCCACTGTCTTCATAGGTAGGTATACACGTACTCTAGGTAATACAGAATCTCAGAAGTTTCTTAAACATTCTTAATACCAAAGAAACTCAAATGGTTAAAAAAAAAAGCTATCAAAGAAAGACAAGCCTTTTTAACAAAAAAGAAGGAACTGAATTTCAAGTAGAAATAAGTGTTGTTGTCTTAAGGAGTTTGGACCAGTTTCTTCAGATATTGTATATTTGAGAAAAAACTCCAAATGAAAAAGTTAAGAACAATCTTTGAATTTCTAAATTGATGAATTGCAATTCTAACTTGAATAATCTCTGCACGTTAAAGAAACTGGGGAACTGAGACACCAGAGAACTTCAGAAACGTGTGTAGTGGGAGCAAGTAGTGTGTATTTGAGTCACAGTCCTAGGCCAGTGTGTTCAGCCTCAATCTCAAGTTCTTCTAAAAATTACAAATACCAAAGAATTTTAGCCTAAGTTTACTTCATTTTCTTATGTAGGTTATATAAATTTTTAAAAATTCCAACATACTGAAGATGGATACTACCATGAAAAGCCATAGTCTGGTTTGTTTGAAATAGATATATTACCATAGATAAGGATATCCTAATGCCTTTAGTCAGTTAACACAATTGTATAATAGCAAAGTCTAATTGAAACAGAAGCCTGCTGTTTCTACATTTCTGAGCCATCAATGTTAATGGCTATAGCCAGCATTTTCTTATTTATCTTTAGTGGAAATATCTCTCAGTATAAATATTTGTCTACATCTATAGACAACATGCATACAGAAGTCATCTTATATGCTTTAAGTTTCTAGTCTATTTTCTCACTGGTACAATTTTCTATTTAAGTCCTCAGGAAACGTTAGCATTATTACCTAGATTCCGTCAGCATCTTAGAACTGATAGGTCACTGTGTGGTAAGACAAATGCCACATTCCACGAGAAAGAGAAAAAATAAATATTATTTCCAAAGGATCCATCGATCCATCCAGTTTTAAATTAAAATGGTTTCACTAGCTTTCTAACTAAACTACTTTTAAATCAGTGCTTCACTATGGCTGAAACAAATATCAATAGCTTCTTTTGCAATTATACCCAGAAGATTTGAGTAGATGCTTTAATACTATCACTTCCTTTAAAATCACTATTATCCTAATTAAACTGTAACATTTCAGGTAAGCAGATTTAAAAAGTTATTATGGAAATTTTCAAATGTATGCAAAAGTTTGGAAAATAATATAATAAATCGTTATATACCCATTACCAAGCTTTAGCAGTTAGCAACATTTTGGGACAGATTTTTGATGTAATGATTGGTCAGAGGACATCTTAAAGTATAAAGGAGTTTGTGACTTACATAATCTACCCACTGTCAGTTCAGAATTCTGTTTAATAATGAAATATACATTGGGAAAGAATTACTGGGTAAATTGGAGGAGGAGGGATGTTGTCTTCAAAGTCTGAGATAGAGAGATGGCCAAAATAGGGGAAAAATTTATGTATTCATTGTTTCATTCATTTAACTAGCAATTACTAAGCAAGCACCTGTTACATGCTAGATATTGTTAGGCACCCACAGGCAAATATGCTGTCATAAGTTTCAGCCTTCAGCAAGCTGACAGTCTATCAGGGAATGAAAACTAGCGTCACCTTAGAACTGACCACCTCCTTAAAAGGACAGAATGGGCTAGAATAGACAAAGATAGATCTGCTTATTGTTGGATGGAAAACACAAAAACAAAATCTCAGAAAACCATACCACAGTAATAAGAAAATTGTCACAGAAACAACTACAGTTCAGTAGTAAAATAAGGAAGCAGCAATGGCTCTAGCTCAGCGGGTTCCATGTGGGTTATAGAATTTCTGATGGATTGAGCCCAGCTGTAAACAAACCTATGGATTGAATTCAAGCTCTTAAAATGTTAAGGAGGACTGATAAAGACAAAATCTTAAGGGTGTTGTTGCAACCCAGAGAGTAAGAACGAAGTAGGGAGGTTTTTACTAACCCTCAGAAGAAAAATTCTTCTGAGACACACAAAGAGAAGGGAATGTTTATTTGCTGTGTGTGTGTTTTAAGTAAGCAAATCCTGTTTCTGTCTTTGAGCATTCACCAGTGGAAGTGTCCTCTATCTGCTGAGTGAATGAGGAACAGCTTGCCATATTATCTTAACTACAGCAAATGCATTTAAAAACGACTGGTTTCATTTTGGGGCAAATAGTGGGATACAGAATAAGAAAAAGGAAAAAAAAAGAGAAAAGAATGAAGGAAAGGGAAGAAAAGAAGAGAATAGAGAATGGATGAATAAGCAAATAAAGGCTATGATGGATGAATAAGTAAATAAAGTTTCACCAATTATTAGAAGGGCAGATCTCTATAGTGGTTAAAAGCTTAAACTAGGCAGCCTAAATGCCTGGGTTCAAATTTTCCTCTACCATTAATTAGCTGTGTGTTAAGCAAATTTTTTAACTTCTTTGTGCCTCAACTCTCTCATCTGTAAAATAGGGATAATAATAGTTCCTAGAACATAATGAGGTTGCTGGCAGGATTATTTAACACATGGGAGGGTATCTGTCATATAGTCAGAACCACACCAATGCTTGCTGTTTATCCTTTTGCTCTTTCCTCACAATTCCTGTTACAAACTGTAATTTATTCTTTATCTCATTGCCTTAGTTTGGTCTCATGCATGCTTAATTATACTTATAAACCTTCAGATCACAAAATATTATCAGATTTTCCTTAGAAGGCCTTTGTCAGATAAGGCCTCTGGCCTTTAGTTTTCGCAATCCTCTAATTGTCATCGAAAAATAAATCCCAACAAAAGAAATAAAATGTGGTGTGTATGTGTCGGGGGGTGAGAGAGACAGAGAGCATGAGAGAACCAGACATTCTGAAGTTTAGGAAGCAAAACTAGGGCAGAAATAGAAACCACAAGTATGGACATATTCAAACTAGAATTATACAGGAACTTAACAGGAAAGAATATTATGTCCTGTTGTGGCTTATCCACAAGTTGGAGTTCTGGGCCAATCCTGGAGATTCTAAGGCTGTTTTCAACCCATAAGTTCCTGTGTTTTAGAAGAGTCAAATGACAGACAGACCAACTTCCTAAAGTAATGACTCTATGTTCTCTATCGCAGAGATATTAGAGAAAGACTATTTTTTTTTTTTCAGTTTTGTAGGATGCTGTGATGACAGATGGCCACAAGTTTCTGAAATGGATCTCAGTTCTCCCTCAGGGCAAAGACCTTCCTTAGAACTATTTAAGGATATAGTTCCTCTTTTTTTCATGTATTCACCCCTTTACACTCTGGGGGCTAGAAGAGTATCTGTTTATAGTAAAATGGGCCTCATGATGAGTTGATTAAATGACGCAACAGAAAAACTTCCCTCTCCACTGCCAGCAGACCTCTTACCTGCTGCCATTCTCCAGCCACCCCCTCTGGGAAAGCTGGCACGGTGGGCTGTGACGATAATTCACGGATGTCTTTGTTGGCCAGCGCTCTAAGAAAGAACTGGCCTGGCATGTCTGAAGCTGTTCATTCAGTGTCATTTGAGGAGTACAGGAAAGGACATCTAATGTATTGCCCTAATTGATCTATGAGGAGCTGGAGATTCCACTAAAGACAATTCAGTTAACTGGATGAGCATTTCTCTAGCCTAGCAGTTCTCTGTTAGAAAGCAGCTACTCAATTGCCTAACCCCTTTAGAATCCTGACGTGTAAAGACAAACCATCAGCTTGTATTCCTCTATGAATCTAGGTAATGAGACACCACAGAGACTGGGCATCTGGAAAGGAGGTTCAGCCAAAAGAAGGAAAGTGGAAAAAGGAGAAAATGATGGGGACAGGAAAGATCATCTTGCCTCCCAGACAATGTAGTTTAGGGGAAATCTCCATTCTGTCCTAACAAGTTTGCAAGCTTTCATTCATAATTTCTCTGGGGCTCATTTTCTTCATATGCAAAACAAAAATGATGCTCATGTCACAAAGATGTGTGTCATGAAGTTGCTGAGAGGAAGGCAGGATATGATAAAGAGCTTTCTAAAATTTTCCACTTAAGTGTTCCTAATAGCTGAGCATCAACGTGTACTTTGGAGGATCAAAAGGGTGGATAGTGGGATGCTCACTGAAGAGATAGCCTCAAGACCTTCTGCAAAAGTAAAGTGTCTGAGAAAACTCAAGTTTTATTGTATAAATGTATGGCTAGTTTGTAGTCTACTCAAAAATATGTTTGTGTTTAAGATAAAAAGAATATGAAAATTCTTCTTTGCAAATCTTTAAGTAAAATTTTGTCTTGAGATGATTAATTGTATTTATCCTATAACTTTATAGATCCCTTGAGACTCCCTGATGCGAGAATCTTGAACATAATGCATATAAGGCCTCTGGTACAAAGTGGCTCCTTGACACAGCCTAGTGTTAGCTTTTATTACAATTATTGTTATTTTTGTAGATATTATTCATCTGCATCTCTGCTTAGGGATGGACCTAGTGAGAACCTACACACTTTCCTCATGAACCCTGGACAAATTGGTCTGTTTCCATTCATTTTCATTTCTGATGTTGTGTTTATCCTATTTCTCTGAGATTAACTATTCTTCTGTGTGGCTTTTTTTGCTAACACGTAAATCTATAGTAGGAGCTTAGAGCTGTTGGTTGTTTATTTCTTTCTCCAGTTTCTTCATTCACTCACTCACTCACTCACTCACCCTCTCAATCAATCAATTACTTATCCAGTCAACCAAGTACCTCTCTCAGTAAGGCAATGTAGAGGCATTATTAGAAATACAAAATATGAGATAAAATTCTCATTACTAACCTAAGAATTCATCATCCAAGGCCTTGCAGTGCCAGGTTGCAAAGCAAAGCAAGTTACCATAAGATATAAAACTAATAAATGGACCATTTATAAAATGAATTGATCCACCTGAGTATTCTTTGTTTAACTCTAATATCTACCTCCACTCATAATGTCAATGTGTATTTGTTAATAGTGTTTTGATGACCTACTGATATTATAAATAGCAGAAAATACATTGGAAAAACAGTGCAAAAAAAGAAACAAAATGACAAATTTAGAAAATATTTAGTATTTCATAAGAATAATGAAATTGATGTTGGAGACATTCAATCAGATATAATGCTATTGACAAATTAAAATCCGGCAGGCTTTTATCAATTATTGAAGAAAAGAAAATTGATAAAGTTGATAACATGTTGGGGCTTCTAAAGAGAAAGCAAATTTTCCTTGAGAAAATTGATGAATCATCTCATGCTTTTGCAAAAATTATTCCTTGTTATGAGCAAACTGAAAAAACCCAAATGCAAGGTAAATTAGTTGTATTGTGCTATGATCCAATTTTAATAGATAAATTATGTGAATTATTTGTCCTAAGATTTAGCACATGGCCATAATAATATTCTAAAGTTTATAAAGTGCAAGGTAAATAAATCATCTTCATAATTTTTAGTTTTAATATTCATATCCATATTTAAATCAAACATTTCATTTCCCCCTACTAGTTCCTATGTCCACACTGGTCTCTGTTTTAAATGGATTCAGTTTAAGCTGTCTTTTTCTGGTATTAACTAGAAACATGGGGTAATAAGAACCTCTTATATGGGCTCATATGTTACATTTAAATAACACTTTGCTGTTTACAAACACTTTCACAGGCCTTGTCTCACTTAATTCTCACAAGAACCCCATGATTAATTGCTTTTTCCATATTACATAAAATAATACTTATGATATGGTAAGCTGCCAGTTTTCTTAAACTTTTAACCCTTTTAATAACCACAAAAATCTCATGTCCCCTAGAAATTCTAATCTACTCCATTTCTGAGGGAAACAAGCCTTTCATCTCTAATTAAGCCTCAATACTTTAAAAAAAAGTCCATTTCTAAAGGCATTCTTTAGCCAAGACTTGGTCAAACCTTACTTTCTATAATTTTTGTTACAAAATAACTTCTGTTCTAAAACATAAAATTACAATATTTAATATCTGCTTAAAATAATCTGCAATCCCAGGTTTCTGGCACATGTTACTGAATAGTGTACCTGTCCCTTTCTACAACTGATTATAAATCACTTGTGCAATACCACAGAGTCATTAAATAGCCAAGTTGGCCCTGAGACTTAGACCTGTGAGTCTGTATCAGTGCTCTTCTCACTACAGGAGATCCCTTCAAGTTCCATGACATTTAGAAGCCATTGTGGCCTACATGTATGGAATTGACCCATAGTTCCAGCAAGGAAGAGAAAACTGAGCACATGAGCCTCCTTATTAAACCATTCCCTGGAACCTCCGAGGACTGAGATATTGCTATGGCATGGAGAAATTAGACAAAAGGTACCAGGCCTAGATGTTAAAAGATGGGCATGATTCAGAAAGGACCAGTGTTTCTAGACAATAGAGAAAATAAGGCAGAAGAGGAAGGTCTAGACCACAGTTTGAGGTGTTCTGATAGGCAAAGAGGTATAGACTTTCAGGAGGTTAGGGTAAGGTAGGGAGGACATTTTGGCATTTGAACAGGATTGTGAAATAGTGAAAGTAACCTGATGATTTTATATAGTGGGGAAGAGTCCTACGAGAAAAAAGTGCAGATTGAGACCAATGAGAAGGGTACAAAAATATATGTAAACTAAAGTGTCTGAGAGCTGGAAAGGTCTTAGTCATTCTCTAATTCAACATTTTTCCAGTGCATGAATCCTCCTTTACTCTCTTTAATAGATAAAAAGACCAGAAAAATGGAAGACCCAAATAAGGATGATGGAATGGAAACACCAAGAATGCAATGAGCGCAAATTTTATCACAAAGAGAGAAGTGTCTTTTTAAAGTTAGCAAGGATGATCCTGTCTTCTCATCCTGCTGCCTCTCAAACCCTTGGTCAGCTCTTTGGAATTTCTCTCTAGCTTCCCTTTCCTCCCACTGGAGTAGAATCTATCTATTGAGGATGGAGCTCCCTAGATTTTGGTAGAAGGTATTATCAACCTGAATCACACTGTCCAGTGACTGAGTATACCCTGAATCTGGGAATATCACTTGCTAAGTGGTTAATGGGCCATTCTTGAGGCATGTGGGATCTTTGCGCCCAGGCTTATCACAGTCCATACCTATCTCAGCTCTGGGCAGGGGTTATTATGGTATGGTAGCTGACATTTTCAGAGACGAATATGGTGGGCCATTGACATCTGAAACCCAAGAGATATTCTGTAGTTGTTACTAACGGCTTACAGAGACTTCTACCTTTGTCCGCTTCTGTCATCTGTGTATGAGTCTGTTCTCACATTGCTATGAAGAAATACCTGAGACTGGGTAATTTATAAAGAAAGGAGGTTTAATTAGCTCACAGTTCTGCAGGCTGTGTAAGAGGCATGATGCTGGCATCTGCTCCGCTTCTGGGGAGGCCTCAGGAAACTTACAACTGTGGTAGAAAGCAAAGTGGGAGGGAGACTGATACGGTTTGGATCTGTGTCCACACCCACATCTCATGTTCATTTGTAAATCTCAGTGTCAGAGATAGGGTCTGGTGGGAGGTGATTGGATTATAGGGCTGGAGTTCCCATGAATGGTTTAGCACCATTTCCCCTTGGTACTGTGTAGTGAGTGAGTTCTCATGAGATCTGGTTGTTTAAAAAGAGTGTAGCACCTCCCCCCACCTCTGTTTCCCTCCTGTTTCAGCTATGTAAGACATGCCTGCTTCCCCTTCACCTTCTGCCAAGATTGTGTTTCCTGAGGCCTTCCCAGAAGCCAAGCAGATGCTGCTGTGCTTCCTGTATAGCCTGTGTAACCATGAGCCAATTAAGCCTCTTTTCTTTATAAATTACCCAGTCCCAGGTATTTCTTTGTCGCAGTTCAAGAACAAACTAATACAGAGGCGTCTCACGTGATGGGCACAGGAGTAGGAGAGAGAGAGAGGGGAAGTGCTACACAGTTTTATACAACCAGATCTGTCAAGCTCTCAGTCACTCACTGTCATGAGACTGGAACCAACAGGATGGTGCTAAACCATTCATGAAGGATCCAACCTCATGATCCAATCACCTCCCACCAGGCCCCACCTCCAACACTGGGGATTATAATTTGACATGAGATGTGGGTGGGGCACAGATCAAATACCAATCTGACTTTGTCTAGCTTTTATTATCAGTCTTTTTGCAATCAGAGCCATGAGGAAAAAGGGAAAAATGGGTAAGAAAGTACATGTTTGGCTTTCATCAAGTGTCACTCTTACTTCCAAAGGTTGTCATTGCATCATGTCTAGGCTTCCGCAGATAGTCAGTCTAAACATATGGCTAAAGCCACATTTTCTATAATCCTTATTCGTGTATTATTTATTGGATCTTATTTTATGCCAGGAACTGGGAAGGCAAAGACAAAAAGAGAAGTTCCCTTTTTACAAACTGATTTCAACGCTTGTTAACTAAAAGACTAATAGGAGGAGAGACATTCAGAAGATAATGACATTAGAATATTGTGCTGGCCGTAAAGAACTACATTCTTTAATGTACTAGGTTCATTTTTTATTTTTAGGGAAAGTGCCCTAGAGTTAAGAGGAATTTGGTTTCAGCTTAAACCTATTTCAGTTACTTGCAACTTTATTTTGAAAAATGCTTGGGCATGCTAAATTTGAGTCCAACAACATTGCTCATGTTCTTCTTTACTCCCTCCAAGGTGAACTTTTTTTCTTTTCTTGGAAAGGTAGTAATGAGGGGCAGGAGGAGTGGGCAGATGATATTTCTATTGCATTTTGCATTGCCCATTCCATTCGAGGAGTTATGCAACCAAGGGAAAAAAAATGCATTTTCCACTCTTGAGGCTCTTTGATCACTTTTGCTCTTACATAACTCCCTAACAGCTGGAGCTGTAAACTTTAAAATTGGCAGGAACATAGTTCATATTGCGAAAGGAAATTCAACCCAATTGAAGAGAAACAGCTAGATATTTTTAAAGCGATCCCAGTATTTGTGTTCTTCAACATTTAGTGAGTGCTGGTGACGTTTGGGGGCATTAAGCTGGCTCCTTGCCCAGAGATGTCACCATCTTGACTGGGGGTCCTATCTGCAGGGCCTGGCTCAGGAGAATGGGGCTACTTTCTTTCTTTCTTTCTTTCTTTCTTTTTTTTTAAATTACTAAGCTATCTCATTCTGTAGCTTCTTTACCCACAGACAACCAAAGAAATACTTGTTCTAAGGTTTGGTGCTGCCAGAAGTAAATTCACACCAACCTGCCAAGGCCTCCTCCAGCTGGCTTGCTTGGAAAATATGTCTGTTCTTCTCAACAATATCATTCCCTTCACCTACCTTGCAAAAGGTAGCCTGCACTACCTTGTCCTCAAATATACCCCTTTCCTCCCTTTTACCTACCTCTTTCTCCTCCTCCTTATTTTATTTAGTTTTTTTTTTTTTTTGAGTTTTAGATTTGAGCTTCTTATCCACTATGGTGGAAGTAAATCTGTATGAAATCATATATCTGTTGCTACAACCTCTGCATCACATTGTAAAAAGAGTAAACTCATTAGAAACCCACTGCTTCAAAATCAACAGCTTCTTCAGTGCTGCATTAACACCTACATATAGTTAACAAATGTTGAAATCCGTTTGTAAAAAGGCTATTAAACTTCTAAGTGGCTAAAATAAAATTAAAGGCAAAATTGTCTTTTTCACAGTGAACAGTCTGCTGGCATCACTGATACTGGATGATCATTCAAATATTTGGATTTCTGAAGTCATGAGAAATCCAGGCACCTAACTTCTTTCAGTTATCCTTTCTTTCCCATCGAAGAACTAGATGTATGGAATTACACTTCTCGTAGCAATTGTTGCCTTAAGAGAGACTCCAACTCTGTATCTCAAGGAATGGTAGGCCACTGGTGAGAAAGGTGACATTTGTCATTTTGATATATTTTGGTGCAGTTGCTGCTGCCTAAAAAACCTCTTTTCTGAGGTACTCCAGGACGGCTACTCTGTATAGAGTGGGGGTCACCCCTGCAGGATGATGGTTTTCAGGGGTCAATGAGTCCTTCCTATGGGGAAGCACAGCATGGCTTCCTGCAGCAGGAAGCTGCCTTCGTCTTGGCTTTCTGGAGGCCTCCTCAGCCTTGCTCACTGCCATTTTGAATTTGGCTGATGTGCAAACACAAACAGAAAGGGCGAATTCAATAGCAGCGAGGGCTTGTCTCCTATTCTTGCTCCACCATGATTCAAACTTCTTCCACTCTGGTTTTAAGCAAAACCAGGTTCTTATTATTCTGAGGTACGCTACATTTTATTTTCTCTACTGCCTTTTCCAGTGCATACCCATCTTTTTTTTCTTCCTTTTATGGTCTTGAATTTTTATCTATGCCTGTTATAATAACTCTTCCTGATTCCAGAAAGGTGCAAGACCTGGCTTTCATCTATTTCTGAGCATGGAAACCATTTATTACAAGAAATGCCTGAGGCACTGAAGGCCATCAGGGAGAACTAGGTCTTCTGAGTACTGTGTTTGAGTCACTCTGGTATCCGTCCAGGGTCAGGTCAGTCTTCTGGAAACATCTTGAGTAGATTTGCAGGAAGAAACAGGTGTGGCTTCTCAGGTAGACAGTAAGAGGATAGTTATTTTTAGCTTTTGAAGAATTTTGATGTAATGGAAAGATACGTGAGAGAAGAGGTAGTTATCTTTTTATCCAAATGATATATATGTTGCTTATTCCAGTGGTCACAAACTGCTCATTTCTTTAATGGTTGAAGAGTTAATTATATTTTTGGCTTTTTTTTTTTTTGTCACAGAAATGTTGTTGAGCCAAGCACAGGTATGAGAATCAGATATACCTTGTAGTACAGAAATAGCTCATAGGTCAAGAAATAAATCCTTCATGAGGTTTCAACTGGCAGGTGCTTAATAACTGGTAAATATGACTAGTTGAGATGCAATGATGGGAACAAAGATGATGCTCCTTATCACATCGTGGCATTTGGCATGAATTTGGAAATGATGATTGGCATTGCTAAACAGCAGTTTGCATGCAAATGCAAGGCATCTTCTAGCCATTGTCTCGACAGCTCTCCTACTCAATCTAGCTATGACTCTGGCAGAAAGGAGCTGCAACATCAGAGAATTTGCTGGCATTGTTAGAAGATCATTTATGACCATGCAACTTTCTTTCAATGGGAGGATTTTTGGCTAAAATAATAAAAAGCTCATGTATTTAAAAAGAAAAAGGTGTGGGTCTAGTTCTTCTTACTTACTAGAGAGTTGGTGCTTATAGAAATCTTTACCAAACATAACTTCCTTGGGGCTTTCTTTTTTTTTGAGTTTTTTTTTGTCCTCACTTTAAAGAATCCAAGAAAGAACTTGATGTGAAGTGAGATTTTTAATGTTTTCAATGCCTTATCTTTATTTTCCTTCAGATAACTCTCTCTCCAATGATGATTATGATAATAACAGCTGATTTTGAGTTTTTCTGGTCACATTGTATGATTAATCCTCATAAAAGTTTATGCTGTTGCTAATGTTATTCCCATTTTATGGACAAATAAACTAAGGCACTGACCAATTTAGTAATGTGCCCAAGGTCATACAGCTAATAAAAGTGCTATGGAAAGATTCAGATCTAGGTTTTCTCACTTCAAACCAAACTTATAACTCAATCTGATGCTATTTCTCTTTTTAGAGACAACAATAATTATTGTTTAATCAATGAAAATTTATGAAACTCTTACTGTGTGACAGATTCCGAACTAGGCATTGAGGATATTGAAACAGGCAAAGCAAACATGGTTACTATCATCATGGAACTTAGAATCTAGCAAGAGGGATCAACATTGGGCTAATCATTAAATTATATAATTAAAAATATGATAAGTCATGATAATGTAACAGGGGACCTATTTGCTCTATGAATAAGTGGCATTTTAAGGTGAGATCAGAAATCACCTGAGATAGCAAGGTGAAGGCAGGGATAGGAAAAGAGGTCAGAGGGAACATTGGTCAAAGACAAAACCTGGTAATTTCCATTGTTCCAATGAATTTACAATGACCACATTTAAAGCATAATTTTTCTCAACACTTTCTTTAAAATGCGGAATAAAATTTGAATGTTTATATATACAAGATGGTCATAACTGGACCAATTCTAGTTAGGGAACTAGCTGCTTAGTCATAAGACTGAGAATAGGGTATCTTATGACAATGGAGGTACATAAAGTCAGAAATGCCCTTGGAAAGATTCCAAAGAGAAACTTCAAGAACCCGTAAGTGACTCTGTCCAATGGAAAAAGACACACATAATTGTTGGTTGGGGAGAGCCTTTATTAAGTATCAGGCCTTGTCTGTAACTTCTCTAGTTTTGCTCAGCTGTCATGTTCTGCTCAACGCTGAAGACAGCTCTCCAGGAAGACTGCCTCGTGCCCCATTCTCGCAGGCCTCAATGACTTCATTGGAGAGAAGCTCCTGAAGCTCCGTCACATCTTTACCCTTGCTTCCCTTGGAGCAAAAGCACCGGTCTACCAAAAAAGCAGTAGCATGGGAGAAAAATGGAAACTATGAAGTTAAAATTGGAATCTTTAAAAATGTAGAACATCTGTACAGCACAAAACTTTATAAGTACAAGTTTTAGGGCCTTCTCAAGGGAAACATTGAAGCAGAATTCTCCTCTGAACTAACACTACATGTTCTGCCTCTTATAAAAAGGCTCTTAACCTACCCCCCAGCATTCAGAATGTCCATAAACTTGGTTGGGAAAAAATTATATCTTATTTTCTTTAACCTCCAACAATTGTAAATAAAACTTAGCATTTCTTTCAATTATGGATGTAGGGAACAAACTATTTGGTTGGTGCAAAAGTAATTGTGATTTTTGGCAACACTTTTAATGGCAAAAACCTCAATTACTTTTGCCCCAACCTAATACATTAGTATTAGTGCTACCTATGACTTCACCACTAATAGAAAGTAGATATTTTTATACTATTTTATGGTTGTTTGTTGTTATCATTTACTCTCAGCACTAATTCTAAATTTATGATAGCTATTAAAGCCATTGCTAGGTCTTATTATTTAATGTGTTAGTAAGATATAGTCATCCATATATACACAATATTGGCATTAATTTGTCAATTTGTCCCATAAATTTGTGACAATAATATTCATATTATGTTATATAATACATATTATAATAATATTCATCCATATGTGGATTCATCCATATATTGTCACAAATTTATGTTCAGAAAATATTTTGATAAGCATTTTTAATGTAATTAGTTTCTTATGTAATCCTTTGTATTTTATTTTCTGCATTTAAAAACTGATTCGGAAAAGGGTTCATGGACTTCAAAAGACTGCCCAAGGGGTCTGTGTTCTGGAAAAGTTTAAGAATGCTGCCTTAAGGTAATGATTTACAGAGGAGACACTTGTCACACATATGCACTGTTTATTACCAGCACTCCCCACCCTAAACTCTAGACTTACTAAGTGAGTGTAGAGGGTTTTAGCACCATGTACAACACAGAACATTTTCCCTTCTGAAGGTGAGCAAAGCAGGTGGTGAGAAAGCCAGGTAGGGCCTGGGCTTCTGGATGACTGGAGTCTCCTTTGAGCTTGGCAGGTCCAGGTTCCATAGCTGAAAATTTTCACCAAATACAGGTATGACTGCTTTGTTGAAGTGACTGCCCCATTTTAGTTAAAGAGGAAGATGTCTGATTTTATGGAGTTTTAGAGGACTCTCTTATACTTTAGGGACCAGCATCAAATCATAGGCTAATAGCCTTAATATACCAAAAGTCATGCAAATCAATAACAAGAATACACCATCAGACAAACAATATATACATAGGTAATTAATATGACTAAATACTATATGGGAAAAAGTATTTGGCCTCACTGACAACTGAAGAAATGCAGACAAAAGCAAGATTTTAAAAATGCCTATCAATTTGGTAAAGTTTTAAAAAGCTTGACAATACTTGGTTTGATAAAGATCTTGGGAAATGAGCAATCATGCCTTGTTAACGGGAATGTAAATTACTATACTTGTTTTGAAAGTTCAGTTTAGCAATATTTATTAAAATGCTCCTTGTGCATACCCTCTGACCCAACAATCTCATTTCTAGGAATTTGCCCCAAGGAGTTCATCATAAATATGTAAACAAATGTATGTACTAGAATGTTCATTACCTTCTTATATAGTGGCCATCACCAACCAAATGAACAACTCAAACCTGGAGACAGCCTAAATTTCTTATATATTGTAGCAAGTTAATTCATTGAGATATTTTGCTCTATCTTCCTTGTGTGTTATCGCCTGTTCCAAGAAAGTGGGCAGGCTTCCTTGCCTTAGGGGAGGTATGTGTTGTACAACAGGAAACAGAAGTTGCCGCCTAAGAACTGTCTTCCTTGGCTTTTGTTTTCTGGAAATTGAGTTCATATTGAAGTGGTTAAGCCAGGGAGAAAAATGAGACAGAATGAGAGCAGCAAAATGGGGAGGCCTCCAGAGAGGACACAGGGCTCTGTGGGTCTCATGTGTTGAGGGGACCCATGGTCTGCTCCTGCACATTGCCCTGGGATGGGAAAGGAATGGGGTCACCTAGCAATGCTCAACCAGTTGGTGGAGTCAGAGGCTCCAGGCTACTGGATTTCAAAGAAACATGACGGCTTAATGAATTTGCATTTCTAAAGTGCCTAGAGTGGAGTAAAGATCAGAGGGATTTCTCTGAATATATAAGACTCTTTGGGGAGGTGGGTGTTGGGGGCGAAGGGAGCCTCAATGATGATTGCCTTTGAATTTTGCCCCAGTCTGGAGGGAGGTGGAGAATAGAATTTAATTTGATTTAAAGAAGTAACCAGGCTGGGTGCAGTGGCTCACACCTGTAATCCCAGCACTTTATGGGAGGCCCAGGCAGGTGAATCACTTGAGGGCAGGAGTTCAAGATCAGCCTGGCCAACATGGCAAAACCCTGTCTCTACAAAAATACAAAAATTAGCCAGATGTGGTGGCGGGCACCTGTAATCTCAGCTACTCGGGAGGCTGAGGCAAGAGAATCACTTGAACTTGGGAGGCAGAGGTTGCAGTGAGCCAAGACTGCATGACTGCACTCCAACCTGGGTGACAGAGTGAGACTCAGTCTCTAAAAAAGTAATAATAATAAAATAATTAAGAAAATAAAGAAGTAACGAAATGTGGCAATTCTTGCATACCTGTTTTCCAACTTGTGTTGAATCTGCTACAATATATTCCTGCTAGCTAAATCTCTTTCCTAATAACTCTGTGGCCAGAAGGCTCACAAGGGGCAAGAAGATCATGCCTGTCCCATGATACACACAGTCTCATGTCTGCTGAGGAGAATTTTCTTTCTATAAGGGCAATATCCAATGAAACTACAAATATACAGAGGTTACCAAAGGTGTACTGATGTGGCTGTTACAGAACCACGTGCAAACTGCAATGCAGTTTGTGAAAGGAAAGTAAAAACTTGGGACTCCAACTAGCTATGCCAAAAGGAAAAAATTAAGCTGAATCATGCAAGAAATTGCCTTTCCTTTTGTTCCTAAGCAGATAGCTACAGATAAAAGGCTAAATATATCCACAAGTGATAACTCTTATGTTCACCTTACTTTATGTAAGGTGCCGATTTACTGAGTGTGAGAGGAATACATAGTTGACTGTTCCCCTACCTGCTCCTTTTCTCTTACAACAAGTGGATTACAAACCCTCTGTCTTTCCTCTCCAGCCTGCTTTTCCCCTTTAAATACTGAAGCCCTCAAATTCATCTTTAGAGAAAGGCACAGACGACACATCGTTTCTATGATCCGTGTTCTTTTCTTCCAGGCTTGTCCTTAACCTTGGCAAAATAAGCTAAATGACTGAGACCTATCTCAGATAATTTTTGGTTTGTAAATTCCAAAGAACTAGCTCTAATGTTCAAAGAACAGAGTAAAACACCTTATGGGTGGAGGAAATGGGAGGTTCAAGGAACCTGTTTGTCCACTTTTCACTCAGAAGACAGAAATTGGATCAGAGCCTGTTCCAGCCCAGCCCCAGGTGAGGGATGAGGGCTGCCATGGGGTATGCATTGGACATTGCAAAGGAGCTGCACAACTGCAGAGCTTCTACTCCTTTCAAGCAAGTCAGGACAGAAGGGTTGTCCCTTGGGAGCCTGGTCAAGCATTGGTTCAAACAAGTTGAGTGTCATAAAGTATTTAAAGTCAGGAGAGAACAGTGTGCCATTGAAACAGTCTTTTGAGGCAGAGTTTGAGAACCTCAAACTAAAGCCACCCTCACATGGCTAACAGGAATTCTAGATAGAAATGTAGTTATAACTAAACAATAATCAGGCTGCACGTTGACCTACTTCCTTGTAACTGAAAGTCACATAACTCTAAATGCTGACCGTGTGTACCCTCACTGATCCTATAGATAGGATTTCTGACAAGAGAGTCATAAGGCTTTTGTTTAGGGTAGATAGGATTTCTGACATTAGAAGCATAAGGCTTTTATTTAAGAGTTGCTTAAGAGGTCTCACAGATTCTAAATTCTAGCGAAAGAGCCGAAACAGCTGATGCCAACCAGTTTGAAGACCCCTATAGAGAAACAGAATCAGCATGAGAATACAGTTTCTTCATCTTCCTGTCCCACGGCTTCAACCTGCACTCTTCAACCAATCAACAATCTCCACACATTGGCCCACTCCAAAACCCCTAAAACTCCAGCTTCAGACTCCTGAGGAGATGGATTTGAGGTTTCCTCCCATCTCCTCATTCAGCAGGGCCTACAATTAAACCTTTTTCTCTGCTGCAACCTGGTGTTTCCATGGATTTAATTTGCTGTGCACATTGGGCAACAAAACCAGAAAGCCCCCTTTGCCTCTAATTCTGGAACTAGACCTCTGGGGTTAGATTGAATGCAAATCTGATTTACCTTTACAAACTAAAACTGGTCACACATGTCTATGCCTAGAACTGAAATTCATGCATGGATCAGGAAAACAGAGTTAGAATATGAAGGACAACTAACGCCGTGCTTTCATTTCTTGGTTGGGGCTAAGGTGAGCAAAACCAGTGACTGGATTGTTTCTTTGCTTTCCATCTTCCTTGACCTATGCTTATCTTGGTGTAAAGCAAAAGCCCCATGCAATGATTATTTCAGAATGACACACGTAAGAAAAGCAGAACTCAATCAACTTTTATGCTGTGCTAAGTACTAGCATGCATTATCTTATTTAATTCTTTTAACATCTCTCTGAGGGGCATATGACTTTTTAAGGAAGAGGAAACTGAGGCTTAACAAGATCAGGTAATTTTCACAAGGGTCTCAAAGCTAATTGGTGTCATACATGATATGTGAATTCACATCTGAGTCCAGAGTCAAATCTTTTAACCATTATAGTACGCTTCTTTTCACTTATCTTTTAAACACCTGATGGAGGGAAAAAACCTGTTTTTCTTTGCTTGGGTTTTCTTGTTTATTTTTTAATATGCCCAAAAAGGACTCAGTTTTTTTTCTCCTGGGGTTATGCATAGATCCAGAGTAAATGGATTTAGTGTTAACCGAAAGCCCTGAGCTTTTCATCCAAGGTACCTCTTATTGGTTACAAATGTGCCAAAATTTTCAAGTTTGAGAAGCCCAGAGCTCCCAGGATGGCCACCTCACTCATGAGCAACCTCATCTCTCTGCCTCTGTGTTATATATTCAGTTTTGTCATTTTTCTATATTTTCTGTAAACTGAAAAATCTTGGAAACCACTCCCCAGGCAATCTGTTTGCACAAGAAGATGATGTGATGTGATTTGTACCTTGACTAATTCCCACAGTCATCTTTCTCTCTTATTCCAAGCAAAAGGCCAGTAGGATATCAGTCCCACTGCTTTGGCTATAATTTTCTCCAGGTACTTATGTGGTTAATACAAATCAAAGAACAGTGGGTTCCTCTGTCTCTTTCTACTGAACATTTTCAATACTCTGATGAAGTAGGTATCATGTCATATTGTGAGAAACCCCACTTATCCCATGAGCTATCAAGAGATGAACTTGGTAGAGGAGTATTTCATAAAGATTGACAGACCAATTATTTATTTACGGCATGTAACTATTTTTCTTAGGTGTCAACTAAAGATTCCTTTGATCTGAACCGAGTGGAAGAGCAAAAAGATTATAGACAGGAGTTCTTAGTCAATTGAGAGACCCTAGGTCACACATGAAAATATAGCTTTAAACTGAAAATGTTGCAAAGGCAATTTGTTCTGCCTCTTCTCTCAGAATATTTATCTGAACCATTGAGTCTGGAGGTCTCTGCAACAATCCTATTGGAAATCTGCATTATATCTTTAGCAGAGAGGAGGCATGTGATGATATGTAGTATTGGTTGGGTCATACTGAGGGGAATTGAGTGACAGTTGGGCCTCAAGTTTATCACCTCTGTGGTCTAATTGGCTATTGGTAAAGTGGTCCCTGTTTGCAGATGAGTTCAGAGGTGAACAGGACAAGCCATAGGCATCTGGCACCCTACCGTTCATTTTGCTATTCTTGATTATATCAGTCAGTATTTAGGATGAATTTGCCACGGAAACATTTGGGAGACTCTTTGGCTTTATAACTCAATAAAGGGATTATCAATGATGGTGGTAACTAATTCTAGTTTTTTAGTGCTTACCAGATACCAGGTATTCTCCTAAGTAGCATACATATGTTAAATCATTTAATTCTGTTATCAACCCTATAAAATAAGTATTTATTCTAATCTTATGAAAAATAAGCTTGCCCTGGGTCAAATGGCCAGTGAGTGTGGTAGAGATGGGAATCAAGTCCATGTCTGCTTGACACCAAAGCCCATTTTTAAAAACCCCTATGCTCTAGTATCTTCTATGTTAAGCACATTGAAATTGTTCATTTGATCACAGTACTCAGTCTCTGCAATTTCTCTCTCTAAGCTTTGTCTAATAGAAAAATGGAAACATCGCATTCAAAAGTCAGTGAGCCATAGCCACTGTTATGCATTTTCATTTTTTGCACTTGAAGCATTAAAAAAAAATAGGCCCTAACTGGGTGGAAATGGCTGTACAGAATGTCAGGGAGAATTCAAGGGTTTCATAGCATGGACCAAAAGGCCAGTCACATGCCTCTTACCAGAGGCATGCCTGCTAATCTGTGGCATGTCAGAGCCTGCACACCAGAGTGTGATGTGCCTATCACTTTATCCAAAGGAATCTAGCCCACATGCCCATCCCTCTAAGTGCTACAAGGCTCCCTGCAGCCAACTGAGCAGGGTGCCAGCCTCCACATATCAAGGCAATTCCTTCCAAGGGGAGTGGGTGACGGCAGGACAATGGTGTGACCAGGCACTGGCAGTCTGTGTGTGGTCTGAGATTGCCAGAGTTATGAACGGAATCTGCAAAATGTGGCCTCCTTCACATTCATTCTTGGTACTGTTTGGTGACATTTGCCGTAGAACAGAGGTCCTCAATAAATGCTGATGATTGTGATAAAGATTTACATAACAGCATGCTGCAAGTGTAAGCCTCCTGCTAAAAAAGCAGATATAATAATAATACATAATGCACTGGATAGGTTGTTTAGCATTAGCAATTTACAGCTTCAGAGAAATGGCTCGTAAAATGTTAGGGCTAGGAAGAATATTAAAGACAATAGACACTCTAGCTCCCTCATTTGCAGATACTAAAACAGGTTTTAAAAAAATATAATGCCTTCCCCAAAGTACTATATAGTTATTTCATATGAATGTTATATAAACTTAGATTTTTAAAAAATATATTGAGAAGGTTAGTACTTGTTTTTAGAACGATTCTTTTTTTTTTTTTGGAGGTAGGATTAAATATCTGATTTGAGGCTCATCAGTTCAATTTTTTTACACAAGTAATGGATGTTACAGGAAAAGTGTACAGTCTGGGCCTTGCTGACATTGCCTCACAGGGTAGCCGTTTACACCGAGCCTGGCACAGATAAGCATCAACACATTTTATCATTCTTGTTATTGTTCCTAAACATGCCTATTGACCATTGTTAACACAACTGTCTCCAAATACTTTTGATGTAATACACCTATTTGTAAAACATTTCGAGCATGTTTCTCAAATATATATAATATGTAAATCATCTAATGGATTACTCTATGTATTATTTATATTATAAAGAATGCATGAAGGAACAGAAAACCAAATACTGCATGCCTCACTTATAAGTGGGAGCCAAACACTGGGTGCTCATGGACATAAAGATAGAACAATAGACACTGGAGACGGCTAAGCAGGGAGAGAGGGAGGGGAGCAGAGGCTGAAAAACTATTGGGTCCTGTGATCACTAGATGACAGGATCATTTGTGTCCCAAACTTCAGTATCACACAATATGTCCATGTAACAAACCTGCATGTGTACCCCCACCGAATCAAAAATAAAAGTTAAAATTATTAAAATAAATAAACAGATAAATAAAGTGTGAAACAGAATAAAAAGGGTAAAATAAAAATAACTATATTTGAGTGCATGGAGTTTATTTTCCAAGCTGTTACTTTTTTATGTTTAAAATTTTCCATAATATAAAAAGCAATGAGAAAAAATTATTAAAAATGAGTTTTTTCCTTGTATACTTCTTACGACTTGTGGTGCATCCTTTGTTTTCTAACTTGAAAGTGGAGGATCAATTAATCAAACCAAATGACTTCTTTGGCTTCCTGAAGAGGGCACCTTCAGAAGCCTCCCAGTCAGCCTTGTTCTTTGCTGAGTGTTCCGCAGGAGTGTGTGTCCCACGCTTCTGAGAATAGAACTTGCAACAGGAGAGGAAAGTCACAATTTACCTGGCCTGAGAAACTGGCAGGACGTATGTTTTGAGCTGTTCCATCATTTCTATCCCTTCCTCCTCTTTATTCATACCCAACAAATCACTGAGTTCAACTGATTTTTCTAATCTCCACCGCATTTTCTTGAGGACAGGTGGATGCTAAATGATGTTGCAAAAAGCCTATTGTGGCATTTGTTTTAATGTCATCCTCTATACAGGAAGTGACATTTTCTCCAAGAAGAATTAAAAACAAAAAACCGAGAAACCTCCCACTAACACAGCAGACAGAATAATGATAATTCTTTGTAAAGTATCTGGCAGCCAGAAAAAAAGATGTAGCTTGGTGAAGAGGACACAGACGATGCTGTTGGACTTCAGTATCACACATTCACCACAGAGTTTGCAGAGTACCCTGGAAAGACAAAATCGACTGACTAGCAAGTGAGTGCATTAAAGAACAAGAAAAGAAAAAAAGGGCAAACTACCTCTTAGAAATGAGGCTTCTGAAGCAAGGAGGAAACATCCCCATTCAGATGTGATTAGAGCCAAGGGGATCCAGGGCAGAGGCAGGAGCAGGTTAGCTCAGAAAATGTTCTTTGAATTCCACTGGCTGAGGGTGGTTGCCTGCTTAGGTTAGCAGGAACTGGTAGCCGGCCATCAGCATCAATGTCTATCTTTTAGGCGTTGTTGTCCCCAGGTATAGATCAAGAACTATCTGATCTTTTAACAAAGTATGTTGTCAACCCATTTTCACCACACCCTCCTGTCATCTTTCATAAAGTTCTGAGTTAAAGTTCCCTTTGGGTTTTGTTTTTCTGTAGGTAGATTTTGGCAAACCCTACCTGGCTCTTAGAATGAAGCTTCTAGTGGCCAAAGTGGTAAAACCACTATAATGGGATACCGTTTCTCATTCATCTGTCTATCCCCAGTGCCTAACACAGTGCCTGGCATACGTAGGGTGCCCAGTTGTATGTGTTGAACTTTTGAGCTGATCCCACCCATTCTATGCAACTTCTTTACTCTCCTGAAACACTTCCACTCCAGGAACGTGGGTCCCCTTAGCAGCCCTTGAAGCTATCTGGTTTATTCTTATGACTTCATTGCTCTTTCTTCCATCTCTCTCTCTCTCTCTCTCTCTCTCTCTCTCTCTCTCTCTGTGTGTGTGTGTGTGTGTGTGTGTGTGTGTGTGTGTGTTTGTGTCTCCTTCCCAAATGCAATCTTCCTATAAATCCTTGCTCAGGACTTGCCTCTTCCCAGGATCTACCCTGATGTTTGCCATATTTTCCATCCCCTTTTCTTTTAGGTATAGTCAATATGCAACACCACAAGCCCCGGCTCCTGTTTTCCACGTGGTTCTCACTGCGGTTACACACAGCCTGTAGGATATTGTAGAATACCCATCATTCTGGAAGTCAGGAGACCTAGGGTTTAGTTTCAGCTCTTCCTCCAACAGTTAGCGAATCAGCTGGGAGATCATGTTTCCTTCAGTGGGACCATTTCCTCCTTTGCTAAATAACACAACTGTAGCTTTAAAGTTGCTTTCCTTATTGTGAGGTTTGCAAGAGCAGGAGCTATGTCATTTATTGATTTTTTAAAATAGCAGTATCCATGCATTTGACAGATGCTCCATAATATTTGTAAAATTGTGATTGTGACCAACTGAAATTAAACTTCTGATTCCCAATTTCAAGCAAGAGTTTGTACATTGAGTGCTGCAAAACTGGAGAACAGCTGCGGTAAGTATGTAGGTGGAGGAGGCAGGGCACTTGTGGCCAGAGCTGGGTGGCCGGGCTTCTGGCCCTGGGCCTGCCATTTTCCACCTTCCTCACTTATTTACTTTATCCCTCCGGCCTCAGCTTCTTGTCCTAAAGCCAGTCGGTTGAAGGTGATAATTACTCCCATTTCAGTTTCCCAAAAGCAGCACATTTTCTAGTCTTTGTTCTCCCATATCTCATCCAGCATCCATATCTTTCAGAAACCAGAAGCCACACAATCTTGAAGGCAAATGTTGCCTTGGAGATCATGGGATATGCTTAGAGATACCAGCACTGTTCAACCCAGTGCCCCTGGGGAAGTTGCAGAGTGACCGGAAATTCAAGGGAGCGACTGAAAGGGTAGTGGGGCCCAGCGGGGAAGAGACAGGAACAAAACCAGCTGCTCAGTTAGTTCGTCAGTAGTCAGGACTGAAAACACACTGTGCTGGTAGCTAAAAGGAAGGTGACAAGAAACCTGAGAACAGGGAACTTAATTATCACTAAAGCTTCCAGAGACACCTCCACCTTCTCAGGTTTTCCTCCAGCATTGATGACACAGCTTAACACTAACAGCACTAGTATTGTGTGCTTCATTTGTGTCTGGCCAGAAGATAATTCGGAAAACTGGATTCTTTGTTCTCCTATAAAACTTACGCTTCCTTATGGGTTGAACTGATATAGGATAAAAACAGAGAACTTGAATATTAAATATAAAAATTATTAAGAAAACAATGTGAGATGTAGATTGTGCTCAATTCTTTTCCTATTTGGTGCAAAGTGTAACCATTTCTCAATGAAGCCCCAATCTTATGCTAACTCATTGATCGACACAGACATTCTTATGTCCATTCAGCAGACCTTTTTCTCAGTACCCATCATGTATCACACACTCTCCTAAGTACGAGGAACAGCAAGATGAAAAAGTCTTAGTTGTGACCTTACAGGTTCTAACAGTCTAATGAAGAAAAAGAGGAACAGACAGATAATTAGGATATATTTTGATAAGAAATATAGTAAAATTTCTGTAGTCTCAGCTCAGCCCCTTGCATGTTTCTTTCATAGCAACCATCCCAGTTTGTAGTTATTTTATTTGTATAGCTACTTTGCTCTGTCTCTCCAATTAAACTGTAAACACTGTATGGGGAGGGATCTTGTCTGATATTCCCACTCTTATATATCTCGCACCTAGCCCAGTGCCTGGCAGTAGTAAATGCTCAACAGTTTTAAATATATGAATGAATTGGCTTGTTCTGGAATTCAGTTTTTGAGAAAGGAAGTCAAGAATTATGGCTATTTTAATGTACAGCACAAACTAGAAGGCTTTGAAAACTGGAATCATTATGAACTAAAATCTAAATTTAAAATTATTGGAGGCATGCATCTAGATTATAATTATAGAGGACATACATCAAAATGATATTATACATATATCTCTGGATAACAATTTTTTTTAAAAAAGAAGGCTCAAAATAAAAGCTTGGAGTAGAGATGCCTAAGGGAAGAGAGGGGAAGACCATGATACAGACTTTGAGAGTTTACTATAAGCCTGACACCTTGACCAGCTACCTGGCTAAATGCATTTCAGGGCAGTGGGTTATATGTTCTGAGAGAGGAAGGAAGTCTTTACAGTTCTTTGCCTTCCACCTGTAGAAAGTCTTAACTGGCACGATGTTCATTCACAGCAGGTATTCAGATTTTTCTAAAAGACCCTCTGCCTCATCCTGCCCTGCCCATGGGTCTGGGGTGCTGCATGGGAGTCTAACACTTTTCATGCTTTCCTGCTGGAGGGATGCTGAGCCAGCTGGGCCTGTGGCCATGGCCCCTCTGTCAACAGGTGCAATGAGCCTACAAAGCTTCATGGCTGGGAGCACGGTAGGGTGAGGACAAGTTGAGCTGCTGGCAGAGAGGCTTTAACAAATGTGTCAATTAGGAGCTATCCTGCTTACAATCTTCACAGAGCAAGAAAGAACAGAGCTTCTCGCTCACTCTAAGTACAGAAAGCTTGTGAATGAGGCAGAGTTTCTGCCCTGCAACCAGAAAGCTTGCAGCTGAGGGCCTGAGGGGGATGGACATCCTCCTCTCCAGAGGTTGCCCAGAAGAGAAGAGAGGCCAGAAGTCCAGTAAGCCATAGGGTGGGGAGATCACAGTCACCACTTACATGGGAGTCTGATGCTTCCATTTGACTCTGGCACAAACAAGAGAACAAGGCAGGGGAAGAAGGAGGGAGCAGAACAATCATGGTCAGAACTCCAAACCAGAGATTCTGTGGGTTCACGGAAAGCCTGTAGCTCTGCTGTTGTTGCTGGTGGTACTAGAAGCTCTCAGGGCTTGGGCAATTTGAGTACAGGCCCGAAGGGATTCACATGCATCCTCATTCCTCATGGCAGAAGGAGGATCCTGGGGTTACACACTTGAAGCATGTGTATTCTCTGGAGTGAACAGATAAAATCCAACTTATTACGGCACAGAAATTTCAGGATTCAAAAGTGTTCTTTGTCTTAAATAAAAATGGTTGACAGATTTGAAATTTGTGGCTACAGATAAACATAGGGCAGAAAGGTCAAAGGCAATTTTAGAAATCCAGGAATCCAAATATCAAATTTAATTCCTTTAAAATATCTCATGCTTTTCTTACTCACAGTTCCTCCCAGTTGAGACTTGAACACTTGCTGACAAAATATGAACACTGGCTAATCTACATTGAACAATTATATACATAATATCAAATGTTAATAAAGCTGGAATAGTACTCCTTCAAGATATCCTATATCATTGCACCAAAAACCTTTGGGTAGGTTATTATGTGCATTTTGGTACATAAAACTATTATAAGCATTATTGTAAGCATTATTATCTTTAAATAATTTCCAGTTGTTTCATGGCTCTCAACTCTATTACCACTTCAGTAATATTATGAGTAAGAAATTCTGAAAAGCCTTCTTATTGCATACACCTAGCTATGTTTCTTAATACTTAACTAATAATCTTTGAAATTCATATGTAGGGTCACACCCACCCACAACACAAATGCAAGAAATCTACTGGAGCCAAAAGATAGTGAACTAAACTAGAGTGATGTATGTGTAATAGAGACATGGGCTACACTGAAGGGATCTGCCAGTACGAGGAGCTTCAAAAGCTGCGTTGTAGTAGCCATGAGGGAGAATGACAGACAAAACTTTGGCTCACATAAAGTGTGTAGAAAGAACAAAGACCTCCAAATACCCTGCAGTTATGAAGGGTTATAGCTACAGTAAAAAGGGGGCTAAAAAAAATCTGTTTCCTGGAAAAAGAAGCTGGCAAGGAAATATGTCTAAGTTCTTGGCTTGAGGTGGGAAAATTTTTTTCTGGAAATTAGCAGCCATATGACTACCCATGTACAGAAAAAGGATTCAAATTAATATCACTTGCACAGTCCAGGGAAATGCAATTCAGTAAATTAAATTAAAATATTTTGGGGTCAGGGATGTTCCGGGATGCTTGGAAAGAGATAACACAAATTCCTTCTAAAAGAATGCATCTCAGCCTAGGCGTTTCAGAATTTGTGTATATAAAAACAGTCAAATATGGGTCCTAGTCACATTGTTCAGGAAGAAAAAATATATAAATATTATCAGAAACAACAAAAAGCAGAGCTAGACACCCCTCTGTTTGATATTGGAATTATTAAACACTAAGAAAAAGTGTGATTAAAGTGTTTTCAGAAATACAGAAATTGGAAACATGAGTGTAGAATGTGATACTTTCAGACATGACCAGGCAGATTTGAGAAAGAATAAAAAAGGACTCCTAGAAGTAAAAAAATATAATCTTCAACACATAAATCTAAACAGAAGATTAGATAAAGCTAAAGAGATAATAAGTGAACTGGGAGATAGAGCACAAGATATTGAAACAAATGTAGGAGAGACAAAGAGATGAAAAATATAATAGAAAAACAGAATGAGAAGCTCTAACGTATGCCTATTTGAATTTAAACCAACCAAAGATTAAAGATAATGAAAAAGATGCAATATTAGAAAATAAAATAGTTGAAAAATGTCTAAAATTGATGAAACCCACAAGATGCAAAGAATTAGATATAGAAATTAAAAAAAACACTTCTAAAATCATTGTAATATAACTACATAAGGTTAAAGACAAAGAGGAAACCTTAACAGCAGGCAGAGAAAAACAGAGTTGACCTATAATAAAACAAAAATTGTATTGGTAGCAGACCTCAACAGAAACAATATAAACCAAAAATTGGTTTATAATACCTTCAAAGGGATGAAAGAAAATAACTGCCCTCTGCAAATTATATATGGTGATAAACAAATACTCAAAAACAGAGGTAGAATAAAAGGTATACAGCTTGGGAAAGAAAATATAATACCATTTGTTCACAGGTGATATGATTGCCTATGTACAAAATCTTAAAGAATAGACAAGAAAAGTTCTAGAAGTAATAAGTGATTATAGTAAAGTTGGAGGATATATGGCTAACATACAAAAATCAATCACTTTCTTATATGCCAGCAATAAATAAGAGAAATTTGAAATTAAAATTATATTTATTATCATTTACAGTGGTTCTCACCAAAATAAAATATTTAGATAAATATCTAACAAAATACATATAATATCTATGTCAAAAAACCCACAGAACTCTGATGAAATAAAGAAATAAAAAGTGGGATGTCCCATGTTTATGGTTAGCAAGATTCAATTTTATCAAGATGTCTGGTTTTTCCAACGTGATTTATAGATTCCCAGCCAAAATCTCAGCAAGTTATTTTACGGCTATCAACAAACTGATCCTAAACATTACATGGAGAGACAAAAGACCCTAATAGCCAACTCGATATTGAAGGAGAAGAACAAAGTGAGAGAATTAAATTTACCTAACTTCAAGACTTACTAGAAGTCTACAATAATCAAGACAGTGTGGTATTGGCAAAAGAATAAACGAATAGATCAATGGAACAGAATAGATAACTCAGAAATAGACTCACATAAATATAGTCAACTGGTCTTTGACAAAGGAACAAAGGCAATGCAATGGAGAAAAGACAGTCTTTTCAACAAACGGTGTTGGAACAGCTGGACATCCATATGCAGAAAAAAATTAATCTAGATACAAACCTTATACCCTTCACAAAAATTAATTCAACATGTATCAGAGACCTGAATATCAAAGGCAAAACTATAGAACTCTTAGAAGATAACGTAGGAGAAAAACTAGATAATCTTGAGAATGGTGAAGACTTTTTAGATACAACATCAAAAACATGGTCCCTTAAAGTGAATGCTTCACATCTTGTCTGACAACATTCGTGAAGCAACTGACTGGATACTAGACCTTGGACAACACTGCTTTAGAGTAACCACATGCCTCCTGACCGTACCTGCCAGCCGAAACAGCCAAGGTATGATGTCTACCTCACTTCTGTACTCCAACTCTGATTGGTGGTGCTTCTGTTTGGTGGAAACGAAATCATATCCAGAACATTAGCCGCAAGAGGCTGGAAAACCATTTTAGCATTCTAGCCCTTGTCAGTTAAAAAAATTTGCAATAGACGCTGAACATCATTCCTCCATGTCTACCACAGAGGTGACCAGAGGTAAAATGTTCCAAGGTCATTGTATTGTCCAGAAACAAAGTAGAAATAATGAATAGTTTTACATTTTAATTTAAATGCATATATTAACATTTTAAGGTCAACTATTAAAAGTAGCAAAGTACATATCTTCTATAAACATAGGTTAAAAAAATGAAAAAAAAAATCACTGCTAAAAAAGTTTAGAAAGAAGAAATAAAAGAAACATAATAAAGGCAAGAAAATAGAAAGTTCAAACTAAAAATGTAGAAAAAACTTTAGTAATTTACTTTAAATATACAAAATCTAAATCCAGGTGTAAAAGAAAGAACTTAACATATTGTGTTAAAATTTTTAAAAAGAAACTTCTGGTTTTTATTTTCACTAGAAGTGAATCTAAAATATATGTTGACAGGAAGACTGAATATAAAAGTGGAGCTCATTGCCTGGAAAATGGATCAAGAAATTGTGGTATAATCAGGTAACATGGTATTGTACAGCACTGAAAATAATTAAGTGCAGAAAACAGGGTGGGTGATTCTCAGTAACACGAAATTGAGTAAAAATAGTAACTCCTTCAAAACAACATACAATATAATAATATATATATGTGTGTGTGTGTGTGTGTGTATATACATATATATATATATATTTTTTTTTTTTGAGACGGTATCTTGCTCTGCTGCCCAGGCTGGAATGCAATGGTGTGATCTTGGCTCACTGTAACCTCCACCTCCCATGTTCAAGCAATTCTCCTGCCTCAGCCTCCCGAGTAGCTGGGACTACAGGCGTGCACCACCACGGCCAGGTAATTTTTGTACTTTTAGTAGAGATGGGGTTTCACCATGCTGGCCAGGCTGGTTTCGAACTCCTGACCTTGTGATCCACCTGCCTCGGCCTCCCAAAGTGCTGGGATTACAGGCATGAGCCACCGTGCCCAGCCTCAATATAATGTATTTTTTATGAAACTAAAAGATATATACTGTTTGGGCATACAAATATATGAAGTGAACTTAAAAGTTGATAAAAAACAAACAAATATATGAAGTGAACCCGAAAGCAAAACAAATACAAACACACCAAACAAATGATAAACACAAAATTTAGGATAATTACTGCCTCTGAAGGGGAACCAGAAGTGTGAAATATAGAAGGAGCTCACATATAAATTATTGGCAATGCTCTATGTATTGGGAAGTTGGTTCCTGGGAGTTTATAATATAAACATACAAATGAACAAATAGACAAACAATGAAATAAAGAATGGTCATGGATAGATCAATAAATGCAGTGCATACTGCACCAAGGACTTTGATTAATCCAACTCTATGCAATTGACCTTCATAAAAAAACTGTTAAATATATTCAGGTAAAATTTAATGACATCTGGTATAGCTTACTGATAAAATTCCTGATATCTTCATGGCAAAGGCATTAGTAGGCATTATAATAAAAGGTTAAATCCAACAGGAAAGTATAATAATTCTTAACCTCTATCCACCCAATAATATAGCTTGAGAGGATACAAGGAAAAATTTGACACAATTATAAAGAGAGATTAATAACTTTACTAGCAAAATGGAAGAAGTTTAACATATTGGTTGAATAAGTAGGCAAAAACTTACTAAAGGATATAAGTTTCAGTAAAACAATTAACATGTTTGATCTGACGGAAATAATGTAGAACCCTGCAACCAGCAAATTTAGAATGAATCTTCCTTTAAAAGGCACATGGAGTATTTATAAAGACTGACCACATACTAAGCCCTTAAAGCAAGTCTCAGTCAGTGTCAAAGTATTTCTATTATAGAAATCATACTATCTAACCCTAATATAATTAAGTAAAAAATTTTAAAACACACAAGAAGTTTACTGCAAAAAAGTCCAAACGTGGAATTTTAATGGGAGACGGTTCTAATAATTAACTTAACTTGTCCATGTGATGGTTTGCATGTTTGTCCCCTCCAAAACTCATGGAATTTGATTACCATTGCAGTGGTGTTGGGAGGTGGGACATTTAAGAGATGATTGGGGCATAAAGACTCTACTCTCATGGGTAGGATTAATGCCATTATAAAAGGATGAGTTTGGCCCCTTTTGCCTCTTTGCCCTTCCACCATGTGATAAAGCAGCAAGAAGACACTTGCTAACTACTGGTGCTTTGATCTTGGACTTCCCAGTCTCCAGAATTGTGAGAAAATAAATTTCTCTTCTTTATAAATTACCCAATTTGAGGGATTCATTATAGCACCAGCAAACAAACTAAAACAATCCATGAAAGCAATCAGAGTGGAAGTTACAATATTTTTAAACTTACTAATTAAAATACTTCATATACAAATGTGTAGGAATCAGCTAAAGTGATAATCAAAAGGAAACTTAGAAGTGAAAATGCTTAATATTAGAAAAATGTTGTTACGATAATGCCAGAATTAGAGGAGTCACAATATATCAAACCCAAAATGTCAAAGGAAGGCAATAATAAAGACTTGAGAAGAAATTAATGAGATAGGAAATGATATTCAGGATTAATAAATACCAAAGCTGATTTTTTGATCGAGGAAAAAAGAGAAGTCACAAATAAATTAAGCATGAAAAGAGGACATAACAATTGACATGGCAAAGATTTTAAAATATGAGAGATTTCTCTGAAAATACTTATGCCAATAAATTTCAAAAACCTTAATGTAATTGATTTTTTAGTTAAACAATAGTTAAAATTTTTCCTAATAACAAAAAATTTGGTTTAGATGATTTTATCAGAAAGATTTATCAAACATTCAGATAAATGTTGATTCCAGTCTTACACAAACCAATCTACACAATTCAATATCCTTTGCTGTAGATGTGGTCATGTGACTTTGTTTTTGCCATTGAAACGTGGGTGGTTGTAATGTACAATGCCACTTCCAGGCCTGGACTTTTGAAACTTCCCATGGTATCTTCTACACGGTCTCTCTTGCCTTTTCTGAGAGCTGGATGCAGAGTAAGTGGCAGAGTACTTCAAGGACTTGGTGGATGGTACAGACATAAAAAGAAGTGTGTCCCAGAATGGCCATATAGAATGATGCCCTTAAACAAAGAAGAACTGATTAGCTTTTGCATCAGTGAGAGATAAACTTTTATGAGATTAAGCCACTAAGGTTTGAGGTTCCTATATTACAGAAGTTAATATTAGTTATTCTAGCTTATGCAATACCCAAACTAGACAAATATAAGAACAGAAAATTACATGCCAATTTCATTGAATATCATAAGTGCAAAAAATGAAATAAAATAAAAGCAACCAGTTCTCTTACATTTTATTTAATTCACTAGTTCAAGTCTCCTGAGTTTATACAGACACTTTAAATGCAGTATTATCTAAATCTATTTGGCATATTTCAAATAGAAGTTTAGATAGTGATATAATAAAATGGTTAAGCAAAAGTGTGCTTCTAATGTGGCTAATAAATAAAGCTTTATTATAAAAATGAAGGAAGCAGGCCAGGCACAGTGGCTTATGCCTGTAATCCCAGAACTTTGAGAGGCTGAGGCATGTGAGTTACTTGAGGCCAGGAGTTCGAGACCAGCCTGGCCAACATGGTGAAACCCCATCTCTACTAAAAATACAAAAATTAGCTGAGTGTGGTGGTGGGCACCTGTAGTCCCAGCTACTTGGGAAGCTGAGGAAGGAGAATCACTTGAACCTAGGAGGTAGAGGTTGCAGTGAGCGGAGATAGTGCCATTGCACTCCAGCCTAAGTGACAAGAGCGAAACTCCATCTCAAAAAAAAAAAAAAAAGAAGGAAGCAAATTTGCTAACTGTTTGACTCCCTTTGAACTGGTGTCCAAGAAGATGTAAAACAGGAGGAATACATAGAATGTTCCCTTATGTAACTTCTTCAGGTTATCCACGAAAAGTTATGGTCATCTTTGTATGAAATGCAAAAGGAAAAACATGAAATTATAGTTGAAGACATGGGACATGTAGGGAATTGATTTTATCCAGAAGGACCCAGACTAATATACTCTGTAGGTCAAGATTAGAGTCCTATTCTTGGTAGTGTCCAGAAACCAGCGTATGCGGTGGCAAGCCAGGTTAAAGGACCAGCACTATCTTACTTAGTACTTTGGTTCTAAGAAGTGTGTTATTCCAAGTCTGAGATTTCTAATGGATGTATCACAAGGGGTTACAAATTTGCCACAGGAAATCATTGTTGTTATTGCTTTTATTTTTATCTGTTTTGTTGCAAAATAAAATAAAGAGACAGCAAATCACATACATGATAAACATTCATCTTAAGTTATAAAGCAAACACCTTTTTAAGCACCCACACAGGTCAAAAAAGTAGAGTTTTGCCAGCCACCCCAGAAGCCTTGTTGTGGTCATGCTACAGAGATCAAATTGATTCTTTACCCAAAATTTGGCCTGGATACTGAGATTAATGTTGGGTATGAAACACATAAAGAGGGTATGAAAAGATGTATTACTCATATAATGAGGCTTTCTGGCAAGAGCAAGGTAGGTATCCTAGCAGGTCTGAAAATGGCATGCATAGTTGGAACTTCCTGCTGGTGGCAAAGGAAGAGCTTGTGGGCTCTCTTACTGGCTTGTCCAAATGTGGGGCAGAATGGGGAGCAGGGGCCAGGGAGACTTGAAAGTCGTCAGCAGGCAAACATCAAAAATAGAGTCAGCCTATTTATTTATTTATTTATTTTTGAGACGAGGTTTGCTCCGTTGCCCAGGCTGGAGTGCAACGGTGCGATCTCGGCTCACTGCAACCGGCTTCCCGGGTTCAAGCGATTCTCCTGCCTCAGCTTCCCGAGTAGCTGGGATTACAGGCACGCACCACCACACTTGGCTAATTTTGTATTTTTAGTAGAGACGGGGTTTCTCCATGTTTCTCAGGCTGGTCCCAAGCTCCTGACCTCAGGTGATCTGCCCGCCTCCGCCTCTCAAAGTGCTGGGACTACAGGCGTTAGCCACCGCGCCCCGCCGAGCCTCTCTATTAGACCTTTCTGTGTATTCTAGCTCAATGGCAGCTTCTTCCTTACCCTTCGAAAGTAAATCACATCCTTGCTTTTTTTTTAAATCTTTTTTTTATCACGCGAGTGTGCATTCCTAAACATTATCGTGTAGACTCACCCATTTAAAAAAATTTCATGTGTATTTTAAATCTTTTTAAATCTACACTTTCTCCCTCTCTTTCTTTTCTTTCAGTATTTCTGTGGAGGAACTAGAGCGTTTGACTTTTACAGTTTCCCACAGTCAGGATTTTGTTGACTGCGTATTTATGGTTTCATACAACATGTTTCTCTATTCTCCACTTTTCCTGCAAACTGGCAACTGGATCATGAGGACTGATCAGACTCAAGTCTGTCTCTTTGGTAACATTTGAGGGAGGTAGGTTAAATCTATGACAGAGGCTTGGAAAGATTCAGCAAATGCAGCATGAAGCAACAAGTTATGAGAGGGAGTGTCATGATAAAAAGAACATTTGAAATTCTCATGTTCTCAAGTCTGTCCATCACCCCCGGTCCCTTCTGCCATCTCCTGCATGGATTTTGAGATCATGCAGGTCTTATGACTATTAGCGTGTATTGTGTCTTCCAATTGCATTTTATAGCTTTTGGGGATGCCTTGTTGCATAGTTGTGTTGTGAGAGTCCGCCGCAGGTTTCTGTGATTTTGCTCTCTAGCTGCTCTGTTTTTATGTATTTAGAGAGATTTAAAACCTTCGTAGCCACTGCCATCCTCTTTCTAGAGTTTCCCCCAAGATAGTTTTCAATAAACTCTTGATGTTAAAAGTCCTAAGACCAATTTTTAAAAACATCTAAAAACGTACAATGTTGGAATTATAATGAATAATATTTATCCAGCTTCCCCTGAAAACTTCCTGAATTCAGTAGTTTGAAAAAATTATTCAGAATATTTATGCAATCATTATTTAATACCTTCCTTAACATTTTGTATTTTATCGCTTGCCATTTTTATATAGTACACAAAATGTGATATGTCTTTCCACCAAGTTGCAAATAAGTTTCCTCATGTCCCCTTCTTCTTCCGATTTACTGCATTATGCTTTATAATGCTCATTTTCTTAATGCGTGTTGATTTGAAGAAGGGCTGAGTAACACTTCTCAAAGGGACCCTCAGTGTTTATAAGAGGCATAGGCTCACAGTCCTGGTTTTGGTCAGGGAAAATAATACAGTTCTATTTTGTTTTGAGTGGACTGTCAATATGATGAAGAAGAAATACTAAATGCACTCTTAGTTAGGTAATGGTGGAAGGGCAGACCATTTGCAAACCTTCCATATTATATACCTGACTTCACAGACCTAGAATATATGAGACACACTGATGATGCTATTGTGTTTGTAGATTTGTAGAGGCTCAGAGACCTTGAAGTGCTGATAAAACTTCACTTTGCTTCATTTCCTTTGATTTTGCTTTCTCTTCTTTTGAAAATAAAGAAGCCAATGAAGCCACAAAATATAAACAACTAAGCTTTCAACAAAAGACATAATTGAATGGTCTTTCCAACTTGGCAGGCAGAATAAAGGCTTTCAAATAAATAAAGATCCTGCAAAAATATTTGCTTGTCAATAGCATCCATTGGTCGGGATCTGAGGAGTTGAAAAATAAGCACTGGAATGTTCTGGGTGACCTGGGATCCAGTGATATCTTTTGAACATGTATATAATGCCTTGCTTTCAGAGGCAAGGGGCATTGGGTGATGTATTAGTTTCCTAGGGGCCGTAACAAAAGTACCACAAACTGGGTAGCTTACTATAACAGAAATTAATTTTCTC
Organism: Homo sapiens; assembly: GCF_000001405.40. Taxonomy (NCBI): domain Eukaryota; kingdom Metazoa; phylum Chordata; class Mammalia; order Primates; family Hominidae; genus Homo; species Homo sapiens. The sequence continues at coordinate 67,945,438 of NC_000005.10, read as the reverse complement.
ACAGCTCTAGAGGCTAGAGGTCCAAAATCAATGTGTCAGCAGAGTTGGTTTCTTCTGGAGGCTCTGAGGAAGACTCTGGTCTAAACCTCTCTCCTAGTTTCTGCTGGTTGCCAGCAGTCCTTGGCATTCCTTGGCATGTAGCTGCATCACTCTCATCTCTGACTGTGTTGCCATGTAGCCTTCTTTCTGCATGGTCTTTCTGCATGTCCTCTCCTCTTCTTATAAACACAGTAATCATTGAATTTGGGGCCCATCTAATGCAGTATGCCTTCAACACTAATTTCATTTGCAAAGAACCTATTTCCAAATAGGTTGAATTCTGCATTTTGGGGAGATACTAATCAATCCCGTTTAGATAACTTCCACATTCTAACCAGATTCTGAAATTTTTAGCCTTTGCAAAAATCTACTAGTGGTGGTTGTGTCTTTATTATGACAAAACTAATCGTGTTTAGCCTTTTTCATATCTTATCTTTGCCTTAGTTTTACTTTTATTTGTTACATTTGAAGGTTGTATTTTTTTTTCTGTTCATCTGCTTTCTATATATTTCTGTCCCCTTAAGGAATTAAAAATAGATCTCCTAATCAGGATTCTGAATGACATGTTAATGAAAATGTACAGACTCCTGTTCTCACAGTCCCACTGTTTAACACTATTTTTGCTTTCCTACCTCCATAGAATGCCTGCCAGTGGCAACATTTTTCATGGTACCAAGAAAAATGTTGAAGTTGGCAAATCTTAAGCACTGAAAAAAAAAATCAACATTGCATTTTTGGAACAGAATTTTATATATAAGTATTCTGACCTGGGAAAATTTCAAGGGATGATATATTGATCTATTCCTTTTTATACAAGGTAACATGTTATTAGGAATTCATTTTTACATTTTTTTCTCCAAAGCCAAAGATGCTCCAAAGTATTAAATTACTGTAATCTAGGACCTTAATTCCTGCCACCTGACAGCGCACTGAAAAAGTATCCACAAATTATTTGTGTTGAAAATGGCCACGCCACCCAACCTCTTCAATGAAACTGTTAAACCCAATTTAGCTTTATGCTCCAGTCCTCTAAGGATGGCCCTTGGGTTTTTTGTTTGTTTGTTTGCTTGTTTTGTTTCTTTTTCTGAATTACTAGAGTTAACTTTTGAGCACTGTCAGGAAGAAGACGGGGCAGGAAATTAGAAGACCCAGGGCTTTAGAAAAGTAGGGAAATCTGAATGTGTGTGAGAGACAGTCAGCGAGACTATGAGAATCTACGTAACTGTGAATGTTCACACTGTTTCACATGTTCTACTTTCCACAGACCTCCCTGTTCACAGATCTTGGTTTTGCTGTGTTCACAAATCCCTAAGAAGGTAAGCCTCTATAAGTTAGAATTGGACTCAACTGAATGTAACAGAAGAAATGGTGATTATTTAAATAAAGCAGGAGTTTATATAGCTCTCAAGGGAATTTGCAGGGAGGCAGCTCAGTGCTGCTACGTCAGCAACACAATGTTGCCAGGGACCCCACTTCTTTCTGTCTCTATCAGAGCCTTGTTCATGACTGAGCTCTGGTAGACCTCCTTTCTGGTTAGGAGACCTCCTGGGAACACCACTCAACATAAGCTTCCACCTCATTGACAGGAGCTTGGTCACATTGTCACACCATGGTCTGAGCCTTGGAAATGTAGTCTAAGTTGGGTAGCAACTTAGTTAAGGGGATTGAGCAGTTAAGGGGGTTGCATGATAAAATAATAAATGCCCAGTTAAACTTGGTTTTCAGATAAATACTTTTTTGCTTAAGTATGAAATATTTGGGAAATATGTAGACTAAAAATTATTTGTTGCTTATCTGAAATTCAAATTTAACTAGGCATACTTGGGACATACTTATACTATACAATACTTATACAATACTTGGGACATACTTATACATACTTATAAAATACTTGGGACATACTTATGCTAAAAATTGATTTGTTGTTTTACAGAAAGTTAAATTTAATTTAGCAATCTGTATTTTTATTTGCTAAATATGGGAATCCTAGTTAGAAATCAGGGTTCTACTGCTAAAAAATAAGGGGGGGGGGTGGTGAATGGATACTGGGGGGTAGGCAAACAATGGTCTTTGGTACAGCTACTTAAAAGGACCTGAAGCAATTAAATGTTATCCAGTTTGTGAAATGAAAATATGGACTTTGAGTTAGGGACTAGGGAAATTAGGAATAACCAGACCTTTTGAGATCGCCTTTACTAACAAATCTTTACTAATGAAGTGTACGAGTGGGAACATCCCATAAAATACTTAGCCTCTCAAATCTAGTATTTGTTAATGAGGCTGTAGAGTTCTTTGCATGTTTCTGCATACACAATAGAAAGACACTGAGCACACACACACACACACACACACACACACACACACACACAAAGACCTTTATAAGTCACCGTCACAGTATTGTAAGTAAAAAGACACAAACTCTTGCTTATACTGGGTCAGAATCTCTGCTTTGAATCTGATACAAAGTGTGACCATGTTTCTTTCTGAATGATTCCTTTTTACCTGTCACAAATTTTGAATGTTAATGCTGACTTACCATTTATTTAATTTATTTAGTTTACCTTGGAATATGAGGGGAGCCCCCAGAGACCACTGCTTTTATTTTTGGCTTAGCCCGAGCCTCTCAAATACAGAAGCACCTTTCTGTCAGATCGTCAGGTCACCTCTGCATGGACCAGCCTTCATTCCTGAACGGGCCTTTAGACATCTGACTCACAGCAGAAAAAGATCACTTTGACTTTCTATTTACATTTCATTTGGCAGAAAGCAGCAAACTACACTTTGAAGGTAAAGCGACGTATCCAAACTTCCTTGTCTTGACATCCTGACTCATCCATTGGGCACAAAAATCGTACATAATGAAGATGCATTTAACACACTTGCTTGTTGGTCTCTCTCACGTTTTTACTCTTACATCTTCTTTCCAGAATATCCATGTCTCTGACTTCAACAAGAAAAATTTGTAGCAAGTTTTCAAATTATAACATTTTTCTTGCAAAAAGTGAAGTAAAGAAGAATGACTGGTATATTTGGGATTATGACTTTTCTTATCCCTTTGGATTTTGAAACTACTGAGTGATTCATAATTCATTTCTAGGCACTGATACTATTCTTCTGGCTGCCTCTAAGTCATGATAAGAAAAAAAATATCCGAGGGCAAAACGAGAAGCAACATATTTGTGGCTCAAGCTAGATGAATGGAAAAGAACAGAACACTCAGTGGGTTAAATAGGATACTGCAAAGCAAGGCTTAGTGATTGAATGGTCGCCCAGTTTATATTAAAGGACTTATTTCCATTTACAAAATGATTCCCTTTGTATGGTTCAAGGATTAATGTGCTGGGCATCTTCCCAGCTCTAAGCATTTATTTAAAAAAAGCTTTCCATGTCAGGAAAATTCAGGTTCTGCAGTGATAAATTTAATGATGAGATGTATAACTTGAAGATCTGGTTAATTTCAGGTGTTGAACATCCTCCAATCATTTTTACTGGAATGGGAGGGATGCATCCAGTGCCATAACTCAATTCCAGTTGTGTTATCACCTCCAATCAAATGAAAATGTCCTTGAAGCTGAGGATATGCATTCCTGAACATGCTTACACTCAACATATGGCTCCATGAGGCCAAACTTCAAGATGAAAGCAAAGGAAATCAGACAGTTGCCAAGAAATTTCATAATATTAGCAATAGATCTGGACGAGTGACTGAATTTTTCACTTTTCGTCCACCTTTGTGTATAACTACCCAAAGTGTTGAAATTTCTTGGTGGGTACTCTGACTTGGCAATAACAAGCATAATAAGATTCCTAAGATCATGGCTTGCAGTACTGTGAACACTATTAACATATATGCATTTTTAAACATTCCTGCTCAGGTGCCCTGGAGCATACTCCAGTACCATCACTTGCTTTCCATGCAAGCTCTGATCATGGATTATAGGTTCCTGTCAGTCTTAGCACTGAGCCTGACATATGGTTGGCACTCAATATGGGTCTGGTGAATAAAATGAAACAACTCAATGCAGTGGCAACTTAACCACAATAGCTGCTGCAATCAGAATAAATGTTTCAAAAGCTAAGCCAAGAAAGGTGTTTTGTTTTTTTTTTTTAAATGCAGCTCTGAGAAAAAGCAGCTAATACAAACATGAAAAATAAGATATGAGGCCAATAAATCAGCAATGGGCTACCTTCACTTACTTGGTTAATATCTCATTGAACTTGGGCTTCATTTGGAGGAGAGTAGTATAACCCCCAGAAACACAAATATTCACAGAGCAATTAAGAACAGTTCAAAGACCAACATTAATTAAAAAGACATTTCTTTACAATTTCCCATAAAGAACATTAAAGGGGAGTCCACTCCTCAGTCCACAGCGATGTTGACATCTTTCCCTCTTCTCCATTTCCTTCACATATCCCAGCAGTCAGATCCTCTCTGTTATCTCCTTACCCCCAACTCCCAAAACAATACTTTTCTTCCTCTCCTACCCTACAGGGCTTTCTTCCCTCCTTTCCTTCCTCCACAGGATTTCTCTTAGCCCTTTATTATGTAGATAAACTTAGCTTCTCTTCACTATAAATTATCTATTCCCTTCAGGAAGGGTGTAGACGAGGAATTGGTTAGAAATTGCGGAATGATCTTTGGGATGCTAGAAGAATGGCCAAGTCCATTCACATTTCCAGATTAATCATTTTTGTCCCAGTGCAGTAATATTTTTATTCAGCCACTCAACAAGAATCAGACTTTGATATGTAAAGAAAATAAGATCCCATAATGTGTGCAGCATTCATAAACACAATTACTTTTATAACCATCACAGACATTTCGAGGCACAGTAAAACTCACTCTTACAGATGACTTATCTGGTATAGTATGGTGACCAGGCAGATACATAGGACCATAAACTTTTTACTATGCAGAATTGGTAAAAGGTATGTTGCGGAACATAGCATCCTTGAACTGAACATTTTCAGACTAAAGTATGTCATGCTTTAGACAGCAGCATGTAACTAGTGGAGGGTGGATAAACAGCCTAGCTTTATGACAACTGGAAGTACTCAGGCAGTAGTACTCAGGCAGATGCTCAAAACTAAGCTAGGTATTTCACATTGATTCTCTGGTAGCAGCACACATTGAAGGACCATTTCTAAGGAAGGCTCTCAAGGGAACTTTTACATCACTTAGTGGCATTGGTTTGACGTATCACTTCTTTCTAAGGTCTTTTCCAGCTCTGATTAAACAATTTCACAAAATTATATCAACTATAAGTGGCAGAAATATATTGCTTATTAAGTACATATGATGTCTAGGAATTGATTGGTTATTGTCCATATTGTGAAAACCTGATTAATTCCAGAAAGATAAAATAATATAATAAAGATAAGCACATGAAAACCAGAACATTACATATTCTGATTGGTATTTCAAATATTGTTGATTGTATTTGAAGAGTTACGTGGCTTTAAAAAACAGTAGCATATACGGGAGTTTAGCTGGAGTAATATTTTCAGTACAGTCTCTTCCTGCCTCTTCTGATGCTGCCTTCTTTTATAAAACAAATTTTAAAAAAATTAAAAATAGAGACAGGCAGGGTTTTGCTATGTTGCCCAGGCTGGTTACGAACTGCTGGGCTCAAGTGATCTTCCCATTTGGGCCTCCCAAAGTGCTGGGATTATAGGTGTGAGCCACCATGCATGGCTTTTTAATGCCTCCTTAACCACGTTCCCCATCCCCCATCACGGCCATCCTATCTCTGTAGAAATGGTTTCCATCTAACATATATTTACTTTCAAGTTGCAAGTGCATCCTCATGAACACCAGAAACCTCTCGGCCTTACTTTTTAATTCTAGCCACTGCTGCAGTGGGTGGTCTGTGCCCTGCAGGCTTTGCTCACAACAGCACAGCTAGAACAGGTCAGCAGCACACCCCCTTCCTCTCCTTCCGCCCGCACTTTTTCTCTGGCCCAGTCAGATACCTCTTGCTTCCTCTCTTGGGCTTTTCCATTCCACAGAACTGTTGGACACTCACTCACACATTTACTTCTAGAAACATGAGGGCTATAATACCCAAGAGGCCATCTTCTGGCACTGGGAGGTGGGAGCCATTGTAGACAAGCTTTACTGTTTGCCCGCAGGTGACCAGAAGGCCCCAGTAGAATAAATCACAGTATCCTGTAGCAGAGGCCAACTCTACAACATAATTTTGAACAAGTTTTCGCTCCTTTCATGTTTTACTCTCCTGCCACCTGCCACGTACTCCTGTTCTGAAAGATCATATTCCCAAATAAACTATGGGCACACGAGCGTGTCTCAATATTTGGGGATGCACAGGCCAAAACATGCATATGTCATACTGTTGGGAATCTTCTTATCACTTTGTAAGAAAGAGTTACATAAAAATTGTTCCTATGCTACTTTGTTTTTTGATTACTAAAAACTTAGGCCTTGGAGAGGGAACCTACAATTCATACTATCCAATAGGTAGCCACTAGGTACATGAGCACCTGAAATACAGCTAGTATGAATTGAGATATACTGTAAGTACAAAGTATATACCAACTTTCAAGACAATACAAAAAAAGTGATAATTTTTATATAGGTTTCATGTTGAAATAATATTTTTCATATATTGGGTTAAATAAAATATATTATTAAAATGAATTTTGCCATTTTTAACACTTAAAATGTGGCTATTAGACAATTTAGTATTACATGGGTGGCTCACATTATATCCTTATTGGCTGCTTCTACTGCAGTTGAAAAGGGACTTCAGAGACATATCAGTCAACTGCCAAGCACTTACTTAAAGCTAATTGGAATAAAAATCATGTAAAAATTATAAGACAATGTGGAAAATTTGAAAACTGCCTGGATATTTGATGTGAGGAATTACTGTTAACTCATTTTTTAAGTGTGATAATGGTCTCAGGGTTTTTTTTTTAAAGATTTATTATCTTTTAGAGATATACACCAAAATATTTAAGAATGAAATGATGTAATGTTATAGTTTGCTCCAAAAGAAAGTAGGTAGGCATATAAATGAAATAAATGTGGCTTTTGGTTGATAATTGGTGAAGTTAGATAATGGTATTGGGAGTTTATTATCTTATTGTCTCTACCTTTGTATGCATTTGAAATTTTCTACAAGAAGAAATGTTTTATTAAAATAAATAAACTTTTGTCAATGGCTAGTGATAAAAAGACACTGACCTATGGGCTGTGTATACAATTTTATATATATATATATATATACACATAGATACTGATATATATATCACTATATACTCTACTTCCCAGAATTCATTACTTAGCAAGAGGATGGTACTTGCAATTGTATTATGGTAGGTGTGCACAAACACTAGGTAGGACTTCTCATAGCCTGGAGGAGTTAACCTGGTTATGTGAATAACTTTATGTATGTTCAGCTTCAAAGTGATCTCTGTGCCAACCAAAGAAAGATATTTAAAGAGCTTCTTCTATATTACGATTATATAAAAATATAAATAATATATACATATATTATATTATTACATGTAGTATATATAACATTATATAATGCAAATATATTATTATAAAAAAGAATATATAATGCTTATACATAGATTGATTTATTTATATTTAAAAGTGTGTATATAAATATACAATTTAATACATACATATATTTAAAAAATACATATAACAAACATAAATATATATAACAGTATACTTATAAAAAGAGCTTCCTTTCATATTATGCATTGTTATCTATTCTCTGAAGATCATTTTCATTGCAATGCTTCAAAAATGTACATATTCATTTTTCTTCTTGTTATAAGTGTTAGAATTTGATGTTTGATCTTGTAAGATTCTCATTGAGTCAACAGCCATATTTCCCTAGTCCTGAGACATAGCAAGATTTAATTTAACCATTAACGAACAAGAGGTTTTGGGTTCTACAGGCAAGAACCCTCATAAAACATGTCCGAACTCCTGGTCCTCCAGGCGATGGCTATTTTGTGGCCCATTTTTTAATCTTCCAGTAGATTAACATGCAGGAGTAACAAGTGGATTTGGGAGTGGTTAGGGTGGTAGCAACAGAGTGTTTTCCTTGTTGAGCCATGTTTCAGGATAAAATAACCAGCGAAGCTTGTTCATATAGAGCATTTTCCATCTGCCTTCTGTCTCTAAATGATGAAGTACACATAATGCGTCCCAGGCGTGGAGGCAGGACTCCACCAGTCTCTCCATGCTGGGACAGATTGAACAGATCTTCCTTAGGCTGTGTTGTACATGTTCAATCCATCCAGAGTAGTTCCATTTAGATAAAATAAATAACCCATGGCTTAAAAGCTGTCATTGAGAACACTCTGCCTTCTTTGGGGCTTCTCAAAATAAAGAACATTTTCTGGTCTAAAACCTATTAGATTGAGTACTCCTCCAGGGATTTAAATCCCAGCACCCAGTATATATATAATGCTTGGCATGTAGAAGATGCTCAGTAAATGTTTATGAATATTATAAATCTGGGTTAAGAATGACCCAGATTGCTTGTCTAATGGGTTATTGATCTCACATCTTCTACAGTAGAAAGATATAATGTCTCTACTTCTACTATAGTACTATTGATTTATAAATTGAGTTGAATTCAAATCTCGAAAGAACTAAAATCTGTTTCCTACATTAAGCTGCCCATGCTCTGGGATTCACAGAATCATCACATATTAATGTAAGAAAGTATCTTAGAGATACTTTCATGCACAGCCTAAGGGACTTCTGAGGGGAAATAGAGGGCGCCTTAATTCAAACTTTTATTATGGTTCATCTAGGAGGAGAAAAAATAGTGGTTTTCAGCTTTGCAGAGTTTGAAAAATCACTCGTCTTGACCAACTGCTTCATTTTACAGAGAAGAAGTGGAATTCCAGAAATATTCAGTGGCAAGCTCAAGTTCACAGTGTCAGAGCAAAACAAAGACTAGAACTCCTGGTGCAGACTGAATGCCCACAGCAGTCTCCTGCAGTCAGCTGTGCTGTCCCATGGTAAAAGTTACATGACATTTCTCCTTTTGTGGTCACATTGACCCACATGCATTTGAATATGTTTGCACATTGCTTAAAGTGATCTTACATTTCCATCATGAGTGTATCTTCCACTTCCCGAAATTGATTGTAATGTTCTCAGGGATGGGAGCTGAAGCCTCTATTTTCTTTGTGCCCTATCTCCAACACCCAGTGGAGTTTCAGTAAGTGTTATTCACAGGTTGACTGACTGACTGAACATGGAAGCTAAGATAGAGAGGCTTGGGAAAAGTTTGGGGTTTAGCCACAGAGGGCAAAGGTACGGTTTCTAATCTATCAGACAACCTTTTTCTGCTGTGTAATTTGGAGACGGGGTTTTGATAAACAGCTGTAGGGCTCCATCAGTCTCCTAAAGCTTTAGAAAAATTTCCTGCATTGTGAGTGCTTAGAACATAGATTGTTACTGTGTTTTGTATATTTTAGAAAAAAATGAGGATAAGTACTCATAATTTCTCACCCACAGTGGAGAAAATAGATACATGAGAGCTGAGTTGGTGAATTAATGTAACAATTAATGGTGACTGTGTCTCAGCTAGGATCAAGTTGACCTCACTGAGGTTTAAATGGCCACTTAGATTGTTGCTGTTTTTTTCTGGGTTTTCAAACTTCCACAAAGGAAGGGAGAATAGGGAGGAGTGGCTTTGTGCATGTGCTTTGGAATCAGTCTATTTTTTCAATTTCAGTTTCACCATTTACTAGTCGTATAACCTTGAACAAGTTACATAACCTGGCTAAGGCTCAGTTTCTCCATCTGCAAACTGCAGATAATATTTCCTCAATAGGATTTACATAAAGATTAAGCAAGAAGTTGTATATGAAGTGAGAAGTGCTCATCAGTGGTTGTGAATATTATGGTGTATTCCTAGCAGTCCAGGATGAAAGCAAACTTTTAGATTACTGTTCTGCTATTACTGTTTTTTAGTTTACAAATGAGAGAACCTGAGGTGGCAAAATAATGAACTGCCATCTTACTTGTGTCAGTTGACATTTTAGTTTGTTACCGATGTGTACTTTATGTATTTAGCAATGTTGCTGCTGGTTGTAGTATTTGAGGTAGCCGTGAGGATGTGCCTCTCAGATCTCTCACTGCAGGAGCAGAATTGACTGAAGGTCTCAGCTGCTGAGCCTGGAAATCCATACTGGAATTGGTGCTGAAGCCATACTTGCCATAGGCTGCTGCCAACCAATGACTGAGCCCAGCAGGGATCCCGAGGATGGCTCATTCCAGCGGGGGAGGACTCCTCTGGTGGACAGCTTGAGCTGAGTAATTCCCTAGCTGTGTTGCTGAACTTCCTTGACCCTGCACTGCCATTTAAGATTCTCCCACCCAACTTGCCTTCTTCCTTCTGTCCTTCACAAGGGTCAGACCTACATAAAGATATGATAACTCTCATAGCCTCTCCTGGCTCCCTTCCCATGTTCCCTCACAGGGGTTTGCCTTAATAAAATACTTGCATATTTAACCCTCTCATGATACCTGCTTCTCAGAGGACCCAGACTAACATACTGTGACCAGGCAGAGAGCAGGGCTGAAGCAAGTAACCTTCCTTTTTCAATAGGCAGTGCACCTTTGATAGCTAATGGTGATGATCAAAGAATCTCAGAACCATAAAGACACCCACAGAGATATGGTTTACTCATCCTGGTGATCTTCAGATGGTAAACACTTAAAGAGTGCACAACACATGTCTACTGCCTTGTTAACACATCTCAGATTTGTCTCATGTTCTTAAGTGGATGAAACTTCTGGTGCTGATAATCAAGTCGTCAGCTGGTGAATGCCGAGCTGAAGTTAGAAAACAGTTCTGTTAAAAGCAATTTCTTTGCTGACTGGCCAGAGTGAAGAGTACTTAAGAACTGTTTTTCTTATTACCATAACAATCATCATTGAAAGAATTTTTAAACCTTGGATGAAGGAGTAGAAGGCAGAAGAAAGAAGTGACATTTGCATGGATTAGATAACTTACCAGTTCATTTAAAGAGGCCTATGAGGAAGATGTTATTATTTCCTTTCTGTGTGCAAGGAAATTGAGACTCAGAATGGTAACTTGCTCTAGGTCACTGTCTTAGTCTATTTTCCAGATGTTGTAATAAGATATCATAAGGTGAGTAGCTTATAAACAACATAAATTTATTTCTCATACTTCTTAAGGCGGGACAATTCAAGATCAAGGTGCCAGCAGATTTCGTGTCTGGTGAGGGCACACTTTCTGGTTCATAGTGTCTTCTCACTGTGTCCTCACATGGTAAAATGGGTGGCGGGGGTGGGGAGGGTTTCTCTAAGGCCTCTTATATAAGGACACTAAGCCCATTCATGAGGGCTCTGCCCCTATGACCTAATCACCTCACAAAGGCCCCACCTCCTAATACCATCACCTTGGGAATGAAGACTTCAACATATGAATTTGGGGGCGGGGGGTGCATAAACAATCAGACAATAGCAGTCATATAACAAAGAAAGAAAGAAAGAAAGAAAGAAAGAAAGAAAGAAAGAAAGAAAGAAAGAAAGAAAGAGAGAGAGAAAAAAGTCCCTGAGCACACGTTTTTCAGATTCAATAATTCAGACAGATGCTTCTGTGTTTATGGAGCTGGCTATTGGTTGTTTTCTAGTATGGACCTAAGAAACTGGACCAGAGATCTCTAACCCATACATTGATTTTCTTCCTCAAATAGAGAATGTGCCTGCTCATGGCATGATAAGCTGAGCATTACAGTGATAGTAGGTAAAGAGAGTTGGAGAACGTCTGGAAGAAATGGTGAGGCATACTGGGTTCCCTAAGGGGAAATTATTTGCTTGCTATTCATTTCCACAGGGATTTATGATTAGAGAGTGTTTGAATATATTACTCTCTAGATGGTCAGCTTCCATATGTGGCTATGCCTGGGTAGCATTTACTCTCTATTATTCAGACAATTTAGGTCAACCCATACTTTTTCCTCACTTATTTTAATATTTGACAAGGCAGGTGGTGGCAGATATCAAACAATTATAGGAAAGAATACCGTGTTGTAGGAAGAGCGTTTGACCAGGGGTCAGAAGAGCTGAGTTCTTAGCTTGATTCCTTTGATAATCAGCTGGGAGAGCTTGGATAAGTCTGTTTACTTCAGGCCTCAGTATCTTCAGCAATGAAATGAAAGGGTTGGAATAAATGAACCTCTAAAGACCCTCATAATTTAAATATCCTATAACTTGATGATCTTGGCCCAGATTGACTGAGGACTCCTGTGGTAGTCCCTGGGTCATTGCCAGCTTCACTCTGAGCAGGGATCATTTGGTTTGAGCACACTTCATACCATTTGTCTTGTCTGGGCCAATCATAAGCCTTCTCCTCCAGCCCGGGCCTCAGCCAGGTGTCTCAGTTGTGGTGTGCTCTAACCAGAGCCAGCACCACCAAGATCTGTTCAAAACTCATCTAATCCTGCATTCAAAGGTGATGAAAAATTATTTGAGCCACCTATTAAACCATAGGAGCCTCTTAGAACATTTAGTTCAGGTTCCTTCTGAGTGCAGTCTGATAAAGGTATTTCGAGTAATCACAATAACAATATTATTATGAATCCCAAATTTCCATTCTGATATGAAGTCACCTTCATAAGTGCCCCCATGAAAACTCAGATGTGGCAGGTGGTGTGTGTGTACACGCATGTTTACACACATTTTTTTTTAGATGCCCAGAGCAAAGTTACTCAAATCTCTAGAAGTGGCATTTCTCATTACAGTTCCTGGTAGTGCTGTAATGCAAAGAACAGGAAGTTGGAAGCTACTGAGGTACAATGTTTGTTCCCATTGACCTCTCCTCTTCCTGACATTTGTCTGAGTGACATTTCATGGACAGATGTGATGATTCCAATATCCATACTGGTTTCTTCTTTTCAAATATCTCACACATATACATCTTACTAAGGATCTTCCTTAGAAACTCCACTAAATCGAAAGTAGAGAAATCTAAAATAAGCTTCAATATTTCATGTAGCATTTTACCCAATAGGATTTATATTTGAATGCCTTAGTTAATCACAATAGTTTAAAATTCAGATCCTTTTGAATTTAGATTCTTGGATGGTTCTTCTCTTGCCGCCTCCCTGAAAATGCTTAAGATCAGGAACATGACAATAATATCTACTTTAATATTTGTTTGTTTATTGAAAAAACTCCTCTCCACTTTGAATATTGCACTGGTATCCTCTCCAGTACAATAAGGCAGGAAAAAGAGACACACAACACCTGACTCTAAAGGAAGAAGTATCGCTGCTTTATCCCCAGAAAACATGACTATCTATGCAGAAAATCTGATGAAATCTACCCCAAAACTGCTAGAATAAGTAAGTTCAGAAAGACTGAGAATACAAGGTCAATATACAAAACAATTATATTTCTATATGCTAGCAACAATCAGAAATAGAAATTAAAAAAAATTTACACTAGCCTCTAAAATATGAACTATTTAGATATAAATCTGGGAAAAGATATGAAATACCTGTATAGTAAAATCTCTAAAACCCTCCTGAGAAACATTGAATAAGACTGATATGGTTTGGCTGTGTCCCCACCCAAATATCATCTTGAATTGTAGCTCCCATAATTCCCATGTGTCTTGAGAGAGATCTGGTGGGAGGTAATGGAATCATGGCAGGGGCGGGGGTGGGTCTTTCCTGTGCTGTTCTCGTGATACATGAGATCTGATGGTTTTGTAAAGTGGAGTTCCCATGTACACACTCCCTTTCCAGCTGCCATGTAAGACATGACTTTGCTCCTCATTCACCTTCTGCCATGATTGTGAGGTCTCCATAGCCATGTGGAACTATGAGTCAATTAAACTTCTTTTCCTTTGTAAATTACCCAATCTCAGGTATGTCTTTATTAGCAGCATGACCTAATTTATTAATACAATGACCTAATTTAAAGATATCTTGTGTTCTTGTGTCAGAAGACTCAATATTGTCAAGATATCAGTTCTATCCAAGTTCATCTATGCATCCAATGCAATTCCAATTAAAATTCAAGTAGGCATTTTAAAGGCTATGGGTTGGGTGTGGGTAGAATCGACACACTAATTCTAAAATTCACATGGAAATACAGAGGACCTACAATAGCCAAACAACCTTGAAAAAGGACAAGATTGGAAGGCTAAAGTTACCTGATTTCAAGACTTATTATAAAACGACACCAATCAAGACAATATGGTATTGGCATAATGACAGACAAATAGATTAATAGAATTAAATGTAGATCCCAGTAATAAACCCACACATATATGAAAAACTGGTGTTATACAAAGGTGTAAAGACAATTCAGTTGGGGAAAGTTAGTCTTTAAAATAAATGGTGTTGAAACAATTGGATATTCATATGAAAAAAAATAAATTTTTATCCATATCTCATACATTACACAAAAATTAACTCAAAATAAATCATGGACCTAATTGTAAGACTTCCACAATATTTCTAGAATACTGATATGGTTTGGCTCTGTGTTCCCATCCAAATCTCATCCGAAATTGTAATCCCCACATGTCAAGCGAGGGAGGTGATTGGATCATGGGGGCTGTTTCCCTCATGCTATTCTCGTGATAGTGAGTGATTTCTCATGTGATCTGATGTTTTTATAAGCATCTGGCATTTCCTCTGCTTGCTTCTGTCTCCTGCCGCCATGAGAAGGTCCTTGCTTCCTCTTTGCCTTCTGCTATGATTGTAAGTTCCTGAGGCCTCCCCAGCCGTGTGGAACTGTAAGTCAATTAAACCTCTTTCCTTTATAAATTACCCTGTCTCAGTTATTTCTTTTTTTTTCTTTTTTTAAATTTTATTATTATACTTTAAGTTTTAGGGTACATGTGCACAATGTGCAGGTTTGTTACATATGTATACATGTGCCATGTTGGTGTGCTGCACCCATTAACTCATCATTTACCATTAGGTATATCTCCTAATGCTATCCCTCCCCCCTCCCCCACCCCACAATAGTACCCGGAGTGTGATGTTCCCCTTCCTGTGTCCATGTGTTCTCATTGTTCAATTCCCACCTATGAGTGAGAAGATGTGGTGTTTGGTTTTTTGTCCTTGTGATAGTTTGCTGAGAATGATGGTTTCCAGTTTCATCCATGTCCCTACAAAGGACATGAACTCATCATTTTTTATGGCTGCATAGTATTCCCTGGTGTATATGTGCCACATTTTCTTAATCCAGTCTATCATTGTTGGACATTTGGGTTGGTTCCAAGTCTTTGCTATTGTGAATAGTGATGCAATAAACATACGTGAGCATGTGTCTTTATAGCAGCATGATTTATAGTCCTTTGGGTGTATACCCAGTAATGGGATGGCTGGGTCAAATGGTATTTCTAGTTCTAGATCCCTGAGGAATTGCCACACTGACTTCCACAATGGTTGAACTAGTTTACAGTCCCACCAACTGTGTAAAAGTGTTCCTATTTCTCCACATCCTCTCCAGCACCTGTTGTTTCCTGACTTTTAATGATCGCCATTCTAACTGATGTGAGATGGTATCTCATTGTGGTTTTGATTTGCATTTCTCTGATGGCCAGTGATGATGATCATGTGTTTTTTGGCTGCATAAATGTCTTCTTTTGAGAAGTGTCTGTTCATATCCTTCGCCCACTTTTTGATGGTGTTGTTTTTTTCTTGTAAATTTGTTTGAGTTCATTGTAGATTCTGGATATTAGCCCTTTGTCAGATGAGTAGGTTGTGAAAATTTTCTCCCATTTTGTAGGTTGCCTGTTCACTCTGATGGTAGTTTCATTTGCAGTGCAGAAGCTCTTTAGTTGAATTAGATCCCATTTGTCAATTTTGGCTTTTGTTGCCATTGCTTTTGGTGTTTTAGACGTGAAGTCCTTGCCCATGCCTATGTCCTGAATGGTATTGCCTAGGTTTTCTTCTAGGGTTTTTATGGTTTTAGGTCTAACATGTAAGTCTTTAATCTATCTTGAATTAATTTTTGTCTAAGGTGTAAGGAAGGGATCCAGTTTCAGCTTTCTACATATGGCTAGCCAGTTTTCCCAGCACCATTTATTAAATAGGGAATCCTTTTCCCATTGCTTGTTTTTGTCAGGTTTGTCAAAGATCAGATGGTTGTAGATAAGCGGCATTATTTCTGAGGGCTCTGTTCTGTTCCATTGATCTATATCTCTGTTTTGGTACCAGTATCATGCTGTTTTGGTTACTGTAGCCTTGTAATATAGTTTGAAGTCAGGTAGCGTGATGCCTCCGGCTTTGTTCTTTTGGCTTAGGATTGACTTGGTGATGCAGGCTCTTTTTTGGTTCCATATGAAATTTAAAGTAGTTTTTTCCAATTCTGTGAAGAAAGTCATTGGTAGCCTGATGGGGATGGCATTGAATCTATAAATTACCTTGGGCAGTATGGCCATTTTCACGATATTGATTCTTCCTACCCATGAGCATGGAATGTTCTTCCATTTGTTTGTATCCTCTTTTATTTCATTGAGCAGTTGTTTGTAGTTCTCCTTGAAGAGGTCCTTCATGTCCCTTGTAAGTTGGATTCCTAGGTATTTTATTCTCTTTGAAGCAATTGTGAATGGGAGTTCACTCATGATTTGGCTCTCTGTTTGTCTGTTATTGGTGTATAAGAATGCTTGTGATTTTTGTACATTGATTTTGTATCCTGAGACTTTGCTGAAGTTGCTTATCAGCTTAAGGAGATTTTGGGCTGAGACAATGGGGTTTTCTAGATATACAATCATGTCATCTGCAAACAGGGACAGTATTTCTTTATAATAGTGTGAAAACGGACTAATACAGATACATTAGGAGAAAACTTTTGTGACCTTAGATTAGGTAAATATCTTTTATATACAACAGAAACATAGCAATCCATAAAAGAACAAATTGTTAAATTGGCTTTCATCCAAATTAAAAATGTCTACTCTTCAAAATACATTGTTAAGAGAATGAAAAGACAAGACAAAGTCTGGGGAAATGTATTTGCAAATATTTATAGTAGATTTATCTAGAATATTTTTTTGAAAAAAATCTTAAATCTCAAAAATAAGAAAACAACCCAAGTAAAAAATGGGCAAAATATTTAAAAATATGCCTTACTAAAGAAAACATGCAGAGGACAAATATGCACATGAAGCAATGTTCAACATTGTTAGTAATTAGGAAAATATAAATAAAAACCACAATGAGATACAACTACATATCAATTAGAATGGCCAAAATTCCAAAGACTGACCATATTGTGTGTTGGTAGGGATGTGGAGGAAATGGAACTCTCATATGCTGCAAATGGAAATGTAAAATTATACAACCAATTTGCAATTCATTTTGGCAGTTTTCTAAAAACTTAAACATATACCTACCATATGATCCAGCTACTTCACTTCTAAGTATTTACCCAAAAGAAAGGAAAGCATATGTCCATACAAAGACTTGGACATGAATGTTCATAGCAACCTTACTTGTAACAGCTCATATCAAAAAAAACCCCACATGTCAATCAACAAGTGAACGAATAAACAAACCATAATATATCCATACAATGGAATACTCTTCAGCAAAAAAAGGAATGAACTATTGATGCACATTATAGCATGGATAAAACTCAAAATAATTTTGTGTGAGTGAAAAAAATGATACAAAATGATTATTTGCTAAATGAGTCAACTTATATAAAATTCTAGGAAATGCAAACAGATCAATCCTAACAGAAAGCAGATCAGTGGTTGTTTGAGAGTAGATAGGAGGTGAGGAGGAGTGGAAGGAAAAAATTGCAAAAGTAATACAAATATCTATTAACCTGTATTTATTTCCTAGTAATGTTTGCAGGTAATTTGGTGATGGTTTTTTGGATGTATGCATATGATTAAATTTATCAAATTTTATACTTTAAATATGTGCAGTTTTTTATAGGTCAATTAAAAAACACTGCAAACAAAAACTGGTTAAAGATATGAAAATGATAATAAAATAAATAAACCTCTGGCAAACTGCATGAAATGAAGAGAATCAAGCAAACAATATGTTAGAAAAAAATTAATATGTATAAAGATAGGAAGCATTAAAAATGGTTAAAATGGTAAATGAATAGTTTGTAATATAATAATAAGCCTGAAAATACGTCAAATAGATAGCTTTGTAGAAAAACATATATATTATAAAATTTACTTAATATTAATAGAGAACTTCACTAGATCAATAATTATTAAATACATGGAGTTAATAAGAAAATCTCCACATCCAATCCAAGAAGAACCAGGCCCAGATTGTTTTAAGGACAACTTCTTTTGCCTAAACTTCAAGGAAGAAATTATCATTCTCTTTAGTTATTTTTTCCAGAGGACAGAAAAACAGAGAAAGCTCATTTTGTATGACTTTTATTAACTCAAGTGGTAAAGTAAGAAAAAAATACATAAGCAAATCAAAATTCCACGTAATAGAAAAATAAAAATTTTTAAAAGATATTTCACTGTGACCAAGTAGGGTATATCTTAGGAATGGAACAATATTTTAAATATTAAAATTCAAATGACCACATTAAAATATTATTAGAATAAATAAGTCTTTAATAAAATTCAGTATATTTATAATTAAAAATTTTAAGCAACTTACGAAAAGGAGGGAGTATCCTTAAGCTAAACCATAAATCTATGGTTAACATCATACTTAATAGTAAAATGGGAAACATTTCTTTTCAAGTAGGAATAGGATAAGGATGTTTGCTGTCATTCTTATTGCTGAATATTGTGCGGGAGGTCCTAGTAAATTCAATAAGACAATAAAAAATGAAGTATAAAGATTTAAAAGAATGGAAACTGTCCAATTTGCAGATAACATATGCACACAAAAAATCAGAGTGAATGAACAAATAATACAACTAATAAGAGGCCTTGAAATGTTTGTAGGATACAAAGATCAACATGCAAAAACAAAATAGCTTTCTGGTGCTCTTAAAATAACCAGATGGAAAATACAATAGAAAAGAAGAACACAATCATAATAGTAAGAAATAGTGAAAGGCACCAAGAAATAAACTTATTAAACATTTTTGTAAGATTGTTATGTAGAAAACTATACAACTTTAAGGATGAAAGAAAAACTTGTATTATGGAAGAGATGTGCCATACTAAGGTTTGAAAGACTCAATACCATAGAGATGTCACTTCTTCCTAAATTCATCTGTAGATTTCATGCAATTTCAATAAAATTACAAAATGGCTTCTCATGAAATTAAGTTTAACAAATATGGAAGGATAGCCTACACACTTCTGACAATGAGTAAGAAGAAAGAGGGTCTTGCCCTTTCATTATTAAGATTTATTATAGAGCAATAATAACTAAATCGGTGTTATACCAGCACAGCCATTAGACAAATAAACCAAGGGACTGGACTAAAGAAGCAAAAAAAAAAAAAAGGAACCAAGAGCCATATATTTCCAGTCAATGAGTTCAGTTCAGTTCTACCACTGATGGTAATGGTTTGCAGGAATGAGATCCTATAAATATTTAATGCCTGAGTGACTGCTGAGGAGTGGAAGGGACAACGAGTTTGCCTGGGATGCAGATGGGGAGTTTTTGACTGAGCTCCCTTCAGTCAGGACAACTTCCAGCAAAAGATAGGATTTTCCGAGTGCTTTAAAGAAAACCAGAAGGCTTAAAATCCGAGAACAGGAAAAGTTTTTGATACTTACCCATGTGAGAAAAAGCATGCACAGAGAAGAGGAAATTCAGATGAAGGGAGCAATGACTGTGACCATCTGGGAGGCAGCACGGCTCAGTTAACAGCAAGGACTTTGGAGGCGGAAAGTATTTAATTCAAATCTTCTTCTACCACACACAGGCTGGATGACTTTGCCAGGTTCTCTATTGTCTGTAAACCTTGATTGCTTCTTCTGTGAAATGGAGCTAATGATATCTCCATTTGGTGTTGTGAGGATTATGTGAGCTCATGCATGCAATGCTCTTAGCTCAGTGGCTGTCCCATGGTAAGGGTTCAATGAAGGCTCCATGGCAGCTTTCTAGGGGAAGACAAGAGGGAAGGTTGGCAGAGAGGAAAGAGAGGTCTGTCCTGGCCAGTGTTGCTCAGGGCCCGAATCAGAGAATACTGAAATTCATGGCGGCATTTCCAAGAGGGTAGAGATGATTTTGAAGTACCTAACATATGTTGCCTTTATTATTTCCCATTCAAAAACTTTAATTCTATTTCCCATTGAATTTCAAGTTCCTCTATAGCGGAGACAGGGTTGTATAATCTTGGTAGTTTCTTTACCTGACAGGCACACAGTGCGTTCTCATTGTTAAAAAGGGTGAGGTGGGCAGGGTGCGGTAGCTCATGCCTATAATCCCAGCACTTTGGGAGGTTGAGGTGGGCAGATCATGAGGTCAGGAGTTTGAGACCAGCCTGGCCAATATGGTGAAACCCCATCTCTAATAAAAATTAGTGGGGCATGGTGGCGGGCACCTGTAGTCCCAGCTACTTGGGAGGCTGAGGCAGAAGAATTGCTTGAACTTGGGAGGTGGAGGTTGCAGTGAGCCAAGATCATGCCGCTGCACTCCAGCCTGGGTGACAGAGCAAGACTCTGTCTCAAAAAAAAAAAAAAAAAAGGGTGAAATGGGGACAAAGGGCAAAAGCACCAGGGTCAACATTAGCATTCAAGATTCCCTGTAGAAAAATGAAAAATGATGGTTTAAGTGAAGGCTCATAGTTCTTTGTTGGCAGTAATGGGTAAGAAATTGAATGAGACTTGTGTGACTACCAAGGGCAGGAGACAGATAGAGGGAAAAGTGTCAGAATCCTGTAATGCTTAGATCGAAGGAGAGATGGAAAGAGAAACCACCTTAATCAGGTTTTCCTTCTTGAAAAAAAAGGGCAAGATAGCGGCACCAACCTACAGCTAAAATGGAGATTGGAGAAGTGGTGCACTTTAGAACGGCCATGAACAGTTTTGTCTCCACTCTATTTAATTTGATCTGGTTGCAATTTATCCACTTTTAGATGCTCAGGGTCTGCACTTTCTAACTACGAAAACATTTGTGGAATGTAGTAAGCACAGGTGCAGTGTTGCTTTTCACGGAAGTTTATGGTTTCAGTGAAATCCAAGTAATATAAATCTATTTACAGCCTATTTAGTCTCTGGCAAAATGTTCAATACTTATAATCATAATAGTTATCATTTACTCAGCATTCTTATATTCTAGGCTCTGGGCTAAGTACTTCATAAACATTATTTGTAATCCTTGAACTACATGAAAAATGGGTATTATGTCCCTTTTAAAAAGGAGAGACCCAAGATTAAGGAATTTGCCCAGGACCACCCAGCCAATAAGGAAAAGAGCAGGAAATTGAACTGGATCTGTCTGAGACTAAAGCTTGTATCCTCTCAAGCACACCTGGCTGGCGATGCCTGGGACGTCATGGTCTTTGACCTTTTGATATAGACCCTGCGTGGTGATTCTCTTATTAGTTGTATTTTACGCCATCGACCCATGATCTTCCTGACTTCTCTGTAAGTATCTTTTCCACTTATTTTGGATCTCCTCTTTGAGTAAATGAGCTTTGTGAATCCAGAAGTCTTTCTTTTGCATCTGAGCAGAAAAACCAAATGGAACAGAACAAATGTTGTTAGTGTGATCTCTGTACACATCTTTCTGGGTCCTGGCTTGTGCTGGCCTTTTCCAGAGGCAGAGAAAGGGGTTTCTAGGATTTGGCAGTGTCGGGCAAAAAGACCATGCTGGGAAAAAAAAAAAAAATCTCTCTTTGGTAGTTCTGTCTTCTGTAATAATTTATTAAATTTGACTGTAATTTTTTATAATTTGTAATATCACTTTGTCTTATGATGCTAATGATTCATAAATCCAAAGCTCATCTAAGAGGGGTAATTCAATAATGCATTGGCAGAAATTTAAAAAAGACTTAGCTGGAACGAATTTTCTGGATAAAAGGAAGGTGCTGAGAAATGCGACACGATGTCCACAAGGTTTATTAGGAGAGGGCTGAGAGAAAGACCCTAGGTGGGCAGAGCTCCTGGGAGGGGCAAGCCGTGCAGGCCACCTCAGTACCACACTGCTGGTCACTGTGGCAACAGGAAGCACTGGGCTTCCAGGGGAGAGAGAGAGAGAGACAGAGGTGCGCAGAGTGGGCAGCTCCCCATGGGCCAGCTCTACTCTAACACTCCTTTCTCCTCTCCCATTGAGAACTACTTTTCTTCCATAAGTTTCATCCAAGTTAAGCAAAAAATTGAGCCCAGGAAATGTTAAAAGCCAGAGGAATGGAAAGATCAAGAAGGAGAATCTGCAGTACCTATTAAAGCCTCCCTCTCTCCATACCTTCTTAACAGTTCTCTGCGATTGCAAGAGCACATCAAACATGTACATTTTAATACACAAATCCTGTTTCACATATTTGTGAAAAATCTCAGTGCCAAGGAGACAGGGAAATGATTTTGCGGAGTGGGCATGAATAAGAATTAAAGCCACCAGGGCAAGGTCCCAGACCTGTGAGACTTGTGTGACTACCAAGGGCAGGAGACAGATAGAGGGAAAAGTGTCAGAACCCTGTAATGCTTAGATTGAAGCATACAAATATACAAATAAATCTGTAATAATAATAATAACAAGGAGGCTATGGATATAATGTCAACTGAGTTCAGGGGAACCACAGGATTTACTGAGTGTGAGTCTACTTGAATAATAAGAGAAGCCTGTAAAAATATTAAAAACTTAGAGCATAGACAATGTGGGGCTGCAGACAAGGATCTTTTTCATCTTTCTGGAACTGTGTAGACACATCAGCTGGATGGTCTACATAAGCAGAGAAAACAGGTAAATGAAAGGCCCAGGCCAGACCCTCCATCACAGAATCCTAACCGGGAGAACCTGTGAATCACCACTGCTATAAAGGACATTTTTTTAGCCTTTGAGTGAACCAGACCTGAAGTGCCCAAACCAAAGACATGAAACAAGCTTAATTTTTATAAAGATACCCAGGAAGGCTAAAACCACAGATAACTGAAGGGATTCATTTCATTGGAGATGATTTATATTATTAAGAAAGTCTTTCCTATTATTATCTCAAATCCTTCCCAATGCAGATTGAATTCACATGGAATTAGGCAGTAGTAATTTAAGAAAAGCAGTTATGACCCTGTCTTTGAAATAATCTTCCTATTATGAAGAGAAGAAAAATAGCATCAGTGTTTTTTTGCAGTCTTGTTTTTGAGCCGGTACATTCTTAAATTCTTGTATTTCTAGTTACATGAAGGCTTTAAGTGAGAAAAAGTTCTCATAGCCTCATGAGATTTGTTTACCTTGTTTTCTCTCCATCAACTCCATGAGAAAAGGGATTTTCTTTCTGTTTTGTTTAATGCTATATTTCCAGAGCCTAGAAATAGTGCCTGACATGTAACAGACATTCAGTAAATATTTGTTAGAATAATGAATTCGACTTTTATGATATCATCTAATCACTCTCCCTGTCTCTTATTTTACTCTATCCAATCTACCCTCATCTCTCCCAAGACCAGAGTAGTGTTTCTAAAACATGAATCTTGATGAAAGCACTCTTCTTTCTCAAACTTTTCAAAAGATGCACCCAGTGTAGGATAAGGCCATTATTTTATTATTATTATTATTATTTTGACAGAGCTTCGCTCTTGTTGCCCAGTCTGGAGTGCAATAGTGCGATCTCGGCTCACTGCAACCTCCACCTCCCGGGTTCAAGCAATTCTCCTGCCTCAGCTTCTGGAGTAGCTGTGATTACAGGTACCCGCCACCACATCCAGTTAATTTTTGTATTTTTAGTAGAGACGGGATTTCACCATGTTGGCCAGGCTGGTCTCAAACTCCTGACCTCAGGTGATCCACCCGCCTTGGCCTCCCAAAGTGCTGGGATTACAGCCATGAGCCACTGCGCCCGGCCCATTATTCTTTAATAAGCTATTAAAGTGCCTCTGTGATCTGGTGCCAGCTTATGACTTTAGGCTCACCTGCCACAGCCTGGCACCTTCTGCACCAAGACTGACGCTGTCCTCACTGATGAACCTTCTCTGCCAGGGCATTGTTCTTCTCCAGTTTTCTTCTTCCCTTGGCAAACTTTCATTCATCCTTAAAAACTCAGAAAGAATGTCTCTCCTTCTGGGAAGCCTTCTCAGACTAACCGCTGCACAAGATTATTTACTTTGGCACATCATATGCTTCTTAAGTGCTTCTACCAACATACTTATGATGTATTAGGATGCTGGATTTGTACGTCAGTGTTCCCAACGATTGTGTTCCTTGCTATTACCTCCATGTTAGTATCTTGGGATTCTGTAACATATTACCTCCATGTTAGCATCTTGGCCTACTTGGGATTCTATAATAAAACACCATAGGCTGTGTGGCTTATGAACAACAGAATGCATTTTTCACAGTTGTAGAGGCTGGGAAGGCCAAGATTAAGGTGCCAGCACAGTTGGATTCTGGTGAGGGCCTTCATTCAGGTTGCAGACTGCTGATTTCTTGCTGTGTCCTCACATGGTGGAAGGGTAAAGGCAGTTCTCTGGAACATGTTGGAAGGGTAAAGGCAGTTCTTTGGGGTCATGTTTATAAGGAAACTAATCACAATCATGAGGATCCCACCCATAATCTAATCACTTCCCAAATAACCCATCTCCTAGTTTCATCACATTGGTTACTACATTTCAATACATGAATTTTAGGGTTGAGTGACACACACATTCAGACTGTAGAAGTTAGGTACTGTGGCTTAGTCACTTTTGTAACGCTAGTGCCAGTGTGTTTGCTACAAAATTAATACTTGATAAGTATTTGGGGATAGAAACACCAAAAAGGGATTGTGCAATTACTGGCATTTAATTTTTTGAATAAAATGTTAATTTTGTTTGTAAATCTTAGTATTATTAAAACTAAGTTGATGATATTTGTAAGTTTTATCTATTAAGTACATGGTACACAGTCTACCTTCACAAGTCATTAGTCTTCATTATTTTTATTGTAGTAAAATATACATAACATAAAATTTGATCTTCAACAAAATTGACAAGAACAAACAGTAGGAAAAGGACTCCCTATTCAATAAATAGTGCTGGGATAACTGGCTAGCCATCTGCTGAAGACTGAAACTGGACCTCTTCCTTACACCATGTACAAAAATCAACTCACGATGGATTAAAGACTTAAATGTAAAATCCAAAACTATAAAAACCTTAGAAGACAACCTAAGAAATGCCATTCTGGAGATAGGACCTGGCAAAGATTTCGTGAAGATGCCAAAAGCAATTGCCACAAAAACAAAAGTTGACAAAAGGGACTTAATTATGTTAAAGTGCTTCTGCATAGCAAAATAAACTATCAAGAGTGAACAGACAATCTACAGAATGGGAGAAAATATTTGCAAACTATGCATCCAACAAAGGTCTAATATCCAGAATCTATAAGGAACTTAAATTTACAAGCAAAAAACAACACCATTAAAAAGTGGGCAAAGGACATGAACAGATACTTTTCAAAAGGAGACATACATGAGTCAACAAGCATATGAAAAAAAGCTCAACATCACTAATCATTAGAGAAATGCAAATCAAAACCATGATGAGATACCATTTCACACCAGTCAGAAATGGCTATTACTAAAAAGTCAAAAAATAACAAGTGCTGGTGAGGTTGTAGAGAAAAGGGAACATTTATGCACCACTAGTGGGAATGTAAATTAGTTCAACTATTGTGGAAAGCAGTTTGGTGATTTCTCAAAGAATGTAAAACAGAACTCCCAATCTACCCAGCAATTTCATTACTGGGTTATATACTCAAAGGAATAGAAATCATTCTATCATAAAGACACATGCACATGTATGTTCATCACAACACATTCACAATAGCAAAGACATAGAATCAACTTAAATGACCATCAACATTAGACTCGATAAAGAAAATGTGATACATATCCATCATGGAATACTACGCAGCCATAAAAAAAACGAAATCATGTCCTTTGCAGGAACATGAATGGAGCTGGAGGCTGTTATCCTAAACAAACTGAGACAGGAACAGAAAACCAAACACAGCATGTTCTCACTTATAAGTGGGAGCTAAATACTGAGTACACATGGACACAAAGAAGGGAAGAACAGACACAGGGGCCTACTTTATGTGGGAGGTAGGAGGAGGGTGAGGACAAAAAAACTACCTATCAGGTACTATGCTGATTACCTGGGTGATGAAATAATTCACCTAACCCCTGTGACATACAATTTATCTATGTAACAAATCTACACGTGTACCTCTGAACCTAAAATAAAAGTTAAAAAATAAAAGTAAATAAATACATACAAATTTACCACTTTAACCATTTTAAAATATACGTTTCAGTGGCATGAAGTACATTCAAAATGCCGTGTGATAGTCGACATTACTCGTTCCCAGGAATTTTTTATCATCCCAAACAGAAATGCTATACTTATTAAAAAATAATTCCTACTCTTTCTGCCCCCAGCCCCTGGCAACCACCACTCTACTCTCTGTCTGTCAGGGCTGAACTAGTCTAAGTATCTCATAAAAATGGAATAATATGCTATTTGTCCTTTTGTGTCTGGCTTATTTCACTTTGTGTGATATTTTGAAGATTCACCCATGTTGTAGGATTATCAGAATTTTACTCCTTTCTAAGGCTGAATTTTACTCCTTTCTAAGGCTGAATATTGCATTGCACATATAACACATTTTGTTTATTCATCTGTTGATGGACATTTGGGTTGTTTCCACCTTTTAGCTATCATGAATAATGCTGCTATGAAGATTGATATATGAGTATCTGTTTGAGTCCTTGTTTTCAATTCTTTTGGATATATAACTAAGAGTAGAATGGCTGGATTACATGGTAATTCTGTTTAACTTTTTGAGAAACCATCAAACTATTTTCTACAGCAGCTGCAACATTTTATATTCACACCAGCAATGCATAAATGTTCTAATTTCTCCATATTCTTGCCGACACTTGTTATTTTCCATTTTTAATAATAGCCACCCTAATGAGTACGAATCAGTGGCTTTTGGATGGCATGGACATCTAGGTGTGGGCTATATTTATATTTTCAACTTTAAGCATAAAATTTGAGCAAAAAATTGTTATGCTTAAATTGTGGAAATATTAGAAATTCACTGTTATTTATAAAACCATCCCGAGCTTGGGTATAGTTTTGAAACAATAAAGATACAATATAGGAGTAGAAAAAGAGGGGAAGGATGATAATATTCTCATGACCTGCATACAGCCATTTCTTTTGAGTTAATAACCTTCACAATGTAGTCCACAGGCACTTCCAAAAACATATTTAATTGACAAATGTATGAAGCAGGATCATGCCAGTAATGATCTCCAGTGAAATTGGTTTCTTTTTTTTTTTCATTAGTTTGAGCATTTTTATGATTTCAAGGATGGAAAAAAGCTTACAGAAAACCACATATACGCAAATACCGTGGATGTGAAAATATGCATAGAAACTGTGGCTTATTTTTATAAAACTTTTTTTTTACAGCATATTAAGGCAAAACCAATGTTATTGCAATATTAAAGTTCAGAATTTCAGCAATCTATTAAGGCCTCTGGAGGAACGTTAGTTGCAGCAGGGAACTCCAGCACTTTAGAGGGCTGCCAATGAAGAAAGATGGTTCTCTCGCAGATTTAACTCAGGGAAGCATTTAATAGGAGGAATTTTTAAAAAGTGACTTTACAGCATTCTTTAAGGAAAATCAAATGCTCAGAATTGATTCATTCATAGTAGCTTAGCCTTGTTGTCCTAAAATTAATCAGCTGCAGACAGTATTTCTCGGGAGAAGGAGTATTTCATGGAACAAGGAGTAGGAGGATGACCATCCCTTACATTATATGCTAGTACCATATCAGTACCATCATCCACAGTTGTAAGATTTCTGTGAACATTTTACTATACAGTTATTAAATAAAATCGTCCTTATTACAACCTTGCGATGTAGGCATTGCTGAGACTGTCATCTCTATTTGGGCAAAGCGACTCCAAGACCTGGAGATGGTTAGTCTCTTCCCCGAGCTCACACAGCTAGTCACTAGATAGGCAGTGTAGAATAGCACAGGATGTATGGGAGGGAGGCAGACTGAAGTTCAAATCTCAGCTCTAGCACTCTCCAGTTGTTTCCTTGGAAAATCTTCCTAAGATCTTTAAGCCTCAGTTTCACTTTCTATGAAATAGGTTCATAGCATCTACCTCATAGTGTTGTTTGAGAATAGATATTTAATAAGAGGAGCTATTCTCTTCCCTTTCTCCCAGCCATGACCATGTCAGACATCATTAACCAATACCGCACACTTTCCCACTGAGCATGGAGCAGTCTTAGAAGCCTTCTCAAGCTGACATTCTGGACAGCTGTGCTATAGCAACTGATCAGAGTAGGCAGTAGATGTGGGACTTACTTGTCATCCCGGTCCTTAGGGTTATGCTCACTGCTGCCTATATTGATCCTTTCATCTGTCCTTCCAGAACACTCTTCATCAGCTTTTATTAACATCTTACATGAAAATCCAAGACATTTTTTAGCTGGGTCCATTTTCTCAGAATTCTCTCCTTCTCCTTCCTCCCCTCTGTTGCTACTAAGCCAACATGTTCCTATCCGACTGACTCTATCCCTGAGCCTGCAAAAGGCCAGCAGAGGAGAATAAATTAAATAGCTAAATGGAAGAGAAGAGTGAGATGGGAAAAAATATCCAGACCATCTTGTGTCTTTTGTCATGTGCTTTCTAATTTTCTGATTTTATTGGCATTTTTCATTTGAGGAGTTTGGTCTAGTGACAGTATTCATTGAAATAGCCAAATCCCTTAGTCTGAAGGTTAGCAGTTATACATGTACTTATAAATATATATAAAAGAGGTGCTAATAATATGTTCAGGGTCACCTAATGAGGCATAAATGAAAGTGGTAGACAGCAAAAGTTTGAACCCTTGATAAATCTGTGGTTATAAAAGTGAATTCTTGAATTTAACATTTACACAATTTTTTTGAAGTAGTCATCTCTTCTTTTAGATTTCAATCTTGTGATCAAAGAATGTACCTTTAAAAAAATATTTCAAGTTCGAAGTTTCATTTTTCTTGAATGAAAACTTCAAGTAATTGAATTTTCTTTCAATAGAATTGAAAATTCTTACACTGGAAAGAAAGCATGAGTTCTTATTTGCTCTAATGCTAAACAAAGAAAATGTTATCACCTCCATCTCTCAGGCTCAAATGTGGCTGAAAAAAACTTCACACAAACTCTGAAACAAAGCAAAAACAGCTCTCCCACTGGATTTATCAAATATTTGTGAGCAACTGACTTAAAAGCTTCAATTGAAGTCCTTCCTGACTTAGAATTCTCCTTGACTTGGTGTCAGTGTTCAGTTTATGAACAGTCTATTTAACCCCCACATAGTGCTTGGTCATCTTCAACCTTAAAACCATGCCTTGTGTTTCAGATTGTCTCCTAGATTCACTTGTTACCAAAATTTGTCCTGGGCTGCATTTCCTTCAGTGGCTCCACATAAAACAGATGGAAAATGGATAGAATATTGTCTGAAGGTCTAGACATAATTAATAAGATTTGCTTCCCAAAACCTGTGTAGTAGGGTGTGGAACAGTGGAGACAGTGTACTGTATCAAAAGTTCCCCATAAATGACTATAAATGTGGACTACCTGGGCTAGTCATGAGGCTAACATATTTCATTCAAGCATCTCAGTGGATTCATGCCAATCAATGGAAGACCCTAAGAAGTCCCTTCCAATTCTGAGACCACATGTTAGGCTGCAGAACCCAGTCCAAGCAGCACTCTTTACTATTTGACCATTTGGCTTTTGCTCTACAGAGGACAGATCACCCCAGGGATAAGTAGGAAGATTTAAAAGCCTTGTTCTTTTTTTCTTAAATGTCTTCACGAGCTGAAGGAACATTTAAAAATAAAAACAGACATTTGTTTCTCAACAGTCACAGTTCAAAATTGCATGTACAAGTCTCCCTGCGGTCATTTTTGAAACTTCAAAAGCTTTTTATGTTGCTTTTTAAACAGAAAAGCAATTTGGAAATAAAGGAAAGCATTTAGCATCCCCAAACAGTGACCCAGAGTATTGGCCCCCGTAGAGCACTATCAGATAACCTCGTTCCACCAGGACAGAAGAGTCAAGAGTGTGAACAAGACATATGTTAAAAGACCCACTTTGCAGATGTACATTGATTCCGGCTATCACTGGGGAGGACTCTGGGGAAAATTAGGAAAGACATATTTATCTTTGGCATTTCCTGCACTGTGCCACAGTGAAAAAGAACATGGGCTTTATAGTCGGAAATGTGGATTTTAATTTTAGCTCCACCATCAAGCAGCTGGGGGACCTTGGACAATTATTTTAACCCCGTGATCCTCAATTTCTTCAGAGCTAACATAGGAATGATGGTATCTCCTTTCAATTTTTGTGTTAAATGAGATATAGGCTATATAACATAACTAGCACATGAAAGACACATAATGAGTGGTAATTTCTTTCCCCTGCCTTCTCCCCACATCCCCAGCTACTTAGATCTCCACTCAGGGCAGCCTTCCTGGGCCTCACTTGGCTGCATTATAGGGTGGCATTTCCTATTAAAATTTACCCACACCATGGTGTAATTGTGTTCTCAGATCCCAGCTTGTGCCAGGTGGTCTAACCAAAATGTTCAACTCTCATATCCTTACGCTCAGCTCACAGATCATCGAAACGGTGCTGTTGGATTAACTTCTTATTCCTCCTAAGTAAGAGTAACATTTTACTTTTAACCTTTAGAAAAACAGTGTCTTAATGTAAAGGAATACCTATAATGGGGGGTGCGACTTCAGGCAAAGCAGGAATATGTGTGTATAAGGGGGATCATCTTTCAGTATTCACCCTTCAAATCACATAAACAAGTGCCTCCCTTCTACTTCAACACACAGAGCTGAAACTTGCTTTTGGTCCTCTGATATTAATGGTGACCTAATGGTGGAACAATAGGACTAGTGACCAAGTGCCTGTAATGTGTATCTAGAGGTTTCCCAAACTCCAGGCCTCTGCCTACCCTACACCCTTGCAGCTGGAATCCTTAGGCGTTACCTGGAGTTTCAGCCCCACACAGAACCTAGAAACAATTGCAGGCATTCTGCCTGAGGAGCTCTCAGACTCTGCAACCTCTGGTTCAGGAGTTGGCCATGCTCTGGCTTGATATCAACTTTCAGTGCTGACCTTTTCTTTTTTTGCTCCTCTATCACCAAGCTCCACACTACTTCTCCCTTTTAGTAACCAAATCCTTGTTTGGAGTCTCAATGAGGAGCTCAGATTCTCCCTGCTTGGATATTCCAAGGCTATCCTCTCACTTCCCTTCCACCCAGTACAACCCTTCCTCCTTCCTGTTCTCTTAGAAGCTAAGGTTCTGTGCCTGAATTCCATCTCTTCAATAAAGGGTACACTTGTTTTGGGATTTGTTGAGCTGCCAATGTCAGTGATACTACAGATTTGGTAGATACAAACAAGGAGTACCTTGTCCTTGCAGGAAAGTGTACATTGAAATGGAAAATGCAGCATAGCTAATGATGAAAAGTATTAATGTCAATATCAGGCAGACCTAAGGCTACACTTCCTACAGCTGTACTAGTGTTGGCAATTTATTTACCTTTCTCATGCTTTGGTTTCCTCATCTCAAAAACTGAACTAACAGTGCTTATCTCATAGGGTTGTTGCAAGGATTAGATCAGAAAATGAATATAAAGAAATTAGCACAATGCCAGAGACAGAGTAAATGCTCAAGAAAAATCAGATATTTTCATTAGTGTTAGCATGATGATTATTTAATAAGAGACATATATGAACACAAAAGAGAACGGTGGAACAGGAGGATTAGTGACCAAGTGCTTGTAATGTGTATCTAGAGATTTCCCAAACTCTCAGCCTCTGCCTACTCTACACCTTCGCAGCTGGAATCCTTAGGCCTTACCTGGAGGTTCAGCTCCACACAGAACCTGGAAACATTCCTGACTTCTGCCTATGAACCTCAATGCATCAAATAATGTAGAAGGCAAAGATAAGTATAGCTTATATTCTTAAATAATATTTTCTCAAATAAAGTTTGAGAAAAAAATTGGGAGTTCAGTTGACATGTAGTTTCTATAGTGACCACATTAATAGGCAGCTGTAGTACATGCAAAGAGGTTGCCTCTAAGTCAGGGAAGATATTTCCTTAGCAATGGAAAAGACAGCAAGACCAGACTCAGGAATAAAAGTTTTGCTTGGGGGTGAACCCAAAACACAGAAAGAACAAGAATGGACATTGGAAGTATTTGAAAAGGTTTATCTGCCATTTCAGGTTAGTTTTTTACTGCGTTTTGGAAAATGACATCCTAAACTTCCAGAAATTCAGTAATTCATCACTGTAGAGATAGAAACTATAAATTCTGCTCATGTATTAATCATGGTTTTTTATTTTCTATATTTCATGATGTTTTGACATCTTGGGGCCTTGTGGATCTAGTGAAAAACTGACTGCCCCTCTCAGGGTTAGTTAATTCCTAGGGAAAACAAAAAACTTACCTGTGAACACAGCTTTCATATGTAAACCAACCAATCCTGGATCCCCATGTGTCTTCTGTTATTGGATTTTTACAGTCCAGATCACACCAGGGCTAGGTACAAAACAATCAGAGACCACTCCTACAGCCCAGAGCTCGCCCAAATTGTTCAAACCTTGCTATCCTAAGCCTGCTCAGCTGCTTAATCTGCCTCACCCATTTCTTCATGCAAAAGACACAATAAAGACTGTGCCCCCTCCCTCCTTCTTCCTCCTGATTGACCATGGTACTTCCCTGTGGCCCTGCACAGTATTTGAGCTCACTCCTCTTGGACACTATGACAAACTATCGTTTCGGTGGCAACCATCTTATCTGTTGGCCTCACCATACCTGAATAAAAACAAAATCCTAGGTACACTTGAAGCAACCCAAAGCAAGAGAAATCTACATTCAGAAGCCTGCAGCTTCTGGCTGGATTATCTTGGCAAGGCTCAACCGTTTAGAGCCTCAGTTTCCTCATCTATAAAACTGAAATAATAATTATTATCTAGCAGAGCCATGGGGAGAATTTATACGTGTGAAAGCACTCATCATAGTTTATGCTTACCTAATGTTTGTTCCTACATTTGTTTAATTACCCATTCATTCATTGCTATCCACCTGTAGTCTATAAACACAATTCAATTATTACCTTGTCCATCCTTATTAATTCTATAGTAAATTCTGATGCTCTTTCCAAGTGTATCTATGGCTTCTGAGCACTGTCATGAAATCTCACTCTTTTTTCACTCTGTGTGTGGCTTCACCGAGAGCTCTCCCCTTGAGTCCCTTGGTTGATTTCTGCCACAGCTATTATAAAGTCATGCAATTTTGGAAAAGGCCAGTCTCACTGTTTATGCTGACATCTGTCAATCTTATCAAGCAATTTTGTCTACAAAAGGGGAGTCAAAAACCTTCTGTTGGGCAGAAAAAGAAATCACATTTTTGGCAGATAATTAGTAAAATAAACATCTGAAAGCTGTAGATAATTTGTATTGCACTACAGGCTTTGTGGATGTTTTACCGCCTACGCTCCTCTAATTAGGGAATAGGGCTGATAAATGCTGAAGTGGAGAGAGATCCCTGAGACACAGAGCCAAATGCTCCAGCTGGACTAAAATTACCAAGAAGATCAATTAAAAGAAGGAAGATGACCAGTGTAGCAAAGAGCATCAGGGTGGGGTCAAATTTGAGACAGATGGCAAATGAGGCAACTTCAAGAGAGACAGGCTGTCCCAGAGTTTTTTTATTGTATTCCTGATGAACAAGACTAAGGAGAAATCTGAACACTTAACAAGAACTGTGCAAAAAGATCTGGCACCAAATGCAGGGTGGGATAAAGAGAGACACTGGCCTTGGACAGCCCAGACCTGGTTCACTGGCTCAGGCAGTTCTGCCAATGAGGTTTCCCTTTTTAGGGATGGCAGACAAGAGACCACTGCAGTGGTAAAGGAAGTAATATTTTTAAAAATGTATAAATTATGAAGAGCTATATAAGAAGGGCTATTATCAATGACAGAATTGCTGTGCTTCAGTCTCTTGTTTGAAAGAATAAGTACAAATGTTTAAAAGCCCAGTCTCTGGAGTCAGATTAAGTAGGCTCAAATTCTAGCTTTGCTACTTGTTCTTTGTGGCTTGACGTTTTGAACCCTCAGCCTCCTTACTGCAGAAATAAATAAAATCATAGTGCCTACCTCATGGGCTGCTGGAAAGGTTAGAGGAGGTCTGCACATAAATCTCTTCTCAGAGGTCCTAGTTCATAGGAAGCACTCAGTAAGTATTATATATTAATATTTGCCCAGCCTCCTCAGGTGCCTGTTGCAGGTACAACTGCAGGATTTTCCAAGCACAACGGCGAATTATCTCCTGCCCAAGCCTCTGACACTCCAGCGAGGCTTTCTCTGTGTGAGTGGGTCTGTTAACGTTAATGGGGGTGCAGGGGGCATGGAGGGGAGGAGGCTGACTAGGAAATTCCTATCATGGCTACAAGTTCCTGTGGAAGTGTTACAGTGTTTAATGTCATTGTTCTAATATCACCCATATTTGATATCATTGTTTGAGATTTTGGCTCAGAGTCCACAATTTACTATTCTGTGGAGTTGTTGGACTCTTGGACTGACCTAAACATTTCTAGAGTGAGATATGAATTCTACACCTTGCCTTGGATAATTATTACCTAATTAGCAACTTAGTGAAATACTGTTTTTGTTTGTTTGTTTGTTTGTTTGCTTTTTTTGCTAGTATTTCCCCAGCACAGAATTTCTCCACACAAATTCACTTAAGCCTTTTGATGGCAAGCTTGAGGAGCAAGTGCCTTTTTGTTGTTCTTTGTTAAAATAATTCCCCTGTTGTACGTGTCTTGCATGAGGCTGCTGTCAGTAAGAAATGCCTCTAGTCACCATTCAGCCATCTAAATATAAGACATTCCTTTGTACCAACTTTCACGTATGTATCTCCAGGCTGTGCAAATATTAAGAGTAACCTGGTTAAATTATCTCTGACTTTAAAGGAGTTCTGTACACCATAGGATTTCATAGTCCTGTGACTTAACCCTTGAATTTCTCTAATAACCAAAAGAAAAAGGTTCTAAAAAGTGCTTATTACCTTTTTGTAAAGTTCTACTCTTTTCCTGCCCTTTCAAGTGCCTGAAGATCAACAGTTGTGCAATTAATGCAGTGCTCACTGCATTTTTTTTTCCAGATGGAAAACATACCCACTGTTAAGTAGTTTGGGACAGCGTCTCATTTGAGCAGCTAAAGAGCCAAAGTCCCTGCTACCCCACTAGATAGAATCCATTGTATATCTATGAATAAGAAACCCTGGCATCTGGGGAGCTGGGCAAAGTAAGGGGGCTGGGACATACACTGTGCCAGGACCAAGTTCCTGTGCTGGATGGCCGATTGTAGAAGAAAACCAGGCATCAACAGGGACGGGTGCAGTGGCTCACGTCTGTAATCCCAGCACTTTGGGAGGCCGAGACAGGCAGATCATGAGGTCAGGAGTTCGAGACCAGCCTGGCCAATACGGTGAAACCCCGTTTCTACTAAAAATACAAAAATTAGCCAGGCGTAGTGGCGGGCGCCTGTAGTCCCAGCTACTCAGGAGGCTGAGGCAGAAGAATGACTTGAACCAGGGAGGCGGAGCTCACAGTGAGCCGAGATCACACTATTGCACTCCAACCTGGGTGACAGAGCAAGACTACATCTCAAACAAACAAACAAACAAACAAACAAAAAACAAACCAGACATCATCAATTCAAAATTAAGAGATGGGAAGAGAAGACTGATTTGCTGGGCAACTGGTTTCATCTGTAATGAAGATTATAGTGCTCAGTGACCAAGTCATATCTAATGAGATAAATGTGTTAACGTATTTTGGACACCAGAACACTAGACAGCTGTGTAATTTTAGGAACTCTCAGGGTTATTTTAATTGTTGATATTATTATCTTATTGTAACTGGTAGACACGGAAATTCATGTCTAGGTGCATTCAACATGAAGGAGTAAATTACTACAGTGCTCTGAATATTTCTGATAATTGGAAAACATTTAAATCCCCCAATTATTTATTTTAAAAATAGAACACTATAGAAAAGTTGAAAATAGTACGAGTCCCCTTTTTTCCTTTACTAAGATTGTGCAATTTTACCATATTTGTGACACTTCTCTCCCTGTCTTATTTATATTTATTTATTTAAAGTACGTGGAAGTACTCACCCAAGATATTGACACTTATTCCATATTATCTAATGTGCTGTCTATATTTAAATTCCCCCAATCATCCCCAATATATATTTTATAGAATTTTTTTAAATCAAAGATCCAGCCAAGTTAGCATGCTGTATTTTGTTGTTACGCTTCTTTAACTTAGAAAATTCTCCTCCACTTTTGTCTTTTTTGCTTTTTATGATATTGGCTTTTTTGAAGAGTCCAGGAACTGTCACAGAGTGTCCCACATTCTAGATTTATTTCATTTACTCCTTAAGTTTACATTACTTTGAAACGTTTCTGGCAAAACTACTACATAGGTGATATTGTGTGTTTTGCTGCTTCTCATGAGGGGGCACAAAATGTCAGTTTGTCCCTCCATTCCTAACAGTAACGCCTTTAAGGTTGGATTTGGCTGGGCTCTCTTAGGGAGCATTAGCATCAAGACTTGTGGCCACACCCCTTGGCACACTGCCCTTCTACAGCTTTCCATGAGGGCATGCCTGCTGATGACCCTGGGGACCACGTTGGGCCATCAAGAAATAACCAATAAGAGTGATTCTGGAGAAGCTTCCCTTTGGAGCCTCCAGTTTCATATGACAGTCTCTGAGCCAATCTATCCAGAGGAAAGCTTAATTGGCAATTGGCATGCTGCTGAGACTGACACCCGGTAAGCCTCACCTTTATAACTCCAGATTCCTTTCATAATGATGGCTAGCCATGTACTGGCTAGTTTCCAGTTCTAGGCATGACTAGGTGGGCAGTGATATACTTTCGGTTTTCTTATCTGCTCAGTATACATGTGCATGGGCAAAAGACTTCACACACGACATTCATGAAATTTAGTGAGACTTGGCTAAAGATTACCAAACATTCTTAGGGACCTGTCTACCTGAACAAAGGAGATGAAGCAGGGAAATGAGAAAAAAAAAATAAAACCTCAGATTCCAAAAACATTTATTGAGTATCTGTTATGCACTGGGTGCTTTCAAATGCACTGGCTCATATTACATTGCATAACATTGATTCTTCAGAAATATTGCTCCAGGATTATAGAATGGAACTATAATGTTTTATTATCACATCTAGTTCTTTAGTGGGTCAGACACAATTTAGTAGGACTCAGTGAGATAAACCAAGTCTTCAGGGGTTGTCGAGCCTTACAGTTTACAAAGCACTGCCACAAACAGGAGCTCATTCAATCCTCACAAAAGCCCCTATATAGCAGGCTTTATTATTCCCATTTGCCAGTCAAGAAGTTGAGATCCAGGTAAAGTACCTTAGGGAGGTGACAGAGCTGGGGTGCTGATTCGTCTCTTCTGGTCCCAAGTCTGCCGTGCCTTCTCATGCTTTGGGGAACGACGTAGATCTCATGGCTGGTTGTACTGTGGAACCATGGCCCTCAGTGCTCCTTTACATGTTGACTGTATTAATTTTGGTCCAGCACATAGCCACACCCATAATAACAGCAGCAGCAATAATAATGACTACAGCCACATTAATAATAACAATTACTTACTTTTTTGAAATTTGACATTGTCCTGTCTTCAGGTCAATTTCTCCAGCAAGATTAACTTTCCAGAAAGTTAACTTTCCAAAAGAGTTGATGTAAGTACCTACTATAGCATTACTAATATTTAGTTTCTTTTTCTTTTCTTTCCCCAGTCTAATCGAGATATAATTGACAAATAAAAATTTTATATCCTTACAGTGTACAATGTGATGTTGTGATATAATATGTATATATTGTAAAATCAATCAAGCCAATTAACATATCCATCACCTCACATAGTTATCTTTTTGTTACGTGATGAGAACATTTGAGATCTATTCTCTTAGCAAATTTAAGTATAAAATACAGTGTTTTAAACTATAGTCACTATGGTGTACATTAGATCTCCAGAACTTATTTATCCTGCCTAATTGAGTTTTGCACCCTTTGATCAACATTTACCATTTTCTCCACCTCCACCTTCACCCCCTCCACAGGCCCTGGCAACCACTATTCTACTCTGCTTTCATCTATGAGTTTGACTTTCTTTTTTTTTAAATTTTATTATTATTATACTTTAAGTTTTAGGGTACATGTGCACAATGTGCAAGTTTGTTACATATGTATACATGTGCTATGTTGGTGTGCTGCACCCATTAACTCGTCATTTAGCATTAGGTATATCTCCTAATGCTATCCTTCCCCCCTCCCCCAACCCCACAACAGTCCCCGAAGTGTGATATTCCCCTTCCTGTGTCCATGTGTTCTCATTGTTCAATTCCCACTTATGAGTGAGAACATGCAGTGTTTGGTTTTTTGTCCTTGCTGAGAATGATGGTTTCCAGTTTCTTAGATTCCACATAAAAGTGAGAACATGCGTTATGTCTTTCTGTCCTTGGCTTATTTCTCTTAGAATAATATCCTCTAGATTCATCTGTGTTGTCATAAATGACAGAATTTTCTTCTTATTTAAGGTTAAACAATATTCCATTACATGTATGTTTCTGTCTGTCTATCTATCTATGTAATCTATCACATTTTCTTTATCCATTCATCTGTCAATGGCACTTAGGTTTTTTGAGTAGCCTTCCTATTGTTTTCCATACTGACTATACCAATTTACATTCCCACCAACAGTGTGCAAGAGTTTCCTTTTCTCTACACCCTCACCAACACTTGTTATCTCTTGTCTTTTTGATAATGACAGTCTCAACAGGTGTAAGGTGATATCTCGTTGTGGTTTTGATTTGAATTTTTCAGATCATTAATGATCATCTATTGGCCATTTTTATGTATTCTTTGAATAAATGTTTATTCAGCTCATTTGTCCATTTTTTAATACTGTTATTTTTCTTGCTATTGAATTGATTGAGCTCCTTATATATTTTGAGTGTTAACCCCTTACCAGATGTATGGTTTGCAAATATATTCTTTCATTCTGTAGATTATCTCTTTCCCTATTGGTTTCTTCCTTTGCTGAGCAGAAGCTTTTCAGTTTGAGGCAGTCTCATTTGTCTATTTTTGCTTTTGTTGCCTGAGCTTTTGGGGTCATATCCACAAAATCATTGCCCAGACCAATGTCAAGAAGCTTTTTTCCTATGTTTCTTTTGACAGTTTTATAGTTTTAGGTCTTACATACAAGTCTTTCTTCCACTTCAAGTTGATTTTTGTATATGATGTGAGAAAATGGTCAAATTTCATTCTTCTGCATTGGATATCCAGTTTTCCTAACACTATTTTTTTTATTTTTATTTTTTATAAGATGGACCTCATGCAAGAAATAATTTGGGGTGAGTCTATAGAGCAAAGTGACGGCAATTTTATTAGGAAAATAAAAGAATAAATTATGGTTACTCCATAGGCAGAGCAGCCATAACACCATTTATTGAAGAAAATGTTCTTTCCCTTTTATGTGATCTTGGCATTTTTGACAAAGACCAAGTAACCATAATGTGTGGATTTGTTTCTGAGTTCTCTATTGTGTTCCATTGGTCTGTATGTCAGTTTTTTATGCCAGTACCATGATGCTTTTATTACTATAATTTTGTAGTATATTTTAAAATCAGGTAGCATGATGTTTTCAGCTTTGTTCTTTTTGCTCAAGATTCCTTTGGCTTTGTGGGGCCTTTTGTGGTTCCATATGAATTTTATGATTGCTTTTTCTATTTCTGTGAAAAATGCCATTGGGATTTTGATAAAGATTACATCAAACCTGTAGATCACTTTAGGTAGTATGGACATTTTGACAATATTAATTCTTCCAATCCATGAACACAAGATATCTTGCCATTTATTGAGTCTTCTTCTATTTCTCTCATCATTGTCTTATCATTTTCATAGTAGAGATCTTTTGCCTTATTGGTTAAATTTAGCAAAAGGTGTACAAGAAGAAAAAACATTCCACCCCACTGGGAAGAATTCATCAGGATAGATTTCGATGAAGCACGATCTTCAAGTCACATGAATGTGTGCAACAGAAGATGGGGTTTTGCCCTCGTTGGTTCTACTTGACAAATGAGGAACAAGCACAGCTGACTGTATTCATCCAAATTAGTACTCACAGTGCTTCCTAAAGGTCTTAACTCCAATTAGGAAGGATCCCACAGAAGGACTAAGTGGGAATGAGCTGCGTTCACAGTTTCACCAAGTGTGGTATTAATATAATAATAAAATCTGCAATTTGTACCTGCATTAGTTCCTGTTGCTACTGTAACAAATTATCACAAATTTAGTTGCTGAAATCAAAATAAATTTATTTTCTGATAGGCCTGGAAGTCAGAATTCCAAAGTCAGTTTTACTGAGATAAAGTCAAGGTTTTGGCTGGGCTTGTTCTTTCTGAAGGCTATTAGGGGAGAATCCATTTCCTTGCCTTTTTTAGTTTCTCGTGACTACTTTCTTCATCTTCAAAGCACATGGCTCCAGTCTCAGCTTCCCTCATAACATTACCCTCTTGGTTTCTGGAGTCAAATATCCTGCTACTTCCCTCTTATAGGGACAGTTGTCACTTTATTTAGGACCCGCCCACATAATCCAGGACAATTTCCCCATCTCAATATGCTTAATTACATTTTGTTGCCTTTTTGCTGTGTGTTAATAAGAAAGAGCAGTGAATGAAGAGGCAGAAGAATTCAGTTCAAATTCTATTAGTTTCCTGAACATAGTTATTTCTTCATGTAAAAATGCAATTGATAATAAAATCAGCTACCATAAAGGTTGTTGTGAGAACCCAATGACACATACATGTGAAAGTGATCAGTAATTTAATCACAGCCATGAAGCCTCTTCTGCTATATGAGGTACTGCTCACAGGTTCTGAAGATTAGGATGTGGATATCTTTGGAGATCATTATTCAGCCTACCCCGGTACCTCACTAAGCACTTTCACATATATGTGTCATCGAGTTCTCTTGATTTTTATGGTAGCCGATTTTATTGTCAACTTCATTTTTACTTGAGGAA
The DNA here is from genome assembly GCF_000001405.40 of Homo sapiens. Taxonomy (NCBI): domain Eukaryota; kingdom Metazoa; phylum Chordata; class Mammalia; order Primates; family Hominidae; genus Homo; species Homo sapiens. The sequence continues at coordinate 67,904,100 of NC_000005.10, read as the reverse complement.
ATAACTATTTTCAGCAAACAAATAGAGCTTGAATTTGAACTGAAGTCTTCTGCCTCTTCATTCATGGCTCTTTCTCACTAACCCACAGCAAAAGGGCAGGGAAATGTAATGAGAGGTAAGGCTTTCCAACAGGTTGAGCTTTTGGGGTCATATCAGGTCAGTCAGGGGTCAGAATCTACATCTTCAGTAGAGAAAATTACTACAAAGAATTGTTAACCAGATACAGGCAGTCTGCTTGGCACAGTAGTATGGGACTATAAAAATGATTTTGCAAGCTGTACTCACACAAAGCAATCTTAATCATCAAGGAGAAAATTATGATTGTTCTGTGACCCTTAATAATTTTTGTCAAAATATTAAAAATCTCTTATTATTGGTTGTAAATGTGTAGGGAAACGAAACGCATAATAAAACAAACATTTATTTGGAACACTATGAAGCCTTAGAAACATGGAGATTTAAAATATTTTCTATCTTTCTAAAAACCTTTTCAAGAATAATTTGAACAGTGCTGACCTTCTTCTTGTCTTATAATGAACACTACTGAGCAAACATGTTTTCTGCGCCTTGGCAAATTGTCATACTCCTTTCTAAGTTTGGATCAGCTTTTAACATTTATCTTTCTTGCCTTCAAAGTCATAAAATATCTCTTAGAGTTTCTTTAAAGTGAAGTTTTGGTTTTTTTTTTTTCCAATGTTCCTTTCTTTGGGATATTATCATCCTTTATGCCAAAACCATGTTTCTGATTTATGTTACATTTCCTTTCCCTGGCTTCCTCACACCACATATCCTGACTCTCTCAAATGACAGCAGTGTCAATGGTCTCACGGTCACCTATTTTTTTTTTTAATAACTTCATTTATGTTGGGTTTGAATTTCACTTCCAGTGGTATCACTTGTCAGTTCTTTGCTGCATTTCCAACTTTGCTGGCCGATCCCCTCTTTTGATTTTCTGTTTCTATAAAATGTTATGTGGGTTTATCACTGGGAGGCAGGGAGGCAACACATCCATATGCTCTGCTATCTGTGTATGAACTGAATAACAGATGCACAGTAAACAACAAATGGATTGAGGAAAAAAATGACGTGATTGGTCACTTATCATGATACACATGTTATGTATGCAGATTTGTGGACTTAAGAGAACAATAAAGCTTGTACTTTACAATTACTCACAGTTAACATACCATGGTAACTGAAATTTGACTGTGTTATTGGGGGTACTGACATTATTTAACCAAACTCTTAAATTCATGCACCTCAGAACTGTGCAAAGTGAGGACTGCCTATATTAAAGAAGTGAAGAGGCAAGAAAAGGATACCAAATTATCATACAGGCAGTAACTGCAGGAGGCAGCTATTACACATAGGGCTGGGGAAATAAAATGAAACTTGGGTGTTTTTAAAGTTTAGAGACTTGGAGGAGGGGCCCATGGGAGCTGGACTTAGGCTTCTGAAGAGCTGCCTGCCATGAGGCTGCTGTAACAGCTGCTACCGGTTAAAGAAGAGATGGATGCTGCAGTGACACAGACAAGAGCAAGTAGCAAAGTGAAAAGGGTAGGTCTCTTTCCTCTCCCTCTCCAAGCCTTGCAGCCTTCCCTAGAACCTGATTAGCAGAGCCTAACGTGGAGCCAGGTGATGAAGGAAGACTGGTTGGCAGACTGGCAACATCACAAAGCAGAGAGGAGAAGGGTAGGCCTGAAGTTGAGATATGAAGCTGAATAACCAGGACAGTCTTACAGTCTCGGTCTGGGTCAGGATCCTTTCCCTGTTCTCCCTCCTGTAAGTGCTCCTCCTCATTAGCTCTGCAGACACAGGGCACCATGGAGAAGCTGCAATGGGAGCAAAGTTAGGATCAGGTTCAGCAGTGGCAGGTGAGGTCTGCTGACCCTACTACCTGCACAGGTGGCAACTGTGACATTTTAGTTCTGCTTGCAGTCTTGAGCCCAGGAGAGGCAGGAGCGAAGAAGAGAAGTGAAAACAATGTATATGGTGACCTTCTAGGGAATAGGATTGCTGGAAACAGTGAATAGGAAGCGCCGGCACTTGGCTAATCAGAATCATATGGTGCTGCGCCCTGAATACTGAAGTGTCACCGCTGAGCACTCATACTAAGTAGCCAAATGCCCAGGGCAGATTCTGGACTCTTCTGCTGCAATGCTCCAGCAAGACTTAGTCCCAGAGTAACACTGATGTCCTTTCCCTGGGTCTTCAAGCTTTTACTTTACTCAGTTCTAATAGCCAACTATTCCACAGCCTTTCCTATTTACCTTAATAAGAATGCTATATATTTGGATAGCACTCCATGTCTTTCAAAGTATCAAAGTTCTTGAGCTTGCTTATTTCATACAGCAGTTCTGAGAGACCTGTGTAAACAGGAATGTTATTAGCCCCAACCTACAGATGAGAAAAATGTAACTTCGAGGTTTTAAGTAAACTGGAGCCAGAACTTCTTAATCTTCATCTCATGTTCCTACCTCTCTGCTGAGCTGATCTCCAAACCTAATCCAGACCACTCCCTCTGAAAACTGCAAGGATGAGCCCAGAAGGAGTCAATTTCTGTAAGCCAGTGTCTCTTTCCTCATTTTTCTCTGGGTACCTTACCTAGATAAGATTTTCCCTGCCAGAGATTCTACGTGAAACCTAATGGAGTTTATTGCAAATGTGGCCAATTTATTTACATTGGTAAGGGATAAAGGTAAAGATAGGGAGAAAGATAGCTATAGCTTGATCCCAACTGTATTGCTTTCTAAAAATATATAAGCTGATCAGAGTTCTTTATTTTGGCCTTCCTAAAAGGGATACCTCTAACATTTAACATTTTTCCTCATGCTGGAATTTTCTTCTGTGTATTCACACATCTTGAATGACTGGTACTGGGCACATTAGCTATGAATCATCTACATTTCTAGAACCCTATTAATTCTCTATAGAATTAAATTAGGCCTAGCTCTTAATGAGTATTGCCAGTGAAGAGAATGTTTGTTCTTAATGGGAACATTTTCCATTAGACCAATATCCGTACCCCAAATAGAAACTATTGACGGGATCTCTAGTGTTAGCATGTTGCTTTATGTCCCTTGGCCTAACCTCATTTTGAGCACAGAGGAAAGATTGTGGGGTCCTAAAGTCAAAGTGATAGTCTTCTAAGCTCTAGATTCTCTTGAAAGCACTTGGTCAAATTTTACAAGAAGAGAAGATGATGACAATTTCAGAAAGAGGGGAAAAAAGAAGAAAAATTATCTCTCTGTTCCCACAGGCAAAGAAAGCCACAAACCTAACATTTCCCAACAATTTAAAACCCACAGCTTTACAGTTTCTGGAAAAATTGCCAGAGTGTCTGCGGCAGAGTCAGAAATAGAAGCCAGGTGTTGGCCTCTCGTGTTCGTGCTGCCTTCCCTCTGTTCCTAGATGACACGAGGTCAGTTCTTTCCATCACGAGGTCCTCAGGGTTCTGCAGCTGTCATGTCTGGGAGCTATGTGTTAATGTGCACTGACTGCTGTATCTGATTCCTTTGGATAATGGGAAAACTTTGCAATATGTTCGACATGTCTCCCCACCTCACTCTGTGTGTGATATGAATTCTGCATGTGTTCTGCATTGACCACCCATTCCAGGATCGTTTTTATCAATGTAGATGCCCTACCATCCGAATAATTGTAGACCAAACCTTGTTTCCCGACTACCAGATCAGGCCTTTGCTGACTTAGACCTGAAGAGAAGGAAAATATCACCTCCTGGACATTTGAATCCTAAATAGACACAGTTGGTGTACATTTCTTTACGTCAAGTGTAAAGAGCAGAGAATCAGTCTGCTAATTAGGGCTTTAAGAAGGAGAATTCTCACATCTGCTGTCAGGCAGTGATAATTCCTAGAGAGGGTATAGTGAGAGAATCCCAGTTTCCTGCTTTTTGTCCTGCAGTGATGATCATTGTTGAACATTTTGCAGAATTTTGTATTTTCTGTGTGCTTTTCTGCTTTCACACTAAATGCTTCTGGACACTGCTACATATTATTCCCATCAAGATCTCACTCTTTATAGTAAAGATGCTTGATTTTTAGAACAGGCAAGAATCTGAGGCAATTTGATCTGGCTGTAAATAAAGTAATCTCTTAGGTAGCAGTAGCCAGAGCAAAACCTAGCTCCTTGCTTCCTACTATAATACTTTCCCAAACATACTTTCTGTAGGAAACCTTCATTGACACTGATGACCTTTTTTTTCCTTTTTAATTTTATGCTAGTTTGAGTTGTCTACTAATTTTTCTGTCTGTGTAATAATGCATCCTCACTTCAACCTTGGGTCCCATAGGGTAGAAATTAAACTTGACACTTCTTCGCCTGCCTCTAACACAGTCTTGGGCAAGTGGCAGGTGTCCCTGAAGTTCTTGTTGACAAGTGATGGATTGTTGGCTTCCTTGAAATTCCTATAATTTTCTCTCAATTCCTTCCCCTAAGTTCTCTGCTTCTATTTTTACAGTTACTGTATATATTTAACTATTTACTTAGCATATGGTCTTCAGGAAAATTTTTCTCCCCAGTTTTTTTCCATTCAGTGCTTACAGTTTTGTAAAGTATGGCCTTAATATCTCTGCTCCTATTCTCCATGACAATACATAAGCTTCTTGAAGGCAAAAACATTTTTTGACACCATAAAAATGACTGATGCAGTAGTACCTTAAAAACTTCTTTTGAGTGAATGATTGGATAGTTTCCAAGTCATCCCAAAGTGTAGATTCTTGACTTGTAATGGAGACGGGGCAGCTTACCTATTGTCTCTTTTTTCCTGTGGGTATCTAACAGCTTTCTATGAGTTACTCAGTTAGAGGAGGAGTGTTCAGGTTCTCAGAGCCATCTCTTCCTGGAGAATCCAGCTATGTCTATTAAAATGCAACATACAACTAAACATACATACACATGAAGAATATTTGCATTACCAGGATAAACCTTAGATTTTCTTCTGAGGACTAAAAACTAACCAATCTACAATGTTCTCTCTGTATTTCTAAACCATTTAATTGTTATTGGTAAATAATATTGACACTAATAAAAATGCATGTATTTATTTTTATAGTTTTTTTAAGCATTCCTTTATATCCGACAATGATGATGCTTTCATGAGCACTTTGTTTAAAATGAGTAGATTCTAAGTGTCTGGACAGTACTCCAAATTTCTGTAAGACATCTGTCAACCCATTTCAAATCAAGGGCAATTTTCAAGCTATATTTTTTCCCCACTTTGTTTTTTGTATGGAATTTATTTTGAAGTGGTTTTTGTGTTTTTTTTGTTTGTTTGTTTTTTTGTTTTGTTTTTTTTTTTTTTTGCTTTTGTTTGTGTGGAGGAAAGAGCCTGCTGTTATTAAACTTAAAAGGGAGTTGGGCTGTTTTCTCTGGTAAAATTTCATTTGGGTAAGGTCAGTGAATAGCACCTGCTTTTCTTGAGAATTTGCATGAACACTGTAGTTATGGATTTCTTCCATACCTAATGTCAACACGTTGTCTCACAAAATGCCCATAGGGAAGGCCCCTCATCATTTGTCATCTGGGGCCTGTCTGCTCTTCTGGCTACTCTGGAAGGCCATCTGGCTACTTAATAAAACCAGTACATCTCTTGGGTCTGTTCAGTGATGCCTACATGCAATTTAGATTTTTCATAGACTTTTCCAAGATCTGTCCTGGATGAGCATACTGCATGCCTCACAGAAAATGTCTCTGCTCTTTTATGCTTTCTTTGTTCTGAGTCTTGGAAAGTGTATAGAAAGGTCTCAGTGTTATGAGCACACACGGAGAGTAATTAATGGATACTAATTAAGCAAGGGGTGGGAGGTATAATGCTGTGTTATTGACCATTTTCAAGTATGTTGCAAGCAGAGTCTGTACTTTGTGTTCCTCTGTTCTTAGTATGAACACGACTTGGCATGAGAGGAGCTTGGCCATGGAGTGAGTAACCGGTGAGCAACTGTGCAGTTGATGCCCCAGGACATGGTACTAAACCTGGCTAGTTGGGTCTCTTACAGTTCCCTGCAGACTCCCTTCCTCTAAATCTGGACTGCAACCTGTCTCTAAGGTCCAGCTCAAGGCCCATATTATTTAACAATATTCATAAAATATTTATTGAGTGCCTACGACATGCTGGACAATTGTTGGGGAGACAGTGAAATCTAAGACAGACATGTTCTGGCCCTCAGGTAACTTGCATTCTGGTGGGAAAGGTGGAACAGACAAAACATCAAATCAACAAATAATAAACAAGACAAGTGTAGCAGACAATACTAGTGCCTAATCTTCTTTTACTCTCTCCCTGTCCCCCTTGGCATTCACCTCTGTGCACAGAGGGCTGCTTATTGCCAGCCCTTGTGACTTTGCCCGAGGATTTTTTTTATAATCTTGGCCAATGTACAACGCTAGGTGGAAAGGCCAGTCAATCAATGCTGACTGGAATCAATGAATAAATATCCTAGCTTCCTTTCTCTCAGGCGGGACAACTCTGAGGCATGTTCTATACTGTTGTGAAAAAAAATTGTGAAAGACTTGGAAGTGGGTAAAAGAGATTACTGGATGTTCTTTCAAAGGAATGTTGGGTATGATTTAGTGACCCTCAGGCATTGTCTATTCCATAAGAGCATACAGCTTTGATTGTCTGACTAAGTATTTTATTTTCTGTCTGTAGAGGCAGAAGTTTGTGGGGCACTGATGGCAAAGCTGATGGACTGCAGATGGATGTTTTCTGTCCATAGCAAAGCAAATGTTTACCACTCATGACAAAGTCAGTGGATTTTGTACAGTAGATAAGTCAAATTTTTATTTGAACTCTTTGTAATATCATACTAGTTCCCTTCATAATTGATAAGTTGAATGAAATCCTTGATATGTGTTCATTTCATGTTTGCATGAAATAAACGATTTTACCATTTGAAAATTTTTCCTCAATAGAAGCTCCCCAGCAGGACTAAGCTTCAACTGGCTTCCTTCCCTTTCCTGCCTCACTTCCCCATTCTTTATCCATGTTCCTCGGGAGGAACTCCTTAATAAAAAAGCTGATTTACCTCAGGGTCTGCTTCAGGGGGGATCAAGACAACAAATAAATCCCACTCCCTGCATTCCTGAAGTGACAGACCCATTGTCTCCCTGACCTTCTCTCCTACAATACCTACAGTGGTGTAAGAACTGTTTTATGTGAAAAAGGGGAAGAATATGCTTGTTTTACTCAAGAGTCTGAGGAAAAGAGACATAAAAAGGTGAGGTAAGGAGGAGGTATCAGTGGAGGGTACAACACAGTACCTTGTGATGCAATCCTTCCTTTATGACTCCTGTCTGTGAAGTTATTAAGTTCAAGAAACACTTAGGTGTGGGTCAATTTCTGACTTTGAAAGGGCAAAGTTTATATCTGATGACAGTACAAGGATAGAACCAAAAGTGTGGAAATGCAGTTGATATGGTTTTTCTGTGCCCCCAGCCAAATCTCATCTTGAATTGTAGTTCCTATAATCCCTACGTGTTGTGGGACCAAGTGGAGGTCATTTAATCATGGGGGAGGTTTCACCCATCCTGTTCTCGTGATAGTGAGTTAACTCTCACAAGATCTGATGGTTTTGCAAGGGACTTCCCCTTTCACTGAGCACTCAGTGTCTCTCCTGCCACCATGTGAGAAAGGGTGTGTTTGCTTCACCATCTGCCATGATTATAAGTTTCCTGAGGCCCCCCCAGCCATGCTGAACTCTGAGTTAATCAAGCCTCTTTCCTTATAAATTACCCAGTCTTAGTTAGGTATGTATTTATTAGCAGCGTGAGAACGAACTAAAACAGCAAATTATTACTGGGAGTGGGGCATTGCTATAAAGATACCCAAAACTGTGGAAGTGACTTTGGAACTGAGTAACACACAGAGATTGGAACAGTTTGGAGGGCTCAGAAGAACACAGGAAAATGTGGGAAATTTTACACTTTGGGGGACTGTTGGAAGGGCATGATTGTGTTTTGAATTGTGAGGACATGAGATTTGGGAGGGGCCAGGAGTGGAATGATATGGTTTAGCTGTGTCCCCACCCAAATTCATCTTGAATTGTTGTTCCCATAATGCCATATGTCATGGGAGGGACCAGGTGGAGATAACTGAGTCATGGGGGCAGTTTCTCCCATCCCGTTCTCATGATAGTGCGTGAGTTCTCATAAAATCTCATGGTTTTACAAGGGGCTTCCTCTTTTGCTGGGCACTCATTCTCTCTCCTGCTGCCAGGTAAAGAAGGATATGTTTGCTTCCCTCTCCACCTTTATTGTAACTTTCCTGAGGCCTCCCCAGCCATGCTGAACTGTGAGTCATTCAACCTCTTTCCTTTATAAACTACCCAGTCACAGGTATGTCTTTTTTTTTTTTTTTTTTACATTTGGGTATTCTTTATTTATAAAGTACCTTTTCAAGTCTCTTGCCTGTTTATCCTTTGTACTGTCTTTCATTTTCTTTTTTTTATTTTTTTTATTTTTTATTATTATACTTTAAGTTTTAGGGTACATGTGCACATTGTGCAGGTTAGTTACATATGTATACATGTGCCATGCTGGTGCGCTGCACCCACTAACTCGTCATCTAGCATTAGGTATATCTCCCAATGCTATCCCTCCCCCCTCCCTCCACCCCACCACAGTCCCCAGAGTGTGATATACCCCTTCCTGTGTCCATGTGATCTCATTGTTCAATTCCCACCTATGAGTGAGAATATGCGGTGTTTGGTTTTTTGTTCTTGCCATAGTTTACTGAGAATGATGATTTCCAATTTCATCCATGTCCCTACAAAAAACATGAACTCATCATTTTTTATGGCTGCATAGTATTCCATGGTGTATATGTGCCACGTTTTCTTAATCCAGTCTATCACTGTTGGACATTTGGGTTGGTTCCAACTCTTTGCTACTGTGAATAATGCCGCAATAAACATATGTGTGCATGTGTCTTTATAGCAGCATGATTTATAGTCCTTTGGGTATATACCCAGTAATGGGATGGCTGGGTCAAATGGTATTTCTAGTTCTAGATCCCTGAGGAATCGCCACACTGACTTCCACAATGGTTAAACTAGTTTACAGTTCCACCAACAGTGTAAAAGTGTTCCTATTTCTCCACATCCTCTCCAGCACCTGTTGTTTCCTGACTTTTTAATGATTGCCATTCTAACTGGTGTGAGATGGTATCTCATTGTGATTTTGATTTGCATTTCTCTGATGGCCAGTGATGATGAGCATTTTTTCATGTGTTTTTTGGCTGCATAAATGTCTTCTTTTGAGAAGTGTCTGTTCATGTCCTTCGCCCACTTTTTGATGGGGTTGTTTGTTTTTTTCTTGTAAATTTGTTTGAGTTCATTGTAGATTCTGGATATTAGCCCTTTGTCAGATGAGTAGGTTGCGAAAATTTTCTCCCATTTTGTAGGTTTCCTGTTCACTCTGATGGTAGTTTCTTTTGCTGTGCAGAAGCTCTTTAGTTGAATTAGATCCCATTTGTCAATTTTGGCTTTTGTTGCCATTGCTTTTGGTGTTTTAGACATGAAGTCCTTGCCCATGCCTATGTCCTGAATGGTATTGCCTAGGTTTTCTTCTAGGGTTTTTATGGTTTTAGGTCTAACGTTTAAGTCTTTAATCCATCTTGAATTGATTTTTGTATAAGGTGTAAGGAAGGCATCCAGTTTCAGCTTTCTACATATGGCTAGCCAGTTTTCCCAGCACCATTTATTAAATAGGGAATCCTTTCCCCATTGCTTGTTTTTCTCAGGTTTGTCAAAGATCAGATAGTTGTAGATATGCGGCATTATTTCTGAGGGCTCTGTTCTGTTCCATTGATCTATATCTCTGTTTTGCTACCAGTACCATGCTGTTTTGGTTACTGTAGGCTTGTAGTACAGTTTGAAGTCAGGTAGTGTGATGCCTCCAGCTTTGTTCTTTTGGCTTAGGATTGACTTGGCAATGCGGGCTCTTTTTTGGTTCCATATGAACTTTAAAGTAGTTTTTTCCAATTCTGTGAAGAAAGTCATTGGTAGCTTGATGGGGATGGCATTGAATCTGAAATTACCTTGGGCAGTATGGTCATTTTCACGATATTGATTCTTCCTACCCATGAGCATGGAATGTTCTTCCATTTGTTTGTATCCTCTTTTATTTCCTTGAGCAGTGGTTTGTAGTTCTCCTTGAAGAGGTCCTTCACATCCCTTGTAAATTGGATTCCTAGGTATTTTATTCTCTTTGAAGCAATTGTGAATGGGAGTTCACTCATGATTTGGCTCTCTGTTTGTCTGTTGTTGGTGTATAAGAATGCTTGTGATTTTTGTACATTGATTTTGTATCCTGAGACTTTGCTGAAGTTGCTTATCAGCTTAAGGAGATTTTGGGCTGAGACAATGGGGTTTTCTAGATATACAATCACGTCGTCTGCAAAGAGGGACAATTTGACTTCCTCTTTTCCTAATTGAGTACCCTTTATCTCCTTCTCCTGCCTAAATGCCCTGGCCAGAACTTCCAACACTATTTTGAATAGGAGTGGTGAGAGAGGGCATCCATGTCTTGTGCCAGTTTTCAAAGGGAATTCTTCCGGTTTTTGCCCATTCAGTATGATATTGGCTGTGGGTTTGTCATAGATAGCTCTTATTATTTTGAAATACGTCCCATCAATACCTAATTTATTGAGAGTTTTTAGCATGAAGGGTTGTTGAATTTTGTCAAAGGCTTTTTCTGCATCTATTGAGATAATCATGTGTTTTTTGTCTTTGGCTCTGTTTATATGCTGGATTACATTTATTGATTTGCGTATATTGAACCAGCCTTGCATCCCAGGGATGAAGCCCACTTGATCATGGTGGAAAAGCTTTTTGATGCGCTGCTGGAATCGTTTTGCCAGTATTTTATTGAGGATTTTTGCATCAATGTTCATCAAGGATATTGGTCTAAAATTCTCTTTTTTGGCTGTGTCTCTGCCCGGCTTTGGTATCAGAATGATGCTGGCCTCATAAAATGAGTTAGGGAGGATTCCCTCTTTTTCTATTGATTGGAATAGTTTCAGAAGGAATGGTACCAGTTCCTCCTTGTACCTCTGGTAGAATTCGGCTGTGAATCCATCTGGTGCTGGACTCTTTTTGGTTGGTAAACTATTGATTATTGCCACAATTTCAGCTCCTGTTATTGGTCTATTCAGAGATTCAACTTCTTCCTGGTTTAGTCTTGGGAGAGTGTATGTGTCCAGGAATTTATCCATTTCTTCTAGATTTTCAAGTTTATTTGAGTAGAGGTGTTTGTAGTATTCTCTGATGGTAGTTTGTATTTCTGTGGGATCGGTGGTGATATCCCCTTTATCATTTTTTATTGTGTCTATTTGATTCTTCTCTCTTTTTTTCTTTATTAGTCTTGCTAGCAGTCTATCAATTTTGTTGATCCTTTCAAAAAACCAGCTCCTGGATTCATTAATTTTTTGAAGGGTTTTTTGTGTCTCTATTTCCTTCAGTTCTGCTCTGATTTTAGTTATTTCTTGCCTTCTGCTAGCTTTTGAATGTGTTTGCTCTTGCTTTTCTAGTTCTTTTAATTGTGATGTTAGGGTGTCAATTTTGGATCTTTCCTGCTTTCTCTTGTGGGCATTTAGTGCTATAAATTTCCCTCTACACACTGCTTTGAATGCATCCCAGAGATTCTGGTATGTTGTGTCTTTGTTCTCGTTGGTTTCAAAGAACATCTTTATTTCTGCCTTCATTTCGTTATGTATCCAGTAGTCATTCAGGAGCAGGTTGTTCAGTTTCCATGTAGTTGAGCTGTTTTGAATGAGATTCTTAATCCTGAGATGTAGTTTGATTTCACTGTGGTCTGAGAGATAGTTTGTTATAATCTCTGTTCTTTTACATTTGCTGAGGAGAGCTTTACTTCCAAGTATGTGGTCAATTTTGGAATAGGTGTGGTGTGGTGCTGAAAAAAATGTATATTCTGTTGATTTGGGGTGGAGAGTTCTGTAGATGTCTATTAGGTCTGCTTGGTGCAGAGCTGAGTTCAATTCCTGGGTATCCTTGTTGATTTTCTGTCTCGTTTATCTGTCTAATGTTGACAGTGGGGTGTTAAAGTCTCCCATTATTAATGTGTGGGAGTCTAAGTCTCTTTGTAGGTCGCTCAGGACTTGCTTTATGAATCTGCAGGCTCCTGCATTGGGTGCATATATATTTAGGATAGTTAGCTCTTCTTGTTGAATTGATCCCTTTACCTTTATGAAATGGCCTTTTTTGTCTCTTTTGATCTTTGTTGGTTTAAAGTCTGTTTTATCAGAGACTATGATTACAACCCCTGCCTTTTTTTGTGTTCCATTTGCTTGGTAGATCTTCCTCCATCCCTTTATTTTGAGCCTATGTGTGTCTCTGCACGTGAGATGGGTTTCCTGAATACAGCACACTGATGGGTCTTGACTCTTTATCCAATTTGCCAGTCTGTGTCCTTTAATTGGAGCATTTAATCCATTTACATTTAAAGTTAATATTGTTATGTGTGAATTTGATCCTGTCATTATGATGTTAGCTGGTGATTTTGCTCGTTAGTTGATGCAGTTTCTTCCGAGTCTTGATGGTCTTTACATTTTGGCATGATTTTGCAGCGGCTGGTACCGGTTGTTCCTTTCCATGTTTAGCGCTTCCTTCAGGAGCTCTTTTAGGGCAGGCCTGGTGGTGACAAAATCTCTCAGCATTTGCTTGTCTGTAAAGTATTTTATTTCTCCTTCACTTATGAAGCTTAGTTTGGCTGGATATGAAATTCTGGGTTGAAAATTCTTTTCTTTAAGAATGTTGAATATTGGTCCCCACTGTCTTCTGGCTTGTAGGGTTTCTGCCGAGAGATCCGCTGTTAGTCTGATGGGCTTCCCTTTGAGGGTAACCCAACCTTTCTCTCTGGCTGCCCTTAACATTTTTTCCTTCATTTCAACTTTGGTGAATCTGACAATTATGTGTCTTGGAGTTGCTCTTCTCGAGGAGTATCTTTGTGGCGTTCTCTGTATTTCCTGAATCTGAACGTTGGCCTGCCTTGCTAGATTGGGGAAGTTCTCCTGGATAATATCCTGCAGAGTGTTTTCCAACTTGGTTCCATTCTCCCCATCACTTTCAGGTACACCAATCAGACGTAGATTTGGTCTTTTCACATAGTCCCATATTTCTTGGAGGCTTTGCTCATTTCTTTTTACTCTTTTTTCTCTAAACTTCCTTTCTCGCTTCATTTCATCTTCCATTGCTGATACCCTTTCTTCCAGTTGATCGCATCAGCTTCTGAGGCTTCTGCATTCTTCACGTAGTTCTCGAGCCTTGGTTTTCAGCTCCATCAGCTCCTTTAAGCACTTCTCTGTATTGGTTATTCTAGTTATACATTCTTCTAAATTTTTTTCAAAGTTTTCAACTTCTTTGCCTTTGGTTTGAATGTCCTCCCGTAGCTCAGAGTAATTTGATCGTCTGAAGCCTTCTTCTCTCAGCTCGTCAAAGTCATGCTCCATCCACCTTTGTTCCGTTGCTGGTGAGGAACTGCGTTTCTTTGGAGGAGGAGAGGTGCTCTGCGTTTTAGAGTTTCCAGTTTTTCTGTTCTGTTTTTTTCCCCATCTTTGTGATTTTATCTACTTTTGGTCTTTGATGATGGTGATGTACAGATGGGTTTTTGGTGTGGATGTCCTTTCTGTTTGTTAGTTTTCCTTCTAACAGACAGGACCCTCAGCCGCAGGTCTGTTGGAGTACCCTGCCGTGTGAGGTGTCAGTGTGCCCCTGCTGGGGGGTGCCTCCCAGTTAGGCTGCTCGGGGGTCAGGGGTCAGGGACCCACTTGAGGAGGCAGTCTGCCCGTTCTCAGATCTCCAGCTGTGTGCTGGGAGAACCACTGCTCTCTTCAAAGCTGTCAGACAGGGACATTTAAGTCTGCAGAGGTTACTGCTGTCTTTTTGTTTGCCTGTGCCCTGCCCCCAGAGGTGGAGCCTACAGAGGCAGGCAGGCCTCCCTGAGCTGTGGTGGGCTCCACCCAGTTGGAGCTTCCCAGCAGCTTTGTTTACCTAAGCAAGCCTGGGCAATGGCGGGCGCCCCTCCCCCAGCCTCGCTGCTGCCTTGCAGTTTGATCTCAGACTGCTGTGCTAGCAATCAGCGAGACTCCGTGGGCGTAGGACCCTCCGAGCCAGGTGTGGGATGTAATTTCGTGGTGCGCCGTTTTTTAAGCCCGTCGGAAAAGCGCAGTATTCGGGTGGGAGTGACCCGATTTTCCAGGTGCCGTCTGTCACCCCTTTCTTTGACTCAGAAAGGGAACTCGCTGACCCCTTGCGCTTCCCAAATGAGGCAATGCCTCGCCCTGCTTCGGCTCGCGCATGGTGCGTGCACCCACTGACCTGCGCCCACTGTCTGGCACTCCCTAGTGAGATGAACCCGGTACCTCAGATGGAAATGCAGAAATCACCCATCTTCTGCGTCGCTCACGCTGGGAGCTGTAGACCTGAGCTGTTCCTATTCGGCCATCTTGGCTCCTCCCCCCAGGTATGTCTTTTTTTAGCCATGTGAGAAGGGGCTAATACAGCAGTAGAAAAAAAGGGGAAATATAGGAATGTGGATACAGAGAGAAGAATAAGGGAGAATCTTCCTTTGGGAACCTCAAGGCAAGCACAGTGAAATCTCTAAGAACAGTAAGGTCCTAACCAACACAAGGGTAACCCTGTACTTGGTTTGTGTGCATTAATTTTTCTTCCCCAGTGGACTTTAAAATGCTAGAACAGGGGCCATTTTGCACCCTGTTCTAGTCTTTACAGTGAAAGGGACAAATAGAAACAAAGAGGTAGTTGTATTAATATGCCAGATTAATGCAGACAAATTAACAGGGAAGCACCATTAAAATATAATACAATCTCAGGCAATAATTTGATAAAGTATAACCCAAGATAAAGATGGAAGAAAAATGGACTAAATTTGCCATGTAAACCAGGTAACTTTTAAGTTCTAAGGGCTATGGAATTTTCTGAAAACTCTATGTCAACATTCCATGGATGTAAGCAAACTGGGAAAAACTGGCAGACAGAAATGTGATAACTGCACAGCAAAGCCAAACCACCTAAATGATACTGATCTTCTTATTTGCTAAAGCAGGTTGCAGCACCCACCCAATTTATCTAAGAAATTAATCAATTATAAGTCAAAATAGAAACAGGGCACAGTCATGGTTTACCAATTTGGAATTAGAATTACATCTGTCATAAATCTGTTTTACTCACTCTGGTTCTCATTGTGATATTGATAAACCATTACCAAGTTGAAATTCTTCCAGGACTGAACATTTTGGGGCCAGACTATTTCTGCCTTGAGTAAAAGGCTGAATAGAGAGCAACAAAGCCATCGAAGGATCTTATTCTGAATAATATTCTCAGTAGGATACAATAGAGTTGGACTCTCATCAGTAGAGAATACTTTGGCTTAAAAATCTAGTCATTCCTACTGTGGATTCTAGATTTTAAAGTCCAGTGGCAACATCTTTGGAAAAATAAGCCTGGCTTGAGAGTTGAGGAAGTGCCCCACAGACTATTGGATGGGTTATATAAGGAAGAAATGATGGTTTCTCTTTTAAGGTCGGGTTATATTTGACTGTGAATCCATGTTGAGGAATCTCAAGGAACTGGAGAAAACATCTTGGCAAAGTCGAATCCCATAACTCATAACATCCAATACTTCTGTTCTTAAGAAAGCTTCCTTTTTCTGGTGGATCTTGTCTCAAAATTAAGTGATTGATCAGAGTATATAAGCAGATGATACACTTTACTAACATGGGCCCAACAAAAATCAACTATGTGACCTAAAGAAATATAAGTAACTTAAAACTCCAGCTCTTAGCTCAAAGCCTAGTAATAGTCAACTAATTTTTGTTGAACAATTAACAAACACATTCTCAAATTTTGTTATCTGTGGACTGTGGGCTTCCTAACCTAGTATACAGTTAGTATAATACAATCCTTGGATTAGCTTATAGGGAGGAAATGTTTGGAATACAGCCAGTTTCATTGCCAAATAAAGAATCATTGCTCTTAGTAAAGACTAGCTTATCTTATGGCAGGCCCTCTTGCACTGTGGTCTTTTTTTCTGTCCCTTGAATAAATCCTGGTATTTTCACCTCTGGACTTTTGCATATATTATTCTGGCTGACTTGAATTTTGCCCCACCTCTACTTCAAGACTCAGCTTGAATGTCACTTTCTTGAGAAACCTTCTCTGACGTTGTGTAAGATAAATATCTCCACTGTACTCCCCATAGCACTGAGCACTTCCCCTTTGTAGCACTTAGCTGAGGTGTGATTTTGACATTTGGGCTGTGAATGAGCATATGTCCATCTCCTCTCACAACTCTATCAAGGCTGGAATTGTGTCTGCTTCTTCTCACCATTGTATCTTTAGCTCCTAGCATGGTGGCTAACACTTAGAAGATGCTCAAATATTTGTGGAATGAATGGCTTAAGCATGTTTCTCATAAACCCATGTACTCTGGTGTGGCATTGATCCCTTTAAGGATGCCCTCCAGGCTTTGTCTTCCAACTTCCACTTCTTTTCTTTGCAATTGTTTATTGCCGTGGACCTTTCACTTGGGATTTCTTCCAAGGTCTTTGCTCAAATGCTCTCTGGTTCCCTGAACTCCTTAGTTCTAAGAAGAGCATAATTTCTCCTTTACTCAAGGAAATATTGCTATTGGCCAGTAGTGATTAACCAGGTCAAATATCAATCAGATGATGAATTTAATTCAGAGTGCTGTAAATATCAGCCATTTCTACCCACTTACCCATCCAGCCCTTTGGTCTGAGATCCTAGTGATGGATCTGAAAAGAGCCCTCCTCCCAGGGAAGGTAGTTTTAAATCCATCCCCTTCTTTGTCTGGTAGTGAGTTGCTCCTTAGGTCACCATTGTCCTTTATTTTGGCCAAGAAAATTACTACAAAGAAGGCCACTCATTGCCTTTTTCTCAGGGACTCTGAGGACCCTTTCCTAGCATTTAAGTAAGAATGTGTCACTTCTATCTGATAAATTAAAAATTAAATATTTGCCATGTGCAAGAAGTAGGAAAACAAAAGGTTGGGTCTATCTAATTCCTTTAATGTATGCACAGAAGCAGAGGCACTAAACATTGCCATTCAGAGCACGTCCCCTGGGAGAAGGCAGGGACACAGACTTCTGCTCTGTAGGTGAATTTTCCCTTTGCAGCTTGCCTGAATTCTACATTTGGACAATCTGCCTGCTTAAGGGCCTGCTTACTGATTGTTGTTTAATGCCAGTAAGCAGCAAAAGGAAAGCAGATCTACCAGGCCTTTTTGCTTCAAGACTAGTTGAGGCCAACCTGAACTGCTATGGAGAGCACCTATGGGCCCTTTTGAGAAACCGAAACTTAAGCATCAATATCCAAACCCTATGCCCTCTGATATTCTCCTGAGGCATCTGGCATGAGATTTCTCATGCTCCTTTATTTTGTGCCTGTCTTTCAGAATTGGGTTCTTAGGCAGTGGTGAACTGGGTAAGGGGAGGAAGAGGAATGTGTCTACTGTATTTAGGCAAAAAGCCATTCTTCATTCAGTAGTACAGTGCTAGAGCTGAGTTATATAAACAAGACTTTGAGACAGTATGGAAGATGGGAAAACCACATTCTTATTGATTAGCAACCCTCTTTCACAAATGGCAGAATAATATCAGTATCTGACTATAGTTGGAATAATTTTTCTTCCATTACAATTACAAGGCATAATATCTAATCACTTGTTTAAAAAGTATTTGATTAATTTATTTCATTTTTAAATAGGTAATAAGTCACATGGATCTATGCAAAGGTAGAGAGGAAGTCTCCATTCTATCTCTGCCCCCCATCAGCCAGTTGTCATTCCTTCTCCATGATTCTTCTGATCACTTTCTGAGGATATCATGTAGCTTGTCCCACTAGCCCCTACATTTCCTTAAAACAGAAGGACTTTATTAGATCACAGTTAAACCTTTTGAGATGCAAAACATTCCACATGACATGGTTTACTTCATATTCCATCTCAAATGGGCTCCCCCACCATTAAAGATGTTAAATTGAGCATTGATGTGATCCTCCCATTGCTAAGTTCTCCCCTTTGAATAGTGTGGAACGTTGTTTTTGGCACTGTACTGAAGTCGAATACATTAACCATTCACCTGATGATTTTATCATCAAGATTTGGGGACACTGATGGCAGATGGAGAAAACCCATCCTTATTTATTAGCAATTATTGTTGATGTGTCTGAATCAATACTTCCATTTGTAGTTGCACAATGATTTTCTAAATCTATTATTATTTTCCTATACATTAGTTGCCATTCTCCTGTAAAGTAGAGCTTTCTCTTTCCAACTGGGACTATTTAGTAAACTTTAAGTAAAATTCTTCGTAAGACAGAAGGAATGTTTAATTTTCTCCTTTAAATTACTGATTGTCAAAGCTGATTTGGTTCAATAGTCTCAAATGGTGACCACTTTTTCTTTTCTTTTCTTTTTGTTTTTTGCTTTCTCTTTGAGTGCTGTTGTAGACTGATAGATTTCCATAGATTTCATGTCAGTTACAAACAGTATTCTTTTTGACACTCAAATTGTTATGTTTTTGGTTAGTTTGAGCCCCTTTCATCTGGATTCTATACTATTTGATATGAACTTATTAATCTGTGAATGCTTCTTTGCCCATCATCCTGTGCTCACCCTGCCCCAAAGCAGAAATCAGATATTTCTTAAAGGATTTGATTTTCTTTAGGGGACAATGATATTAAAACTCAAACTCTGGGCATGAGGTGTGTGGAAGCCTCAAGGTGACCTTCTTTCTAGGTAACTTCAGTGCTAGATAACAAATAACATATTTTTTAAACTAAAAGTTCATATTGATATTTTCAGTTTACTTTTAATATTATATTGTTTTTACTTAGCGTCTTTGATTTTATAACTGGAATTTGCTAAAAAAAAAACCTTTAATCTTAAAATTTACATAGTTTCTTTGTTTCATGTAAGAAATATAAAGAAAATAATTTCAAAATAGCAGTGCCAGTATTACTACTAAAATTTATTTGTAATTTTTGTGTACAAAATATCCCACTAAAAGTATACCCTTTACCTCATTTTTCTTTATCCTCTCTAGGTAACAAATTTTGCTAAATATTTGTTTATGTTGCCAAATAAAGAAATCACAACCAGGAAGTTATGTTCCAAAATATTTCTTTTTGTAATTATAAGCCAATACATGTATGTGTTCCTATCACCTTATTTTCCCACGCAAGCAGTAGCATACTACATAACCCTCTATCTCTTGTATTTTTAAAGTACTGTGTCCTAGAGATCTCTCCACTTTTCATCGTAGGGCCTAGCAATCTGTTTCATTCTTTATTTTTAATTTTTAAATTTTTTATGGCTGCATGTTACTATGTTCTGAAGATGTACAATACTTTACTCAACCAAACACCCTATTGCTGTCACTTGGGTGGTTTCCAAACTTCAGCTATTAACAATGTCACAAGGAATAACTTTCCCTATATATCATTTTGTACTTGTACAGGAGTATCTGTAGGCAGTGAGACTTCTGAGTTAGGGGTAAAGTCATCTGTAATTTTGATAAATCTTATTAAATCCCCCTTCTTCAAGGTTATTCTGGTTATATCAGTTTCATATTTTCACCTGCGATGTAAGACAGTGTCTGTTTCCCAACATACTGTTTTGGGTGTTTTACCCCAAACTGGTAAGTATAAAATGCTATGTCAGTGTTAATTTGCATTCTTTTATTATGAATGAGGTTGAGCATCTTTTCATTTGTTTGGGGGCAACCAATATCTTCTTTTGTCTGTGCATAAACTGTTCAGGCCCATACCTTTTTATTATTACTGGCATTTTTCACAATGATTTCTAGATGCTCTTTGTGTGTAAGGGAGAGTAGTCCTTCATCTCTGATACGAACTGCAAATACCTTTCTGAGTTTTGGTTTTACTTATGGTGATCACTTTCATGCTGAATTTTTTTTATATATGTAGAAATTAAAATTTACAATCTCTCTCTTTTAGTGATTCTGGATTTCTAATTACTCTTAAAGTCACATAAACATACTTGATTATAATTCAAATATATGTTAATAAAATGTACGAAAAAGAAGTTATTTCATGTTTAATTTTTGCCTGACTTTTCAATATTACTCCATACCTTCTGTGTTGTTTTTAAAGAAAATCACGTGCAAAATAATCCTGTAGTGGGAAGAGTGAAAAGTTGCAGGATAGAGTTAATGTTTGTTCCACAAATGGCTGTACGAGTCCAGGCACCTTATGGGAGGACTTAGAGATGGTCTACAGAAGGGATGGCAAAATAAAAAAGGCGGTTTAAAATGAGTCAAAAAATGATTCCAAAGTTAATCAGAATCTTCTCTTCTCCCTCGATTTCTGCAATCTCATGTCTTCCTGGCTCCCTCACACTTCTCTTTCTAGTCTTTCTCAGACTAACATCCTAGCCTTTTTCCACAAATAATCTCACCCAATCCAAAGGCTCCTAAAATTCTATTTTTAGTCTGAGACTAAATTTGTATTGTGGTCTAGTCTAGTCTTCAGACTTCTTTTCAGATATCCTGGCCTGATTCTGGTTGCCAGAAAATGGCTGATCTGAATGTTCCTGGATACCTCAAACTTCACATGTGAATAAACGGAATTTATTACTTTCCCACTATACTTCCTGTTTCTTCTACATTTTCATACTCAGGTTAATGTTATCATTGCCTGTCCCAGTCACCCAAGTCCCAAAACTGGGAGATGGCTGAAATCTCTCCTATAACATCTCCATCTCCGTCACTGAATTCTATAAATTCTTCTCTTTAGTTATTATTTATTTATTTATTTATTTATTTATTTGAGATGGAATCTTGCTCTGTCACCCAGGCTGGAGTGCAGTGGCATGACTTTGGCTCACTGCAACCTCCGCCTCCCGGGTTCAAACGATTCTCCTGCCTCAGCCTCCCAAGTAGCTGGGATTACAGGTGAATGCTGCCATGCCCGGCTAATTTTTTCTATTTTAGTAGAGATGGGGTTTCACCGTCTTGCCCAAGCTGGTCTTGAACTCCTGAGCTCAGGCAATCCTCCTGCCTCGGCTTCCCAAAGTGCTGGGATTACAGGCGTGAGTCACCATGCCCGGCCCAGCTATTTTTTTTTTATTTTTAAATTTTTTTATTTAAAAATTTTTTTTTGAGACAGAGTCTTGCTCTGTCTCCAGGCTGGAGTGCAGCATCTTGGCTCACTGCAACCTCCGCCTCCCGGGTTCAAGCAATTCTCCTGCCTCAGCCTCCCGAGTAGCTGGGATTACTGGCACCCACCACCATGCCCGGCTAATGTTTGTATTTTTAGTAGAGATGGGATTTTGTCATGTTGGCCAGGCTGGTCTCGAACTCCTGACCTCAGGTGATCCTCCCACTTCAGCCTCCCTGAATACTGAGATTACAGGCGTAAGCCACTGTGCCCGGCCCTTTTTAGCTATTCTTAAATCCTCCCTTCCTCAGTACACTCCCTACCTTAACCTATTTCCTCTTCATTCTCCATGCAACTCTTATCGTAGCATACCCTTTCTTAAGATACTTTTACGGCTGCTCTCTGCCTATAGACTTAAAGACAAATGTCATCAATTAATATATGAGTAAGAATAAATGCACATTCACTGAGAAGTTATTTTATGCCAGTCTCTGTTCTAATTGCTTCACCTATACTAATCGCATGTTATCTCAATTGGTCCTCACAATAACCTTCAACAATTGGTCCTCACAATAACCTTCAACGTAGGTATGATTATTAGTCCCATTTTACTTAGGAACTGAGGAACCTGCCCTAGTATGCAACGCAGTAAGCAGAAAAACACGAGCTGATTGCAGAGTTATTCTCCCTCCTTGATGGCCTCCTGCTGACTTTTCTGGCTTCCTCTTCTGCCATCTTTTTTCTCCCAGCATTAAGTCTCAACTCCATGGAGCTGCTCTATGAACTTATCACACTATTTGATGCCTCTATACTTTTGTACATGCAGATCCCTCTGCTTATTCCTCCGCTCATCTTTGCTGCATCTCCGCTGATTCCAAGTAAACTCTTACTCATCTCTTTGTCTAAGAAGCACATCATGATCCTTTCATCATCTCCCTACGTAGAGTCAGTCCTGACTACCAAAGACTTTTTGAATATGTCTTTCATTTCTCTCTATAAGCATAGAACCATAATGTGTTTTTACTATGACACTCATCATAGGACCTTGCAGTAATTTGTTAATGCATGTAACTTTTCTAATAAACTCTAAGTTCTTTGAGGGCAGGAACTCTGTCTTGGTGGAGGTGCTCAGTGCATCTTTGTTGGATGAATAAATGAATAATCAGTGCAGGCTATCCTCCCACAAGATTAGATATGAGGTTGCCTCTTCCCTGTCAACTTTCAGTGCTGTAAATACAAATTTTAATAGCGCTTGGAAAATTCCAATATTCTCTTCAATTTCTAGCCATTTTTCAATCTCGATGTTTTATCTTTTCCACAACACTGATTATATCTTTGAGAAAATGGTATTTTTTTTTCTCTTTCCTTCATTCCAAATGAAGTAAATTAGTCTGGTGACCCCTAGATTTTACCACTTATGAAACAATGGGGCCAACCCATTGGTAAGAGTAAAAGAAAACACCAAACTATTCAAACCTGAGGGCAGTTTCCTCCCACAACAAAGTTATTCTTAAATAGCATTCCTTCATTTACTTTTTGCAGAACCACTTTTGGACACATTGTTCTGTCCTTTAATCATGCCAAATCAATCAACCAATTCTTTAGCTTTTCTATTTCTGGGCATTCCTTCAGTCTGCTATCACCAGAAACATATCCTTCAAATCTAATAAAATAAACCTAACACTCTTTTTAAACAACAAAAAAAATAGCTTCCAACTTGTCTGTACAATGTCCCAGTGAGGTCAGCACAAATGGCATCATCCTTGTCATTTTAGCAGTGGGCAGACCAAGCACAGAGACCAAGCGGCTTTGCCCAAGGCCATAAGACAAGTCAGTACCAGAGCTGGAATTAGATAGGAGGAACCCTGGCCCTTTGCCCTGGATTCAGACACTGGTTCATGTTAACCTTAGAATTCTTTTTCCTTAGTTTTATGCCCTCCAAAAGATTAGCGGATAGGGAAACAATGCAGCTATTAAAGACAGGATCTCTTCCCTTACTCTTAAATCCAGCACAATTAAGTTGACTTAAGCTGCAATGAAAGGAGATGCATGTGCTTCCCCCTCTGTTTTTTTTTTCCCCCAAGTGGTGGAAGTGGCCATCTCTGAGGTCACCACAGGATTGACACCTCATATTTGGTCTTCCAAAAACCCATCTCTAAACTCAAGCTTTCCAGTTTGCCATTGGGAATGTTTGCCTTTGAAAAGTCTTAAAGGGAGTCTCATGGGTTCTGTGGTTTTACCCTCTGTGAGAGAAATTGTCCTTGGCCACACCCTAGGCCAGTGTTCCACCTCGCAGCTGTTTGCACCTTCTCTCTGATATGAGAAAGGTGCTGGCGGCTCCCCTCTGTAGCCACTCTGGGAATAGGGGCCCCAGCAGTCTACTGGGAAAGAAAGTGTTCTTAAGAAACATTTCTTGGCAGCAAGCAAAATTTCCACAAAACTCTTAAATATAATAAAATGTAATTAAAGTGCCACATTGAGTTAGCTCCCTTTGAAGTTTCACACTTGCATAATAAACCAAGTCATAAACCAAGATTCAAATAGGACATTATATTTCTTTTTACAGATTAATTCTCATTAATTATCTACTTGACCCCTGCTGTTATAGAGAAGTAAGTACCTGCTGCACCATAATTCGTGCTGATAAAAGGCAGTAAAAGATGAACTCACCGCTGGAAATGGAATCTCACACCTGAATGTCACTTTGTAGTCAGAGAAAATTAGAGCCCATGTTTAGAAATCACCTTATCAAAACTTCAAATGATCTCAGAAATGAGGTATATTCTGCATTTCTGTCTTTTTTATCACTGAGGATTTCAAATTTTATGTTAAGTGGCTGGTCCTCTGATGAAAAATGTGGTCCTTTACAAAGCAGGTTTTTTTGCTAACCTGTGGTGCACAGATCTTAAAACTGTAGATCTGGCCATGAGAGATGGTATGGGACAGCTGTTTTGCAGTGGGGTAAACATGTAAGGTTTTAGGGCTTCATTTTATCTTATCATGCAGTTTTACAGTCCCATTAATAACCACATAGACAAAGAAGGCTTTTCATTGAGACCAGTAAGAATTCACTAACTCACAGGTTACGCCACAAAGACTGATTACTTGTGACTCACACTCAGTGAAAGCTCTTAGGGTGAACTCTCATGAGTCTCAATGCTGAAAATTAATTTGCTTTGTGTGAAGAAACATTTATCTGTGTATACCTGCGCACCTGTGTGTGTTTAGGCTGTCTACAAGTTGTTGATGTGTTCTTTCCTCTTGAGCTATGGACACTGAGAAGACTTCAGGAAGAGAAACACTGCAATATAGTGAAAGGATTAGCAGGGGACTGGTCAGAGAACCAGCAGTGAATTATTGGTATAAAGAAGCAGTCTAGGAAAAGGCTTGAATTGAGCTAAACTGATGTTTAAAAAAGAGGACAAAAGAAAGTATGATAGATATGAAAGCCACATGTTCTTTATATAGATAATTATTCACCTTGGGAAAGGTAACTTGATGTTTTCAAGGATTTCAGCCACTGAAACTTGGTTTGTTCATCTTGTCAAGGGAAGCGGGGAGAGGTAGTAGTAAGAAACAAAAGGATGGAGGACGCCCTTCTACCCCTATGTTCAGCAACTGCAGAGCAATATCTCAAAATGTCATGAGAGCTAAAGCAAAGTGTTATGAATACAGCAGTGTTTACTAAGAAAATGAGTCTTTTTTTTTTTCTCACTGTGTATGCAGCCTGACTGAGTCAAGTATTTCACAGTGCTGCATGGTGATATAAACTATTTCCTCACTAAGAACACCAGCTTCCCCTAGGGTAAAAGCCTACAAAGCCAAATTTCTTATAAAGAGTTGTAAAAAAATAGTCAAAGAACAAATTTATGAGGTCACCTCCCCTTCCCTCTATCAACAAAGAAAGAAATCTGCCCAGAATGTTCCCTGGTCAATCTTGTCTAGTCATTCTTCAAATAGTAATAAAAATAACATTTTAGGGCTTTTTCAGATTGTATTCAAGGCTATGCACAAGATTGCTTGTTTTATGGTCTTGAATCTAACCATTTGCCAGGCTAAATTGAATTTCATTTTTTCGTTTTTTTCATAGTAATTGAATTTGTCATTGGCCATGAACCTAATGTACAACTGGAGAATGAGGTGAGGGGCTGGGGTGAGGGCGAAAGAAGTTGCCACAGTAGTAACAACAGAAAATGGCAGGAAATAACAAGGAAATGCAGGTTATGTGAATGTCCTCCGAAAATCTTTAGAGACCTTGGAAAGCTTAGGAGTACATGGTAACAGAGGTAACAGAGGCAGACTCTGGACATATTTTGTGTGTGTGACAGAATTTTACTCCTGGAAATCTCAGCCTGCTTTGCTAGCAGGAATCAGGTTATGTTAATAATAAATGTTTCTTCGTTAATTCTTTTCTCCAATGTACTTGTATTAGATAGAGAGTGTATTAGTCATGGTTCTCCAGAGAAATATAATGAATAGATCAGATATAGATGATATAGATATAGATACACACACACACACATACACACACACACACACACCGAGAGAGAGAGAGAGAGAGAGAGAGAGAGAGATGCAATTATGAAAGCTGAAGTTCATGATCTGCTGTCTGCAAGTTGGAGACCCAGGAAAACCAGTGGTGAGGTTCTGGTCTGAGTCTGAAGATCTGTGAACTAGAACTGATGGTGTAAGTTTTAGTCCAAGTCTGAAGGCCTGAGACCTGGGAGCACTGATAATGAACCAGGTGTCCAGGGGAAGGAGAAGGCCAAAGTCCTGGCTCAAGCTGTCAGGCAGAGAGTGAATTCTTTCTTCCTTCACCTTTTTTGATCTATTCATGTTCTCAAAGGATTGGATGATGCCTACCCACACTGGGGAGGACAAACTGACTTACTCAGTCTACTGATTCAAATGTGAGGAAACCCCTTATAGTTATACCCAGAAATAGTGTTTTACCAATGATCTGGGCACCCTATGACCCAGTCAAGTTGACACATAAAGTTAGCCACCATAGACAGAGCTTCCCTTTACTCCCATCATGCAAATCCCTCTTTTATTTGCTGACCAAAGACTGAAGCTGAGACAAGGAAGCTCCAGGAAACCCAGTTAAGTCAACATCTTCTGCTTTTTAAATATATTCGAGATCCCTTTTATAGTTATCTATGACATAATTGGAGCATGGGTCTGATCTTACTAGCTGGTCAGGACCCCAGGACCAAAATGTCATTCTTGACTTCCCCTGAGTGACAACTGTCCTCTTGTTCACCAGAACTGGCATTTTATCCTTTGTCTCACACCTTGACACACTTTCCTTTTTGCTTAGTCTTCTTGATTCAAGTAAAATTTTAATACATTTCTGAAAATAAGCCGCAAAACATTAGGAAAAAAGAAATAGTCGAGCAGAAGGATAAAAGATTAAATCAAGGGAAAAAAAACTATAGAAATCAAAGACATTTTTCTCACATCAGATGACTGACCCATCCTCATAAGCAAAACGAATTGTATAAGAATGTTCAAATGTACATTGACTACCTCTAGGTATTCACTTCAGTTAGGTAAGGGAAGACCCTCTGCTTGTTTTGGTTTGTTCACCTGGGAAAAAGCAAAGCCAGTGAACCTTTACCAAAAGGCTTCTCCAGGGACCACATTATACACAGACCTCTTGGTTCCTTGGTGTCTTAGTACGTTTAGTGTTGCTATAAAGGAATACCTGAGGCTAGATGATTTATGAAGAAAAGAGGTTTATTTGGCTCATGGTTTTGCAGGCTGTACGTGAACTATGGCACAAGCATTGGCTTCTGGCAAGGGCTTCAGGCTACTTCCACTCGTGGCAGAAGGTGAAGAAGAACTAACATGTGCAGAGGTCACATGTCAAGAGAGGAAGCGAGAGAGAAAGGTGGGGTGCTAGGCTCTTTTTAACAACCAGCTCTTGCGGGGAACTAGTTGAGTGAGAACCTGCTCATTACCAGAAGGACAGCATCAAGTCATTCATGAGGGACCTGCCCCTGTGACCAAAACACCTCCCATTAGTCCCCACCTTCAAAACTTGTGATTAAATTTCAACATGGGATTTGGAGGGGACAAACATCCAAACTATAGCACTCAGTCTAGGCTAAGGTAGAGTTGCTTGCTGGAGTTGTGAGAAACTGAAAAGTCATGAGGAAACAGATACTTTGCAGCCTCTATAGATTCCCATATGTCTATTTTACCCCTTTAAAAGAAGGGACTATGGTTTGTTTGAAGCTTTTTGGGGTTAGTACTTTTTATAGCCTACAGAATGTGGCCAAAAGATTCTCTGATGAGTGTCTGAGACAAAGGCAGCAGAACTGTTTTTGTGTTGTCATGGTAAATATATTACATGCTACAGGAAAATAAAGCCCAGGCTCATGCAAAAAGTAAAAAAAGAAGAGCAAGACTAGAGGCAAAATGATAGTCTACCTGCTTCTCCCACCCAAGAAGCTTCTGGTCCAGTGGATAATTATAGAAGGAAGCCCTTTTCTCATGTACAAGTATGGGTACTGGAAAGGCAAGGGACAGCCAAGGAGAGGCTCCTGTGACAGCAGTGTGCATGCTTGGCTTCAAGAGTCTAAAGTTAAAGAATACTCAAAAGTCTGTACTGTGGCCTGAAGGAATCGGCACTGTCAACCCAGTGCAAGTTTTTGAGACTGGCAGGCTTGTGTTGGAGCTGAGCTCCACCTAGGATGCCAGCTGATCACCCCTCTGGTGCTGAAGAGAGAAGAGGCAAGACTCTAGAAGAGAATATAGGACAGGGATTGGGATGGAGAGAAGAGGAAGTACCTCTTCCCACTTTGCTTGGGGAACACATGTTTCCTGAGGCTGAGGGGGCATGGAACTTGTTCACATCTGCATATACTAATGACAGTGAGCTGGGCCCCATCTTAGGAAAAGAGCTATTTGCTTCGAGAGTACAAGGGAAGAGTAGGCATACTTGTCATTGGCCACACATGAGGGAGTGGGTGAAGCCAGTTGCATTTTAGTCTTGATGAGCGTTTTGGAGAGCTTTCCAACATCTTTGGTTCAGCAAACCTTAAAACACATGTCACCATGGAACTTCCTTATTTGCCTTTATTTTAAAGCCCTGTGTATTTTTAGGACAATTGAATCCATATGTTTCTGTTTCATTTACACTGAACTCATTAAAGTGATGTTCAGTAAGAGCTGTTTGATGTACACAGAATCTTCTGTTACCATTTTACGAGCATTTTGAGTCATTTGAATTCAGTATTAGGGAGTCAACTAAACCAGATCTGAACAGGACACAGTTTAGCTTGAAGCTTAAAACTCCTGAGACCTTGCTGGATACCATTCTTGGCGAAATATCTTCTCCCATCCCAGATTCACAGCCAAGAAGGCTATTGTATCAAGCCCAGCCCCAGAAGAAGGGTTAAGAGAAGTGTGTCAGAACACTTAATTGAAACAACAAACCCAAGAAATATATCTCAAACAAGTGAAGTGCCCAAAGGAAAAAAATTCATTTAATGTTAGTCCCTATTAGCTTTCTAATAGTGAGCATGAAACAACAACTAAAAGAGCAACCATCAGATTGAATCAAGGCAAAGAGGTCTTGATAACAAATCATGGTCTGTTATGGTGTGAAACTCAAGTTTCATTGCGTATATAGATTTCCATCACATACTTTGTAATGTTTATTGAAATAATAAAATAAAAATATAAAGTGTTTTTTGGGATTTATAAAAGCAATGAAAAACAGAGTGTCATTGTAAGCCAAAGCAATCGAGAATTTTTTAAAGATCTAGTGTGTATTATACTGGATACAGGAAAATAGGGACTCACTGGACATTCGATGCATGCGGAGGAAGGAAGTGGGTCCTTCCCTTCCAGTGTTCTTCTAAAAGTGAAAGAGACAGTGGTCACCAAGATAGGTATGGTTCCTACTCACAGGGAGCTCACAGTTTAGTGGAAGTGACAGACAAATGGAATCAACCATCATAAGAATAAATATCTAATGATAAATTATGATTGATGCATTAAAGAAAAAGAAAATATGATAGTGACTAAAAGGGAAGTTAGTTTACTAAGAGGGAGTGGGTTTTGAGAAGGCCTATTGGAAGAAGAGACGTTTTTAAATGAGACATAAAGAATGAGTAAGAAGCAGGTGAAAAATGCACCAGTTCTAGGCAAAGGACATAGAAAGCACAAAGGCCTTAATTGGAAGTTGGTTAAGAAAGGCAGCTGGGAGCTGGAGAGGAGGGGTATGACCAGATGATGCCAGCCATATCCCATCCATTTAAAGCTGTGCATTACATTAATCTACTCAGTTTGCCCAGGGTACATTGTCTGCTAGGATCTGTTATTCTTATTTTGTTTTAGTCTTGAAGTTCTGTTCCCTTGCTTTTCAAGATTGTATTTACTTGTATATTTTTTCTTTTGCACCTGTTCCAAACAGTAGTTCTCAGGTCACTTCATCCTCTTAGGCAGTGGTTCTCGAAGTGTGGTAGTCTCTGTATTAGCAGTATTAGCATCATGGGGAACAGGCAGGATAGGAAATGGGAAGAGGAGGGCAGTTCCTGACATTTTAAAGCACCCACAGTAGGCCATGCCATTCTCCTACTAAACAGTCTCACAGAACACCAACCCTAAACAAGGTTGCAGACCATGAGAAATGAGACAAAGCAAGTCTACTTCATAATTTTATCTAAACACAGATAAAAATAAGGTCATTGTGCAGCCTACAAACTGCCAAACATCCTCTCTTGGCCACAATGAGTGGCTGCCACTTGTTTACCAAGTACAGCTTATCCTCTTGCTAGTCTCTGCTCTTTATAGATAAAACTTATTTAGACAGCCAATCATAGAATGGTATCCACTTTCCAGCAGCACCCAATCTAGAGCAAACACTTGCTTTCTTAAAGTTTCAAATCACTCAACCAAAGCCCAAATCCTATTGTAGGATCTTATTCACACCTTACTGGGACACTCATATTTCCCATGGTGTGCTGTCCCTGGCTACAACAAATAATAAGACCAACTTGGTTAACTACAGCTGTGTTTCTGGTGGTCTTGGGCTGAAGGGCATTGCCACTTGGGCCCCACTGCATATCTACTGAATCTAAAACCCCAGGGGTGGGGTCCAGCCATCTGTGTTTACAGAGGCTCTCTGTGTGATTCTGATGCATGCTCCAGTTTGAGAACCATTGCTCCAAGGCAATGATTCTTAGTCCTGGCTGTCCATTCGATATGAGTGTCTGAATCTCCCAAAGATTCTGAATCGACTGGTCTGGAGTGGGATTTAGAAATCTGTACATTTTTAAAAGCTCCCCAGATGATTCTGTTGTGCAAACAAAGTTGAAAATCACTTCTTTAAAACAGTGATGTTGGCAGGTGCACCATTGAAGGATAACGTCCACATTTGAAATGCATTCCTATCAGGTTATAAGCAATTGCTGGGGAGCCAGTTGTAATTCTGCCTCTTGCTATCCATGACATCCCAGTGTGTACTGCCACAATTTGTTTTAGGGAAATTTGCCTTTGCTTCTTGCTCACATGTCAACATATTTCTAGTAATATTTTCTCTTGAGCTTAGCTACCTTCCTTCCTTTCTTGATTATATAAACCATTTCTCAGCCATGAACACAGGATTATATCTATATCTATGTCTATATCTATATCTATCTATATCTGTATTTATGGCATAATAATAATTTTTAAGTCTCATAATAACCATAGCTAATTTTTATGAGCACTTAACTAATGTGCCAATCACTAGGTTAACAATCTTTACAACAATGACAGCAAGATAAATAATATTATCATCCACATTTCACAGATGAGAAAACTGAGGCTTGGAGATGCTAAGTACCTAGCCCAAGTTACCAGCTGGTAATGAATGAAGCCAGGTTTCACACACAAGCTATTAAGTTCCAGAATCCACACTTCTAACCACCCTGCTCAGATTCCTTATCCAGATGGCTACATCTCCCTAGTCTGCTTTCCCTCTTAAGCCTCCGTGATCTTTTCTTTCTTGGCCACCCCCATCGTCATGTTCTCATGATTACATAGGGTGGGAATAGAGGTGAGGATGCTAAGGTGTCTGTTCTTTCAGGAATAGTAAACTTTTTCTGTGTTCTCTCCTATTCTCCCACCCTTCCTATAGAAATATCCCTCTTTCCATAGCTGTACAGCAAAGGGAACATAGCCTTGCTTAGTATTCAAAGAGTACAGCAGATATTCAAACTGTTGTCCTGGGACAAGAAGAACTTTTAAACAATCTAAAGTGTTTCCTGCCCCACACTTTGTTGGTTATATTAACATCATGGAATAAATTTGAACAGGATATCCATTTATTCATTTCTAGAACATGCACTTTTAGGCTTACCACTGGTTATCCTTTCTTAAATCCTTTTGACGAGCTTCTGTCCTTACATCTTTTCAGAAACAGTTTTTCATTAGAAAACCAAGAGCCGTATCATCATATCTGGAAAATTTGGCTTTCCAGGTACATCATAAACTGGGATAAAACAAGGACTAGAACTTAGTGGGCCTTCTGCCATCTAATGATAAGGGCCCTCATGGGATAGTGGTGAAGACTGAATGACTTCACTTATTCAGATCACCCTGAAGACTGCATGGCATGTGCCATATTTCAGTTTTAATATTAACTTTTATATTCAGACATCTGTGAAATTAGTATGTGTCTTAGAAGTAATGAATGACATTGAAATTATAATTGGCATTTTTGACTTTTACATTTGATGGAAAATGTTAGTAAACTTTCAGTAAATGTTATCTCCTCCTCTTTCTCCTTCCCCTCCTCCTGCTCTTCTTCCAACTCCTGCTTTAAGTCCTAAGACTAACAGTCCTCATCTGGCATCTGAGCATGAGAAATACTCAGAATATCCTTTCCCCAGGTTGCATGGCCAGGTTATTACTTTTCTCCATAAGCTCAGGCAATAATGGTCACTGATCATTTAATCACCCTTAATAGAGAAGGTAATTCTCATCCAGGTACCTATACAACAGATATTGTGAGTCTACTATGTGCCATAAACTCTGCTCTATATGAGACATATGCCTGGCCCTCAAGCAACTCACAATGGAACAGGAAGAAACCACAGAAAACAAAGAAAAACAGCGGACTATATACCACACCTCATTCCCACCTCAGACTCTCATCAATATCTTGTCTACCTCAGGGCAGAACTTGACATTTGTCTTGTAAACTTAAAAAGCAAACCCAACTCCACAATGATGAACATTTTTCAGGTAGTGTGAGAAGAATGTTAAATAATTGTATACTATATGGCAAAATGCAACAAGAATCCCAGCTAGACCTCTCTAATTTCCTGACATTATTGCTTCAATTGCCAAATTTTATTTTCTTCACAACCATTTCCCCACGAATCTCTCCCAATTCTCTGTCTCCAACTCATTTTTTTTTCGAGGATGGGTATCTACTCTCAATGGCACTTCCATGCCAACACACACACACACACACACACACCCCCACACTAACCCCTTCCCCTGTATCTTTCCCTTTTCTAATACAAACACTAATAGTTCCTTTTCAGATTTTACAAATTATTTGCATCATCACAGTGATCAACTCTCTTCCCACCTTTCTACTTCTTAGCATTCACCCTTCTCAGTGCAGTAGAGGATTCTAACCAGGCACAAGTGTGTGTGTGCATGTGTCTGTCTGTGAGTGTGTGTGTGGGGGGGAGAGAGAGAGTGAGAGAGAGAAAGAGAGAGAAGGACAGAAAAATACAAGAAAATATAATAAGTGAAAATATAACAGGTGGACACAGGATAATATGAGACCAAAACTAACAAAAGCAACCCCTCATCCTAAGCCCAGAAAAGAGATCAAGTTACAGCAATGGTTCTCAACACTTTAGAATGTCTGGAGACATTTTTAATTGTCACAATTAGAGAGGTGATATAATACGAAACTAACATCTAGCAATAGAGATCGGAGTTGTTGCTAAACATCCTACAATGCAAAGAAAAAGCTCCATGACAAAGAATTTTCTGGCCCCAGATGTCAATCGTGGTGATATTGAGCAATCCCTAGTTATACATTCTAGAAAAAGTGATAAGTGACTGTAGTTTTGAAAAAGGATTAAGAATTTCCCTGCAAATAAGTGAATGAAGAAGATTCCAGCAGAAAACCTTTATGGTAGGATTTTAGATGATCACTTTGACAAGAATGTGAGAATTATTTTAAACATTTAGAGAGAGTTAATCTTTATTTAGCATGTAGAAAGTCATTAAAAAGCCAGATGATTTACAAAACCATTGTCATTTTAACCCTGCCAGGAAGTTAAGATTGTAAAGTAATCTAATGAACTAAAATCCAAGAGGGGTCAAGTCCCTCCTAAGAGAGATGGGAACCATGGCTATTTTCATCTTTGGCAGAACAGAGAGAGGAGGAAAACACATTCATGGATGTGGGTAAGAAAAAAATAGCTGAATTTTAATGAACTTGTGGAGGCTGAGTGTGAACTGAGTATTAGAGCTTAGGATCCTTGAGAACCCCAGACAAAAGAGGAGTCCACGCCTACCCTATAAGGTATTTTACACAAGTCTTCACAATATCCTCATGTGAAAGATTGTGATCGGGGCAGAACTATTCAGAACAAACTCCTCTGAAGTGCAAGCAGTGTTTCTGCTGTACTTTGAGAGTGAAGCACAAAAACAGAGAAATATTCTCATACTCAAAACCTTACACTGAATATCAGGCAAAGATGATCTACCATTGGGGAAAGGGCAGAGCAGCAGAGCAAGACCCATTCAGGTATGGGCTCATGAGGTCTCCTCTATCCTTAGGAAGAGCAAGAGACTTAAAAGCAACTACCCAGGGGATGCCTGCTGATTGAGGCAGAGACCCCTTGACTCCAGAGAAGGGATAAGAGAGCTGAGAGAGAAGCCCTGAGATACAGAAGTATGGAGTTTGCTGAAGTCTAAAGTTAGGGCAGGGGAACTTAGGCAAACCCTTTAGGCATTAAGAGCCCAAACCCTGCTAAAGTAATGATCCCAACCTCAAATATTTTGAAACCTGAAGTGAACTGAATGTAACTTAAGCAAAAACTCATACTCAAACTAAACACAACTAGAATGACTCAAACCTCAATACTAATGACCTGAAAGAAACAGAAATGTACCCTTTTCTGTATATAAATATAACTGCATTAGACCATGCTGTTTTTACATATTTGTGGTGGTTAATAAAAAGTCACAAGACACAAAAACAACCAAGAAAACAAAATGATCCATTGACAATGAAGGAAAGAGTCAATGGTACCAGATCCAGAGATGGCCTCAATGTTGAAATTATCATAACTGTCATAAATATGTTAAAGTACCTAGACAAAAAGGTGACTGACCCTCATGGGTGAAGAAATTTCAGCAAACACATGGTAAGTATAAAAAAAATTGAAGTGGAAATCCCAGAAATGAACAGATAATATAAGAAATGAGGAATTTCCTTATACATTCTTCTCAGCACCATATCACAATTATTCCAAAATTGACCACATAGTTGGAAGTAAAGCACTCCTCAGCAAATGTAAATGAACAGAAATTACAACAAACTGTCTCTCAGACCACAATGCAATCAAACTAGAACTCAGGATTAAGAAACTCACTCAAAACCGCTCAACTACATGGAAAATGAACAACCTGCTCCTGAATGACTACTGGGTACATAACGAAATGAAGGCAGAAATAAAGATGTTTTTGAAACCAATGAGAACAAAGACACAACATACCAGAATCTCTGGGACACATTTAAAGCAGTGTGTGGAGGGAAATTTATAGCACTAAATGCCCACAAGAGAAAGCAGGAAAGATCTAAAATTGACAGCCTAACATCACAATTAAAAGAACTAGAGAAGCAGGAGCAAACACATTCCAAAGCTAGCAGAAGGCAAGAAATAACTAAGATCAGAGCAGAACTGAAGGAGATAGAGACATAAAAAACCCTTCAAAAAATCAATGAATCCAGGAGCTGGTTTTTTGAAAACATCAACAAAATTGATAGAACACTAGCAAGACTAATAAAGAAGTAAATAGATACAATAAAAAATGATAAAGGGGATATCACCACCGATCCCACAGAAATACAAACTACCATCAGAGAATACTATAAATACCTCTATGCAAATAAACTAGAAAATCTAGAAGAAATGGATAAATTCCTGGACACATACACACTCCCAAGACTAAACCAGGAAGAAGTTGAATCCCTGAATAGACCAATAGCAGGCTCTGAAATCGTGGCAATAATTAATAGCCTACCAACCAAAAAAACTCCAGGACCAGACGGATTCACAGCCGAATTCTATCAGAGGTACAAGGAGGAGCTGGTACCATTTCTTCTGAAACTATTCCAATCAATAGAAAAAGAGGGAATCCTCCCTAACTCATTTTATGAGGCCAGCATCATCCTGATACCTAAGCCTGACAGACATAACAAAAAAAGAGAATTTTAGACCAATATCTCTGATGAACATCAATGCAAAAATCCTCAATAAAATACTGGCAAACTGAATCCAGCAGCACATCAAAAAGCTTATCCACCATGATCAAGTGGGCTTCATCCCTGGGATGCAAGGCTGGTTCAACATAGAAAAATCAATAAACGTAATCCAGCATATAAACAGAACCAAAGACAAAAACCACATGATTATCTCAATAGATGCAGAAAAGGACTTTGATAAAATTCAACAGACCTTCATGCTAAAAACTCTCAGTAAATTAGGTATTGATGGGATGTATCTCAAAATCATAAGAGCTATTTATGACAAACCCACAACCAATATCATACTGAATGGACAAAAAGTGGAAGAATTCCCTTTGAAAACTGGTGCAAGACAGGGATGCCCTCTCTCACCACTCCTATTCAACATAGTGTTGGAAGTTCTGGCCAGGGCAATCAGGCAGGAGAAAGAAATAAAGGGTATTCAATTAGGAAAAGAGGAAGTCAAATTGTCCCTGTTTGCAGATGACATGATTGTATATTTAGAAAACCCCATCGTCTCAGCCCCAAATCTCCTTAAACTGATAAGCAACTTCAGCAAAGTCTCAGGATACAAAATCAATGAGCAAAAATCACAAGCATTCTTATACACTAATAACAGACAAACAGAGAGCCAAATCATGAGTGAACTCCCATTCACAATTGCTTCAAAGAGAATAAAATACCTAGGAATCCAACTTACAAGGGATGTGAAGGATCTCTTCAGGGAGAACTACAAACCACTGCTCAACGAAATAAAAGAGGACACAAACAAATGGAAGAACATTCCATGCTCATGGGTAGGAAGAATCAATATCGTGAAAATGGCCATACTGCCTAAAGTAATTTATAGATTCAGTGCCATCCCCATCAAGCTACCATTGACTTTCTTCACAGAATTGGAAAAAACTAAAGTTCATATGCAACCAAAAAAGGGTCCGCATTGCCAAGACAATCCTAAGCCAAAAGTACAAAGCTGGAGGCATCACACTACCTGATTCAAACTATACTGCAAGGCTATAGTAACCAAAACAGCATGGTAGTGGTACCAAAACAGAGATATAGACCAATGGAACAGAACAGAGCCCTCAGAAATAATACCTGACATCTACAACCATCTGATCTTTGACAAACCTGACAAAAACAAGAAATGGGGAAAGGATTCCCTATTTAATAAATGGTGCTGAGAAAACTGGCTAGCCATATGTAGAAAGCTGAAACTGGATGCCTTCCTTACAACTTATACAAAAATTAATTCAAGATGGATTAAATACTTAAATGTTAGACCTAAAACCATAAAAACCCTAGAAGAAAACCTAGGCAATACCATTCAGGACATAGGCATGGGCAAGGACTTTATGTCTAAAACACCAAAAGCAATGGCAACAAAAGATAAAATTGACAAATGGGATCTAATTAAACTAAAGAGCTTCTGCACAGCCAAAGAAACTACCATCAGAGTGAACAGGCAACCTACAGAATGGAAGAAAATTTTTGCAATCTACTCATCTGACAAACGGCTAATATCCAGAATCTACAAAGAACTCAAACAAATTTACAAGAAAAAAACAAACCACCCCATCAAAAAGTGGGCAAAGGATTATGAGCAGACACTTCTGAAAAGAAGACATTGATGCAGCCAACAGACACATGAAAAAATGCTCATCATCACTGGCCATCAGAGAAATGCAAATCAAAATCACAATGAGATACCATCTCACACCAGTTAGATCATTAAAAATCAGGAAACAATAGGTGCTGGAGAGGATGTAGAGAAATAGGAACACTTTTACACTGTTGGTGGGACTGTAAACTAGTTCAACCATTGTGGAAGACAGTGTTGCAATTCCTCAGGGATCTAGAACTAGAAACACCATTTGACCCAGCAATCCCATTACTGGGTATATACCCAAAGGATTATAAATCATGCTGCTATAAAGACACATGAACATGTATGTTTATTGTGGCACTATTCACAATAACAAAGACTTGGAACCAAGCCAAATGTCCATCAATGATAGACCGGATTAAGAAAATGTGGCACATATACACCAGGGAATACTATGCAGCCATAAGAAAGGATGAGTTCATGTCCTTTGTAGGGACATGGGTGAAGCTGGAAACCATCATTCTCAGCAAACTATCACAAGGACAAAAAACCAAACACTGCATGTTCTCACTCATAGGTGGGAATTGAGCAATGAGAACACTTGGACACAGGAAGGGGAACATCACACACTAGGGCCTGTCATGGGGTGGGGGGATGGGGGAGGGATAGCATTAGGAGATATACCTAATGTAAATGACGAGTTAATGGGTGCAGGACACCAACATGGCACATGTATACATATGTAACAAACCTGTATGTTGTGCACATGTACCCTAGAACTTAAAATAAAAAAATGAGGAATTTCTTTAATGGACTATACAGCCGACTGGATTAGGTAATCTGAAGATTTAGCAAACGTAAAGACTAGTCAATAATAATTATAAAAATCAAATACAAGAGGGAATATCATAAGAAACAGAACAGAACATCCAAGATGTTTGAGATAATATTGAATAATCTGACATACTTGGCCTTGGAGTTCCAGAAGAAAAGTGAAAGAAAGTAGACAGAAAAACATATTTTGAGATAATGTCTGAGAATTTTCTAAAATTCATAAAATATGTCAAACCCCAGATCCAAGAATCTTAGTGAATTACATGTATGAGAGATGCAAAGGAAAACAAACCTAGGCAAATAATAGTTAAATGGTTGAAAACCAAAGATAAAGAAAAAAATTGAAAGCAGTACCCATATACCTATTTTACAATGGTATTTACAAAGTTTTCTGCATTTTGGTTGGATTTAATTCAAAATAATTGGGAATTCTTTAATCAATATATTCAACAATGGAGTATCAAATGTTTTCAAAGAAGCAAACAAAACCAGGAAATTTATCACTACAAAATGGGGGGGTCTAAATTTATTAAATGTTGAGAGTTAAAACAGGGTTCAAGATTTAGTTTCAAAATTTCATAGTTGCATTTTATATTATCTTAGTTTTGGGGAAGGTTCTTTTGTTGGAATGCCTATATATAATTGGATAAATTTATATTTTCCATTGCAAAATAATAAAATGAGAAAGCATATGATCTTCTATTACCTATATCCAAAATATAATAGAGACAAATTATTTGATAATTTTTCACTAGCATGTTTGTCAAAAGAAAGCCCTTAAATGGGAACAAAAAATCATACCTCTGAGAAAATGAGTGCTGAAATATTTGCAAATTTGAACTAAAAATGGAAAAATAAAAATATCTCTCATTTAGCAATTTCTCTATTAGATTATACTATAAAAATTGAAAGCAGTCATAGAAAAGAGATACTTCACATAGAGAATTGACAAGAATGAGTGCAGGCTTCTTGTCAAAAACAATGAAGGCTAAAGCAAGACTAAGCAAAAAGTACAAACCTGGAGGCATCACATTACCTGATTTTAAACTGTACTATAAGGCCATAGTCACCAAAACAGCATGGTACTGGTATAAAAATAGGCACATAGACTAATGGAACAGAATAGAGAACCCAGAAATAAACCCAAATACTTACAGCCAACTGATCTTCAACAAAGCAAACAAAAACATGAAGTGGGGAGAAAGACACCCTTTTTAACAAATGGTGCTATGATAATTGGCTCACTACATGTAGGAGAATGAAACTGGATCCTCATTTCCCATCTTATGCAAAAATCAACTCAAGATGGATTAAGGACTTAAATCTAAGACCTGAAACTGTAAACATTCTAGAAGATAACATTGGAAAAACCCTTCTAGACATTGGCTTAGGCAAGGATTTTATGACCAAGAACCCAAAAGCAAACGCAATAAAAACAAAGATAAATAGCTGAGACTTAATTACACTAACAGCAAAAGGAATAGTCAGCAGAGTAAACACACAACCCACAGAGTGGGAGAAAATCTTCACAATCTATACATATGACAGAGGACTAATATCCAGAATCTGCTATAAACTCAAACAAATCAGCAAGAAAAAACAATCCCAACAAAAAGTGGGCTAAGGACATGAATAGACAATTCTCAAAAGAAGATATACAAATGGCCAACAAACATATGAAAAAATGCTCAACATCACTAATGATTAGGAAATGCAAATCAAAACCACAATGTGATACCACCTTACTCCTGCAAGAATGGCCGTAATCAAAAAAACAAAAAACAGTAGATGTTGGTGTGGATGTGGTGAACAGGGAACAGGGAACACTTCTACACTGCTGATAGGTGTGTAAACTAGTCCAACCACTATGGAAAACAGTGTGGAGATTCCTTAAAGAACTAAAAGTAGAACTACCATTTGATCCAGCAATCCCACTACTGGGTATCTACCCAGAAGAAAATAAGTCATTATACGAAAAAGATACTTGCACATACATGTTTATAGCAGCACAATTCATAGTTGCAAAAATATGGAACCAACCCAAATGTCCATCAATCAATGAGTGGATTAAAAAAACTGTGAGATATGTGTGTGTATATATACATATATATATGTGATATATATGTATATATGTATATGTGTATATATGTATATATGTATATATGTGTATATATGTATATGTATGTATATATACACACATATATACACGTGTGATATGTATGTATATATACACACATATATACACGTGTGATATGTATGTATATATACACATATATACACGTGTGATATGTATGAATATAAATACACATATATATGTGTATATACACACACACACACACACACACACACACACACACACAATGGAATACTACTCAGCCATAAAAAGGAAAGATTTAATGGCATTTGCAACAACCTGGATGAGATTGGAGACTATTATTCTAAGTGAAGTAACTCAGGAATGGAGAACCAAATATCATATGTTCTCACTCATAAGTGGGAGCTAACCTATGAGGCTGCAAAGGCATGAGAATGATACAGTGGACATTGGGGACTCGGGGGAAAAGGTGGGAAGGGGGTGAGGGATAAAAGACTACAAATAGGGTGCCATGTATACTGCTCAGATGATGGGTGCACCAAAATCTCACGAATCACCACTAAAGGACTTACTCATATAACCAAACACCACCTGTTCCCCAGTAACCTACGGAAATAAAAAATTAAAAAAAAAATGGAGGCTAATGGTCAATGGAAGAATATATTTAATATTTAAAGTGATGAAAGAAGAAAACTGTAGATATACACTCTTTCTAATTAAAAATTCTTCAAATATAAAGAAAAAAGACA
Organism: Homo sapiens; assembly: GCF_000001405.40. Classification (NCBI taxonomy): domain Eukaryota; kingdom Metazoa; phylum Chordata; class Mammalia; order Primates; family Hominidae; genus Homo; species Homo sapiens. The sequence goes on along the minus strand of NC_000005.10, from coordinate 67,863,122 downwards.
TTTTCAGAAAGACAAAAATCAAAAGAATTTATATCCAGCAGACTCAAATTTCAAGAAAAGTCGAAAGAAGTTCTTTGGCTGAACAGAAATGATACCAGGTAGAAACCTGCTTCTGCAGAAAGAAAGAAAGAGTACCAGGAAGACTGAAATGTTGCAAAATAGAAAGGAGCTTTACAAAAGTATTCATATCTTTATATACCAATGATAAGCTTTAAAGACTACTGACTTTAAACTTTTCAGATGCAATGCAGTATTTGTGACATATATGAAAATGAAGTATATGACAAAGAACACAAAGGGTGGGTGGGTTTTAATGGAAAGTGTACTGTAGTAAGGTTCTCATATTTTTGTGGAATATTTGAACATTTTTGAAGCTTTACTCTAATAAGTGAGAGATGTGTATTGAAGTCTCCTGTGTAACCACTAAAAAAATTTAACACAAAGAGCCACAGCAAACAATCAATAGAGGATATCAAATGAAATACGGAAAACACTTTATCCACTTTAAAAACGACATTTCTAATAGAATGGCTAACCTAAAAAAAACAAAAACAAAAAAACCCCTAATATCGAAGAGGCCATGAAGCAACTGGAATTCTTATACATTATAAATGGGAACATAAAGTGTGCAACTACACTGGAAAATTCTTTGGCAGTTTTTTAAAAAGTAAATGAAAATCCAGTGTATGACCCAGCAATTTCAATCTTAGATCTTTGTCTCCTCTCCAAAAAAGAAAACCTATATCAACAAAAAGTCTTATAGAAGAATGCCCATATTAGCTTTGTTAATACTATTTATAATAACACAAACACCCCTGGAAATTGTCTAGATGTTCATTTAAAGAGTTTGGATGAACATATTATAGAGTGTCCTTTCAATGGAAGACTGCTCAAACAAACAAAAAAGAAGTACTGATGAACACAACATGATGAATGATGCTTAAAGACATAATGCCAAGTAAAATAAGTCAGACAGAAAAAAGTATATAGTATGTTATTTCTTTTATACGAAGTTCTAAACCATGACAAACATCTATTATAATAGAAATCAGATCAGTGCTTGTTTCTGGTGGTGGGATAATTTACTGGGAAGAGGTACAAGGAAACTCTTTAGAGTAATGGAAATGTTTTTCTGGTTTTTTTTCTTGCTAGAGATGACAGATATCTGAGTGCATGTATTTGTCAAAACTGATCTAACTATACACTTAATGATTTATGAATTTAAGATCTATGTGTATGTAAAGCATTACTTAATTTAAAAATTAGTAAGGTATAAGAAACTGAAGTTAGTGAGACCAGTTAGAGAGCTGTTGAGTATTCCAATTAAGAGATGAAGAAATTCTGGGCGCGGTGGCTCATGCCTGTAATCCCAGCACTTTGAGAGGCCGAGGTGGGCGGATCACGAGCTCAGAAGTTTGAGACCAGCCTGGCCAGTATGGCAAAACCCGGTCACTACTAAAAATACAAAAATTAGCCGGGTGTGGTGGCACGCACCTGTAGTCCCAGCTTCTCGAGAGGCTGAGGCAGAAGAATCGCTTGAGCCAGGGAGGCAGAGGTTGCAGCGAGCCAAGATCACGCCACTGCATTTCAGCCTGGGCGACAGAGCGAGATTCTGTCTCAAAAAAAAAAAAAAAAAAAAAAAGATGAAGAAAATTCTGAATGAGACAATAGTCCTAGCATTGGGAAGGAAGTGATAGAGTTGGAGAGTATCAGGAAAAAAGAATACATAAGAATGTATATAACTGGTAACCAATAATAAATAAGAAATGATAAAGAGAGAAGACTAAAGGAAGCATCTCAGGCTTTTGGATTGGGTAACTGGGTGAGTCTTGATACCATTTTCCAAGAATAAGAAATCAGGAGAAAAGCAAGCTTAGGAAAAAAATGAGATTCCTTTTGTTTATCTTGGATTTAGGTCCTGTCCAATTAAAGATATTAAATATCAATTATATCTGGATTTTAGAGGAGAGATTTAGCTAGAGATGTAAACTTGGGATTCATAAAGATTTGGAAATGACTTAGTTTGTTTTCTCTTTATTTTTTTAATTTTTATTTTACGTTTGGGGGTACCTGTGAAGGTTTGTTACATAAATAAACTCATGTCATGGGGGTTTGTAGTACATATTATTACGTTACCCAGGTATTAAGTCCGGTACCCAACAGTTATCTTTTCTGTTCCTCTCCCTCCTCTCATCCTTCCCCTTCAAGTAGACCCTAGTGTTGGTTGTTTCCTTCTTTGTGTTCCTAAGTTCTCATCATTTAGCTTACACTTATATGTAAGAACATATGGTATTTGGTTTTCTGTTCCTACATTAGTTTGTTAAGGATGATAGCCTCTAGTTCTACCCATGTTCCTGCAAAAGACATAACCTCATTCTTTTTTATTGCTACATAATGTTCCATGGTGTATATGTACCACATTTTCTTTATCCAGTCATCATTGTTGGGGATTTAGGTTGGTTCCATGTCTTTGCTATTGTGAACAGTGCTGCAATGAACATTCACATGCGTGTGTCTTTACGGTAGAATGATCAATATTCCTCTGCGTATATACGCAGTAATGGGATTGCTGGGTGTTATGGTACTTCTGCTCTTAGCTCTTTGAGGGATCACCATATTGCTTTTCACAGTGGTTGAACTAATTTACCCTCCCACCAGCAGTGTATAATCATTCCTTTTTCTCTGCAACCTTGCCCACATCTGTTATTTTTTGACTTTTTAATAATAACTATTTTGACTGGTGTGAGATGGTATCTCATTGTGGTTTTGATTTGCATTTCTCTAATGATCAGTGACACTGAGCTTTCATGTCTTTTTTTGAGAAGTGTCTGTTCATGTCTTTTGCCTACTTTTTTTTTTTAAACAGACGATAACTTTATTGGAGATTTACTTGGCTACAATTATTACAAAAAAAAACTCAAGGTAATTGTGATCCATAAAGTGCAGATTGCAAATTTCTGCAGCATGATTACTGTATGAATGAATGACATCATGTTCCTTAAAAAACGGCTGCAGCATGTGATGGTAAATATTTTATTGTCAATCAAGTTATATGCATTAGTTTTACTTGATTTTAGTAATTTTCCTTTACTATTTATAGCAGAAAAGCCAGAAATTTACTTCCTGTTCACCTTTGCATTTTTGCTAGATAACCTGCTGCTGCAGTGAATTCTTAGTGCATCTATAGAATTTAAATTGTCTGTGGTTGATATCCAAAAAAAAATGGACTAGAAAAAAAACAAGTAATGATTAAAATATATTTACAAGTTAGTTGTGAAAAGTCATTTTCACTGCTAGTGGAAAATACAGTGGTCTCCTTGCAAATTTCCTAGATATTGCTGTTGGCATCTCCAACAACTTTTAAAATCATTTTAATAGTCTTGGTATTAAACATAGTTTTAAAACTTTTCATGTACAATACAAAATAAAGAAATTTATCTGGAAATAATTAAATTTCTGAAAAGTAATCAGTGCTTGGAAAAATATAATTATTCAAATGTAATTAAAATAACCATATAGGTAATAAACATGACATGAGTTTCTCTTTTGCAGATAATGCAAACGGGTTAAGGACTCAACATAATTTCAGATGCAGTTAAAAAATGGTATCAAGGTCTCAGTTTGGTGGCTTAAATTTTTTGTAAAGGAATTAGACACCCTGACAGAGCAAGATCCAATATTTTAAATCAATGGGGCTTTGTGCATGAACTGCGTTCATTCTGGATTCCAGTGATCCTCTGCAGTCCCCACCTGCCTCCAGGGAGCGACTGAAGGAGCTGACTGCCAGGTGAACACCTGGATTCATGAACCAAAGCAGCCTCAAGTTTCATGTTGTCAAGGCAGGGTATTAGAATCTTTCTGAGAGCAAAGTATTATTAACAAATAAAAATATCAGTATTTTAAGAGACAATTACAGGAGTGTTAGAGGTCGTTCTAAATTTCATCACTTCACGTAATATAAAAGAAAAAGGAAAAGAAATGTAACAAACATCTTAAAAACGTAATTAAGAGTTCAGTTAACAAATCTTTTTCATATCACAAACAGTGAAAATGCCACAGACAAAAATGACCTATTTAAGTTGTGTGAGTATACGACACATTGCAGGCATTATAATTATCTTTTTCAAATTCCATAAGTCAAAACAGCAGCAAGGCCAAACCACATTTTTATTCTCTCTGTTAAGCATATTTTCTTGAAATGAGGTAAAGCATGGTACAAAGTGCAATGCTCATCTGTGCTACATGAACAGAACAGAAGGGAAAAAGCTATTATAAAACGCAACGTAGTTAGGACTGCGGAAAGTATATTTTAAAAAATTTACAAATGAAGATTCATGTCAACTAACTTGCACACAATCATCACAAGGTATTTCTGCAGTTGCTTTTTCAAGATACACCTCCCCAGTCCTTTACACATGTGCTCAGAGCACAACCACACCCCACTAGTAGGTTTTGCATATTACATTCAGTCTCACATTGCAATCACAGGAACAGAAGAATGGCATAAGGGTTGTAAAGTGGGGCAACATAGAGTGATTTTTTTTTCTTAATTGACAGATGCAAAACATTTCAACAAGCTAAACAGAGGAAAACTTTACAGCATTAAGAATCAGCAGCACAAAAGCGTTCATAACCATTTCATATGTCTAACCTGTACTTTAAAAATTTTTTAACTTAGTAACCAGGGGATCATAGAATGCTTCAAACTGTGAGTCAAATTAAAATCCACTATTTTTTCTCCAACAAAAAGTGAAAGAGCTAAAGTTTGCTGTTGATAAAACATTTTGAATGGTAGAAGGAAATTTGAACCCCTGAGAATGCATGACCTAATCATGTCTATAAGTCTGAACATCTTAGTACTAATAAAAAAATACTCTTCTTAAGGTTACAAATATATTGAGGCATTTTTCTCCCACTGGGAATCATAACTGTGAAAATAATCTGATTTTGGTGCCAGGAATCAAGAGAATCCCGTAACACTGGGATGGATGCATTAGACACGATGCAAAGCCCTAAGCTCCTGGCATCAGGTAGTTTATAAATATTAAGAGATTTGTGATTAAACTTGATCACAAATAACCCTCACAGTAAAATTCACATCCAACCTTACTTGTTCACTGTACACCTTTATAGTTCCATAATTCAAGAATTATTTTGTTTTAACTGGCCATATGTTACATTAAGGTTTTTTAAAAAATCAAGTAGATATCTAAGGTTCCAAATCAGAATTAAATATTTTTAAAACAAGTCATCTAAACTAATTTGCTCAAAAACTCATTTAATAATTTAGATCTCAATTTAATTTTAAGATTGGAGACAACAAAAAACACTGGAGAAGCATAATATACCCCTCACTGAGGGTTCCTTAGAAAGCAGAGCTGACAGTTTTCTGTGGGTGCACTCACACAGAGGCATTTCTCTGTGGGTGGATGATGCAGATAAAGCAGGAAGGACAGTATTCAAATGTCACATACACATACATGCAGCATTCCATGAAGCTTCAACTTCAGAATCATGTGCTGGGAAATATGAAACACCTCTGCCCAGCTTTCTTAAACTTCAAGCATAATTAACGGGGCAAATTGCAGCAAACCTCTACTGGTATGTTGATGGGAGTGCAAGACTGACCCACAACTTTTAAAAAGGTAAACTAAGAGGAATTATAGTTACAGTACAAAAAAAATTAAAATTTCAAGCATAATACATAAACATAGCACCAACTAGGGGAAAAATGCATGCAAAAGAAAACAAGAACTAAGGTATTTAAGTGAAGAGTGCCTACAAGTCTAATTAAAGAAACTTAGGCAAATGCCTAAAAAAGTCTTTTTTTCCTTTCCCAAACACAGAAACAATAAGCTAGTTTATCTAAATTAATGAGCTAAATCACAGATGTATCAAAATTACAGCAGTTTATCACAAATGTTAAACTTTCATGGCATTAACAGCATGGCTTGGTAGGTGAAATAGGAATGCAACATTATGAAAAGTACAGTAAGAAATTTATGTGAGGAAGCTAAGGGTAAAGGTGCTCTGTTTTGCTTCTTTAAATAAGTAACCAACCAATTATAAAATCTGCAGCATATTTTAGGTGTGATATATCTAAGGTTTATTTTGTTAGAGCAACAGCCTAGAAGGCAAAATTATTTGTCACAAAACATTTCCATCAGTGGAATTACGTAGCAGGAGGTCTGTAGTAAAATGGGGTATTTAGCCAAAGATCATTTTTTTGATGATAAAAAATATCCATAGACTACATATTCTGGTTTTTAAAATGTCTTCAGTATACATGACAGAAATTTTAGTATGATCCTGTAATAAGTTACAACTATACTGGTGAGTTGTAAGTATCACGATGTCTCAACGTCTAATGCATAATAAAATGAAGGGAATGTAAAACATTTTTCCAAAAAGATCAGAGATTAAAGAATATCCATGAAGGTTTTACTGTTAAGGCAAGAATCTTTTTTATGCAAGATTATGTGGCATCAGAAAACTAAAATGTGATTAACCAACATGTCAGCCAATGTTCATTAAGTATCTATCCCTTACTGTCGGGTGCAACAGCGACCATGAACATCACCTTACACAGTATAACGTGGAAAGAAAAGACAACATTGGTGCACTTCTCTTCTCGAAAACCTTATCATTCTATTCAATCATTCTATTCTTATCAACTAATGCAGGCCTGGCACTACTTCACACATGGAGAGATGGAGAATAATCTACGTCATCCTAGGGACTGCTGGAGGTTTAAGCTCCATGGCCTTCTAACACTAAGCAAAGCTGACATAAATTAAACTCAAAAACAACAACAACAAAAAACAACAACAAAAAAACTCTGTCAATTATTTTGAACACCTGCTAAATGTCATCATTAAAGCACTCTTGTGATTTAAACAAAGCAGAAGTGAGGAAAGAAGACAAGATTGTGTTTGTGCAAAAACTGAAACTACAATTAGTTCCAAAATTGCATACATATGCTAAATGTTTTATTCTGTTAGCTATCTTGTTATCAAACAAACTTTAAATTCTGCCTTCAATGCATTTAGCTCAATATCAACTTTAAGTCATCCTTCCAATTTAAGTAATTTCCCCCCCGCCTTTTTTTTTTTTTTTTTGAATTTTAAAAAGGGGTTTCAGCTGTTGGGAACCTGAGGTTGATTAGCTTTGAGGCTTCGGAGGGCTCTTCTTGCTGCTGCAGATTTGGCAATCCTGTTACTTCGACCAACACCTTTAAATTTCTCCTGTCCTGCTACTTCTATGGTGACTCTGACCTTCCCTTTGTAAGTTCTCACAGCCGGGCTAAATTTGGTAGTTTCTGGTTCCATTTCAAGCAATTCTCGCACAGGGGAATGGGGTACATTTGCAGAAAACTTTTCTATTTGCGGCATTCCTCAACCCACACACAATTTAGATAGTTGTAATTCACAACCCACACACAGTTCAGGCAGCAGAAGGTAGGGCCTCACAGGCTTGATGTGTCTGAACATAGCCTCTGCCCAAATAATTGGCTGACTGCCGAGCAATACAGTTGCTGGGAAGATCTTTATTGAACTCAAATGCCCCCACACACCACCCCCCAAGTATTAAGCAGAATCATTAGTGTCTACATATTACAGGGGAGACAGATTTTGCAGTTTAGGGAAAGTTTATTACTTACTAAAATAAAAAAAAGTCAAACCTCACAATAACAAAATAGATTGTATAATTTTACATTTATTATCCACCAAGTCCAATTTTCAATACAAAAAATTACCAGATATATGAAGAAACATGACGGGGTGGTCCATTCTCCAGGGAGAAAAATAGAAATCAGTAGAAACTGACTCTGAGTGAGTCCAGGTAATGAATTTAGCAGACAAAAACTTCAAAGCAGCTATTAGGATATGTTCAAAGAATTAAAGGGAAACAGTAAATAGTAAACAGAAGCTATGGAAGGAAAACAAGTGACAAGTGATATTCTAAGCTAAAATGTACACGAACTTTAAAAAATCACTAAATGGTTTAAACAGAAGTTGACATGGCAGACAAAGTATGCCATATTCCATTAATCACATGAACCAATCTTTATGTGGTGTGAGAAGGGACTACAGACAGTTGTGAATACAGGGGGTGGGGATCATTAGAGGCCGTCTTAAAGGATGGCTACCTTAACATACATGGGTGGGTCCATTTTGGGACTCTGCCTACTGTTGCAATGATTTATTTCTACTTTATCATTTACCGTCTACTTTCACCATTACCACACTGTCTTAATTTCTGTAGCTTTACATTAAATCTTAAAGACCTAACTTAATATAAAGACCTGCCTGACTTAATCAGATAGAAAAAGTCATCCAACTTGTTTCTTTTTTTTTCAATATTATTTTGACTATTCTAGATCTTTCAACTTTCCAGCATGAGCTTGCAATTAGCCAGTTTCTAGAAAAACAAAAAGTTTGCTGAAATTTTGATTGGGGACTTTTTGAAATATAGATGAGTTAGACATGAATTACCATCTAAACAGTCTTGAGTCTTCCAGTGCATGAATATACTTTATTCCTCTATTTAATTAAGTCTTTAAATTCTCTCAGTAATATTTTTAGTTACCACACTATGTCAGTTCCTATGCTTTTTCATTTTTTCCTGTGTATTTAGGTTTTTAAAATGAAATTACTTATTTTATTGTCACTTGTTCCTCGTTTATAAAATACATTTTATTTTTGTATATTGGCCTTATAACCCATATAAATACTAGACTCACTTCTTAGTTCTAGCAAACTTTGTTTTCTTTTGTATAATCCTTAAGATTTTTTACCTGTACAAGCATATTGCCTATGAGTAAAAAGTTTTACTTCTTCTTACTAATGCAGTTTGTTTTTCTTGTTTTATGGACTTCAGAATCTTCAGTGCAATTGTGAGTAGAAATAGTGAAGACTTTATTCCTATCTTATTCCCAATCTTAGAGAAAACAATCTTTAGTTATTTATGAATAAATGTGATGTTAGCTATAACATTTATTGTAGACCCCTTTATTGGCTTTTGAAGTTACTCTTCTGATATGGTTTGGCTGTGTCCCCACCCAAATCTCATCTTGAATTGTAGTTCCCATAATCTCCACATGTTGTGGGAAGGACCAGGTGGTGATAATTGAATCACAGGGTGGTTTCCCCCTTCTTGTTCTTGCGATAGTGAATTAGTTCTCATGAGATTTGATGGTTTTATAAGGGGCTTCCTCCTTTGCTGGGCACTCATTTCTCTCTCCTGCTGCCATGTGAAGAAGAACGTGTTTTCTTCCCCTTCTGCCATGATTGTAAGTTTTCTGAGGCCTCTCCAGCCCTGCAATACTGAGTCAATTAAACTTCTTTCCTTCATAAATTACCCAGTCTTGGGCAGTTCTTTATAGCAGTGTGAGAATGGACTAATACACTTTCTTTTTCTAGTTTGCTTACTCGAAAAGAAATCATAAATGGGTAGTGAATTTAGAGTTATGAAGATGATCAAATTTTATTTTTCTTTTAATATGTTAAATAACTGATTGAATTTTACATGTTAGATCAAATTTATATTGCTGAGAGAAATCCTTCTTAGTCTTAATGCATTATTTTTGTTATACATTGCAAGACTCAATTTGCTACTATATTGTTGTGGATTCTTACATCTGTATGTTCACATTTCTTGAAATATATTTGTCTGGTTTCAATATCAGTGTTATGCCGACCTCATTACATAAGTTGGGAGCTATTCCCTTCACAATTTTCTGAAGAGGGTATATGTAAAATTATATCATTTCTTTAAAAAACAGATGTTTACAATTCATCATGGAAGCCAGCCCGGTGTGAAGTCTTATTTGTGAAGTTTTTTTGTCTTACAAATTCAATTGCTGTAACAGATATAGGGTATTTAGATTTCTTATTTCTCCTTGCATATTTTATTGTGTCTGTTTTGGGACGTGTTTTTTTCAATGAAATTTATTTTTTATCTAAAATTGCAAATTTAGTGGCATAACTTTTCTATAACCTCTTAACTATCTTTTTAATTTATGGATGACAAGTGGCAATGATCTTTTTCATTCCTCTCTTTATCTCTTTTTCTGTCTCTCTCTCTGCTATCTAGCGCTTGTCAATTTTATTAATCTTTTTAAACAGTCAATTTTTGTTTTATTTTCTTTATTTTCCATGTTGTTTCTTCTCTTACTACTTACTACTTTATTATTAGTACTTAGTATTACTTACTACTTTATTAGTTCACTCTTACTTATGCTTCAATTTGCTTGTCTTTTTCTTCCTTGTTAACATGAAAGCTGAGATGGTTGATTTTAAATCTTCTTTTCTAATATATGCATTTTGATATGAATTTTTATGTAATCAATTTGTTAGTTACAACCCATTCATTTTGAGAAGTTATGTTTTCATTATTATTTATTTTAACATATTTTTGCATTTCCCTTGAGATTTTGTTTTGACCCAAGATTATAAGTATGTTGTTTAATTTGCATGTATTTGGAGATTATTCAGACTTTTTATATGGATTTCCAATTTAATTATATTGGGATAAGACACATACTCTGTATGACTTCAATCCTTTGCCATTTATTGGGTATTATTTTATTATTATGAATTTGGTCAATCTGTGAATATTACATGAACATTTTAAAAAAATAAATGTTCATGGAAAGAAACAAGTTCATAAAAAATGTGTATTATGCAGTTATTAGTGGTCTATAGGTATTAGTTAGGTCAATTTTTTTAGCAGTGTTATTCAAATACTATTATGGTGTTTTTTGTTTGTTTGTGTTTTGTCTACTTGTTCTAGCAATTACTGACAAAGTAGCGTTAAATATCTCCAGTGAATGTTGTGGATGAGCCTATTTCTCCCTTTAGCTCTGTCAGTTTTTTAATATATTTTGAAGCTTTGTTATTAGGTGCAGCCACATTCAGGATTTTGATGTCTTCTTAGCCTCTATCTTTGTTTCTAAAAAGTAACCTTTGTCTTGAAGTATGTATTAGCTGATATTAATGTAGCACTCCAGTTTTCTTATGATTTGTGTTTGCATGGTATATTTTTTCAAATCTTTTACTTTTAATCTATATCTTTGTAATTAAAGTACGCCTGTTATAAACACTATATAGACAGAATTTATTCAGCCTCAAAATCTCTCCCTTCTAACTGAAAACCTTTATCCATTTACAAAATCATTGATATGATTGTATTTAAGTAACAGTAATTAATATCATTTTGCTATTTATTTGTTATTTGTCCAGTCTGTCTTTTTAATTCATTCCCCGTCTCCTTCCCTCTTATCAATTATTTTTTATTATTCCATTTTGTTTCCTCTGTTGTCTCTTTTATTACACTCTTTTGTGTGTGTGTGTGTGTGTGTGTGTGTGCTTGCTCTAGGAATTGCAAAATGCATCTTTAACTATTCACAGTGTAATTTGAATTAATATTATACCATTTCCCTTATAGTATAAGAACTTTGCAACACTATTCTTTGGTTTATTTTTACTTATTTTTAGTCTTATTGCTGTTTATATTTTTATTCTTCATAGATTATAGGCCCTGCTATACATTTTTTGTTTGCTTTAAACAGTCAATTGTCTTTTGAAGAATTTTTTAAAGTTTAAGTCTTCTATATTTACATATACCATTTATGTGCAATTTGTTTCTTTCTACATATATCTGAGTATTTTACTGCTGTCATTTTCTATGAGCTTGAAGATCTTTCTTTATCATTTCCTGTAGAGTAATTCTGCTTTTAAGAAACTCTCTTGAATTTTATCTGAATTATTTTAACTTATTTTTTTAATTTTTTTTTTTTTTTTGAGATGGAGTTTTGCTCTTATAGCCCAGACTGGGGTGCAATGGCACAATCTCGGCTCACTGCAACCTCCACCTCCAGAGTTCAAGCAATTCTCCCATCTCAGCCTCCCAAGTAGCTGGGATTACAGGCACCTGCCACCCCTCCTGGCTAATTTTTATAGAAGAGACAGGGTTTCCCAATGTTGGCAAGGCTGGTGTTGAACTCCTGACCTCAAGTGATCCGCCTGTCTTGGCCTCCTAAAGTGCTGAGATTACAGGCTTGAGCCACCGCGCACGGCCTGATTTAAAGTGTCTTTATTTTCTTTCAATCTTGTAAAATATTTTTTAACTTAATATTGAACTTTTCCCTTTCAGGGTTTTGAAGATGGGATTTTATATTCTGGTTTGCCTTACTTCTGAGAGAAATTAGTAATCATTATTGTTGTGCACCTATATGTAAAATTATATTTAATATATTTCATGATTTTTCCTACTTTGGCTGCTTTTAATATTTTTCTCCTTATTTTTATTCTTAGCAATTTGACTATGATATGTCTAGGTGCAGTTTTCATTGGGTCCATTATCCGTGGGGGTTCACTGAACTATTTAGATATGAAGGTTTATAGTCTTCATTATATTTGTGAAGAATTTGCCTGTGATATTTTCCAGTATTTTTTCTTCCCCAGTTTTTCCCTTCTCTTCTTATGGGATTCTAATTATAGGTATGTAGCTCATTGTACTACAGGTCACCGAAGTTTTGTTTATTTTTATTTTCTGTACTTTTATTTGGATAGCTCTCATTGCCCCACCTTCAAGTTCACTCATCTTTTCTTCAGCAGGGTTCAATCTGCTGTTATACCCATCCAGGGCATTTTTCTTTTCAGTTATTTTATCTTTCAGAATTACAATGTTCATCTAGCTCTTTTTTATAGTTTGTTTTATTTTTTCTTTTGCAGAGATTTTCCATCTGCATACTTTACATTCATAATAGCTGTCTTAACGTCTGTGCTGTATCTGAGTGTTTCTATTGATCATTTTCTTCTCATTATGGTCACATTTTTCCTTCTTTTCTTCTTATTTAGTAACAGTTTTGATTGCATGCTTGCACATTGTGGATATTACTGTTGAGTCTAGATTTTGGTTGTTGTTCTCTAGAATATTGTATTAGTCTGTTCTCATGCTGCTAATGAAGACATACCCAAGACTGGGTAATTTATAAAGGAAAGAGATTTAATGAACTCATAGTTCCACATGGCTGGGGAGCCCTCAATAATCATGGCAGAAGATGCAGGAAGAACAAAGGGACATCTTACATGGCGGCAGGCAAAGAGGGAGGTTGTACAGGGAAACTCCCATTTATAAAACCATCAGATCTCATCACACTTATTCACTACCACGAGAACAGTATGGGGAAACTCCTCCCATGATTCAATTGTCTCAGCCTGACCCTGCCCTTGACACGTGGGGATTATTACAATTCAAGGTGAGATTTGCATGGAGACACAGCCAAACCATATCAACTATTGAGCATCTTTCTGTAAGCCAGCTAGTTTATTGGCAGATCAGTTTTATCCTGTGAAGGTATATTTTTTAGGCTTTATTAGGCTGAGTGTAGAATAGCATTTACTTTGCAGTTAGAGTAACCTTCTAAGCTTCTACAATCATACTGCTAAGGCATGATTTTATTGAGAATGCAACTGAATGGCCAGATAATTTAGTGAAATGACTCTACCCTAGCTGTTTAAAATTCCAATTTTTTCCAATGAGTATAACCTCCAAAGTCTGTGCTTAACTCACAACCTGTAGCTTCTTTTTCAGGACTCATGGCATCTCAACCAGTGCATTAGTATTCATCTAAAAACTCAAAGTTACTCTTATGGTCAGATTGTTCTCTGTATAACTCTCTCACCTCCAATATCTTGCCCCGGAAGTTGCAGGCACCTTGGCTGTTTCAAAATTTGATCTCTGTTTTTTCCCGAATGATGATCTGAATCTTAATGAGATCTTTGCTCTGGGTTTGGGTGATTGCCCTTCCTTGTTAGGAAAGAACCTTCAGGCAAGACTCCCAGGTGTTTCCCTTCTATCAAGTATTACAGCTCTATGCCATATGATATCTAATGACTGAAAACAGTAATTAATATATATTTATTCAGTTTTATAATTCTTCATAACTGGAGGGTGATTTGATACTCATCTACCCTATCATGGTTAGAGCTGAAAGTTTTAAATCTTTGTTGTTTTGTCTGTTGGAGGTTTTTGTTTGTTGTTTGTTTGTTTTTCTGTTAATCACTTTCTGTATGTTCTTGTAACATTTTTCTCTTAAGATTTTTATAGTATTCTTAATAATATATTAAACTTTGACAGTTATAATTCAAAATTATTTTTTGTAGTTTGCTATTTTAAAAATTGTGTTTATTTCACAGAGACATACATTTTAAATGTTTAAATGTAGTCAAGTCTATCGATCTCTCCTTTTATGGCTTCTGCTGGGAGTTATGCTCAGAAAGTCCTTCAAGCTCAAATTGTATACTCCTTATTTCTCATGTCCTTAAATAACATTTTTAGCCTTTTAATGTTTAATATGGTTGGAATTTATATGGTATAGGGTATGAGGTGGGGATTTAACTTGAATTTTATTCATAGTTAGATAACTATTTTTCTAATACTATTTATGAACTGACTTATGCTTCCAATCACCAATTTTAGATGTTAGTGTTCCCACATATTAATTTTTTAAATATACAAATATCTACCTGCAGACTCTCTATTCTGTTCTATATGTATCTGCCTGCTTATTTTTACACTAGTACCACAATAAATTTAGTAGCATGTTTATTTAATTTCTTCTACTGTTTTCTTTTTACATTTCTATCTGTATATATTTTATAATTGAGTTTGTACTGTTTATGTAATTTTTTAGCCTTCATTTCTTTACAAGAAGTCGTATTTTTAAAAAAATTAAATTATTTACAAACATGACTTTTAGCAACTGTATAATATTCCATTATATGGATGTTCTATACTTTAGCCAATTCTTTATTAATGACCCATTTAGTGAATTTCCAGGTGTTTTTAACTATTAGAAGATAATGCTGCTAGGAATTTTCTTGAACATACATTTTTTGTTTATCTTCTTAAAATATTTTAAGAGCTTTTACCATATGCATTTTGATTGCTTTCCATAAAGTCTGCTTAATTTTACAATTTTACCAGCTATTATGAGTATAGTTCAAGGATTTGAGCTGAGAAATTGAATTAATTTAAAAAAAATTTAAACATCTATTATGTGACTACACCAGGGTTCATATGTAAAATAAATGTGTGACAAACACAGTTCTTGCCATTATAAGGCTTTTAAGGCAATAAGAGGGTTCCAGCTAAGCCTTTTGTGTAGATGGACAGAGCCTTGTGAAAATCTCCATACCAATATCTGCATTCTTAAGATAACACAAATAGAAAACAATGACCAAAACAATAAATAATTTTTTAAAGTTTCATTGCTTCTAGAAATTGTATTTTTTATTTTACAGCACAAAATATTCACATGAGAATATTTTTGCCTTCAAATAAGCATTCTATGTCTTCTGCTATTACTAAATGTAGTAATAGTGTATTTAAAAATCCATGAGATAAGTTATTGTCAGTAAGACATTATTAGAATATACACATTTTAATATGCTTATTAAAATGCATTTATATTTTTATGTTTATAAATATGTATATTTTTAGAAAATATATTCCTATATTAAAACATATAGTACATATTATATTTTATTAATTTCATCTGAAATATTTCAATATTTAATGAAGTAATAAATAATACTGATAAACCAATATTTGAAGTTAATATTCAAGAAGAATTAAATATGTTAATAAATGCATATTAATCTGTACAAACATAATAAATTATCAAATCAAATACATTTACTTCTATCTTGACTTTTTAATAATATGGTTATTTGAAGCATTATTTAGGTTGAATATTATTAAATTAGGTTAAGAAAATTATATTCAATAACTTTTTAAAAACAATTTCTGGCAAAATAAAATATATAAATAAACCTTCCTGTTAAAGCTGGTTGTTTAGTTATGCTATGAATTATTCTAGTGAGTTCAAACAGATTTTTAAGTAGCACTTGAGATATAATTTGCATAACATACAATTGACTCATTTGATGTGTGCAGCACGTTTTTTAGTACATTCACAGAATAGTGCAACCCTTACCACAATTACATTATTACCAGAATCTAGAATATTTTCATCACCCCTTCACCCTCATATCCTTTAGCAGTTACTCCCTATAGTCTCTCTACCCCTCTTGCTCAGCCCTAGGCAACGACTAATCTACTTTTTGTCTCTACAGATTTACCTTTATGGATATTTCAAATAAATTGAGTCATATAATATGTGGTCTTTTTGGACTGGTTTCTTTCACTTGCATATTTTCTAGATTCATCTAGATACATTGACACATGTAGCATGTGTCAATACTTCATTTCTTTTTCTTGCTGAATAATATTCCATTGTAGGATATATAATCTTTTATTTATCCATTCATTCATTGATGAACATTTGGGTTATTTCCACTTTTTGCCTACTATAAACAATGCTACTATGAACATTTGTGTACACATTTTTGGGTGGTTGTATGTTTTCATTTCTCTTGGGTATACATACAGGAACAATTTCTGGGTTTTAAGGAAATTCTATATTTAATTATTTGAGGATCGGCCACAATGTTTCCAAAGCAGCTGCTCAGCTTACATTCCCACCAGCAAGAGATGACAGTTCTAATTTCTCCAGATCTTCACCAACACTTATCATCTATCTGTCTGATTATAGCCATCCTAGTGCAGGCGAAGTGGTTTCTTACTGTGGTTTTGATTTGTATTTTCCTGATGGCTAATGATGTTGAGCATCTTTTTATGTGCTTATTGGCCATTTGTACATCTTCTTTGGAAAAAATATCTCTTCAGATCCTTTGTGCATTTTAAAATTGGGTTACTTGACTTTTTATTATTGAGCTGTAATAGCAAATATTTTCTCCCATTCTTTGGGTTGCTTGTTCACTTTCTTGGTGGTTTCCTTTGAAGCAAAATTATTTTATTTTCATGAAGTACAGTTTATCTCTCTTTTCTTTTGTTTCTTGTGCTTTGGATGTCATATTTGAGAAGGCTTTTTCTAATCCAGGGTCCTAAAGATTTACTCCTACATTTTTATTCTTATGTTTGTTCTGAGGAGAAACCTAGCTTTGTTCTGTTGCATGTAGATATCTAGTTGTCCCAGCACCATTTGTTAAAAAGATTATTCTTTCCTCATTGAATTGGCTTGGCTCCCTCAAACAGATTTTTGAATTCTCATATTTACTGAGAAAAATCACTGGCCTTGCTTTGTTATCTTTGCTTTTCAAAGGTGATGTGTAGACCAAGTGGACCTGAGCTCTGTTTCCATGGAGATGTTGAAACCATCCTTTGCCTTGCCAGGTGTCTTCCTGTGTGTTCAGCCCAAAAGCCTTGACCTTGCAGCCATTGCATCTATTCCACACTATGCTCCCCACTTCCACATTAGTGCTAGGCAATTCTAAGCTGGACACCCCAATTAAAATTACCCTGGGAGCAGCTTTCACCTTACATATAACCATTTTGGGTAATAAGAGCCTTGTAAGAGTTAGAGATTGCTTTTAGATAGTGTGCACACTCAAGAACCAAAATGGTTATGATCAACATTGTTGTAGAGAAAGTCAAAAAGAAGCTGAAAGCAACTAACCCCTGACAAGTGCCAGGAGAAAAACCTGTTCCTTGTTTTTCACAGATGCAGCCACAAGCAACATTAAGGTGCTCTGATAAATTCTTTACATTTGTTTTCTTCGAAAGAACTCATTAATTACAATGTTCCTTCTGTTCTCTTGTGAGAGGGACAGTTACGCTGAAAGCAATATGTTTCCAGTGCCAAACCACCTTCCCATTATTGTAGGCCCAAATTGCCTACTTATTCCAAGTCAAAAGAGTTCACTTGTGACCCTGTTTGCACCCTTTCTTTCACCAAACACCTTCCTGTTATTTGCATTATTGACAAGTGACTCCATCTTCATGTTGAGGAAATGGCATGAAAGAGATTCACTGTGTGAGGAAGACGGCAATACACAGATCATTCCCAGATGAGGCCATTGCTTCCCGGCATTCATTGAATGGTCTGAATTTCCATTCAAAAAGCATCAGTTAAATGCGAGCTGTTGGCTAACACTGGTAACAAAATAAGTCCATTCTCTCCAGGACCATACCATCTAATTGATGAGCAAAACACATCCTAAACAATTCAATCTTCCCATAAAGTAGCATGTGGGCAGGGGCCAAAATGAACTGGAAAAGAAAGATTTAATGAGAATTATTTGGTACAAAGCCCAGAATATGGCTAAGATTAGTAAATGTTTCTATATGAATGCTGATGAGAACAAGAAAGGTAACAGTTCAACAAGTGCAAGTCAGAAGGAAAGAGGTGTTTGGAACCATTCTGCTCTAAACTCGGGGAAGGAGTACTTCTTTAGCCTCCTGAAAAAGTCACAGCTTTTGGGAGGATTATTTTCCTCTTGAGAGTATTTTATTGATTCTGTAAAAAACATAAGGGAGCTTCAAAACTTTAGATTCCTGGAGTATTGAAAAGCTACTTTACATGTTAAAAAGCAGCAGAGATAGAAGAAACAGATGACCAACCTTGAAGTTGCTTGTCCTGGATTTTAATTCTGTTTTTCCATGCAGCATCTACGTGATCAATTTTTTAACCTCAGAGCTTCAATTCTGTCACTTATAAAATTAGAATAAAGATTCCTATCTCCCAGAATTACTGTATTTGTTAGGATAACATATAATAAAATTGCTGACGCCTATTAGATACTGACTAAATTACCATGGAATATGGGCTTAATATTTAGATACAAATTACTTTATTTATTTATTTTGTTTATACTCCCTTTCTTCCCTTAAGTGCAGAGATTGTTAGTCTACACTTAGACTAACAAATTAATAGTATTATTCTTTTTCTTCAGGTAATTTAAACTTTAGGTCTAAGGAAATGTCAACTGCATTGCAATCCCATCCAAAGGCATGAAATACATTTTGATAATGACACAAAAAAGGATCATGCTCTATAACAGGGACTACAAAATGATTTCTAGAAAAAATTTTTAATCTAATGATCTTTTTCAAAAAGCAGTATTGGGCTCCTCTATAATAAAAATTTAGTGGTTCACAGTGTAGTGAACAATTAACACGTTTGCAAAAATGTCTCATCCTGGGGTAATTTGTTAATTTTTGAGTACTTGTCTTCATACACCTAGAGGTACTTTGTGATTTCTATTTGTAAGCAACTACCGTGAAGAAGCAGGTGTCATGGAAAGCCATTTAGCAATCGTACTGGACATGGTTTATATATTCTCCCTAGATTCACTCAGTTGTGTTGTGATTTGAAAAAGAATTTGGTCTTTTCTCCTAGTATTTGACATAGAGCTTCAAACCCCCTTGGAATTTCCTGAGAGATAGGAGGGTCCTTTGTTAGTAATAATGAGCCCCTAAGGATCACACCAGAGTTTATACTAATGAGATAACTCTTAGGGGGAGTAAGGAAAGGGGTTGCATAGCTTCAAGATGAAGGCTAGTTTCCAGGAAAACTAATGACAGATTGGAAGTGTGAGAGGATGGCTGGAGGTTGAGTTCAACAACATGGCCAGTGATTTCATCAATTGTGCCTACATAATGAGACCTAGATAAAAACTCTGAAGAATGGGCTCAGGAAGCTTCCTGGTTGGTGAACATAGCGATGTACAGGAAGCGAGGGTCCATCAGGTCACACCCTGATCCTTTGCAGAGTGCAGCATGTGTTCCATTACCCACCTTGGTGAGTGCTGCAACAGCTCCAGGACTCAAACCTACCAGACCCATGGCAACTCTGGCTTCCTAGTGGCTACCTGGAAGGTACAGGTAGCAAAGCCCCAGTATCTCATGAGACAACCTTTAACCAAAGAAGGAACCAGCAGATAAATCAACCATCTTCCCTGCCACCAAAGAATTTTGTAAGACACAGGGATTGTTGACAACCTCTCTGGAGACATCCTACACATCTAAATAACTAGCTGAGTTTTCTTGTGTGTGAAATTGCAGCCAGATCAGTAATGTACTTCTTTCCTGTTTTTCTTCCCTTTCTTATTTATTTTTGCTTCTCTGGGATTACACCAACCCCTAAAGCATCAGCATGCAAGCTCTTCCTTAGGTTCTGTTTTCTAGGAAACCCAGGATAAGACAGAAGTATGACTAAGAAATCCTGTTTTAAAGGGAGCTGCAGCTGATGGCCTGGTGAGTAGTTTGCCTAGCGTCTGAAATGTAAACTGCAATGCCTGTACCCCTCAGGGGCAGGATGGGCTCAGATGGAGCCATCTGGCAGCGTATTGAGGCATCAGCCCAGGCTGTGAAATCCCCAGATATGTTACTATGCCCCTCCTAGTGATGTATAATACTTGAAACTAAAAATCCCGTCATATAGAAAAAAATGTTTAAATTACAAACATTGTTAGCTAGCAAACTTTCCCTGTTTAGGGGTGAGAGGATGTCTTTCTGCTATCATAATGATGATGATGGTTGATGGCCAGTATGGCTATTTTTAAAAAATGTCTTAATTGACAAAGTAAAAATTCTAATTTTTAAAAAATAGAAAAGTGTTTTTGATATGCAAAATCTTAGAGCCTCTGGATTTCCCCATTAGAGGACAGGACCCCAATTATCCATTCTGTGACTTTTCTTTGGCTCAGACATAAGATTGATTTAGAGTGCCCTTTTCGACAACCCTGAAAAGGAGTAACTGACTAGGGGTTTAGAAACTCTTGGTGAACCAGTGGAGGAGTGTGGGCTTCTCTTGTCAGATGCTTATCTGGAATATAACAAGGAAATTACTAACTAGATTGAGACTGAAAAAAATTAGAGAAGACATTTCTTTTGCACACCCACTACCTCTTTTCCTAAGTTTCCCATGCAGAAGTCACTTATTCTGTAAAATATCAGATAATTAGGTTTCTGGTATCTAGTGCTAACAGGACAATGCATTTACCGAGTCCATATCTGTTAGTGCTATATGCTAAATGAGACTATAATTGTTTTATTAAAATAAATAATTATTGAGAAATTGCAGGAGACAGACTTCTAGCTATAGTGAAGTGAAGAGATACGCTAATATTCTCCCCAACAAAAAACATAAATCTGTTTAAAAAAAACCCATAAAACCATATAAGTGCTCTGAAAATTGACTAAAGCAAAGGCAAATGAAAAATTGAAAGGTGTTTATTCATGAAAAAAAGAAACCCAGAAATTTAGGAAAGAACGGTAGAAACCTTCAGCCTTTTTGGTTGGGGCTATACCCATCTACATCTGCTACCTCAGCTCACTTTGTGCTATGGTAGTATCAGAATTGGGTGAACCATGACAAACAGCAGCTTCCTTGCCATGGGAGGCTGACTCAATTTGGAGCAAAAAGGAAAATCCATACCTGTCAGCACTGTCAATAAAAGTAATACCTTTGGTAGAAAATAAAAGAGAAAATCCACAGCTCTGCTAGCAAAAGATTGCAGTCCCAGTTGGTGAGAGTGGTGGACCAGCCATGAGTTTAACACGGAGATACTAAAGAAAGTCAGAGAAGGAATGTATGAGCCCTTCATATGTCTCTGCCTAACTGGAAAATTACTGACATGTGCAAGGGAGATCTGAGAGTCCTGGTAGAAGGGAGAAGCTGAGACAGAATTCATAAAAGCCTGAACTTGTAATACACTTCCCAACCTGCACACAGGTCCACTGGGAGAGGTGGATGCCTTAGGGATGGAACTTTTTAAGGACAGCATCTTCTCCATCACTGCCTGAATAATAAGCAAGAGATACTATGCAGACTTGGGAGCAACCTCCTAACAAGTCAGATGAAAAGTAAAAATAAGAGTAAAATATCTAAGCAGAGACATCAATGGCTTCACACCATTGCAGAGATGGATTCCATAAATTAAATCCAGGTGAGTTTTAGAAAAATTTCCATGGGGGGAAATCAGAATCCAGATTTGCTATAGTATATTGTTATAATTTAATTATTAAAATTATCACAATTTAATTTTCAACAACAAAAAATTGAGACATTCAAAGAAATAGGAAAGTGTGAGCCTTACTCAGGGAAAAAGCAAGCAGTCATTAGAAATGAAATCTAGTAGGTCCAAATGTTGGCATCAGCAAAGATGCCAAATAATTATTATAAATACATTCAAAGAATTAAAGGAAAATATAATGACAGTGTGAAAACAAATAGGGACACCAGCACTCAGATTTTAGTTTCTAATACTATTCTCCACTGGAGGAACACAGCAGTCCTTGAAGAAATGGCTGGGGCAGGGATATACAAGATGACCCTGGAGTGACTTACAGTGTCATAGAGTAAGAAAATGCTCAAAAAACCGTAATAGTGGAGGTATGGCAAAGGGACACAAGATCTAAATGAAAGAGCTCCCAATGGACAAATCTGAAACAATTTCAGCAACAAAATAAATAATGTAGTATTGGATTATAGCCCAAAGTAAAAAGAAATATCCATCTCCCTACTAATAGGAGTAAGTTATTGAATAAATAAGGGAAAATAGACAAATCTCCTGTACAGAAGAATTTCAAATCATTTAGTAAATACTCTCACCTCAAAGAGGTGGAGGTAACTCTCTATATTTAAGTGTAAGATGTGCATAATTGCTTCCTTCTGAAGAATACAGTATGGAAAACTGGGAACAAAAAACAACTTTTCAGTGGAGAAACCAAATACTTCTAAAGCCAGATGATCAAGGTTAATGTCATCTGTGATAAGTCGGGTTAATAGTATGTGCCCTGGATATTATGTGATGAGGATAGTACTTATACCTCTGCAGTCTTACTCCCAAAAGCCCATAATTTCAGTCTAACCCTAACCATGAGAAAAACATCAGACAAATTAAAATCAAAGGACAGTCTACAAAATACCTAATCATTACTTTAAAAAACCGTCAAGGGTCATTAAAATCACAAAAAGCCTGAGAATTTGTCACAGTCTAGAGGAGGCTGAGGAGAAATAATGACTAAATATAATGTAATATCCTGGATGGGGCCCTGGAACTGAGAAAGGACATTAGGTAAAAACTAAAGAAATCTGAGTAAAGTATGCATTTTAATAATAATGGATCAAAACTGGTTCATTAGTTGTTACAAATACAATAGGTTAACAATAGAAAATTTGGTTTGGGCTACATGAGAGCTCTACAGTATTCTTGCAAATGTTCTATAAATCTAAAACTTGTAAAGTTAGAAGATTAAAAAAACAAAAGGGGGGAATCTCAACAGAGATATAAAAACTATAACAAATGGAATTTCTAGATTTGAAAAGTAAAATAACTTAAATGAAAATTAGCTAGAGAAGATCAACAGCAGATTTGTGATAGTCACGTGGATGACTTTTCACTTCCTGATTTCAAAACTTACTATAAAGTAACACTAATCAAGGCAGCTTACCTTGACAGGTATGGGACAGGTATTGCAATATAAACATATAGACAGATCAATGGAATAGAACAGGAAGTCCCAGAAGGAAACTCTTATATTTATAATCAACTGCTTTACAGTAAAATGTACCAAGGTGATTCAGTGGGAGAAATGATAGCCTTTTTCGAGAATGGTTACAGAAGAATTGAATATTCATATACAAAAAAATGAACTTATCTTTTTCTCACATCACATAAAAAATTAACTAAATTACCCAAAATCAATTGCAAATTTAAATGTAAAAGCAAAAACTATAAAACTACTAGCAGAAAATCTAAAATTTTTGTCACCATGGGCACTAATGTGACACCAAAAGCAAGATCTTAAAGAGAAGCAAGATCTTAAAGAGAAAAAGAAATTATAAATTGAACTTCTTCAAAATTAAAACCTTGTTTTTTAGAGACAGGATCTCACTATGTTGCCCATGCTACCTACACTTGATCTCCTGGGCCCAAGTAATCCACCTGCCTCAGCTTCCCAAGTAAGAATTTAAAAATTAAAAACTTTTGCTTTTCCAAAAACATCACTGAGAAAATGAAAGCATAAGCCATACACAATGAAAAAAATGTGTAAATTATATATCTGATGAAAGACTTGTCTCTAAAATTTAAAAACATTCTTCATAAGAAGATAAACAGCCTGATTATAATGGAGCTAAAAGATTTAAAGACATTTCACCCAAGAAGGCTTATGAATGGCTAAACAGAACATAAAAACATGATCAATATCATTAGTCAGCAGGGAAATACAAATTAAAATCTCAGTGAGAGACCAGTGCATACTCACTAGAATAACTAAAATACAAAAAAATTGACAATACCAAGTGTTGGAGAGGATGTGGAAAGATTCAAACCCTCATACATTCCTGGTGAGAATGTAAATTGGTGTAGCCATTTTTATAAATGTTGGCATTTTCATAAAATTGAAACATATATTTACCATGTGACCCAGCAATTCAGCTCCTTGGGTAACTACTTGGGAGAAATGAAAACATATGTCCACCTGAAAATTTGTGCACAAATGTTTATTGTGACTTTATTTATATTAGCCAAAAACTATATCCAATGCAATCAAAATTCATAAACAGAATATGGTATGTGTGAACAATGTAATACTATTTGGCAACCCAAAGAAATGAACTACTGATACATGCTACATCAATGAACCTCAAAAATATTATGCAAAGCAAAAGAAGCTAGACTCAAAAGACTACATATTGTATTATTCCATTTAAACAAAATTTCTAGAAAATACAAATCTATAGAGAAAGAAAGCAGTGTTTCCCTGGGACTAGAGGTTGAAGCTGGGACTGATTGCAAACGAGCATGAGAGAACTTTGAGATTGGTAGAAATGTTCTAAGATTGGACTTTGGGGTATGCTGCACAACTCTACAAATTTACTACGAATTTTTGAATTGTGCATGTGCAAAGAGTGAATTTTATGGTATATAAACTATACCCCAATAAAGCTGCTTTCACATTTACTATGCCACTGCCATTCAAGCCTCAGCGATGTGCAATTTTGTTTTGTTTTGCTTTAGCTTCTTAGGTTCTAGATGGAAGCTTAAAAGTGTTCATGTTCTTTCCATCCAAAAATCATGTCTGGAATAAAGAGCCTATGGGTTCACTAGAAGACAGTTCCAATTTAACAAATGCAATTGGAAACCAACTTATACCTTTTAATAATAGTGCAATCTTTTTATAAACCAAAACTTTCCCTTTTCTTGTTGGAGAAAGTTTTCTTTTAAATTAAAATGTTTTTGATTTTTTAGCACACTTCAAGAATGAAGACTCTTAAAAGAAAAATGTTCTGGGATTTTTTTTTTCCATTTCTTTTGAATACACATATAAAACAGAGCTGAAAAAGAGCACATTTGAAACCTAAGACATTCTTTTACTTCATTTCTCATTTATTTGTCCTTTACTCGTTCCAACAATATATGTTTGTCTGCATTTTCTAAGCTCCGGTTTTTCAGAACTCTCTGCTTTCATTTTATCAAATCTTATTTTTTGGTTGGGAACTTTTTTTTTTTTAATTATACTTTAAGTTCTAGGGTACACATGCACAATGTGCAGGTTTGCTACATATGTATACGTGTGCCATGTTGGTGTGCTGCACCCATTAACTCATCATTTACATTAGGTATATCTCCTAATGCTATCCCTCCCCACTCCCCCCACCCCACAACAGGCCCCAGTGTGTGATGTTCCCCATCCTGTGTCCAAGTGTTCTCATTGTTCAGTTCCCACCTATGAGTGAGAACGTGCGGTGTTTGGTTTTCTGTCTTTGCGATAGTTTGCTAAGAATGATGGTTTCCAGCTTCACCCATGTCCCTACAAAGGACATGAACTCAACCTTTTTTATGGCTGCATAGTATTCCATGGTGTATATGTGCCACATTTTCTTAATCCAGTCTATCATTGATGGACATTTGGATTGGTTCCAAGTCTTTGCTATTTGAATAGTGCTGCAGTAAACATATGTGTGCATGTGTCTTTATAGCAGCATGATTTATAATCCTTTGGGTATATACTCAGTAATGGGATGGCTGGGTCAAATGGTATTTCTAGTTCTAGATCCTTGAAGAATCACCACACTGACTTCCACAATGGTTGAACCAGTTTACAGTCCCACCAACAGGGTAAAATTGTTCCTATTTCTCCACATCCTCTCCAGCACCTGTTGTTTCCTGACTTTTTAATGATCGCCATTCTAACTGGTGTGAGATGGTATATCATTGTGGTTTTGATTTGCATTTCTCTGATGGCCAGTGATGATGAGCATTTTTTCATGTGTCTGTTGGCTGCATAAATGTCTTCTTTTGAGAAGTGTCTGTTCATGTCCTTCGCCCACTTTTTGATGGGGTTGTTTGATTTTTTCTTATAAATTTGTTTAAGTTCTTTGTAGATTCTGGATATTAGCCCTTTGTCAGATGGGTAGATTGTAAAAATTTTCTCTCATTCTGTAGGTTGCCTGTTCACTCTGATAGTAGTTTCTTTTACTGTGCAGAAGCTCTTTAGTTTAATTAGATTCCATTTGTCAATTTTGGCTTCTCTTGCCGTTGCTTTTGGTGTTTTAGTCATGACATGCCTATGTCCTGAATGGTATTGCCTAGGTTTTCTTCTAGGTTTTTTATGGTTTTAGGTCTAACATTTAAGTCTTTAATCCATCTTGAATTAATTTTTGTATAAAGTGTAAGGAAGGGATCCAGTTTCAGCTTTCTACACATGGTTAGCCAGTTTTGGTTGGGAACCTTTTTAAACTATCTTGTGTTAAAGGAAAATAAAATCTTGGTACACTAAACATACTATGCCACAAGGAAGAGTTAAGATTGGAAACTGAGTCATGCAAAACAACCCTGCCTTTCCTTTTGCTCCTAAACAGATAGCTACATGATAGAATGCCAGGTATCTCCCCAAGTGGCTTCCTTACCCTGACAATGTAAATTAACAGCTTACCTTCATGAGTATGGGATGAGAGGAAACTAGAAATCACCCATCTGCCCACCCCGAGATAAATGTATGTTTGATTTCTTCCACTACTATAAGATTATCTTATGGAACGTACAGACTGAGCACAAGATGAAAACTATTCCTCTACCCCCTGATTTTCACATGCAACACACGGATTCAGTGAGCACTAATCAAAGCCTCAAAAGAATATAACCACTCTCTCATTTTTCTACCCTTCCCTTTATTTCCCTTCCTCCTTCCCTTCTTGTCTGCTTTTTCTCCCTTAACTACTGAAGCCCGCAAAACTCTCCTTGGAAAAAGTGCTGGCCACAGATCCTACAATAGCTTGTGTCTCTTTTTCCCAGGTGTGTCCTCAACCTTGGCAAAGTAAACCTCTAAATTGATTGAGACCTGTCTTAGACACATTTTTGGTTTACTTCTGTATAATGCCTGCCTTGGGTACAGACAACATTCATTCCAAGGGACCTTCCTCCCTTCTTTTAGGATCTATTCTACTGCTTCTTTCTGCTGGCTTTGTGATCAGGGCCCCCATTAGCAGTTTGACCACCCCATTCTGTTTTAATTTGTAAAATGATGAATACCAATAGTATTTGTAACATAATAAGAAATATGTATTTTGTCTCTTTCCCTGGTTTCTAACCCAGAATTTCTAAAACCCTTGTAATTTCTTGAATGATTGGAGTGATAAGAGTATCTTTTATTATAATAGTTGTCCTTAGTTCCTGACACAAGAGCTTCTAACACCCTTAGGATCTCTGTGTGATGAATGTCTTTTCGTGTGCCAAGGAGATGGCTGGTGGCTAGGGGCCTCTAGGTAGCTTAGGGTGAGGGCTAGGATTGCCAGAGGAGCAAACCATGTGACTTGAGGAGGGGATGGGAGAAGGACTGGAGATTGAGTTGATTACCAATTAAATCATTATTTAATCAGTTGTGCCTATGTAATATAAACTCCATAAAAATGTTAAACAATAGGATCTGGGGAGTTTCCAGGTTGGTGAACACATCCACCTGCTGAGATAGTGATACATCCCATTTCCATAGGGCAAACCTATTGCATTGAGGACAGTTCCAGACCTTGCCCTGTGTACCTCTTCATCTGGCTGCCCATCTGTGTTCTTTATAATAAGTTAGTAAACATTAGTAAAGTGTTTCCCTGAGTTCTGTGAGCTGCTCTAGCAAATTATCAAACCTGAGGAGGAGGTCATGGGAATCCCCACCTCATAGCTCAGTTGGACAGTAGCGAGAGCAACCTGAGGACCCAGTGCTGTGATTGGTGTCTGAAGTGGGGAACCATCTTGTGAAACTGAGCCCTTAACCTGCAGGGTCTGCCCTAAGTTAGTGTCAAAATTGAATTAAAATTGTATGGCACTCATTTGGTATCCACAGGGAACTGGAGAATTGCTTAGTGTGGAAAACCCACACATTTGGTGTCAGAAATATGTGAGTAGAAAAACAGGTTTTCCTTTTAGTACTTCATAAGCTTACTTTGAAGTTTGAAAGTATTGTACATAGCATATTCTTGGCCACCAATTGAGATGGATTTTCTTTACCTTTTCAACAAATGTATATGGAAAGTATGAATGTTGAAGATAGGCCATTTGTAATAAGTCTCAAATTTGGAAAAAGGCATGCCTCAAATTGTATTTATAACTTGTAAGGCAACTCCATGGAAATAATTTTGCACATGAAAGTAATTAAATGTTTAGGCTTGCCTATAAAGTTTAGTCTAAGCCATTATATTGGTCTGTGGTTCTCAGTCTAGGGTTCGTATATTACCAAGTATATATAATAGCATATAGCATATGGGGTATACTGGAAGCCCAGAATAAATATAGCTTACATCTTGGAGAGTGGTTACTTTTATGTATATAAATAATCTAAGATATTTTAAAATTTAAGTAAATATAACAAGGAACGGAATGCAAAAATGCTTATAAACTTTCAAGATAAATCATACGTCTTCACAAAAACTTCACAGAGGGTAGATGGGGCTTGGGGAAATGGTGGGATATACAACCCCTGTCCTTTAATGGACACTTATGTGGAAAAATCTAATCATCTCTCATCCAGTTTCATGGTGGTATGCACACAACAGTACTTCAGAACTAACTTTCTAAGTTTAATATTGTTGCTATGGGACAATATTGCATCAGACATTGATTACACAGAGAGGGGTCTGCATCACCATCATCCCTACTCCATTACATTTTCACTGGCTGTAACACACTTTGACTTGTCTGTCTCAAACACTAGGGAAGGAAACCAAACTGAGAGTTCCAAGCAGGAGGAAATGGGAATTTATGGTTCTTGAGAGAGGATCCCAGGTAGTAGGAAAAGAGACTGAGGTATAGTTCTTGCAAGATTCAGAGAGGGGTTCAAATCTTCTGTAAGTGTGCTCTGAAAGTGAAGTCTTGGAGAATGGGAAGGCTGCTTATGAGGTCCTTCATAAGTGGTAGTGATGGCTATGGCCTTCAGCTGCAGGAAGTCATCCAGGGATGAAGAACCTGCATCTTCAAGGCAAGCCTGTTGACCCTCTGCCGTCACTGGGCATGATACAATAAGGAAGAAATGTAGGAGAGGAAAACCATCTCAAGGAGGATGGAATAGCTGAACTGCTTACTAAGGGAAAGTTCTGGTTGCAAAGGAGGTAAGGAGTTACACAGAAGGAAACTGAATCCCTAGTCAGAGAGGTCACTCAGCTCCTACATGAGGCATTCCAAAGCCAGGGTCTCCCACTGTACATAATAGGAGGTTGCCTTTAACAGGACAGGAGTGTGTGATGTATACAAATGCAAAGGCCATGAGTAGGGGCAAGGGAGGCACATGTATCTCTCAGATGCATTTTGTTTAGCCTGTCCAGTGTTTTAGAAACAAGAGGGGAATACCACATTTACATGAAGATTTCTGGATTTTGTTGAATAAAATGTCACAATTTAGGTACAACATAGCATTCCAGCAAGGCAATGACCAGTTGGAGCCTGAACTCTCCTGTTCTACACAGTCTCCTTTCTTTCCTATTGTTTCATACTCAGCTCTGTTCATTTATTTATGTGAGTGGCCCAGATTCTGGAGGCATGTGAGCTTGTGATCCTTGGCAAAGATTAAGGACTCCTAGAGGCTTCATTGCATTAATAGAATATATTAGGGAGTCCTTTTTTAGCCACCTGTCCTACCTTAACCATCACTAAAGTAAATGTGTTATATATAAAACACTTAGAATAAAGTCTGGCACATAATAGATACTTAAAACTTGTTATTCCTAGGAAATAAAAATCAGTTTATTCAGATTCATTCATTCATTCAGATTTTCTACTGGTTCAATTTTGCCAATTCTCACCGCCTAATCATATCGACATTTTAAAAAATCTATTTTACTCAAAATGAATGAAATCTGCACTTATCAATGAGTTACTATGAGCCTGGTTGTACATATTGAATTCTACAAAATACAGTGTCAGCCTGTTATTACTAACTTGATTATTAATGACCTGCTAATGGAAGAGGGGCCCTGACAACCAAGTGGATGTTAATAGCTCTTCTCTGGGAGATGAAATTTAAACACAAAGTTAACCATTTGTAAATGAAGTAGGATACGTCTGGGATGGTCTTCAAAAGGAGAGGTTTTTGTTGTTGTTGTTGTTGTTTTGTTTTGGTAATATATTTAAGATAAGAAATAAAAACGAACTACATAAACAGGAAATACAATTGGGATTGCTTGGAGCAAGCATGGGTATAAGAGCTCTGATCATCTCAGAATAATTTATCACAGAGCTGGAAGACAGCTCAGTCAGATGATCCCCTCCTTTCTTTAGCTGAGGAAGAAGCTGAACTCCAAAGAGGGGATGCTGCTGGAGCAAAGTCACTGCGTGTGGTGGCAGAGTCAGTCTAGGACCAGACTGATCTCTCTACTTGCACTCTGCAGAGCACAGCACGTGGGATCAGATGCTTGAATCTGTCAAACATGGGGAAGGGTGCATAGGGTGATTCTCCTATGTTGGCACTGGTCAGACTTTCATCTGAGCCTCTCTTCATTCAGATTGTGCACTGCAGTCTCCCTGTCCACTGCACAGCCATCTTCCTCAATAACAATACAATCTGAATGTTTGCTACCATCAAGATGTAACTTTAGAAAGGTGCAGAGGAGAGCAGCAAAAGTTGTTAAAGTTACAGAAACCATCCCTGGGAAGACAGGCAGAAAAATTTGAATTATATTGCTGGAGAAGGAGAGAAAAATCCAACATAATGGTCCCTATGAAGAGGATAAAGATGTCAGTAAGGAGGCGTTCAAAGTGAGGGTTAATAAATCAAAGAATCAGGGCTTTAGAACAGCAAAGAAGCTTAAATATTGTAAGTTCAGATTCCTCCTCTGAGTTGTGATAAAATAGAGGCTCAGGAAGTGTCACCAACTTTCCTGAAGGTCATTACAGAAATGGGGAAAGACCCCAGGACCCCTAACCGTCCCCCCGCCCCCCACTCGCCATTCCTCTGCTTTTCTCTTTATAAGCCACTGCAAGTAACTGGCCAGTAAAAAAAAAGAACAAACACAAGCCTGAGAAGAAGAAAAACCTGACTTTTCCAGAAAGATGTTAAGCCAAAAGCTATCAATCATTTGGACCAAGATTCATCTGGCTAATAGGCCTTTAAACACAGATCCCCAATCTAAATTTCCAAGGTCCCTTTTTAATAGATTTTGCTAAGAATCTGCAAAAAGAAGGAAGAAAAAAAGAGCCATTTTCTACTGTGAGAAGATTGGGTTTAGTCGGATGGAATCATATTTTTCCTTCTTCTCTTTCATGACTAGCGAGAATTCAAGCTTTCCATATGCTTGGTTGCACTGGGCAGTGGCAAGGAAACAATAACATTTGATTTGACTTTTGTTTCTGCTCCTTGTAATTTTAGCTGACAGGCCAAGTTACCTTCATTTCCATATTGCCTTCTGCTGTTCTACAAGACACTCTTGCTACCTGACAGCTCTCTGGTTTGCACCTGGGTTTCTGATAAAAAGGCCAAGGACAATGGCAGGGCCTTCCGCATTAGGCAATTAGAACATCCTTTCAGCACCCTGGTGTGAGGGCCCCTGGCATAGAGTTACAGATTAGATATGCATTAGGATGGTGCAAAGCTGTTTTTCTTCTTTCTCTTTTCATTTCTCTCCCTGTCCACTGCACAACCATCTTCCTCAATAACAACACAATCTGAATGTTTTCAGTGTGCTCTTAAGCTCCAAATAGAAGCAACTGACTGTCATTTTCTTCCAGGAAACATAGCCAATATGAAGCCAGGGCCCCAGGTTTATAATTCTGAGGTAAGAGTTAGCATCTCAGTGGAAGGGAGGGTGGAGGACTTGTCATTTTAGCTGGCCCTAGTAGCCAAAGGGTGGAGAGGAGCACATGGACTTTTCAGATTTCAGCTTGCAGCAGCCTGCTTACCTCATTACCAAGCCCAAGTCTTCCAGATAATGGGGACACCAAGTTCTTCCCAGAGTTCATCTCCAGATTGCTCTAACAGTTCAACAACTTGTTTGCTTTCTTATTGCTCTTTCCAAATTTGTATTTCATGATTATTTTTTACAATTCTCTTTGTCAGACCTGGATATGATTTTACAAAGTCTATAGCCAGTTTTGATTAATAAAATCTGGGCATTTTCAAGGATGAAAAAAACTCATCACTGAACTAATTATTTGTGGCTGATGATGGCTTCTGTCAACTCTAGACAAACCCTTTAATTTCTTAGTGGATTACTAAGCAGAAAGGTCTGTTGGTTATGTAAAACGATTTAACTAAAAATAATGGAGGGGGAGAAAGTGATTTAACTACCATCAGCTCCTCTCTTCCATCCACTTCCATTTGAGATTGTTGATTAGTGTTTCTTTATTTCTTGAGATGAGCCATGGTGTTAGTAATTACTAGTATTGCTATTATTATTGGTTAGTTATGTCAATTGAAACATTTTTACTTTCTTCTTAATTCTAATGAAACAACAGAATTTTTGAGTTGGAAGAAATCATACTCTTTCTCCCACTGTATGCTGAAGGTTGATGATCCAAATTTTGCTTTTATATTTTTAGAGGCAGGGAATGCCCCACTTCTGAGGACCTCTAACTATTAGAGACATCACCCCTTCTTTTTCATTTCTATTATTTAAAAGTTTTTCTTAAGAGATGCAATAATGCTAGTTACAGAGAGGACTATATATTGTTTGATCTGAAAATTGAATATCTTAAAAAGAACACACGCTTTGGTAGGGAAGATATAATGGTAATTCCCTGTTCCTTTATTCCAACACATATAATCTTTATCTTTTCACACGTCTTACAGTGGAATGTATCTGTGCATTTCAGGTAGACTTCTTTTTTCCTTAAAATGTTATTTAATCAGTGATATATTTTACATTTGATGGCATCTTGCAAATGAAGATGTAATGATTGTAATATCTTACATAGTATAGCATTGTAAAAAACTTTTAGTTCTGCTCTTTTGCAGGTAATGTGTACATTTTGTATATATTGTACCTCAATGTTATGGAAAAGCATATGCCAGACATCCTGCCTTCCATACCCCCACTCAAACAATGAGGATTTCTTGCATAGTAGGAGGGATCATGTCAAAGAAAATTCAGGACGGATTTTAGTAAAGGATAGACATAGAAGGAGAACGTTAGACTCTATTAAGAAACGTATCTGCGTATGAGACAAGTTCTCCTTTATAACTCCTGGAACAAGCCACTTAACTTCTCTGAACTTGAGCTCTCATCTGTAAAACCAACACAATAAAGCAACTCTCTAAAGACACAAGGGGGCTCTTGTAACTTCTCTAAGCTAGAGCTCGATGGCAAAGAGTTAGACACTACCCAAAGCTTTTGACTGTTAATATTTCTTTTTTTAACCCAATTTAAAATTGCATTAAATTGTTAGTTTTTGGCCCAATGCTGATGATTGATGTTTCTTCTCAGTTGCCCACTAATACTGTTTCTAGGGTCAAACCTCAAAGTATGCTACACCCTGACCACTTATGCCGGATATAATGAAAAAGGAATTATTTGAAAATCAGGAAGAATGTGGTTTTTTTCTTGTTTTTTAGGATTCTCTCAGTATTTATAAGACTAAAGATGGATAAAGGCAGTTCTAAAAGCAACTTGACATAATTTAGATGATATATTGCAGGCCCAATATTTCTCTCAGAAATCACACTATAAGAATATTTCATTGACCAGAACTAGACTTGTCAATATTTGGTATTGTGATTCTGGGGAGAACAAAAAAGGAGAGATGGAGTCTTTTGTGTGGTACCAGTTGTTTTAAATTCCATGTTTCTGTATTTATCCAAGTTATTATTTCTGCTTTAATTAGTCTCAGTCAAGCAGAAATTATTGACATGTACATCATGGAAAGGGCATGGCTTAGTATTTGTCAACACTGCCATTCCTTAGAGAAAGTGGGGACTGTTGTATATCTATATGGCTAACATATTGTTCTAGCTACTTATCACATTTCCTCCTCCGTGATGCCATTCAAATCTGTCTTTCCTTTGAATAATCATAATGCCCCATTCAAATAAAAAAATGACAATTGCCACATAGTATAGACATGCTCTTAGTTAAGCACTGTTCAAATCAAGATTTTCAGAAAAATATAAAAACCATACAGAGTAGAGGGCATTCGTAAGTTATGTTTCTGATGAATGTTTTGTCTGGATTTTTGATATCCTACTGGGCAATAAAATTTTCTAAATTTTATCCAATATGGGAACTCTTAAGCAGTGGCATAAATAAAATCTGCCAGGTCACCATCAACAGAATATTTCTAAGGCTGGCAGTTATCTTCTCAGTAAATCCACTTAGTCCCATGCACAGCAATTTCCAGAGAAGGTGGCTGAGTTTGCAATGTATTGTGATCAATATCATGCTATGACTGGAATGGCAGAGAACATTTTAATTCTGTTGATGAGAAGCTGGCTCAGAACATAGGAATTCACCTCAGGGGTTTAACAAAAATAAAAACTATGATGTAAAATATTACCTTCCCACCACTCCATATTCCCAATAAATCTTTTGAGTCTATGAATGCACTAGGCTGAAAAACTATGCTGCTGTTATTTTTTCTAGGCCCAGTCATGCTATCAGGGTATTCATTTTGGTGGAAATGACTTCTTTCATTCTCAAGAATCCCACCAGCTGAAAGTATAGCAACAATGATACAGAAAAGTATTTTGAGTTGCAGGGATGCTATGCCCATAAGAACTACTCAGAAATACCATTCCTTCAGAAGATTAAGTATTTTATAACTACTTTAAAGAACTACTAAACTACTTTCCTCCTGCTGCCATACCCTATGACCCTTTGGTCTACAAGATTCGGTGGCCTTTAGGGTGCAGAACATCTCAGCAAAGCACTTCAGGCTCTGCCTTTAAAAGCATCTGATTTTCATTTTTCTTTTGGCATTTTCTCACATATCCTTTTACGAACTCGATTCATGTCTTTTTAGCTCTGGAAAAAGTATTCTTAAGTTGGAATGAGAAATCAGGAATATGGGAATTCATATGTTGCGTGCATGTGTGGTTAGTGGTGTGTGCGCCATTTGTACGCATCACTGGCTGGGGGAAGTTAAATCATTTTTGGATACAGTTTGTGGCAAGAGCATCCAAAGTGCCAACTTGAGGTCTTTGAAGTAACATTCTGTACAACCCGTTATTGAGGTGTTTCTTGCCAGTTTAAAGCAGAGGAAGTACCCATTGAAAGGGGAATGTTTTCCTTCTCTTGCCATTCAAGACACACAGGGACATTCCTTAAACTCATCTGAAAGAATTGCTAAATTTTTCTTTATTTTTCTTCCATCTGGTGAGGACACAATGACTTATGATATGAATATTTTCTTAATTTCTCTCTTTGCCTCTCATCTCTTCTAAAGTGGGATTTAATAAACAGATGTGTAAATAAGAAAGGTTAAAATGGGCAGCCCCCTTCAGGGGGTGGATGGCTAGTTTAGTGGTGGTAAAAGTTAGAGGGGCAAGTCTCAGCCTCTTGCTCTGGATTATAAGGGTTCAAGTCCTAGTTCAAGCAGAGGCTCCAGGACCTCTAGTATATCACTTCCTTTCTTGACACTTTGTGCAGAAAATGAAGATAATGACTGCTATGGCATCAGCCCCTCTAACAGGGTTGTCCTGAAGCTTTAGCTCATTAAACAAAGGGAAAAGCACCTTCAGAGCACAAAATGAACAATAATAACTTTGGCTGATGGAAAATCCTACACTTTGTATCCCAGGATTAATAGATTTGTAGACAGTCCTTTTTAACAGTTTTTTTTTAACAGTTTGTCCTACTGGGTTTATAATGTGCTAAGAAGTAAAAATCCGTATGATAAGAGAATTTTAAAGGCATATCAACTTCAACTGTGTATATAAAGGGCACTACTGATAAGAATTTCTCAACCAGCAACTGGCTAAAGGAACTACTAGCCTTGTCAGAGAGAGAGGATTTTATTCACTCCCCAATACCCAGGTTTGCAGGATGACTTTCCAATTAACTTGTGGTTCAGTTGAGAGACATAGAGGCATCAGTTTACTTAGCTGATTGGTAGAGAGTTGTGAAGCTGAGCGAGACAGAGTAGCTGCTCATCAGACCTTCCTGGCCACAACACTCTGTCCCTGCCCTTGCTCTCACAGAAACAGAGGAAACCCCCTGAGCCCACAGTGGGTTGGGATGGACGCATGACAGCCTGGTTTGGGCCCGTTCCTTCCAGTTCAGAAAGCTGAGTTCAAAGAGCAATGACCCTGCTGCTCCAGGGAAAAGCATAAAGAAGAAGTCAGACCACTGCCCATGAATTAGATGGCGGTTGGAAGAAACAAAGAGAGCTAAATTGTTACTGGCTTCCTCACCAGGTCAAAGAGGTGCTGGCTAAGAAACCTTACCCAGGCACCACCTGGGTAGCTGGTTGTTTCTAAGCAAAAAGGGAAATGCTTCCCTAGGTATCACATGTGGTAACGCTGTTGAATGACTCCCAAGGGGCACCTGCCTTTCTCTTTCTTTCTTTAACATCCCATTATCACAATAAAATGTGTATTTTTAAAAAGCAACACTTTACCAGCCCTGTAATACCACCCCAGCCAGCCATCCCCTGGGGTTTCAAGAGCCGAGCTATCAGCTGTGAGACTGGGACACAGCCTGGGGCGCACCTGGACCCCTTGTTCCCTTTGCCACTTCTGTCAGTGTAAGGAGAGCTCACAGCACTGGGATGCAATTTCTGGCACCTGCTGATTAAGTGTGGATCCTTGTTTGCAAATCCCTTTTCCACCTCTCTGTTATTGATGAATGGTTCCCCCTAGCCTGAGTCAGAAATGGAGGTCTCTATAAAACCAAAGTGAACAATTTTCAGTAGCCCCAAGGAAGAAGTCCCTTCTTCCTCCCAAGTTGTGCACTTTGCAAATTCCTCTGAGATAATAAGGTTGTCTTTCTAGGGAAACCCGGATCCTCTTGCAGCTTTAGATATCTTTGTGTTCCTATCCAGATACTTCAAATGACCATTGCTTTGAGATTACAGGTGACTAGATGTGGCCTAGTAGTGTACAGGCAGTACTCACATCTTGCAGGTGGGAGGAATGGCAGCTCTCCAGTGAGGAAAGCTAGACAGGAGGTGAGGAAGGAAATAGAGACGGAGCCTGTGATTCACACCAGCTAATCTCTAGCAATGTTCATTAACTGAGTCTTGTCAAGGGTAGTATAAAAAGAGGTTCAGGAAGCTTCAGTGACAAGCAGGAGCCCCTCTGTGATGCTGGGAGGGTCGATTATGCTAAACATACTAATTTAGAGTGGATTTCAGAGAATGAGGGGGAAGGAAACCATACTGATAATTTCTGATGTGCCAGGAACTATTCTGGACACTTGTACTTGTCTATTTAATCCCCCCAACCACTCTAAGAAGTGAGCAATATCATTCCCATTTTGTGGATAAGGAAACTGAGGCTCAGACAGATTAAGTAACTTGCTCATGATTAAGCTGATAGCAGATTAGAAGTAGTGATGGGATATGAACTTTGGACTTAGATTCCAAAGATTATACTTAGTCCACTAAACCAGTTCCTCTCATTCTTTTGCATTGAAGTACTACTAAGTATAGCAGACAGAATTTGAACCTGGTAGTAGTATCAGTTTGGGGTGGGGAGTCACATGGGATTGCAGCTTCTGGTCTTGTAGAATGTAATTGTTCAATGCAAGCGCTAATTTTTAAGGTTTCATAAATGATGATGTTGCGATTAATTCCACAGTATACAGTTGATCCTCACATAACATTGTTTTTGTTCAATGTTGTTTTGTTATAATACTGATGAGAAAAATAATCAATTCCTGGCCAGAGCCACTGTTTGTGTGAAGTTTGCACATTTTTTCCCATGTCTGCATGGGTTTTCTTCGAGTACTCTGGTTTCTTTCCATTTCCCAAAGATGGGCATGTTGGGTGAATTGGCATGTCTAAATTGCCCAGTCTGAGGGAATGTGGGCATGGATGTGAGTGCACCCTGCAATGGAATGATATCTTGACCAGGCCAGGTTCCCACCTTGTTCCCTGAGGTGCTGAGATAGGCTGTGGCCACTTAAGACCCTAAACTGGAATAAGTGGGTATCTTAATTCTGTTTTGTGTTGCTATAAAGAAATACCTGAGGCTGTGTAATTTACAAAGAAAAAGATTTATTTGGCTCATCATTCTGCAGACTCTACAAGAAGCATGACACTGACATCTGCATTTGGTGAGGGCCTCAGGTTGCTTCCATTCATTGCAGAAGGTAAAGGGGAGCTGGAGGTGGCATATGTAGAGATCACACTGTGAGAGAGGAAGCAAGAGAAAAGGCGGGAGGAGCAAGGCTCTTTTTAACAAGAACCAATAGAGCAAGAAGTCAACTCACTCATCCCTGAGGAAGGGCATTCATCTATTCATGAGAGATCCACCCCCATGACCCAAACACCTTCCATTAGGCCCCAAAATTCAACATGAGGTTTGGAGGGAACAAACCTCCAAACTACAGCATTCTGCTCCTGGCCCCAAAAAACTCATGTCCTTACATGTAAATACTATCTTTCCATCCCAATAGTCCCAAAAGGATTAACTTGTTCCAGTACCAACTTAAAAGTCCAAAGCCTAAAGTCTCAACTGAGACTCAGGGCAAGTTTCCTGAGACTTAGGATTGTAAAATCGAAAATGATTATTTACTTTCCAGACACAATGGTGTAACAGACATTTGGTAAACATTTCTATTTCAGAAGGAAGAAATGGGCTAAAAGCAAGGAAAAACAGGTCCCAAGCAAATCTAAAACCCAGCAGGGCAGACAGTAAGTCTTTTTTTTTTTTCTTTTATTATTATACTTTAAGTTTTAGGGTACATGTGCACATTGTGCAGGTTAGTTACATATGTATACATGTGCCATGCTGGTGCGCTGCACCCACTGACTCGTCATCTAGCATTCGTTATATCTCCCAGTGCTATCCCTCCCCCCTCCCCCCACTCCACAACAGTCCCCAGAGTGTGATGTTCCCCTTCCTGTGTCCATGTGATCTCATTGTTCAATTCCCACCTATGAGTGAGAATATGCGGTGTTTGGTTTTTTGTCCTTGTGATAGTTTACTGAGAATGATGATTTCCAATTTCATCCATGTCCCTACAAAGGACATGAACTCATCATTTTTTATGGCTGCATAGTATTCCATGGTGTATATGTGCCACATTTTCTTAATCCAGTCTATCATTGTTGGACATTTGGGTTGGTTCCAAGTCTTTGCTATTGTGAATAGTGCTGCAATAAACATACACATGTGTCTTTATAGCAGCATGATTTATAGTCCTTTGGGTATATACCCAGTAATGGGATGGCTGGGTCAAATGGTATTTCTAGTTCTAGATCCCTGAGGAATCGCCACACTGACTTCCACAATGGTTGAACTAGTTTACAGTCCCACCAACAGTGTAAAAGTGTTCCTATTTCTCCACATCCTCTCCAGCACCTGTTGTTTCCTGACTTTTTAATGATTGCCATTCTAACTGGTGTGAGATGGTATCTCATTGTGGTTTTGATTTGCATTTCTCTGATGGCCAGTGATGATGAGCATTTTTTCATGTGTTTTTTGGCTGCATAAATGTCTTCTTTTGAGAAGTGTCTGTTCATGTCCTTTGCCCACTTTCTGATGGGGTTGTTTGTTTTTTTCTTGTAAATTTGTTTGAGTTCATTGTAGATTCTGGATATTAGCCCTTTGTCAGATGAGTAGGTTGCGAAAAATTTTCTCCCATTTTGTAGGTAGCCTGTTCACTCTGATGGTAGTTTCTTTTGCTGTACAGAAGCTCTTTAGTTTAATTAGATCCCATTGGTCAATTTTATCTTTTGTTGCCATTGCTTTTGGTGTTTTAGACATGAAGTCCTTGCCCATGCCTATGTCCTGAATGGTATTGCCTAGGTTTTCTTCTAGGGTTTTTATGGTTTTAGGTCTAACGTTTAAGTCTTTAATCCATCTTGAATTGATTTTTGTATAAGGTGTAAGGAAGGGATCCAGTTTCAGCTTTCTACATATGGCTAGCCAGTTTTCCCAGCACCATTTATTAAATAGGGAATCCTTTCCCCATTGCTTGTTTTTCTCAGGTCTGTCGAAGATCAGATAGTTGTAGATATGCAGCGTTACTTCTGAGGGCTCTGTTCTGTTCCATTGATCTATATCTCTGTTTTGCTACCAGTACCATGCTGTTTTGGTTACTGTAGCCTTGTACTATAGTTTGAAGTCAGGTAGTGTGATGCCTCCAGCTTTGTTCTTTTGGCTTAGGATTGACTTGGCAATGCGGGCTCTTTTTTGGTTCCATATGAACTTTAAAGTAGTTTTTTCCAATTCTGTGAAGAAAGTCATTGGTAGCTTGATGGGGATGGCATTGAATCTGTAAATTACCTTGGGCAGTATGGCCATTTTCACGATATTGATTCTTCCTACCCATGAGCATGGAATGTTCTTCCATTTGTTTGTATCCTCTTTTATTTCCTTGAGCAGTGGTTTGTAGTTCTCCTTGAAGAGGTCCTTCACATCCCTTGTAAGTTGGATTCCTAGGTATTTTATTCTCTTTGAAGCAATTGTGAATGGGAGTTCACTCATGATTTGGCTCTCTATTTGTCTGTTGTTGGTGTATAAGAATGCTTGTGATTTTTGTACATTGATTTTGTATCCTGAGACTTTGCTGAAGTTGCTTATCAGCTTAAGGAGATTTTGGGCTGAGACAATGGGGTTTTCTAGATATACAATCATGTCGTCTGCAAACAGGGACAATTTGACTTCCTCTTTTCCTAATTGAATACCCTTTATCTCCTTCTCCTGCCTAATTGCCCTGGCCAGAACTTCCAACACTATGTTGAATAGGAGTGGTGACAGAGGACATCCCTGTCTTGTGCCAGTTTTCAAAGGGAATGCTTCCAGTCTTTGCCCATTCAGTATGATATTGGCTGTGGGTTTGTCATAGATAGCTCTTATTATTTTGAAATACGTCCCATCAATACCTAATTTATTGAGAGTTTTTAGCATGAAGGGTTGTTGAATTTTGTCAAAGGCCTTTTCTGCATCTATTGAGATAATCATGTGGTTTTTGTCTTTGGCTCTGTTTATATACTGGATTACATGTATTGATTTGCGTATATTGAACCAGCCTTGCATCCCAGGGATGAAGCCCACTTGATCATGGTGGATAAGCTTTTTGTTGGGCTGCTGGATTTGTTTTGCCAGTATTTTATTGAGGATTTTTGCATCAATGTTCATCAAGGATATTGGTCTAAAATTCTCTTTTTTGGTTGTGTCTCTGCCAGGCTTTGGTATCAGAATGATGCTTGCCTCATAAAATGAGTTAGGGAGGATTCCCTCTTTTTCTATTGATTGGAATAGTTTCAGAAGAAATGGTACCAGCTCCTCCTTGTACCTCTGATAGAATTCGGCTGTGAATCCGTCTGGTCCTGGAGTTTCTTTGGTTGGTAGGCTATTAATTATTGCCACGATTTCAGAGCCTGTTATTGGTCTATTCAGAGATTCAACTTCTTCCTGGTTTAGTCTTGGGAGAGTGTATGTGTCAAGGAATTTATCCATTTCTTCTAGATTTTCTAGTTTATTTGCGTAGAGGTGTTTGTAGTATTCTCTCATGGTAGTTTGTATTTCTGTGGGATCGGTGGTGATATCCCCTTTATCATTTTTTATTGCATCTATTTGATTCTTCTCTTTTTCTTTATTAGTCTTGAGAGCGGTCTATCTATTTTGTTGATCCTTTCAAAAAACCAGCTCCTGGATTCATTAATTTTTTGAAGGGTTTTTTGTGTCTCTAGTACCTTCAGTTCTACTCTGATTTTAGTTATTTCTTGCCTTCTGCTAGCTTTTGAATGTGTTTCCTCTTGCTTTTCTAGTTCTTTTAATTGTGATGTTAGGGTGTCAATTTTGGATCTTTCCTGCTTTCTCTTGTGGGCATTTAGTGCTATAAATTTCCCTCTACACACTGCTTTGAATGCCTCCCAGAGATTCTGGTATGTTGTGTCTTTGTTCTCATTGGTTTCAAAGAACATCTTTATTTCTGCCTTCATTTTGTTATGTACCCAGTAGTCATTCAGGAGCAGGTTGTTCAGTTTCCATGTAGTTGAGTGGTTTTGAGTGAGATTCTTAATCCTGAGTTCTAGTGTGATTGCACTGTGGTCTGAGAGATAGTTTGTTATAATTTCTGTTCTTTTACATTTGCTGAGGAGAGCTTTACTTCCAAGTATGTGGTCAATTTTGGAATAGGTGTGGTGTGGTGCTGAAAAAAATGTATATTCTGTTGATTTGGGGTGGAGGGTTCTGTAGATGTCTATTAGGTCCGCTTGGTGCAGAGCTGAGTTCAATTCCTGGGTATCCTTGTTGACTTTCTGTCTCATTGATCTGTCTAATATTGACAGTGGGGTGTTAAAGTCT
Organism: Homo sapiens; assembly: GCF_000001405.40. Classification (NCBI taxonomy): domain Eukaryota; kingdom Metazoa; phylum Chordata; class Mammalia; order Primates; family Hominidae; genus Homo; species Homo sapiens. Next base: position 67,820,351 of record NC_000005.10, on the reverse strand, counting down.
CCCATTATTAATGTGTGGGAGTCTAAGTCTCCTTGTAGGTCACTCAGGACTTGCTTTATGAATCTGGGTTCTCCTGTATTGGGTGCATATATATTTAGGATAGTTAGCTCTTCTTGTTGAATTGATCCCTTTACCATTATGTAATGGCCTTCTTTGTCTCTTTTGATCTTTGTTGGTTTAAAGTCTGTCTTATCAGAGACTAGGATTGCAACCCCTGCCTTTTTTTGTTTTCCATTTGCTTGGTAGATCTTCCTCCATCCTTTTATTTTGAGCCTATGTGTGTCTCTGCATGTGAGATCGGTTTCCTGAATATGGCACAGTGATGGGTCTTGACTCTTTATCCAATTTGCCAGTCTGTGTCTTTTAATTGGAGCATTTAGTCCATTTACATTTAAAGTTAATATTGTTATGTGTGAATTTGATCCTGTCATGAAGATGTTAGCTGGTTATTTTGCTCGTTAGTTGATGTAGTTTCTTCCTAGTCTTGATGGTCTTTACATTTTGGCATGATTTTGCAGCGCCTGGTACCGGTTGTTCCTTTCCATGTTTAGCGCTTCTTTCAGGAGCTCTTTTAGGGCAGGCCTGGTGGTGACAAAATCTCTCAGCACTTGCTTGTCTGTAAAGTATTTTATTTCTCCTTCACTTATGAAGCTTAGTTTGGCTGGATATGAAATTCTGGGTTGAAAATTCTTTTCTTTAAGAATGTTGAATATTGGTCCCCACTCTCTTCTGGCTTGTAGGGTTTCTGCCGAGAGATCCGCTGTTAGTCTGATGAGCTTCCCTTTGTGGGTAACCCGACCTTTCTCTCTGGCTGCCCTTAACATTTTTTCCTTCATTTCAACTTTGGTGAATCTGACAATTATGTGTCTTGGAGTTGCTCTTCTCGAGGAGTATCTTTGTGGAGTTCTCTGTATTTCCTGAATCTGAACGTTGGCCTGCCTTGCTAGATTGGGGAAGTTCTCCTGGATAGTATCCTGCAGAGTGTTTTCCAACTTGGTTCCATTCTCCTCGTCACTTTCAGGTACACCAATCAGACGTAGATTTGGTCTTTTCACATAGTCCCATATTTCTTGGAGGCTTTGCTCATTTCTTTTTATTCTTTTTTCTCTAAACTTCCCTTCTCGCTTCATTTCATTCATTTCATCTTCCATTGCTGATACCCTTTCTTCCAGTTGATCGCATTGGCTTCTGAGGCTTCTGCATTCTTCACGTAGTTTTTGAGCCTTGGTTTTCAGCTCCATCAGCTCCTTTAAGCACTTCTCTGTATTAGTTATTCTAGTTATACATTCTTCTAAATTTTTTCCAAAGTTTTCTACTTCTTTGCCTTTGGTTTGAATTTCTTCCTGTAGCTTGGAGTAGTTTGATCGTCTGAAGCCTTCTTCTCTCAACTCGTCAAAGTCATTCTCCGTCTATCTTTGTTCCGTTGCTGGTGAGGAGCTGCGTTCCTTTGGAGGAGGAGAGGTGCTCTGCTTTTTAGAGTTTCCAGTTTTTCTGCTCTGTTTTTTCCCCATCTTTGTGGTTTTATCTACTTTTGGTCTTTGATGATGGTGATGTTCAGATGGGTTTTTGGTGTGGCTGTCCTTTCTGTTTGTTAGTTTTCCTTCTAACAGACAGGACCCTCAGCTGCAGGTCTGTTGGAGTACCCTGCCGTGTGAGGTGTCAGTGTGCCCCTGCTGGGGGGTGCCTCCCAGTTAGGCTGCTCGGGGGTCAGGGGTCAGGGACCCACTTAAGGAGGCAGTCTGCCTGTTCTCAGATCTCCAGCTGCGTGCTGGGAGAACCACTGCTCTCTTCAAAGCTGTCAGACAGGGACATTTAAGTCTGCAGAGGTTACTGCTGTCTTTTTGTTTGTCTGTGCCCTGCCCCCAGAGGTGGAGCCTACAGAGGCAGGCAGGCCCCCTTGAGCTGTGGTGGGCTCCACCCAGTTGGAGCTTCCCAGCTGCTTTGTTTACCTAATCAAGCCTGGGCAATGGCGGGCGCCCCTCCCCCAGCCTCGCTGCCGCCTTGCAGTTTGATCTCAGACTGCTGTGCTAGCAATCAGCGAGACTCCGTGGGCGTAGGACCCTCCGAGCCAGGTGTGGGATGTAATCTCGTGGTGCGCCGTTTTTTAAGCCCGTCGGAAAAGCGCAGTATTCGGGTGGGAGTGACCCGATTTTCCAGGTGCCGTCTGTCACCCCTTTCTTTGACTCAGAAAGGGAACTCGCTGACCCCTTGCGCTTCCCAAGTGAGGCAATGCCTCGCCCTGCTTTGGCTTGTGCACGGTGAGCGCACCCACTGACCTGCGCCCACTGTCTGGCCCTCCCTAGTGAGATGAACCCGGTACCTCAGATGGAAATGCAGAAATCACTCGTCTTCTGCGTCGCTCACGCTGGGAGCTGTAGACCTGAGCTGTTCCTATTCGGCCATCTTGCGACAGTAAGTCTTAGAGCTCCAGAAATGAACTCCTTTGACTCCATGTCCTACATCCTGGGCACACCGGTGAGAGGTGGGTTCCCAAGGCCGAGGAAGCCCTGCCTCTGTGGCTTCGCAGGCTCGGCCCACTTGGCTGCTCTTGTGAGTTGCAGTCAAATGCCTGCAGCTTCTCCACGCTGAGGTTGCGCACTGCTGGTGGCTCTAATATTCTAGGGTCTGGAGGGTGGGTGGCCCTGCTTCTGCGGCCTCCACCAGGCATTTTCCTTGTGGGGACTCTGAGGCAGTGGGGACTCTGAGGCAGTGGGTAAATAATGATTTTCTTGTTTTTATTAATCTTTCTTAAATGTACATATAGCTCACATTTATTTCAGTGTTAAATATTAGAAGTGTTTTGGTTTTTCTTTAGAAGTTTGGTGATGTTTTTGTGAACGGAAATAGGCCATTACTGTTATTTATATCAATTAGCCTACAATAAAATTGGTTTTGTTTTTTGGCATTTCACTAAGTGAGGACTTAGCTGTATTGTTTGTTTTAATAAAAAATATAATTGCTCCTCCATCTCTTTAAGTATAATTGACCCTCTAGGAGAGGGGGCATGGTTAGACTATGGCTTTGAATGTCCTCTGGGTACAAATGGGTGTTAAGAATCTATCTGCTTTGAGGATTCAGGTACCAGTTCGAGAAATGCCAGGCTATGCAGTACTGCTCCTTTAGCGGAGGTTACAGAGCCATAGATGGCCATGTGTTTGGGATGTTATCAAGGGAATTTGTGCACTCAGTAAAAGGTTAGACTAGAGGAGGCTTAATGACGTCTAGTTTTCTATGGCATTAACATAACATAATGATTGAGGGTAAGGTTGTAGAGTCAGATGGGCCTGGGATTTGACTCCAACACCTGGCAGTTGTATGCTTTGAGGCAAGTTATTTAATGTCTTAAAGGCTCAGTTTCTGAAAGAGTAAAGAGTAGTTAATTATACCTACCTCATAATGGGTGTTGGAAGGATTAAATTAGCTGGTATACTGAAAGTACTTAGCTCAGAGTCTGGCACATGTTAAATGTTCATAAATGGTGGCCATTGTTCTGTTTTTTACCAAGGGGGCTCTGGGACAGGAGTGGAAATGAGCCCTCAGGCCATCTCCTTACACTTTCCTTCTCTGTGCTTGCTCCCCTCCTTGCTTTGCCCCAGTTGTAGGAGGTGATTGGAGCTTTGCCTGGCAAAACATGATGGACTGATCATGAGCCATTTCTTCTGCAGCAAATAAAAATGTTTTGGATCCTATTTCCTGCCTATGGTCTTGCACATCCTTGGAGGAACAGTCAACTGCACTGAAGCATTTCTTCCTCCCTCTAACTGCTCTGTAGGATGGGGTAATGGGCATGTTGTTGGCTGCAGCAAAAGGTGTCCACCAGGGCTTTTTCCCCTCTTAATACTATGTAGCAAGACAGGTAACAATTTGACCTTCTTATATTTATCACAAATAAGGAGAGCAAGTGATAAAGTATAGTAAGGACATATGAATTCTACATAGAAAAAAAAGCCAGTGAGAAAGTGTTCTCTTTCTCTCTCCTTTTAATGAGTCAGACATTGTAACCACATTTCTTTGCTAACCAGTCATTTGTAATGCATAGAAATTTAGTCAGCTAGAGCCTGTCTTCCAGGTGAGCGGTGCCAAAACCAATCGATCGTTTCTGATGCTGCTTCTGTAACTGTGCCATGGAACTAGCCATAGTTATGAACATTCTGCTGCTCTGTGCTGCCTCAGAACATTCCCCACAGGCCTTTGTGCCTTCTCGTCATCATTATCAGTATTATCCCTGTGATCAAAATACATGAATTTTGTTTTCTGTTTGAAAAAGCACTGCACTAGGCAAAATTTGGGAACAGTCAGATCCCTGCTTCAAACAAATTTACACTGTGAAGATCACCGTAAGAGGTGAGCAACTCTGAATAAACATATTGCTCAAATAAGCAGTGTCACAATGACTTCTTAGAATGGACTGTTCACGAGATAATCAGGCCTTGGGTAGGAAAACAGATAAAACAGAAGGTTACTGTTGATTAATGTTTTATTTTTGCTGAGCCAGTTTGATGCCCTTAACTACCATTTCTGTGCAGCAAAAGGGGCCAGCAAAGACCTTTCTGATAAAAGTTCAAAAAGCCTTATTGTAAGAGTGACAAAAATGTTAGTGAGTAGAGTCCTTATCGTGGATAATGGAATAGTTCCTCTTGGTGGAAATGGGCTGTTCTGCCAAGGGAACTCAAGGGAGTGATTGGGAGGTTTTTGTATATTATGTAAGCAAGTTTATTTTGGGAGCTCGGGGCAGAGTGTGCTGCTGTCTTTAACCACATGTGCTTATTTCCATAATGACCACTTCTTTCCTGGGCTGTGTGGAACATCATCTACATTAGTGCCGGGTGAGCAGCCGTGAAGAGGTGGTAAGGCACCAAAACTAGTGAGATGCTCTGATGATGCTTGTTGAACTCTGCCCAGAAGTAAACATCTGAATTTGGAAATGTAAAGATATTACCAGTTAAACCAATCCATTGCATTTGGATTCCCATTCACAAATGCATCCAAAAGCCCCTTACAATACTCAGCTTTCACTCTCTGAGTAAAAGTCTCTATCTTTTCTAGTTTATTCACTTAAAATAAGTATTGACCAGAAATTGTTTATGAACTCATAGTGCAAATTCTGTAGGCCTCAAACTTAAAACCCTAAATAGTTATGGCTTTATGTTTTGAAAGTTCGTGTCCTTCCTAGGATTTTCTCAGCTCTACTGTTGCCTACTTCCTTCTTCTTTATATTGTTCTGCAGCCTGCATTTTTCTGAATATGTTTCTTTCATTTTCATGAAGCTGGTGCTTGATCTGATCTCTCCACTTCCTTCTTAAAATTGGTTTGGCAAGTATGAAAGTATAGTTTTTACAATGGTAAAAATCATGATTCTCAGGCAAATGCAAAACAAGCACATGACAATGATTTTATTTAATTCATTAAATAATGGAGGGGGCAGGTAAAACAGTAAAACCAGCCCAAAAAGCACTGGAAACGTGACATATATAGTCAATTCAACAAAGAAATGTTAGGATATAATTTCTGGGTTAGGCACAACACTGGTTAATGTCCAGCAGGTCCGTTGGTTCACACTGTTAGTCTATTTACTCTGGATTAAATTTATTTATGTTTCTAGTAATAAAAATGTCCATGTTGGCTGTTACAGAGTTGTAAATTGTTGTAAAAAGTGCACCCTAGCACTGTACTGAAAGTACACCCAGTAATCTCCTTTCAAAATATTGGAATAATATTTTTAGACACAATCTAGTCTCTCACATTGCAAAAATAGAAAGAAAGCAAGCAAAAATCAAAAATATTCTCTTCCTCATCTCAATTCATTTCTTCCCTATTGCTCTCATGCCCTTTCATAGCCAAAGTAGTAGAAAGAGTTGTCTAGTTTCACTGGCTTCATTTCCTCACCTCTCACTTACTCTCCAGTCCACTCCGATATGAATTCTAGCGCCATCATTTTTTTCTCATCTTCTGCTGTGGTCACCAGTGACCTACATCTTTCTAGATCCAATGAATGTTTTTTATTCCTTATCTTATCCGACCTTTCAGCAGCTTTTGAATTTAACCACACATTCCTTGATACATTCTCTTCCTTTGGCTTCTGGGCGCTAATACTCTCCTGGCTTTTCGCCTGCTTCTTAGGATCCTTCTTCTCTGTCTCCTTGGCAGGCTTATTCTGTACTGCTCTGACATTAAATGTTGGGATTTCTCCATGTCGGGCTCTAGACCCTCTGTTCTTCAGTACTTTCTTCTCAGACACCACCCAAGCTCATAACTTCAGTTATCCCCATTTGCAGATGAAGCACACATTTGTTATCTCCAGGCTACATACTTCTGCTCATATACATGCCTGCTTGCTTGACACCCTCTTTTGAATTCCTAGAGACATTTCAAGTTTAATCAGGATAAACCTGAACTTATGAATTCCACTCTCCAACACCCCTAATTAAAGCAAGTCTTCTCCCAGTGTCCCTATCTTAGACAATACTACCTACTCAGCAATGCAAGCAGCAACCTAGGGAGCAACTGAGACATATCACTCACACCAAACCCTGTTGCCTTCAGACTCACTGTGGATGTCTACCTCCATGCAGAGCTGCTCTCCAGAATTCAAAGAAATGGCCTTTAGAATTTATTTTTATTTATTTACTTGTTTTATTAATTTTTTATTTTTTATTTCAATAGGCTTTTGGGGAACAGGTGATATTTGGTTACATGAATAAGTTCTTTGGCGGTGATTTCTGAGATTTTGGTGCACCCATCACCCTAGCAGTGTACACTATGCCCAATGTGTAGTCTTTTATCCCTCGCCAACACCCACACTTTCTCCCTAGTCCCCAAAGTCCAATGTATGATTTTTATACCTTTGCGTCTTCATAGCTTAGCTCCAAGGTATGAATGAATAAATACAATGTTTGGTTTTTTATTCCTGAGTTACTTCACTTAGAATAATAGTCTCCAGTTCCATCCAGGTTGCAGTGAATGCCCTTATTTTGTTCCTTTTAATGGCTGAGTAGTATTCCATGGTGTGTGTATGCATGTGTGTGTGTATATATATATATATCATATAATATTTTCTTTATCCACTTGTTGATTGATGGGCATTTGGGCTAGTTCCATAGTTTTGCAATTGCAAATTGTGCTGCTATAAACATGCACGTGCAAGTATCTTTTTCATATAATGACTTTTTTTTCCTCTGGGTAGATACCTAGTAGTGGGATTGCTGGATCAAACAGTAGATCTACTTTTAGTTCTTTGAGGAATCTCCACACTGTTTTCCATAGTGTTTGTACTAGTTTACATCCCCACCAACAGTGTGAAAGTGTTCCCTTTTCACTGCATCCCTGCCAAGATCTATTATTTTTTAATTTTTTTATTATGGCCATTCTTGTAGGAGTGATGTGGTATTGCATTGTGGTTTTGATTTGCATTTCCCTGATAATTAGTGATGCTGACCATTTTTCTATATGTTTGCTGGCTCTTTGTATGTGTTCTTTTAAGAATTGTCTATTCATGTCCTTAGCTCAGTTTTTGATGGGATCGTTTTGTTTTCTTGCTGATTTGTTTGAGTTCTTACAGAGTCTGAATATTAGTCATTTGTTGGATGTATAGATTGTGAATATTTTCTCCCACTCTGTAGGTTGTCTGTTAACTCTGCTGATTATTTCTTTTGCTGTGCAGAAGCTTTTTAGTTTAATTAAGTAAGTCCATTTATTTATCTTCGTTTTTGTTGCATTTGATTTTGGGTTCTTGATCATGAAGTCTTAAAAGTTTGATTGTTTAATGTGATAAATATGCCTGAGAAATGCTGGATAGTTCAGATTCTACTGGTATACTTTGTAGTGTACATCCTAGTTCCAAATACATATGGGATATGCATGGGAGTCAGGGTTCCAAGGAAGAACCAAAGTGTTGGTTCAAAAAGAGGCTAGAGATGGGCATGGCAGACACATTGTCAACTGGGTTGAGTTAGTTTTGCTTCTCCTTCAGGTATGGAGAGAAGAATTCAGGATCATGTTTTAAAATGAGCTGGAGCAAACTCGAAGGAGAGTTACTTTCTTGGATGGAATGTGGGCTTTGTTTTCACCACTGTCTATCTGGGTCTAGCACAGTAATGTTGATGGGTCATAGGAGTCCAAACAATGCCTGTTGAATGAATGGGTGAATGCATAGAACCAACCCATCTGGAGATGGGGAATTAGAAAGTGTTTCCTGCTGGGCATGGTGACTCATGCCAACATTTTGGAAGGCTGAGGCAGGTGTATCATTTGAGCCCATTAGGTCCAGACCAGCCTGGGAAACATAGCGAGACCCTGTCTCTACAAAATACAAAAATTAGCTGGGCATGGTGGTGCATGCCTGTAGTCCCAGCCACTTGGGAGGGTGAGGCAAGCAGATTGCTTGAGCTCAGGAGGTGGAGGCTGCAGTGAGCTGTAATCATACCACTGCACTCCAGCCTGGGCAACAGAGTGAGAGCCTATCTCAAAATAAAAGAAAAAAAAGAGAAGAAAGAAAGAGAGAGAGAGAGAGGAAGGAAGGAAGGAAGGAAGAAAGAAGGGGAGGGGAGGGGAGGAAGAAAGAAAGAGAAAGAAAGAAAGAAAGAAAGAAAGAAAGAAAGAGAAAGAAAAGAAAGAAAGAAAAGAAAAGAAAAAAAAGAAAGATTCCTGAAGGAGTTGGTGCCTGATGCAAGTTGTGAAGGTTAAGTGGGAATTTGCCTGGAAAATGAAAAAAGGGAAACTCCAGGTAGAGGATACAGTATGAATATGAGCAAAAACCCTGGCCTGTAGTTTGTGGAAACTGAGAAATAGTGTTGCTAGAGCACAAGAGGCAAGTGTAATGAACAAGGCTGAAAAATATACAGGAGGCAGATGATTGCTTCGTCTTCACCCAACAAGAGCTTTTTCTGAATTCCAAAAGTACTTCATACATAACACTTATGACACGACATCCTTATTATGTTCTTTGACATCACTGTGGGATGCAAGGGCAGGGTCTGATTGTTACTCACCTTTGTGTCCTCAGCTCCTGACATTATCATTGATATAAATGGCAGGCAGCTGAGAAGGAAGAGGATTAATTAACAGTCTTGCTGACTATTCCTTAAGCAAGAATAGGTGACACCTAGCATAAAGATATAACATAGTCCAAATTTATGCTGACAAAAACTGTAGTGGTAGAGGAGAAAAAGGATCTCTAACACTCCTTTCCTCTCCCCAGGCCAGTGTGGGACGTATTTTGGTGTCCTCTCTTTCCTTACATCAAAGTAACAAAACTAAAGTTGCTAAAGGTATCAAATCCAGAATAGAGGTTCTAGCTGATCCTTGCATAATCCTGGTGCCTGTAGTGATAAATTAACACATATTAGTGTTGTTTTTAAAAAACCATCCTATACTGAGCAGAATAATAGTAGAGAAGAAGCCTGAAAATGGCTTATTTTTACTTCCAAGAAAAGTAGAAACAAACACAAGTAACTTATGACTGAGTCCTTAGGAAGAAAGATAAAATGAAGCTTTATTTGTAATATGCACCTTGAAATTAAGGTAGCAAATATCCCAGACCTTTATAAGATGTTTTTTCCCTCCTCTAATTATTACAAAAAATACTAATATGTGTTCAGTATAAAGTATTAGGATGAAAGAAAAATTATGAAAAGTCTCACTAACCAGAGATAAACAGTTAATATTCTGTGCATATTCTTCCAGATAGTTTTAAATACAAACATAAACACACATATGCACACACGTGTTTTATAATAGAGGTTATGTTACACATGCTATTAAATAACCTGACTTTCTACCTTATTGTGTCAGAGATATTTTATAAATAGTTACTTTTAAAGTTCGCATAGGATATAGTCCACATATGTATACTCCATGATTTACTTATCAGTCGTTCAACCAACAAATTTTGATTGAGTCTTACTTCACGCCAACAGCTTTTCTAGATACTGAGGCTATACCAGTGTACAGAATGGAGACCCTGTCATCAGGTTATTTACTTTTAACTTGGCAACAGAGGAACAGAAAATGAACTCATAAATAAGTAAAATAAATTCAGGCATTAGTGAGCCTATAGAGGAGATAAAAGACAGTGATGTGCTAAAGAGTCATGAGAGTCACTTCAATTTCTGGTAAGATGGCAGACTAAATAGTCTCAAAATAAGCTCTTTTGTACTATCCCAACATACAATTCAGAAAGAATAGAGAGTTTTTTTGAATGCACAGCCAAACTAGCAAGAAAGTAAGGAAAATCCTAAAAATCAAAAGATAAAAACTAAACAATTATTTAGAATAATACTTCACACTGAATCTCGCTGAGGCCATCTACCAATATGGAATTGTAATGGCAACACCCAGGAGAGGAGGCGAAGATGGAGCAGAAGATGGAGCCTGTGTAAGGAGAAGCGTGAGAAGGGGAAAGTCCCATAAATTCAGGGCCCTGAAGTGCTACCCTCTCAGTGAAACTGCCTTTAAGGAGATGACGAGAGAACTGTTTCTTTGTTTTAAATCTAGGAGGAAGAAAAAAATAATTGTCTCTCTCGAGAATTCATCACCACAGCCCTGCCCTTGTGTGGGTTTGAGGTTTAAATTTATAACACCTGCATGAGCTGGGAAACCCTAAACCGAGAAATTAACACAGTAGTCCCAGTCTGGCAGTGCCTGGGCACCTGGCCAAAGCCAAAGAAAATCCTCTGCTGAGTCTGAACTGAGGGCCTTCTGAATTCCAACAGGTTTTACTTGCTCAAGTAGCTCAAACGTATTGAAAGTCATATAAGAAACATGCCACCATGATTGAGATTCAAAGAATGTTGACAGTTTTAAATGCTCATAGAATAAATGGAGAAACATCAATAATTAAAGACCTAAGTATACAACTTAATAAGTCAGGGGAAGAAGACAGAAAGAAGAAAGAAAGGAAATAAACCATAGAAATAAGTAAAAACAAGGATATAATAAAGAGAATTCAAACATATCAGAAAGTGGGTCATTGTAAGGCCTAGTTAAATAGACAAACCTTGGCAGGAATGATCAACAAAAATGGAGAGAAGGTGCGAAGAATATTAGAAAGTGAAAGGGGTACAAGACTGATATCGTAGAGAATAAGAAGAAGTTAATGTCACAGAATGAATTTATGACAGTAAATTTGAAAACGGATAAAATGGACAATTTTCTATAAAACCAAAACATAAAATTGATTGTAGAAGAAGTAGAAAACCTGAAAATGTCTATTACTATTCCAGAAATTGGATCACAATGTAAAAATCCACCCACTGAGCATACAATGAGAAAGTGCCGTGGGTAGCGGATAGGAGAAGGGTACCCTCATCTAGGCTCAAAGCCTTCCTTAACTGGTACATTTCAGCTGAAACCTGAGTGGTGAGAAGAAGTGAGCTATGCAAAGGTCTGGAGAACAAAATTCCAAATGTAAGGAAAATCAAATGCAAAGCCATCTGAGGCAGTGAGAGAAACAAAAAAGGCAGAGAGAAACGAACAGAAATAAAAGTTAAATGAAATAAAAAAAATAAAATTCTTACACTTGTAAATTCCTAAACAGCTAACATTTATTAAGTTCAAATCTGTGCAAATCATAGAGCTCTGAGTTTTATATACATGATTCCCCGTCCTCAAACATCTTTGCAAGGTAGGTTCTATTCCCATTTTGTAGAAGGGGTAGCTGAGGCTTAGTGCGGTTAAATAAAGTGGCCCACAGACACAGAGCTACTGAGTAGCAGATCCAGGACTCAAACTGGTCTGATATGTAAGCCTGAAGTTTGAACCACTTGTGCTGTGCCTGAGGAGAAAGTGCCAAAAATAAATGCCAAAGGCTGGGGCGAAGGCTTTCATGTGTGGTCACTGGTTCAGCAGCATCATCATCTCTTGGGACTTTGATAAACATGCAACTTCTCAGATTCTCAGGCCTCATCCCAGACTTGAATCAGAAACTCTGGGGGGTTGTGTCCAGTAATCTGTGTTTGTTAAAACACAGTTTTAACAAACCCCTTAGGTGATAACCTCTAGTATAGAGCAACTAGAAAGGTAGAATGTGGTGATGACAATGACACGGACCTAAGAGTTAGACAAACTGGACCCCTGGTTTGAGTCCAGCTCTGCCACTTCCTTATATACGATCTTATACATCACTTAAAATTTCTTAGCCTTGAGTCTCTTATCCATAAAATGGAGATAATTATAGTATGTACATTCAGGTTTTTGTGAGAATTAAGTAAAAACAAATGTAAATATTAGTAAATCAATGCCCTGGCACATTAAGTGTTCAATACATATTTGCTGGTATTCCTCTCTCTCATGCCTGGAGTCTGTCTTCCCTTAGCCTTTCCACAGGTACTCTGCATCCTCACTTTGCACTGGGGAAGAGGAATTAGAAAGATGGAACTATCTGGAGTCTTTAAGTCCAGGTGAAAGATGACAGTATAATATAGTAACTATACTAGAGCAATAGAAGTGGAAAAACAGAGAAGGGGAGGTCTCAAGAGTGGTGTCTAAGGAAGCATGGTTGGAGCTTGGTGCCTGATCAGATGTGGGGAAGAGCAAAACAAAGAGAGATGACTCTGGGCCTCTAGTTTGGCTGACAAGTGAACTGTGGTTCCAGTGAGAAAATAAATTTAGCTGCAAGAACAGGCTTGGGGTTATGATAATGTGTTCATATTTATATTTAGACAAGTGAGTGTGAAGGTGTGTGGGTGGCAGACAGAAAGAGAGAGAGAGAGACTGGAACTATAATATCAGTTGACAACCTGATCTTCCTTGTAATGGAAATTGCCACCTTCTTTCTGTGGGTACCAATGTGTTGTTGGAGAAGGGTGCTACTTGCCAGCCAGCAGGCCCTGCTGGTCATGCCACATTCTGTCGATACCCAGCAATCATGGCTAGGGCTAAGCACAGCCTTAACACAAGGAAGTGTCATTCAGGAGACAGACTGTGGGAAGGGAATGAAGCCATCACTAATGAATAGGCTAATAGGACTTGATGAGCAGTGAAAATCAATGAGGTACAAACTGCCTGCCTTAAAAAATGAGCAAGGTAAAAATGGAAGAATGCCAAACCACAGTTTTATCTCCAGTCTGTGCTAGTCCTCACCTACTGAAACAGAATTCACACTAATCTTGCACCATCCCTGTCATGGTCATGGGTCATGATTATGGATTATGGGTCATAGTCATCAGTTCAGTTTATCCGATTCCGTAATATTAATTATGCATCTAAGTACTGTCGGCTAAGATACATAATTTATATTAATTATGGGCTAAGTACTGTGCAAGACACAGAGACTGCAATTTTTGCTACTCTTCGTCCTCTGCATAATCATCACTATTATTTTATCGCTCAACATTACCTATAAAGTGCCAATAGATCTCTTTAGCTGCTGCCTGTCTTGCAAAATTGAATCACTGTACTCAATTAAGACTATTTGTTATTTTTATCTGTCCTCCAGCCAGCACATGCTGTGTCTGTGTCACTTTACACCATTATCTCTAGAACAGGGAGCACCCATGACATCTGAAGCTCAAACTCTCTTGAGTACAATTCTCAGGATCTCTGTGGCCAGGCTTCACACTAGGCTCATGAGTGCATTAAAAGACATCCAGATCCACAGGAAGGAAGGCACTGATGCTGACTGAGATCTCCCACCCTGATTTCCTACCTAAGAAAGCAAGTGAAAAATAAGCCCTTCCCAGACAAACCCAAAGCCCTTAGAGTGGAGGCAAATCCTCCTCTGGACACAGATACTAAAGGATTCTGAGTTGACAAGATGAATTCAGCTGTTTCTACATCTTAAATAGTGTGACACAGTGAAATGATCAGTAGATTAGAAGCCTCGTATTCTGTTCCCAGCTCTGCTTCCTTGGGTAAATCAGTGCATTTTTCTGGGTCCCAGCTTTCTTACCTGTAAAAATGGCCACATTCAAAGCAAGCCAGAGTGTTTTAGTTTCTAAGCTTCTCCGTAACTTAGTTACTCACTAACTGCTTTAAGTAAAGGAGGCACAAAGTAATGTTTTACATTTTCAGGAATGCATATCCCTGGCCAATGCCATATCCCTTTTTGGTGGTCTAAGTTGCTTGTTTGCATCTGAATGCCCTGGACAAGCCACACATGGATTTCTTTGTTTAAGAGAAGAAGCACATGATAGTCCTTTGTCTGCATAGAGGTGGATTCTAGCATAGAAGCCATGCCCCACATGGGGCCTTTGTGGTGCTCTGTTGTCTACCATGGGTCCTCTGATGCGTGACTGCCTAATAGGACCATTAGCAGCCTGAACCACCTGATTTTTCAGTGTTTGTGCCTTCTGGTTTCAAGGCTGCCACTTCTCTTGACAAGTGGTGTCTGTAAATACGCAGACCTCTGTGGCCGCCTGGATTTATGAAGTAATGCTTTGACTAACCCATCCACTTAATGGTCCCTGGCTCCTGGTGGCTCCTCACACCTGTCCCAGATCCTGGGAGACTGCCTCCATTCTCAACGCACTTGGTTAGCTCAGGCCCAACACCTTGGCCTTTGTCTATGACTCACTATCTCCCACTGTCAAGATAACATGCAGATAGGATTATACAGAATGGTTCTTGACTGGCCTGAAAGAGGCTGTTCACTCAGTTGGAGGCTGAGAAGAGTTATCAATGTTAATTACTAAAGCTGCATTCATTTCTTGCTATTTGGTGTGTTCTAAAAACCCTACTAGGATAAAGGAATGGAAAGGATTTGAACTTGTTCTGCCTTTCTGATTAAAAACGGGCTTAAGAAATTTGCTCTAGTTTAGACCTATGCTTAAGGTCTAGTGCCACCACCTTTATTATAGGAGGCAACTTGAGCTAAGCAAAATGAATCGGAGCTGCATATTGTAGGCAAGGACTATTACTTGTGTTATTTTTGGCTGCCAACAAAATACCAGGAAAATTACAAAGTAATAGTTACCGCTGTGAAAGAGAATAAGAAATAAAATTAACTTTTTATGCCTAAGGAAAAGCTTTCCATTCCCGTTATTTTTACAGGGCAGTACAGGAGCCGTCTGTGGGTCTTGGCACCAGATATCACATAAACAATCATTTGCACACACTAGGAATCCAAATATATTCTGTTCCTGGGGTCTGCATCTATTACCTTGACAGGAACAGAGAAAGAGTTTTAATCAGATTTATTTTATATGTAGAAATTGCCTCTTTTGTCAGCAGGAAAGAAATCTAGTCAAATGGATAATCTTATAAAAAGTAACATAAGCATGTCTAGAACCAAATCACACCCTATAAGACTCAGCCTTTCTTTCTTTTCTCCCACTTGCCCCAAATTTACCACACAAACTTGGAAATGAGCTGCCTTCTCATTGCTTAAAGCACTGACGGGATCCCACAGAAGAGGAGAAAAGTTGTTGTCCAATTAAGCTCCACGTGTGCATTCAACTCTTGTTGAAAAATTTAAAGAAGAAAAGGCTTCAGGCGGTAGTACAACATTTAACATGTCCTCATAGCCTTTCCTACTTTACTTCAGGGTCAAAATCTGTAGAGTCCAGACGGCATTGATGGAGCATCCTGGAGTTTATAGAAGGTTGTCTGTCTGGAGCTGGGAAAAGTCCACAGACTAGGAAAAGGATATATATTATTATAAGGAATTGGCTTCCATGATTCTAAAGGCTGAGAAGTCTCAAGGTCTGTGGTCAGCAAGCTGGAGACCCACCCAGGAGAGCCAACGGTGCAGTTCCAGTCTGAGTCTGAAGGCCTGCAAAACAGAAGAGCCAATGGTTTCAGTCTGAGTCCAAGTCCGAAGGCAGGAGAAAACCTATTTCCCAGCTCAGAAACACCATCATAGACACACCAAGAAAAATCTTTAATCAAATACCTGGGAACCCTCTAGTCCAATCAATGTAACATAAAAAAATTATCCATCACATGGAAACAGTAAAGAAATGTAAGACATGATTTATAAATTCATTGATTCAGTTCAATTTAGGACCAGATGAATTCACAGATGAGAAAACATACTCAGATTGGTGTGGCTCACTTTGACTACAATTTATTTCTGGAGAGCCTATCACTGACCTGGCCAGTATTTGAGGCAGCCAAAGGAGTTTGCTTTATTCGGTCCCTACACAATGAGAAGATTAGACTGTAAGCTCCTCTGGGAGTAATGACACATCCTGTACTTTAGTTCTGGCTATGAAGACACTGTAGAAAAACCTAAATCTCCTTATTTTTAGCTCTGAGCTATCTTTGTTATGTTTTGTCTAGTGGCCAGTGTGGTGTTCTGTTTTGGAAAGGAGCAGGAAGGTAAGGGGTCAAGAACAAAATGCAAATATCTTTGAATGGTGTTTGTGATGAGCAGCCCAGGTTACTTCTAGGTGAATTGTGGTGGCCATTTTCATTGAGTAGGTGACAAGTGTCTGAACCCCGTGGCGAAAAACAGAGAATTTTGTAACCAAAAATTTGGATTCAATTCTGGCTCTGCCGTTTCCTACTAGCGAGACTTTTAGCATGTTCCTTAACCTCTCTGAGTCAAATTTTATTCATCTGTTAAACCAGGATAATAATACTTGTTTGTCATCTTGTCTTACGCAGTATTTGAGAAGGTCAAAAAAAGATAATGAAAGGGATTTGTAAATATAATGTAGAATGTGAAATAAATACATCCATTCCGCAAACATTACTTGACACTAGGATGAATGAAGCCGACTTCAGCTCTCAAAAATTTAATAATCTAATCTAATAACCATCTGTGTGTGTGCTTGTTTATGAGGGGAAGCATACTCACTGAGGTCTGGGGACCAAGGGTAACTGGTAAATGATGCCTAGAGAAGCAACTTTAAAAGCAAGGGCAATAGAAATAGCCAGTCTCATAGGTTAAATTC
Organism: Homo sapiens; assembly: GCF_000001405.40. Lineage (NCBI taxonomy): Eukaryota > Metazoa > Chordata > Mammalia > Primates > Hominidae > Homo > Homo sapiens. The sequence continues at coordinate 67,803,519 of NC_000005.10, read as the reverse complement.
CTTTCAGATTTGGTGCCCAGAAAACAAGTACAGGAGTGAGTGGAGGGTTGGAAGAGTTTCTATCAGAAGCAAAGTAAATACCTATGATACGGTTTGGCTGTGTCCCCACCCAAATCTCAACTTGAATTGTATCTATCTGCCAGAATTCTCACATGTTGTGAGAGGGACTGAGGGGGAGGTAATTGAATCATGGGGGCCAGTCTTTCCCGTGTTATTCTTGTGATAGTGAATAAATGTCACAAGATCTCCTGCGATTATCGGGTTTCAGCTTTTGCATCCTTCTCATTTTCTCTTGCTGCCACCATGTAAGAAGTACCTTTTGCCTCCCGCCTGATTCTGAGGCCTCCCCAACCATGTGGAACTGTAAGTCCAATTAAACTTCTTTTTCTTTTCAGTCTCGGGTATGTCTTTATCAGCAGTGTGAAAATGGTCTAATACAACCTATTCTGGTCATCTCTGTATAACTAACTCAGAACTTTGAGAGTTCAGATCCTGTGCTTGTGGTCTACTTTCTAAATGTCAGTCTTTCTTCTTTCATTATCACTTTCTAGGAAGTCCAATTAGAAAAACTGAAATTGAGATTAGAAAATCACTTTGACTTCAAAGGGGTATTGGATGGCCTATGGTTTTTATTCATCTAATGATTCTTAGTTCAAGTATGAATATACAGATATATTTTAAATTGTCCCATCGCCTTTTAACATTAATACACAAATGTGTCTATTGGTTCTAGACTCCCACCTGTTTCACAGTGAGAAGACCAGTCTTACAGATCCCTCTTTAACTATTTCTAGGAATCTATGAGCATACACACATATGTGCCTAAGCCAGGGTTTTCCATCTTGCCAGTGCTGGCCAGCTAGTTCAATATATTGGAATCTCTGAAGTTAAAACTTTATTCTTACAACTATATTTTCACTGTGACAGCCTACTTTTACAGAGTTGCAAATTAATGGGGCCCAATATGATGGAACTGGAGCATGATAGCTGTGCCTCAGGATGAGAGATCTTGCCACTGCCCTTATAAAGTGAGTAGGGGACACTCCAGTTTTAAGCTTAGCTGGGTACTGAGGAAGGAATCCCAGTAAGGATTCCTGTTCCCAGTGTGCCATAGTATTTAATACTATGATATACTTCAATAGATATGCTTATTTTTTTTTTCTAGGTGAGCAAACACAATGGTAGGATGCCAGAATCAGGATGTCTATGATATCCTCCACCACATTTAATTTAGACCCTTTACTCACCTACAATTCTCAGGCTTGCTTCTGATTTAGATTTATTTATTCTTTTAGTGCAGTCTTTTTTTCTAAATTTATTTTTAATTGACTAATACTAGTTGTGTCTGTTTATGGGGTACAATGCAATGTTTTGATCTATGTATCCATTGTGGCAAGATTCCATCAGACTAGTTAACACTTTATCACCACTTCGCCAACTTACCATTTTTTGTGTGTGTAGTGAGAATGTTAAAAATCTATTCTTTTAGTAATTTTGAAATGTACAACATATTATTAACTCTGGTCACCATGCAGTTGCAATAGATCACTACTCCAGTTTAACTGAAACTGTCCTCTTTGATAAACATCTTTCCTTTTCCCTCCCTTTCCCCCCACTTCGTAGCATCTGGTGACGACCTTTCTATTCTCTGCTTCGATGAATTTGACTTTTTTAGATTCCACCTATGAGATCATGCAATATTCGTCTTTCTGTGCTTGGCTTACTTTATTTAGCACAGTATCTTCCAGTTCCATGCATATTATTACAAATTACAGAATTTCCTTCGTTTTAAGGCTATACAGTATTCCGCTGTGTACATACCACATTGCCTTGATCCATTCGTCTCCTGAGGGACACTTAGGTTGCTTCCATATTTTGGCAATTGTAAGAAATGCTGAAATGCATAGATTTACTTTGTAAAGACTTATCCCCTCTGTTGGGGTTATCTCAATATATCTGATACATTTGATGACTGTATCCCAAGGGTTAACAGGCTTTAATTCAGCATGTTCTTCAGATGCCGTGTAAATTAATGGATGAAAATAGATTTGCAGGAGATGGGGTGTTGCCTTTCTATACTCTACTAGGTGAGCCCTAGCTCCAGCCTAACCAAAGCCCATGTTACTATTCTCAAACCACTTTAGGGTTCGTTTTAATTTTTGGACACAGTAAGCTCTTTTTTTTTTGTGTTACAGGGAGTTTGCACTTATTTTTTTCTCTTCTGGGAACCCTGTGCCCCTGATGATTGCTCAAGTCTCAGTTTAACTGTCACCTCCTCAGAGAGGCATTTTCTTCTATTATATTACTCTATTTATTTATTCTTTAGCACTTTTCATAGTCTGCATTTATTTTGTTTATTTCCCTGTTCCCTTGTTTCATGTAAGAACCACAAGAGCAGCAGCCTTGCCTGTCACCACTACATCCCAGGGCCTAACATAGTGAAGGACAGAATACATAATAATAACAGTTAACATTTATTGGGCACTTACTATTTGTAGAGTACTGTACTAAGTACTTTTACATCTATTAACTCACCCAGTCTTAACTTGCTCGTTTTTTACAGATGAGGAAGCTGGAACTTGTAGGGGATTTAAGAACCTAGCCACACATCAAGCACTTGGTAAGAGGTGAAGCTATCTATGGTTTGGTGACTCCAAGCTTTCAGCTTTACATTATTCTGCCTCTCCTCATCTGCTTCTGCAGGCGGTCATGTTAGCACAGATCAAAGTCATGCCATGGTCCCAGTACCTTTTTTCTTTTCAAAAGTTATCTCAAGTTGTATTCATTTGCCTTTGAAGAAAACTTACTATTTTCCCCTCTATCTAGCATGATGTCTTACATTGGGGGACCATGTCCTAGGTCACCAAAGGTGTCAAAAGGCTTTTCAGCCCTGGTTTTCCAGATCTGTGCACATGTATCCTCTCCAGAATGACCAGTCACTGGTAGGAGGATGGTCATGCCTTTCTTGCTCATTCTACAGTCCACTGACCACTGCCAGAGGCTTTTTTCCTCTCCACGTGTAAGCCTTCTTATTTCTTTCATCTGGGTGGTGTCTGTTCTGGTGTTACAAATATTTTTTTCTCATTCTCTTTGTGTATACTATGTATGCTGATTTTTCCTCAGTGTTTGCCTGCCATACTGACACCAGCTCCCTCTGCACTTAATGCCCCCCTCTTATTCCACATGTGATGGGGCAGCCAACTGCCCAGACTTTAGAAGGACTGGAAAGAGACGGTTTCTTTTTTACCCTGTGATACCCTTTTTCCATTCCCCAGTAAGCTGTTCCTCCAATGCTGTCTCTGGGGGACATGTTGCTGCTCTTGCCTGGAGCTGCACTGGTTACTTGGTCTGGGCTCATGTACAGCTCTAATTCAATTTACAACACAGTTACATAACTGTTCCCAGTCTCCAGTTGACCTTGATGTCAAGCAGCGGTCAAGTTGTACCAGCCCAGAGAAAGGAGGAGGAATCTCTGGTCAGCCCTTGAGAACATTTTAGCTGGGGTTCTGGAATGGAATGTGGCACCAAAAGGCCAAACCAGACCAGTAAATTCTTTGGAAGTTTGAAAAGCGAGTGTTGTTGATTTTTGTAAGACGGATGCTGTTGACTTTCAGGGCAATCCTGTGTCACTCAGGATTGTGTTCTTGGACCAAAGATGAGGGTGCTGTCCTCTTTTCCCATGAATCGCTGTAAGTGGATGAGCCTTTCGGCCTCAATGGGAAGTGCTCCTAGGAGTGTCTTGGCTTGGAAACTTCTCAAGGACAAACCTTTAGCACATTCTTTTCTGAAGAGTTCTGGTTCTAGTCAGTTCTAAACAGTGACAAGAATAGCTAAGTTTTGCTTCTGTTCTTAATAAAGTCAGGAAGACAGGGGTTTTAGCCAAAAAAAAAAACAAAAAACAAAAAACAAACAAATACAAACTAAAGCCTGGGCAAATCAGTCAAAATTTCAGAAATGTAATAGTATGAAAACCCTCTAGGAGCAAGTACTCTGTTTATTTTGTTCTCTGCTATATCTTTACACCATGAATAATATCTGGTATGGACTAGGTACTCAGAGAATATTTGTTGGATGATGTATAATAGGATCTGTGGATTGTGACAAGTCATCTTTTTCTAGTTAATCTTGCAAAGGCTACCATACTAGAGATTTTCAGAAGTCTGTTTTACATATTTTAATCATATATGTGTTTGTGCAAATATAATGCTAGATAAATATTCTACAAATGTATGCATACAAATGTCTATATCTATCATGATTAATGATCATTAACTGGTTACTCATCTATGATAAGCACATTAGTAGATTGTGCCTGGATTTAAAGATTGCCTTAAATAAACATCTTTCATTTATACTAATTTGACTATCCTCATTGACAGAACTAGATTCACGGGACTTGTGAGATTTATGCAGTTACAAAAGGTTCCTTGCTTAGAAGGACCTCATACTTGGTTTAGTGCTCTTCAAATTCATAATAATTTTTGAACAAGATGACCCTATATTCATTTTACACTGGACCCCACAAAGGTAATTCTGCCAGAAGTATAGAGAGAACAAGTGTAGAAAAATACTATCTATCTAATATCACCTTTTATATATTAACAGCCCTGAGTGAGAACAGTTGCTTACTGACTATGGCAACAACTAGGATAACACGTGATATGGGTTGGCTGTATCCCCACCCAGATCTCATCTTGAATTTTCACATGTTGTGGGAGGGACCCAGTGGGAAGTAATTGAATCATGGGGCAAGTTTTTCCCGTGCTGTTCTCGTGATAGTGAATAAGTCTCATGAGATCTGATAGTTTTAAAAAGGAGAGTTCCCCTGCACAAGCTCTCTCTTTGCCTGCTGCCATCCATGTAAGATGTGACTTGCTCCTCCTTGCCTTCCGCTATGATTGTGAGGCCTCCTCAGCCATGTAGAACTGTAAGTCCAATTAAACCTCTTTCTTTAGTAAGTTTCCCAGTCTCTTGTATGTCTATCAGCTACGTGAAAACAGGCTAATACATCATGCATATCAAGAAAGGATTAATCTACTACTACTTCAAGACATTAACTGATTAATTAACTTTACTAATGACAAATGCACCAAATATATATTCTTTCAAAAAGAATAATCCAGAATGTAATTCGTGAATTCACTGGTAGCTCTTCTCTGCTGTCAACTATCTCCGCTTTAGCAATCTCTGCCTTCCAAAATTCAATAAATTTAATAGGACATAAATATTCATAAGTCATCCATATTGTTTATCTTTTTTGACAGCACAACCATTCTCATTCCTGAAAATTCCTATTGTTTGGCTTGTATCACATTTTAGTACTTGATGAAAATCAATTTTGAATTCGAATACATGCTGCAATCTAGTTCTTTTTAAAGGGTTTCCACATCAAATGATTTTCAAAATTTTGCTCCCCAGAAAGTGTAGATAGGGCAACATATATAATGCTAATTTTTAAAATATTACATAGCCCGAAACTGGGCACATAATAGCCAATGAGTAAATACCTAATTAAGTAAATTGAACTAACTAGCAATTAGTAATTTCCTATGTACCATGCAGGAACATACACATAATAACTTTCATGTATCTTTTTTTAAGTAATGGTTAAACTCCTAAACAGTTGCTTTTGCTCAAAAATTTTTAAAGTTGCCAAATATTAGATGGTTGCCTACACATGCTGCTTATATAAAAACAAACAAATGCAAACCTCTTTGTATTTTTCAAAATAGAAAACTGAAGAAAATTTTTAAAAAGTCAAACCTTTGAAACACGTAGTGATCTTTCAGTAGATTTCATTTTTCCAATGTTGCTTCATTTCAAAGCACACCAACTGCTCTGGCTTGGCTTTGCTGAACCATTTAACACCCACTTGCATCTCAGAAAGTTTCCTGTGTTTATAATTACAAAGGATATTTCATGACAACCTGTTTGTTGTTTATTTATTTATTTATTACAAACATCAAGTCACTCAGCACGTTGGCTGAGCAGAGCAGGTTCATTCTCACGCACATCTTGATATGTAACTGAAGTTGTTGCTTTAAGTCAAGTTGAGGCCAGATCCTCACAGCCAGACAGTTCTTAATTGCTTCATTTTTGAGATAGAGATTTTCTGAAATATATTTTCTTGCAGAGGAGAAAAAATTTTAAAACTTTGCTTTCACTTCACACTGGGAACAAGGAACAAGCAGATGGAAAATAATGAGTTTCTTCAATACTGTCTTGGCTAGAGAAATATTTTCTTAGACTCCACCTTTTTCTACATGTTCCAGCAACACCAAAATCCTGTTTTCCATTAGTTTGATTCTTGTTAACTACACTTCATTCCTCTCTGAGTAGAGTAAATCACAGATGGAGTGCCATACCATCATGGTGCCCAGATACAAAAAATGTTTGCAACTTTGACATCAACAGAGAATCTAAAACTTAAACTCATGCCATCATATGCATCCTAGCAAAGAGAGTATTCATTTTTACTGTTCTTTTGAAGAGAGGCTAAAGTCTTTCATTTAAAATTTCTTCATTTAAAAAACATCTCCATAGAAAAACAAAACGAAAACTAAAAAAACACAATGAAATAATGACTTACCACATGTAAATGGACTAGAGTAAATAATATCTGAAAAGAATCAACTTAAAGTGTTTAAATAGCTATTAATTGCATCATAAAAATAATCTTAAGACTGCATGTACAGGCTTAAAGAAAAAAATTAGACCTAAGTGGAAAGCAGAAGGCATCTTAGAAGCATCTACATCTCCTATCATTTTCCACAAGGAAATTGCATAAAAATCCTCTCCTTGAGAAAATTCAATCCTCCACTTGCTATAGGCAAATAATCCTCTTTTCTTATTTTCAGTTTTCTCAAATTGGGATTCAGTTTAAGTGGCTTCTCCCAGATCTTTCGGGTTTCCCTGGTTTTTAAAACATATTATCCCCCAGAATGTTCTTCGTCATTCAAAACATGAAACACTTTCAGGAAATCTACATACATCCAATAACCATTACATAGTTAGGCACTCATTCCAAAGAGGAAAAGAAAAAAGAAAAAGAGAAGCTTAAAGGGATTGGCTAAAGTGGGTGATCTACCAGGATGTCAGGAATAAGTGATTCTTGGTGAAACACCTCGAACACATTCTTATTTTCAGTGTGGCTGAAAGCCTGAAGGGGGTTGAGCTGAGGAGGGTGGCATGAAAAAGCGATAAAGTGAGCAGGCTGGTACATGTCCAGTATGCAACCCTAACTACTGATCAATGATCTCTAACCAAACATTTGGAAGAGTTGGTAACTTATCCTCTGATCTAGTGTAATTTTTCAAAGACACTGATGTCATCATGGGTAAATAAGAATTTGACATTGAATAACCACCCCCCGCCCCAAGATTTAGGGAAGTGAAATGGATTATGAATGACTGTCTCTGTCTGTTTTCTGCTGCTATAACAGAATGCCACAGACTGGGTAATTTATAAAGAAAAGAAATTTATTTGGCTCATGGTTCTAGAGCCATGATTCATCTTGATGCAAATTCCCTCCAGCTGTGAGCCTGTGAAATCAAAACAAGTTATCTACTTTCAAAATACAGTGATAGGACAGGCGTAGGATAGACATTCCCATTCCAAAAGGAAGAAATAGACAAGAAGAAAGGCGTAACTAGTCTCAAGTAAGTTCAAAGCCCAACAGGGAAAACAATATTAAATGTTAAAGCTGGAGAATAATCTCCTTTGACTCCATGTCCCACTTCCTGAATACACTGGGGTGGGAATTGAGCCCCCAGGGCCTCACATAGCCCCACCCCCAGGCCTTTGCTGGGCTTAGCCCACTCAGCTGTCAGGCGTTGGAGTCTCATGCTTGCAGCTCTCCTAGGCTAACATTGCACATTGACAGCTCTACAGTTCTTGAGTCTCAGTGGCCGTCCCAATCCTATAGCTCCACTAGGCATCACACTAGTGGAGACTCTCTGTGGTGACTCCACTCTTGCAGCAGGTTTCTGCCTGGGGCCCCCAGATTATTCATGACATCTGTTGAAATCTGGGTGGAGGTAGCCATGCCCCCAAAGCTCTTGCATTCTGCAAACCTACAGACTGAACACCACATGGATGCCATCAAGGATGGATTACTGCTTGCATGCTCCAGAGTGGCCTATACCATACCTTGGCCTGCTTGAGCCCTGGCTAGGGCAGTCAAGGAGAACTGCACTGAAATACAGGGAGAAGCAGATACCTGAGTAAGCTCTGAGGAGAGAGCCCACGAAGAGTTCCCTGGGCCTGTCCCCTGAAACCATTCTTCCTTCCTAGAGCTCTGCGCCTGTGATAGGAGGGCAGCCTCTAAGAGCTCTGAAGTGCCTTCAGAGTCCTTCTCTCATTGACTTGGTTAATAGCAGCTGGCTCCCCTCTGTCCATGGGAATCTCTTTACCAAATAGTTGCTTGGCTACACCCTTGATTTGCTCTCCTAAAGATGTATTTTCACTCTTTACATGGCCAGGCTGTGAATTTTCCAAATCTTTCCATTCTGCTTCTCTTTTAATTATAAATTCTATCTTTAAGTCATTCTTTTCCTCTCACATGTCACTATATGTGTTTAAAAGTAGCCATGCAGTGGCCTGAATGGTTTGCTGCTTAGATATTTTTTCTGGCAGATATTCTGTCATTGCTCTTAAGTTCTACATTTTATAAAGCCTTCAAACATACACACAATTTTACCGAGTTTTTTGCTACTTAATAACAAGGATGGCTTTTACTCTAGTTTCCAATACCTCGTTTCTTATTTCTGTCTGAGGCTTCATCAGATGGCCTTTAACTGCCCATATTTTTACGAACATTCTGGTCACAACCACTTAAGTAATCTCTAAGAAAATTCAAATTTCCTTATAATTCTCCTTTTCATCCAAACCCTCACCAGAAACATCCTTAATGCTTCACTGCAATACAGACTTTTTCTAGCCTGATTCTCCAAATGCTTTTAGCCTCTACCATTACCCAGTTCCAAAGCTGCTTCTACTTTTACAGGCATCCGTTCTAATAACAGCCGCATTTCTCAGTACCAATTGTCTGTTTCACAGATTAATGAGTGATTCTTTCCTGTTGAGATCTGTGTTTGCAAGTATCTTCACATCATGAAGTGTCTCACTCTTAAGGAAAATAAAAAAGCTTGCAAAGCCTTTAAGGGTGCTTCACCCCCCAAATAAAAGAAATATATTGTATTTCATGATAAATGAAGGGCATCTGCAACCTTTATCTTACACAGGGTGAATCACAGAACTCATGTTTTTAAAAGGAAGAAAAATGGCTTGAAAGGAATTGTTTCAGAGTAGTAAAGTCATTTCCAAAGAAAACCAAATGAAAAATCAACCAAATTACATAGAGTAACTCTGCGCTGAGTAACTAATTAATCATGGTATCCAGGGTAGTCTATCTAGCTCTTGGTTTTCTGCGGTCTCAATAATAGGTAAATAGAATCTTAGAGAAAAAAAAAGGCTTGTCAGATGTGTTTTTGCTTGTTTTTAACAAAGGCAGCAATGCACTCAGGAGTGCTTAATTGAATTCACAAAGCCAGTCAATGTGTTTAAATGTTATCATTGTAAAGCTACATTAAGTATCAGAGCAGCTTTTTGAAGCCAATATTTTTAAATAAAAAAATATAATTTAAAGAGGATCATGGTCCAGTGGTGAAAAACCAGGGCTTTTCCTTACTCCAGCTATTTAGTGCAGAAAAGTTTATGATAATTATTAGAATGACAGGCAATGCTGAATTTCTACTATGTAACATGTTAGGAAATGAAGACTTCTTTGGAATTGAAGAACTTTAGAATCAACCAAGAGTTGTGCAAATACAAGGCCTTGGCTTCAAAAGGGAAATTTAGTTGTAATCAAATCCTGCTCCTCGTTGTATTTTTTGGCCCTAGGTCATAGGGCTCTGTTGAAGGTGATGTTGTGCCATCATTCTAAGACATTCTACTATAACTTACTGAGTACTAAGTTTCCATCCATATGCCTGGCCTCCCAGGTCATAAGACACAGACACAGACCACCAGGAGGGTGCAGTGCAGTATATGGTGACTGCTAAACCCCTCACATTAAACAAAACAAAAAAGAAGTAATTATTGCTAAGCAAACATGAGGTTTTAAAAAGGCACTTATTATACAGAGAGGAATATAAAAAGACAAATATACTAAAGCCTGGTAAATATTTCTATTCTGAAAAAAAAAGAAAGTTATCTTTTAAAACTCACAGGGAAAGCTCCACTTTGGTTTCAGTCATCATCTTTGGAAGAAAAGGAAGTTGGATTTTTCCATTAACACCTCACAGTGCCTTTCTCTCCATCCTGGGTGGTGGCCACGCCGCTGTCAGCCTCTTCACACGGCTCAGCTGTGGTCAGGGTTGGCCCTTAATGTTGAATTTGGTGTGGTGATTTCAACAGACTCATTCACTGGCAGATATCCTGCCACACAGAGAGAATTTTTTGACCAGGTTGTAGCAATTTTCAATAAAAGGACAAACATAAATGGAACTCTCTGTACTTTTTCATTATACAAATAGCCAATGTTTAGTACTCAACTGATACATTGTACTCTTCTCTGAATTGCTCTGCAGGATGCATGTTTAAATATGATATCTGGTTCCCCAGATAGACAGAACTAATGGCTTCTGATCAACTCTGAAGCTGAAAAGAGACTTGGTAGAGTCTTGCACAGCATCACAAGTAGTGTGGTGCGACCCTCATCCCAATGTGCTAATAATGGTAGAATTTAGAGTGTCTAACCTGAAAACTTTCTGAGAACAAATGTTTCCTATCTTAATGTTGGATTTTTCACAAACGTTCTATGTGCATGTCCATCCTATATGGACATCCACCATGATGGAAGCAGGAAAAAGTGCAGTAATTAAGGGGAGGCTCAGACTAAGAATGAACATGCAGAAACTGAGATTTAGAGCCAATAGCTGAAAAGTTATTTGGGGCAAAAGGCCAATCTCAGAACAAAGAAGAAGAGTTGAGGTTAGAGAACTTGTATTGTTCAAAGGAAAGAATTGACCAAGGACTAGCTACTCAGGATTCATTCACTCACTCACTCATTCACTCAAACACTCACTCATTTAGCAACACCGCATACATATACTCATGGTGAATAAAATGCACTCAAGCTTTGTCTTCAGGCAGTTCTCATAGGACACAGGACGAGAGAGCACAGACAACCCAGTAAAGTACAAAATGGTGAAATAGAGGCTGATAGAAGAACTCACATTATCTTACCTATGGAAATGCCCCTAAATTTCTCCTAGACTTACAGGAACCAACTCTCTGCCCTTACCACTCTCACGTCTACCATTTTACACTCAATGAGATATAAGGCACATGGGATAGATACATTCAGACACCTGGCATATAAGATAAAGTGCTTTCTAATCTAAAATGCATTGTACATATTCTAATCTTTCCTTGTTGCTTCAGAAAGCCAAGTCTAGGAGAATACTGCTTAACAATGGGTTCAGTGTGTTTACACCTGTTTCTCAATGGGATGTAGTGATTCAATAAAAAAGAAAGTGACATTCTTTGGTTTAAAGCGTCCAGGAAAAATTAGACTTCAGTGTGTATTTTCCCTTGATCCTTTCAGAAAATTTACAATTCATCTCCCAACAGTCAATTCAGCAACAAGTCTTAAGGATTCTCCCTACAAAGCATATCCTAGATCCCAAATGTTTCTCTTCCCACACTGCAGCCACCTTCACCTAAGGCACCATCATTTTGCACCTGGACTATTGTGGTAGCTTCATAACTGATCTACCTGCTCTTCCCATGATTGTCTCCCCAGGTCTCCATGCACTTTTGAGTGAGGAATGAGCTTTTGAAAACATAAATCATACCACATCAGCCTCTGCTTATAAATGTCACATAGCTTCTCACCAAGTAGTATATCCCTAGTGGTATATGCAAAGCCCTATAAAATCAGTCCCAGTCTGTTTTTCAACCTCCTGTCATAAGATCTTGCCCTTTACCCAACTGTCTGTTTCTTCAACATAAACATTCCTACCTTAGGGCTTTTCTGATATCTGGTCTCTTTTTCTAGAATACACTTCCCTTAATTCTCAAATGGATCCCTCTTGTCATTTGGGTCTCAGTTTAGGTGTTACCTCTTCATAGAGATTTACCTGATTCACTAATCTCAGGTAGTCACCCAGTTACTGTCTCATTACCACCTTCTAATTATCTATAAGCACTTAGCACTATTTAGAATTTTTCTTAAATTTTTTAAAAAATTATTCCCATTTTCATAAGATTGTAAGTTCCATGAGATTAGGGACATTGTCTGCCATTTTACCTACTTGTTTTGTATAATTTGTAACAGGAAGAACTTAGAAATAGAAAATTTGTAAGTATATTATAAGCATTAAAAACATTTGCAAGTACCAAAGTGAATATTTCTCTGAAGGATATCTAGTTAGATGTGGACTTTCATCATGTCATTGGACTCTCCTTGGGCAGTTAGTACATGACACATGAATTATTCACTTATGGGTCTCCAACACCCTGCACGTCCAGGCACTTAATTGCTGTCTGTTGAGTGATTAAATGTTTTCCTGTTTGCTAAGGGTACTGAGCCAGTTCCCTTCAGGTTGCAGGAACACAGTTATGCTTAAGTTAATTTACCTATTGAGCATATTAGGAGAGAATAAGAGACCACCCTATGAGCTCCCCAGCCAGGCCACAAGGACCAGAGAGTTGTTCATAAGATGCCACAGCACCGGCCCCATGACCTGAACTCTCCTAGCATAAGGTATATGTTGGTTACTCCTCCAATACTCAGCGACTTGTTCACCCTCTTTGTTGCCAGAGATTTTGCCACTCCTGCTGACTCTCTTCTTGAAGTCCTACATGCAGGCTTCCTGAGCGACGACCAGATTGGGGCAGTGCTGTCACAGAGGTGCTGATTCAGGCATTTTCTCAGGGCACTGGCATACCTCACCCAGGCTTGAAGTCAGTGCTCACCTTCCATGCAAATACTGAGACCAGCATGGCCTGCTTTCTTTCAGGAATGGGGCCTCAGAAGAGGATTGTGTGCAATACAGCCATTCTGAGCTGCATCAAAAGGGAAAAACATTTTGTGTCAAGTAACTCCAGTAGTCTGAAGAAAATATTGGAAGTTCTAAAATATATAAACATAAGAATGGATAAGGAGGCCAGAGATTGGCCAACCATCAAAACTATGGGGCAAATATATTTAGAAGGTTAATCCCAATTCTGATCATCTCCCATACAATCAAATTGTGTATACTTGACCAAGATTTTATTTTTTTAATAAAATAAGTTGTTCAGAAAATACTTAATATAAATTATCTTTTTAAAATCTTTTAAATATTACCTCAAAATCCAGATGCAGACCTGAGTCCCACATGCACAAATATGGTTGTTACAAACTTGAAGAAAGTGGAAATAGAATTGGTTGTAGATTTAGGCAATAGTGCCAAATTTTTAACGTTTCCAGTTTAGGAAAACGATGCATTTGTTTTAAAAGATTTATTTCAGTACAGCCTCAACAAAGGGCAGTTTGGCTTAGCACTTCTCAATAAATGTGCATATGTGAGCAAAATTTTATCTACAAGGATATTTGTTGCATTATGGTTTGTAGTAGCAAAAGTCTAGAAATAAAGTATCTTATACCTAATTTATAAGAATCTTAAAGTCTTATAAATAAGAGACAGATGAAATAAATTACAGTACACTTGTAAAACAGAATGCTCTACAGCTATTAAAAATAAGAGGGTTGATTTATATATGTTGATATAGAAAACCCTCTAAATATATTAAAGTGGAAAAGCAAGGTAAGGAAATATGGCCTATAAGGAGAGGAACTAGCTGTCTAGGGTGGGAGAGAGATTTAGTTTTCAATCTGTAATCTATTTTACTGTTTGATTTTTAAAATTACGTTTATATATTGCTTAAAAAACAGAAAAAAACAAAACTTTATTTTCCTACCAAGCAAAAAATGTGTATACTAGCTTTCCATTGTCAATGAAAACAGTCAAACTGTGAAATATTTACAGAGGTTTATTCTGAGCCAAATATGAGTGACCATGGCCCAAGGCACAGTCTCAAGAGGTCTTGAGGACACATACCCAAGGTGGTTGGATTACAGCTTGATCTTATACATTTTAGGGGAACATAAGGCATTATTCAATACATGTGAGGTATTTGAAAGGTGGGACAACTCGAAGCAGAAGAGGATGGGGGCTTCAAGTCATAGGTGGATTCAAGGATTTTCTGATTGACAATTGGTTGAAAGAGTTAAGTTATTACCTAAGGATCTGGAATTAATAGAAAGGAGTGTCTGGGTTAAGATAAAGTGTTATGGAGACCAAGGTTCTTATTATACATAGGAAGTCCCATAGGTGGTCACCATAAGAGACAATAGATGCAAATGTTTTCTATTTAGACCTTTAAAAAGTGCTAGACTCTAGTTAATTTCTTCAGGATTGGGAGGGCCTGGAAGGGGAAAGATCTAGTTAATAGAAATGCTTTACAGATGCAAATTTTCCCCACAAAGGACAACTTTGCAGGGTCATTTAAGAATAGGGCAAAGAAACATATTTTGAGGTAAAATATTTTGATTTCCTTCTTTATCTGTCATGTGATGTTACACCAGAGCCATTGCACTGGGGACCTTTGAGATGGGGACTCAGAGTCAGGTTGGAGTTGGTATCTCATTGCTACAAAGAGTCTGTTCCATCAGTCTAAGAATTTCTATTTTAATTTTAATGCTGGTCAGTTGTGTTTAAACTCCACAATGGAGAGAGTACAGTAAGGCATGTCCGACCCCCATCTTATGTCATGGCCTGAACTAGTTTTTCCTGTTTTTTGGAATCCCCTTGGATGAGAAGAGGAGTCCATTCAGTTGTTGAGGGGCTTAGAATTTTATTTTTGGTTTAGACCTTTGAGTTCAGAAGAAATAAAGAAGAAATCTGAATATTCAGTATCTCTTGCATCGAGAAAATAAACCTATCTAAACCTAAAGAATTGACTCAGTCTCTGCCATTTTACCTACTCGGCTTATATAATTTGTAACAGAAAAAATTTAGAAATAGAAAATCCCAAAATACATTATAAGGATTAAAAGCATTTGTAATACAAGAAAGTACTTAGTACCAGCGTGAATGTTTCCCTGGTGGAGAACTAGTTAGACATGAATTCTCATCGTGTCATTGGGCTCTTCTTGGGAATTTAGTATATGACACATGAATTACATAATTCTACAATTAATGTAAAGAATGCTATGCAATCTTGTTCTTCTTCAGCTATTATGAGAGAGTAGGGATAGAATAAAAATAACTGAGATGTTGGGTTTACACTGCTTACATGATCCTCATCTTTTCTTTTTTGCCTTAATATTTACTTGTGTTATCTCTGGTGACTGCTTAATGAATTAAGAAGATAGAGCATTAAAGGTAAACTCATGTTTCCAGTCAGGATAGAATTATAGATTCGTAATTTTGTCATT
The DNA here is from genome assembly GCF_000001405.40 of Homo sapiens. Taxonomy (NCBI): domain Eukaryota; kingdom Metazoa; phylum Chordata; class Mammalia; order Primates; family Hominidae; genus Homo; species Homo sapiens. The sequence continues at coordinate 67,788,032 of NC_000005.10, read as the reverse complement.
CCAAATATTGTAAACATGTAACAATGATAAAAAAATTTTGAAAACATAGTTATGATTTAAAAATGTGAGACATTTTCATGGACCAGAAGTATTAGAATAGCTGAGCTAAAGTTGAGAGGCATTGAGCTGGGGATGTTTGGGGCTGTGAATCTAGTAACTAGCAGAGGGCACTAAGGGTCTTGATGCCTGTGGGGAGATGAGAACTAAAATTGCCTATTGTTAAGCCTGGGAGATAGGAGGCTGGAGCCTGGCTACTTCCTGAAGTCAGAGGCTGGAATAGGTGGGCCTCAAATGTACACAAGGGGTGAAATAAAACTGCTACTGTTGTCTTGGGCTACAGCATCTATAAAGCTAAGTGCATAGAGAGACGAGAGGGAGAAATAGAATCTCAATGCTAAAAGTTAAGCAAAACTGTTTACTAGCTCAAGGCCTAGATAGGTAATGTTTTCAATATTTTTGAGCACACATGACCTGGGTATCCAATAGAAAGCCCGATATAAATTCTGGATCCTGAGGAAAGGTAGAAGTGACTATGAAACTAGTAGACAGGGCAGGATAGTTTTTCAAAAGAAGGAAAAAAAAATATACTGCCACTCAAAATGAGTCTTCAAACAAAAATCCTACACATAAGATAAAGACAAATGCTAACAAAATCAGCAACTGGGAGATAAGTTTACCTAAAGACTAAAACACTACAACAATCTGAAATTTAGTTTAAAATTAGTGCATTGAGGAAGCTTAAAGTGATAATGAAAGGAAGAATACCTCCTCCCTCAAATACTAAACAAAAACAATCAAACAGAGAATTAGTAAGTTAAACGCAGTGCTAAGAAATTGATCTGGGACACAATACAGGGAGAAAAATTCATTAAAAATGTACCAGAGCAGTTGAGAAATGTATAGGATAAGTTGTGAGGGTTTTATAATATACAACAGGAGCCCCAAGGGGAGAGAAGAGAAGAAATGAGAGAGAAGCAATACTAAAAAACAAAAAATAAAAATAAACTGTCCAGAATTAAATAAATACATTATTTCTTAGACTTAAAATGCCCTGTGTAGGAAGAATTAAATCCAGATCTTAAAATTCAATTGATATTTTATACATCAAGTATAAAATGAAGACTGGATGACAATTAGAATAAAAGTAGACTTCTATCAACATTAGTAGATGTTTAAAATCAATGGAATATTTTTGATGTTGATGATAAAAATAACTGCCAATGTAAATTCTATGATAAGCTAAGCTATTATTCAAGTGTAAGACATAACGTTTAAAATGCTTTATCATTCGTAACCATTGTTGATAACCACTAATTGACATGCTTCTTGAAGAAAAGGAAATCCAGAGGAAAAGCTTGAGACATGAACAATAAGGGCAATTGTGGAAATGAGTAAAGTATGCTAGTGTGACAGATTGTATTTGTTCAGTAGCATCACACCAACATTTTCCTTTTTTTTCTTTTTTTTTTTTTTAATATACTTTAAGTTTTAGGGTACATGTGCACAACGTGCAGGTTTGTTACATGTGTATATATGTGCCATGTTGGGGTGCTGCACCCATTAACTCATCATTTAACATTAGGTATATCTTCTAATGCTATCCCTCCCCTCTCCCCCCACCCCACAACAGGCCCAGGTGTGTGATGTTCCCCTTCCTTTATCCATGTGTTCTCATTGTTCAATTCCCACCTATGAGTGAGAACATGCGGTGTTTGGATGTTTGTCCTTGCAATAGTTTGCTGAGAAAGATAGTTTCCAGCTTCATCCATGTCCCTACAAAGGACATGAACTCATCATTTTTTATGGCTGCATAGTATTCCATGGTGTATATGTGCCACATTTTTTTTTAAATTTTTTTTTTATTTTTTATTTTATTATTATTATACTTTAAGTTTTAGGGTACATGTGCACAATGTGCAGGTTAGTTACATATCTATACATGTGCCATGCTGGTGTGCTGCACCCATTAACTCGTCATTTAGCATTAGGTATATCTCCTAAAGCTATCCCTCCCCCTTCCCCCCACCCCACAACAGTCCCCAGAGTGTGATGTTCCCCTTCCTGTGTCCATGTGTTCTCATTGTTCAATTCCCACCTATGAGTGAGAATATGTGGTGTTTGGTTTTTTGTTCTTGCGATAGTTTACTGAGAATGATGATTTCCAATTTCATCCATGTCCCCACAAAGGACATGAACTCATCATTTTTTATGGCTGCATAGTATTCCATGGTGTATATGTGCCACATTTTCTTAATCCAGTCTATCACTGTTGGACATTTGGGTTGGTTCCAAGTCTTTGCTATTGTGAATAGTGCGGCAATAAACATACGTGTGCATGTGTCTTTATAGCAGCATGATTTATAGTCCTTTGAGTATATACCCAGTAATGGGATGGCTGGGTCAAATGGTATTTCTAGTTCTAGATCCCTGAGGAATCGCCACACTGACTTCCACAATGGCTGAACTAGTTTACAGTCCCACCAACAGTGTAAAAGTGTTCCTATTTCTCCACATCCTCTCAGGCACCTGTTGTTTCTTAACTTTTTAATGATTGACATTCTAACTGGTGTGAGATGGTATCTCATTGTGATTTTGATGGGCATTTCTCTGATGGCCAGTGATGGTGAGCATTTTTTCATGTGTTTTTTGGCTGCATAAATGTCTTCTTTTGAGAAGTGTCTGTTCATGTCCTTTGCCCACTTTTTGATGGGGTTGTTTGTTTTTTTGCAAATTTGTTTGAGTTCATTGTAGATTCTGGATATTAGCCCTTTGTCAGATGAGTAGGTTGTGAAAATTTTCTCCCATTTTGTAGGTTGCCTGTTCACTCTGATGGTAGTTTCTTTTGCTGTGCAGAAGCTCTTGAGTTTAATTAGATCCCATTTGTCAATTTTGGCTTTTGTTGCCATTGCTTTTGGTGTTGTAGACATGAAGTCCTTGCCCATGCCTATGTCCTGAATGGTAATGCCTAGGTTTTCTTCTAGGGTTTTTATGGTTTTAGGTCTAACATTTAAGTCTTTAATCCATCTTGAATTAATTTTAGTATAAGGTGTAAGGAAGGGATCCAGTTTCAGCTTTCTACATATGGCTAGCCAGTTTTCCCAGCACCATTTATTAAATAGAGAATCCTTTCCGCATTGCTTGTTTTTCTCAGGTTTGTCAAAGATAAGATAGTTGTAGATATGCGGTGTTATTTCTGAGGGCTCTGTTCTGTTCCATTGATCTACATCTCTGTTTTGGTAGCAGTACCATGCTGTTTTGGTTACTGTAGACTTGTAGTATAGTTTGAAGTCAGGTAGCGTGGTGCCTCCAGCATTGTTCTTTTGGCTTAGGATTGACTTGGCAATGTGGGCTCTTTTTTGGTTCCATATGAACTTTAAAGTAGTTTTTTCCAATTCTGTGAAGAAAGTCATTGGTAACTTGATTGGGATGGCATTGAATCTATAAATTACCTGGGCAATATGGCCATTTTCATGATATTGATTCTTCCTACCCATGAGCATGGAATGTTCTTCCATTTGTTTGTGTCCTCTTTTATTTCATTGAGCAGTGGTTTGTAGCTCTCCTTGAAGAGGTCCTTCACGTCCCTTGTAAGTTGGATTCCTAGGTATTTTATTCTCTTTGAAGCAATTGTGAATGGGAGTTCACTCATGATTTGGCTCTCTGTTTGTCTGTTATTGGTGTATAAGAATGCTTGTGATTTTTGTACATTGATTTTGTATCCTGAGACTTTGCTGAAGTTGCTTATCAGCTTAAGGAGATTTTGGGCTGAGACATTGGGGTTTTCTAGATATACAATCATATCATCTGCAAACAGGGACAATTTGACTTCCTCATTTCCTAATTGAACATCATTTATTTCCTCTTCCTGCCTAACTTCCCTGGCCAGAACTTCCAACACTATGTTGAATAGGAGTGGTGAGATAGGGCATCCCTGTCTTGTGCCAGTTTTCAAAGGGAATGCTTCCAGCTTTTGCCTATTCAGTATGATATTGGCTGTGGGTTTGTCATAGATAGCTCTTATTATTTTGAGATATGTCCCATCAATACCTAATTTATTGAGAGTTTTTAGCATGAAGGTTGTTGAATTTTGTCAAAGGCCTTTTCTGCATCTATTGAGATAATCGTGGTTTTTGTCTTTGGTTCTGTTTATATGCTGGATTACATGTATTGATTTGCATATATTGAACCAGCCTTGCATCCCAGGGATGAAGCCCACTTGATCATGGTGGATAAGCCTTTTGATGTGCTGCTGGATTCGGTTTGCCAGTATTTTATGGAGGATATTTGCATCAATGTTCATCAAGGATATTGGTCTAAAATTCTCTTTTTTGGCTGTGTCTCTGCCTGGCTTTGGTATCAGGATGATGCTGGCCTCATCAAATGAGTTAGGGAGGATTCCCTCTTTTTCTATTGATTGGAATAGTTTCAGAAGGAATGGTACCAGTTTCTCCTTATACCTGTGGTAGAATTCGGCTGCGAATCCATCTGGTCCTGGACTCTTTTTGGTTGGTAAACTATTGATCATTGCCACAATTTCAGAGCCTGTTATTGGTCTACTCAGAGAGTCAACTTCTTCCTGGTTTAGTCTGGGGAGGGTGTATGTGTCTAGGAATTTATCCATTTCTTCTAGATTTTCTAGTTTATTTGTGTAGAGGTGTTTGTAGTATTCTCTGATGGTAGTTTGTATTTCTGTGGGATCATTGGTGATATCCCCTTTATCATTTTTTATTGCGTCTATTTGATTCTTCTCTCTTTTCTTCTTTATTAGTCTTGCTAGCGGTCTATCAATTTTGTTGATTGTTTCAAAAAAACAGCTCCTGGATTCATTAATTTTTTGAAGGCTTTTTTGTGTCTCTATTTCCTTCAGTTCTGCTCTGATTTTAGTTATTTCTTGCCTTCTGCTAGCTTTTGAATGTGTTTGCTCTTGCTTTTCTAGTTCTTTTAATTGTGATGTTAGGGTGTCAATTTTAGATCTTTCCTGCTTTCTCTTGTGGCATTTAGTGCTATAAATTTCCCTCTACACACTGCTTTGAATGTGTCCCAGAGATTCTGGTATGTTGTGTCTTTGTTCTCATTGGTTTCAAAGAACATCTTTATTTCTGCCTTCATCTCGTTATGTACCCAGTAGTCATTCAGGAGCAGGTTGTTCAGTTTCCATGTAGTTGAGCAGTTTTGAGTGAGTTTCTTAATCCTGAGTTCTAGTTTGATTGTACTGTGGTCTGAGAGACAGTTTGTTATTATTTCTGTTCTTTTACATTTGCTGAGGAGAGCTTTACTTCCAACTATGTGGTCAATTTTGGAATAGGTGTGGTGTGGTGCTGAAAAAAATGTATATTCTGTTGATTTGGGGTGGAGAGTTCTGTAGATGTCTATTAGGTCTGCTTGGTGCAGAGCTGAGTTCAATTCCTGGGTATCCTTATTAACTTTCTGTCTCATTGATCTGCCTAATGTTGACAGTGGGGTGTTAAAGTCTCCCATTATTATTGTGTGGGAGTCTAAGTCTCTTTGTAGGTCCCTCAGGACTGGCTTTATGAATCTGGGTGCTCCTGTATTGGGTGCATATATATTTAGGATAGTTAGCTCTTCTTGTTGAATTGATCCCTTTACCATTATGTAATGGCCTTCTTTGTCTCTTTTGATGTTTGTTGGTTTAAAGTCTGTTTTATCAGAGACTAGGATTGCAACCCCTGCCTTTTTTTGTTTTCCATTTGCTTGGTAGATCTTCCTCCATCCCTTTATTTTGAGCCTATGTGTGTCTCTTCACGTGAGGTGGGCTTCCTGAATACAGCACACTGATGGTCCTTGACTCTTTATCCAGTTTTCCAGTCTGTGTCTTTTAATTGGAGCATTTAGTCCATTTACATTTAAAGTTAATATTGTTATGTGTGAATTTGATCCTGTCATTATGATGTCAGCTGGTTATTTTGCTCGTTAGTTGATGCAGTTTCTTCCTAGCCTCGATGGTCTTTACAATTTGGCATGTTTTTGCAGTGGCTGGTACCAGTTGTTCCTTTCCTTGTTTAGTGCTTCCTTCAGGAGCTCTTGTAGGGCAGGCCTGGTGGTGACAAAATCTCTCAGCATTTGCTTGTCTGTAAAGGATATTTCTCCTTCACTTATGAAGCTTAGTTTGGCTGGATATGAAATTCTGGGTTGAAAATTCTTTTCTTTAAGAATGTTGAATATTGGCCCCCACTCTCTTCTGGCTTGTAGAGTTTCTGCCGAGATATCTGCCGTTAGTCTGATGGGCTTCCCTTTGTGGGTAACCCGACCTTTCTCTCTGGCTGCCCTTAACATTTTTTCCTTCATTTCAACTTTGGTGAATCTGACAATTATGTGTCTTGGAGTTGCTCTTCTCAAGGAGTAGCTTTGTGGCGTTCTCTGTATTTCCTGAATCTGAATGTTGGCCTGCCTTGCTAGATTGGGGAAGTTCTCCTGGATAATATCCTGCAGAGTGTTTTCCAACTTGGTTCCATTCTCTCCTTCACTTTGAGGTACACCAATCAGACGTAGATTTGGTCTTTTCACATAGTCCCATATTTCTTGGAGGCTTTCTTTGTTTCTTTTTATTCTTTTTTCTCTAAACTTCCCTTCTCGCTTCATTTCATTCATTTCATCTTCCATCACTGATACCCTTTCTTCCAGTTGATCGCCTTGGCTCCTGAGGCTTCTGCATTCTTCACGTAGTTCTCGAGCCTTGGCTTTCAGCCCCATCAGCTCCTTTAAGCACTTCTCTGTATTGGTTATTCTAGTTATACATCCGTCTAAATTTTTTTCAAAGTTTTCAACTTCTTTGCCTTTGAATTTCTTCCTGTAGTTTGGAGTAGTTTGATCGTCTGAAGCCTTCTTCTCTCAACTCGTCAAAGTCATTCTCCGTCTAGCTTTGTTCCATTGCTGGTGAGGAGCTGCGTTCCTTTGGAGGAGGAGAGGCACTCTGCTTTTTCGAGTTTCCAGTTTTTCTGCTCTGTTTTTTCCCCATCTTTGTGGTTTTATCTACTTTTGGTCTTTGATGATGGTGATGTACAGATGGGTTTTTGGTGTGGATGTCCTTTCTGTTTGTTAGTTTTCCTTCTAACAGAGAGGACCCTCAGCTGCAGGTCTGTTGGAGTTTGCTGGAGGTCCACTCCAGACCCTGTTTGCCTGGGTACCAGCAGCGGTGTCTGCACAACAGCGGATTTTCATGAACCGCCAATGCTGCTGTCTGATCGTTCCTCTGGAAGTTTTGTCTCAGAGGAGTACCCGGCTGTGTGAGGTGTCAGTCTGCCCCTACTGGGGGGTGCTTCCCAGTTAGGCTGCTCAGGGTTCAGGGGTCAGGGACCCACTTGAGGAGGCAGTCTGCGCGTTCTCAGATCTGCAGCTGCATGCTGGGAGAACCACTGCTCTCTTCAAAGCTGTCAGACAGGGACATTGAAGTCTGCAGAGGTTTCTGCTGTCTTTTTGTTTGTCTGTGCCCTGCCCCCAGAGGTGGAGCCTACAGAGGCAGGCAGGCCCCCTTGAGCTGTGGTGGGCTCCACCCAGTTGGAGCTTCCTGGCTGCTTTGTTTACCTAAGCAAGCCTGGGCAATCGCGGGCGCCCCTCCCCCAGCCCTGCTGCTGCCTTGCAGTTTGATCTCAGACTGCTGTGCTAGCAATCAGGGAGACTCCGTGAGTGTAGGACCCTCCCAGCCAGGTGCGGGATAGGATCTCCTGGTGCGCCGTTTTTTAAGCCCATGGGAAAAGTGCAGTATTAGGGTGGGAGTGACCCGATTTTCCAGGTGCCGTCTGTCACCCCTTTCTTTGACTAGGAAAGGGAACTCCCTGATCCCTTGCACTTCCCGAGTGAGACAATGCCTCACCCTGCTTCGGCTCACACACGGTGCCCTGCATCCACTCTTCTCCACCCACTGTCCTGCGCCCACTGTCTGGCACTCCCTAGTGAGATGAACTGGTACCTCAGATGGAAATGCAGAAATCACCCGTCTTCTGCGTCACTCACGCTGGGAGCTGTAGACTGGAGCTGTTCCTATTTGGCCATCTTGGCTCCACCTCCACGTTTTCTTAATCCACTCCATCATTGATGGACATTTGGGTTGGTTCCAAGTCTTTGCTATTGTGAATAGTGCCGCAATAAACATACGTGTGCATGTATCTTTATAGCAGCATGATTTATAATCCTTTGGGTATATACCCAGTAATGGGATTGCTGGGTCAAATGGCATTTCTAGTTCTAGATCCCTGAGGAATCGCCACACTGACTTCCACAATGGTTGAACTAGTTTACAGTCCCACCAACAGTATAAAAGTGTTCCTATTTCTCCACATCCTCTCTAGCACCTGTTGTTTCCTGACTTTTTAATGATTGCCATTCTAACTGGTGTGAGACGGTATCTCATTGTGTTTTTGATTTGCATTTCTCTGATGGCCAGTGATGATGAGCATTTTTTCATGTGTCTTTTGGCTGCATAAATGTCTTCTTTTGAGAAGTGTCTCTTCATATCCTTCGCCCACCTTTTGATGGGGTTGTTTTTTTCTTGTAAATTTGTTTGAGTTCATTGTAGATTCTGGATATTAACCCTTTGTCAGATGCGTACATTGCAAAAATTTTCTTCCATTCTGTAGGTTGCCTGTTCACTCTGATGGTAGTTTCTTTTGCTGTGCAGAAACTCTTTAGTTTAATTAGATCCCATTTGTCAATTTTGGTTTTTGTTGCCATTGCTTTTGGTGTTTGAGACATGAAGTCCTTACCCATGCCTATGTCCTGAATGGTATTGCCTAGGTTTTCGTCTAGGGTTTTTATGGTTTTAGGTCTAACATTTAAGTCTTTAATCCATGTTGAATTAATTTTTGTATAAGGTGTAAGGAAGGGATCCAGTTTCAGCTTTCTACATATGGCTAGCCAGTTTTCCCAGCACCATTTATTAAATAGGGAATCCTTTCCCCATTTCTTGTTTTTGTCAGGTTTGCCAAAGATCAGATAGTTGTAGATATGCAGCAATACTTCTGAGGCCTCTGTTCTGTTCCATTGGTCTATATCTCTGTTTTGGTACCAGTATCATGCTGTTTTGGTTACTGTAGCCTTGTAATATGGTTTGAAGACAGGTAGCGTGATGCCTCCAGCTTTGTTCTTTTGGCTTAAGATTGACTTGGTCGAGACCATCCCGGCTAAAATGGTGAAACCCCGTCTCTACTAAAAATACAAAAAATTAGCCGGGCGTAGTGGCGGGCGCCTGTAGTCCCAGCTACTTGGGAGGCTGAGGCAGGAGAATGGCGTGAACCCGGGAGGCGGAGCTTGCAGTGAGCCGAGATCCCGCCACTGCACTCCAGCCTGGGCGACAGAGCGAGACTCCGTCTCAAAAAAAAAAAAAAAAAAAGATTGACTTGGCAATGCAGGCTCTTTTTTGGTTCCATATGAACTTTAAAGTAGTTTTTACCAATGCCATCACAGCAACATTTTCAGTCTAAGCTATTGTAGAACCTTGTCACATACACATCAAGAGATTGAGTCTATTTTCTCCAGCCTTGAAGTTTGGGAGACTATGGAACTGCTCTAATGAGTAGGACACTATGAAAGTGGTACTGTATGAATTTCAAGGCTAAGGCAATACGGCTTCTGTTTGCCTGTCTCATTCTTGGTACATTTGCCTTGAGAACATAGCCATCATGCTGTGAGGAAGCCCAAAGTAGCCTACACAGAGAAACTACATGGAAAAAAATACAAAAAGAGAAACTGAGGCCCTCAGCCAATGGCCACATTCCCAGGAGACCTTTTAAAATGTGGGACAGAGATAAACTCTCCCTACTTAGAATACCCATACTACCCAAAGCAATCTACAGATTCAATGAAACCTCAATCAAAATACCAATGACATTCTTCACAGAAATAGCAAAAATGATCCTCAAATTCATATGGAACCACAAAAGACCCAGAACAGCCAATGCTATCCAGAGAAAAAGAACAAAACTAGAGGAATCACATTACCTGACTGAAATGATACTACAGAGCTACAATAACCCAAATGGCATGGTACTGGCATAAAAACAGACACATAGACCAATGGAACAGAACAGACAATGCAGAAAAATATTTGTACATCTACAGCGAACTCATTTTCAACAAATGTGCCAAGAACAGATATTCAGAAAAGGACAGTCTCTTCAATAAATTGTACTGGGAAAACTGGATATCCATATGCAGAAAAATAAAACTAGAACCCTATCTCTCACTACATACGTAAAGCAAATCAAAATGGATTACAGACTTATATCTAAGACCTCAAATTATGAAACTACTAAAAGAAAACATTGAGAAACTCTCCAGGATGTTGGGCTGGGCAAATATTTCTTGAGTAGTACCCCAAAAGCACAGGCAACCAAAGCAAAAATGGACAAATGTGATCACATCAAATTAAAAAGCTTTTGCACAGGGCAGGAAACAATCAACAAAGTGAAGAGACAACCCACAGAATGGGAGAAAATATTTGCAAAGTATCCAGGGACAAAGGATTAATAACCAGAATATATAATATCAATGGTCATCAGAAAAAATGCAAATTGAACTACAATGAGCTATTATCTTACCCCAGTTAAAATGGCTTTTATCCAAGACAGGCAATAACAAATGCTGGCGAGAATGTGCAGAAAAGGGAACCCTTGCACACTGTTGGTGGGAATTAGTACAACCACTATACAGAACGGTTTGGAGGTTCCTCAAGAAACTAAAATTAGAACTATCATACGATTCAGCAATCCCACTGATAGGTATATACTTAAAAGAAAGGATATTAGTATACTGCAGAGATATCTGCCCTCCCATGTTTACTGCAGTACTATTCACAATAACTAATATTTGGAAGTAACCTAAGTGTCCACCAACAGATGAATGGATAGAGAAAATGTGGTACATATACACAATGGAGTACTATTCAGCCATAAAAAACAGTGATATCCTGTCATTTGCAACAACATGGATGGATCTGGAGGTCACTATGTTAAGTGTAATAAACCAGGCACAGAAAAACAAACTTTGCATGTTCTCACTCATTTGTGGGAGCTAAATAATTAAAACAATTGAACTCATGGAGATAGGGAGTAGAATGATGGTTACCAGAGGCTGGAAAGAATAGTGGGGTGGTGGAGGCAGGGTAGAGTAGGGATTGTTAGTGAGTACAAAAATTAGTTAGATCGAATGAAGATCTAGTATTTGATAACACAACAGGGTGACAATAGTCAACAATAATTTATTGTACATTTTAAAGTAACTAAAAGAGTATAATTGGACTGTTTGTAACACACAAAAAAGGATAAATGCATTGTGTGCCTGTATAAAAATATCTCATATACTCCATAAATAAATACACCTACTATGTACCCACAAATATTAGACACACACAGATACATGCATGCACTGACTCACAAAACTTTCTAAAATGCTCTGCTTAAATTCTTAACCCACAGAATCCGTGAACAAAATACTGATTTCTTATGCCACTAAGTTTTGGAGAAACTTTTATAGCACTATATTTTGTAGAACAGTTATTATATTTAACTACTATTAAGAAGATTTTGGTAACTAATATTAATTATAGTAATAATAGAAGAAAAATGGAGGGTAGTAAGTAGAAGTTGTTTAGTAGCTAGTTTTTTGCTTGATTTGGGAGAAGGGTAAAGATATTTAATAAACTCGGGCTTTGATAAGATTTTATAGTTAAGTTTGTAGGCTAAGCTTTTGAAAACAACCATTAAAAGAACAGAAATTTAATAAATGAATCCAATCCAGAAATGAAGGAAAAGAAAGGAGGTAATAATGAAAATTTCATACATGTATACAATCAGAAACAAACAACACAACATAACAATAATTGACTGATTCACATTTCTTTTCAAATTATCAGAATTCTAATTGATTTAGGCTACATTAAATTAAAAAATGCAAAGAGTAATAAGAATAATACTCCATGTCTTAGATTTTTAGATATTATACGTTTTAGAAAGTTTTGGTCTTTTCAGGTATGTAATTCACCAGGTAGGTTTTAACCCTTAGACTTTTAGAGGATACTGTGTATAGACAGAGTTGAAGGCCAGAGAAAAGTGAGTTTTATTAAACCATGTATCAGCATATTTTAGTTAGAAAATAGTGTCACCATAGTGATTGTTCATATTAGTTTTCCTTGGCCAGACTCGGTGGCTCACGCCTGTAATCCCAGCACTTTGGGAGGCCAAGGCAGGCAGATCACGAGGTCAGGAATTCAAGACCAGCCTGACCAACAATACAAAACACAAAAATTAGCCGGGCATGGTGTTGGATGCCTGTAATCCCAGCTACTCAGGAGGCTGAGGCAGGAGAATCGTTTGAACCTGGGAGGCAGAGGTTGCAGTGAGCTGAGATAGCACCACTGCACTCCAGCCTGGGTGACAGAGTGATACTCCATCTCAAAAAAAAAAAAAATAGCTTTCCTTTATTATTATTATTATTATTATCATTATTATTATTACTATTATTACTATTATTTTTGAAACTGAATCTTGCTCTGTCTCCCAGGCTGGAGTGCAATGGCATGATCTCAGCTCACTGCAACCTCCATCTCCCAGGTTCAAGTGATTTCCAGCTAATTTTTGTATTTTTAGTAGAGATGGGGTTTCACCATGTTGGCCAGGCTGGTCTCAAACTCCTGACCTCAAGCGATCCAACCGCCTCAGCCTCCCAAAGTGCTGCGATTACAGGCATAAGCCACCATGCCTGGCCTTAAAATTAGCTTTCTAAATCCCTCTACTGGAAATACATGGTAGGAAAGTAGTCCAAATAGTTTATTATAAATCACACAATAACTGATTTATTAAGAAAATGGCGGCAGTCTTCCCTCGGCCAGATACAGTTGTTTGTTAATCCACCTTATTTTTATTTAGATGACACACACACAAAATAGCTGCCATTTGTTACAGACAGCATTGGACTCAATTTGCCAACACATTTCACCAATTGTTTACCATTGTTCTCTGCATCTTTGTCTCTCCCTTTGTGCTTCCATCAGATGCAGTAATGAATGCATGCTGCAGGCACACTCTAGAATAGAGAAAAAAGGAGAAGTCACAGTTCTGTGATTTTAAGCTGTGTGCTCTTTTCTACTCTTCTCATCTGTACGCCAATGGGATCCAGCAAAGATGGGTGCCAGAACAAAGCAAAGCGGAAGAGGATGCCAGAGGGAAACCATGATAACTTTGTGGGGTTTTTTTTTTTTTTTTTTGCATTACAAGATAACTTTTTCTTTTCCTTTAAGACGTTTAATAGCATTTACTAAGATATCACTTGTTTGTCTTCATTCATATATTGCTCTATACTGAGTTAACCATAATTGTATGTGTCTTATCTTTTTATTTAGACTGTGTGCCCTCTGAGAAAAAGTATTTTTTAAATACTAGTATTTCTGGCATTTAATATTGTGTTGAAACATAGGAAATACAACAATGTTTGATGAATAAATAAATGCCACAGATGAGAAAGAAACTTTCTCATAATTTTCTCTATAATGAATTTGCTCTATAAAATGAGATTAAGAAGTCCACCCAAGGAATTTAATGACAGAAGTGGAACAAGAAACCAAAGACCTTGGCCTCCCTTCACCCCTCAAATCCAGCACTTTCCACAGTACCACACTCAAAATTCAGAAAGCTCAGGCTTGGAAGCCTTCAGATGCCTTCCTGGCAGGACTGTGTTAGGCACACCAGAATTGCATGAGACGACGCCTATGGTCTGTGCTGTTATGAAATATCATAACAGTGATCCAGTGGCTTTGATGTCTGCCAACAATTGCAAGTAAAGAAAGTGGTTTAATGACACAGGCATACTGTGAGCAAAATCCTTAGGTTGGCTCCTTTTGCCCTATAATATTTGTATGTGTAAGGAAACCTTTTACCCCTTCTACAGCTCTCTCTTTCCTTGAAAAGTCCCAAATATTAACCCTGAGAGATGACTTTCTACTTGCCACTGTAGAAAGAGTACTTACTTATCTGATATTACATACCACTCCTTCTTTGTCTCTGTGTTAATAACTTAATAATCTTGGGTGCACTTCCTGGAGTCCATAGACAAGAGGTAATAATTTTTCTCCTCACCATTATTCCTTTTCTGTTTTGTAAACTTACCCAGTATAGTACAATGATCTTCAACACCAAAAATTAGTTGGCAACTAAGTTGTAAGTTATGAATAATCCCCCAGTTATTTCCTCTGGGTAGGTTCATTGATTAGGATGTATTTTTCTCTTTCAACCTTATCTTTTAAAGGTCTTGTGAAGTTTTACCTTACATTTATTGCCCAGCAGACTAGAAAGACAGGAGAGAAGTGGTGGCAAGAAGAGCTGAATGGAATCGTTGATTATAATTGACAAAGAACTGCAGTGTGTGTGCAGAAAACAAAGAGACCTTTGTGTTGGTGGGAAGCATGTGACCGGCCGCCCTAATTTGGTCAGAGCTGTTCCATTTGCTCATCTACTTCTCTGGATGTTCTTCAAGATTCTGATTGAACCTGGTCTTTTCCACAACCTTTCCCATTTTCCCTGAGTCATCTTAGGGGATAAGAGCAAGAGAAGACTCCTGTTAACAGCCATATGATTCACCCTTCAGGCCTTTCCCTCAATTTTCTAAAACATAGTCTTGAAATAGTTTTGATCATGGATTAAATCAGTACAACATATACCCCATTTGTAAGTTATCCTCATGTACTGCCTATTCTGATACTTTATGCTAATATATTATGTAACATAAAACACACAAAAATTAGATTTAAAAAGATGAAAAATGAATGCAAATAGCAATTTTCTTAGTATTTTTCCTCTGCACCCTAATGCATCACCTTGTATACCTCCAGGGTGTTTACACCCTATTTTGGAGGCTCTTACCAAAAGATACTTATGAGTTGACCAAAGACAAATACAGTCCAATCTGAGAAGCTGCATCCTCTTTTTGAGGTCATTTGGGATTGTGACAACCAGGCAGCTTCCTCATGTTTCTGGATACTGCTGGGAAGACTGTTCCAAAAGGTACCCAAAAGCAAATACCCAACCCCAGTGTTCTAGAGACCAAAAATCTAGTCCCAGCCCTATCATTAACCAGCTCTACAACTCTAAGAAACTCATTTAAACTCTCTGAATTTGTCATTGGTGAAACAAAAACAAAAACGAAAAAACTTTCTTGCCCATTTCACCTAATTGCTATAAATATCAAAGACGGCAAGGGATTTGCAAGAATTTCTAAAAGAATAACACAGAATACAACTATAAGGTAGTATTGTTATTATTTTTAAAGATAGTGGAAGGAAGGAATATCCTACCTGCTCCCCTGCCCTCTGCACTGTTCATTGCATCAACAAAACTAACTCAATGCAGACACCCTCCCTCTTGCCCTCCTGTACTGTGTAAATGATCACTGGTGAAAATTGAAGCTGTTTAGTTTTAGATTTTAGTGAATACTTTCCCAACTCTTCCTCCCAAGATTTTAGAATCATAAAAGGTAAGAGGAAGATAATAATTTTAGAGTTGAAGGTAGCTGAAAGATTATCCCAGCTAGTATTCTTATTTTGTGGATGAAAATATTGAAGCTGAGTGAATTTCAGAGAGGCTAAATGATTTCTCCAGGATCACACAGCTAGGAAAGGAGCCACATCAGACCCTGAGAGCCATATTGGAACCTATTTTGGAATCCTTTTTTTTTTTTTCCTACAATGCTGCTACGGTTCCTTTCCTTCTTTCCATGCTGACTGCCAGGGCTGCTTCACATCATTATGGTACTCTAGTCAATCATTTATAATTCCTCTTCAGCTGTGTTTCTCTCAGGAGCAAACTATGTCTGTATTCTCCATTGCAAAAGATTCTCTTCTTTTGCATCCATATCTTTAAGTCTTACAAGTCAATTCCATCCCCCTAAACTGTCTCCAATTCTTTCTTACTGTTATTCAACTCCTACTCTGATCACCTCGTTAGCTACCCGTGATGTTTCCTTGTCAGGAAAGGACTGTGGATTAGATGGCCAGAGGTGGCCATTTAACTTGTCACGGAAGGCGTCTGCCTCTTCCAGAGCACTGACAGCTGTTGTGTCAGTCACACAAGGTAAAATAACCTTCTCACAGAGTAAAAATAAAATGGTAAACATAACCTTCTTACACAAGTCTCACACCAAAAGTAGGCGTGAATATTTTGGAGAGAATTTAGAAACGGGTGATAGAGATGGCACAGGCAGAAGCTGGTTAGATGGATATGTGTCCCTCCCTTCCAGGGTTTTTGTTTCTAACCAGGAGGTTAGAAACCATCCTTTTTCTTCTTTTTTCCCTTTCTTCCTTTGGCACCAGCCACTCCCGACCTCCCAAATACCCACCCAAATCCATCTCAGATTTAATGTGAAATTATGTTCATGTTGTATTTTCAATGGTTCCTGTTTTCTTCTACCTAGATCACTTTTAGGTATTTAATGGTCAAATATTCTCTATGAGTAAGATAGATTAAATCTCAGGATCCATGCTTCTAATGGGGCAAAAGTGAATTACTGAACACATTTAATAAAATGTCTCAGAAGGAAGCCTTGGCCCAAGTCATCACTGTAAGATGAGTAGCCAGAGATCTGAAGCAAAGAGCTGGCAAGATTTTTTGTGATTTCCATTTATTCTTGGCTTTGTTTTTATCAAACGTCCACTTGGGGTGTAATAGGATCAGAATGCAAATAGATCACCAGCATGACTTTTGAGAACAAAGAAAAATTTATATATACTCTGTTACCAATTTGTCTTTTAGGAATATCTGGCCATTTAAATATTTATGTCACCCAGTTTGTACGTGGAAGAAAGGCCAGCATTTTCTAGTTTGTTTTTCCCCCACCTGAGTGTTATGTGGTACATCTGACACCAGAGCACCTACTGAGGCTCCTAGCATAGGGCAGGTGTTCCATAAATGATTACTAAGTTTAACTGACTTGTGTTCAAAACCCTGATAACTGCAGTCAAAAAGCTGAAACGTTTCTCTTTGTCTAAATGTTAATGTTAAACACAATGCGAGCTCAAGATAAAAAAAAAAAGTAGAAAATGGTGAGTTAGAGGAAGGGGAGATAGGACAGCAGACATCATGCTCTGAGAACTAGTCTAAAATGTCGCAAGAGGTGGATGGCATGAAAGGCCAGTGTTTCCTGGAATGTGTCATAAGACTCTGAAGATAAGAGATCTGCTAAATAGTCACTAAAGGGAAGTGAACCTTGAGCACAAAAGATGTAGGAGGTAGAGGGGTAAGCCCGGAGGTTGCTGCAGCCAGGAAGGAGCCTGGATTTGCCCCACCCATCACCTCCTCTGCCTTCACTCCCATTCTAGACCCCACACGTTGGCTCATGTTCAGTGCAGGTACAGGGTACAGGCTGAGTGCTTTCCAGGCTCACCCTGCCAGAGTTTACCAGGCAGAAAGGAGAAGCAGGGAATGACTCCTTGCTTCTCCACCTCTCACTCCACCCCTGCCAGAAATTTAAAATATTTGATGGCAAAGAAACAATCTTTCCAACTGCTGAACTCTGACACTGCGTACAACATTGTCCAAACACTTCTGCTGCTGGCCTTTGTTAGAGGTTTTTTGCTCTGAAGCCACACAGGTCCCTATGTATGTGTTTGGGCCAGAGGCAGGGGTGGGCAGTGAGCTTTAACCTTGAACCACATTTACTTTACTAATAAGAATTCTTTCTTTTTCTTTTCTTTGTTTCTTTTTTTTTTTTTTTTTTGAGACAGAGTCTTGCTCTTCACCCAGGCTGGAGTGCAGTGGTGCAATCTCAGCTCACTGTCTCAGCTCACTGCAACCTCTACTTCTCGGGTTCAAGTGATTCTTCTGCCTCAGGCTCCTGAGTAGCTGGGATGACAGCTGTGTACCACCATGCCCAGGCAATTTTTGTATTTTTAGTAAAGACGGGGTTTCGCCATGCTGGCCAGGCTGGTCTCAAACTCCTCAAGTGATCCACTTGCCTTGGTGATATGGATTGTCTGTGTCCCGGCCCAAACCTCATCTTGAATCGTAGCTCCCATAATTCCCACATGTTGTAGGAGGGACTCTGTGGGAGATAATTGAATCATGAGGGCAGTTTCTCCCATACTGTTCTTGTGGTAGTGAATAAGTCTCATGAGATCTGATGTTTTTATATGGGGTTTCCCCTTTCACTTAGCTCTCAATTCTATCTTGCCTGCTGCCATGTAAGACGTGCCTTTTACCTTCTGCCATGATTGTGAGGCATCCCCAGCCATATGGAGCTGTGAGTCTACTAAACCTCTTTTTCTTTTTAAATTACCCAGTCTCTGGTATGTCTTTATCAGCAGTATGAAAACGGACTAGTACACACAGCCTCTCAAAGTGCTGGGATTACAAGCGTGAGCCATCATGCCTGGCCAGAATTCTTAACTTCTGATGGTAACTAGGTTTACATTGGAGCACATGGTAATTAGTGAATTTTCTAAGATAGTGTATTTGGAAAAAAGATCAAACAAACAAAAACGAAAACTTATGTCAACATTTAAAACTAACCTTGAAGGCTACTTTAACATTATAAAAAGATTTCACAATAAAATAAGTGTTTTAAAACTTTCACAGATATATTTACAGGACACTGCCAGACACCTTTCTGCCTGCCTTAGTCGAATGCTTTTGCTTTTTGTTATTTTTCCATTGCATCAAGCTTCACACCTTCCTCTAAAGATCTTTAGAAGCCCGGCTGAGCTACTTTGATATCTCCATTAACTAGAGCTTCTAGGTAAGATCTCAAAGGCTTAGGTGATTTGCAAAACGTTCATATATATCTTCCTGAAATATTCAGTTGCTCTAAGCTCATTTGCAGTATCAGAAGATTTGGGTGAAAGGAAAGATTTTAAAAGTCTTGCAGCTACTCTGTCCAACACAGTACCTGCAGGAGAACGTCAAACACTTAAAGTTTGGTGAATGCACCTGAGGAAATATTAAGTATGTTTGGAACAAAGTGGGTAGGTGTAACTTTACAACTCAGATTTTATGAAATCTAAGTACAAATAAGTGTGTTTTATGGAAATTTAGTATTAGAGTTGAGATAGGCTGTAGGTGTAAAACGCATGCCATATTCGAAATACTTCATGTGAAAAAACCTCATTAATACATGTCAATTGATTAAATGAGGAAGTGATAATGTTGCAGATATACTGGGTTGAGTAAAGTATATTGCTAAAATTAATTTTACCCTCTTCTTTTTACTTTTGTAATGTGACTGCTAGAAAATTCAAGACTGCACACATGTGTGGCTCGCATTGTATTTTATTTGATAGTCGTGGTTCAAAAGGCAGTTTTGACTTAAACTATTACAATTAATCCATCTGCCTACTTGTTTCTCTGCAGTAAATCTTAATATTTCTCTTTCAAGTATGCTTTTTTGTTTTCAGATAGAATTACCTAAATCTTCAAAAGGTAACTGAAGTTGAGAAGAGAAGCCAAAAGAGACAAAAGCCTCCAGCCAATAAGCATTCCCCATGAACAAGCAAATGCAAATGCTTCTTACTATAGTCTCGAAATGTGTAGTTCTAATTCTCAAGTGATATATGTATTTAGTTACTGATGGAATCACAGAGAGATTTAAACAAGCAGAAGTTACCATAAAATGGAAACAGAAATTGCGTTCTGACCAGTTTTTCATGACACTTTATGGGAAATATTGGAAATGAGAGAGAAATGCTCTAAGAATAAACTGTTATGGTATTGAAATGGTGGTACATGGAACTTTTGACTTATAGGAAAAACACTATAATGGTGGCTACAGCATGTCAAGAGATGAAGGTGGGAGATAGGGGAAGAAAACCACTTACAATATTTCCAAATCAGAATTTTTCTTTGGATATTTTCACTTTTTTTTCTTTTCAGAAGTCTTAGCTCAGCCCAGGGTGAGCTCCTTCTGCACCTGAAAAATCCTGTCCTTGAAATCTCTAATGCCATCCCTGCAAATCACTACTGGATACAGGATCCGTGCACTCTGACTACTCGGGTGCTGTGTGCTTCACTGCCTCTTATACGGCAATCACATCTACAAACAATCTCATTCTTCTATAGTGCTTAATCCAATGACAGCCCTATTAACCACCCCATCACAATGAAGAAACCCTAGTTACCTTCAGTTGATCTTTCTTTCTTACCTCCCCGACATCTAATCAATCAATCAGTCAATCACCAAGTCTAGAATCTTTCAGTTGTATCGCTTCTCTCCATCCCCATTTATCATCTCTATACTGGACCCAGTAGCCTCATGACTCATCTCCATGTCTTCAGTAGTATCCCCTGGGAATCCATACTTGAAAAATTTTCCAAAATTATCTACCTTAAATTTGTATCTGACCACATCAGTCCCCATTTAAATACAGTCAAAGACTACACATCGCCTATAGAATTCAAGTTCTTCTGGGGGACCTGGAAGGCGCTTAGCACCTGGCAGCCACAGATTAACCTCTATAAATTCATTTCTTCCTAACCTCTTAACTTATACCTATTCAGGCCAAAATAATATCAACTGCTTATGATTCCCTGTAGACCCTATGCTATCTTAGGAATTTCTGCTTTCACTTGTGCTGTTCCTTCCATCTGGAACACCTTTCCCACTTATTTTAATATTGCTTATCCTTAAAGACCCAACTTAGTTATAGCCTCTCACAGGAAGTCTTGTCTGAACTTCTAGGCTGAACTAGGGTCATTCTGCTCTGTATTTCCGTAGCACAAGGGGAAGATTTCCAGCTCAGTACTTAATGTATTGTATTGAAATTATTAAAATTATCTACTAAGTGTCTGTTTCTTCTACTAGACTCTAAGGACTCTAACACTCACTAATGCAGGGACCGAAACTTATTCATCTTTGTAATTCCACTGCTGATTTCAGCCGGCTTTTGGTAAACATTTGTTGGACTAAATTGAGCAAGAGGAAGTGTCTATAAGGACTGGGGTTGGAAGCCTTTATACTTATAAAATCAGAGATTAGACTCTTGGTTGTTTCACTGTAGACCAAGGAGCTGAAATGACAATAAAGCAATAACATAGGTGCAGAATGAGATTGAGAAAAGAAAGTAGCCACAAGCTGTAGGCATTTTAAAAAAATCTTAAGGGAGAGACTGACATCAGCTGTGAACACATGGGGTGCCCGCACCAGCGGCCTGAAATCTAGACCCTTCACTCTCCCATTCCTGTCCCTCCGAAGCATGTGGCCCTTAATTCTACCATTACAACTTGTTTTATGAGATTTCTCCTGTAGAAAATAATTGCAAGTTCAAGGAGTATAATTTTCCAAAGTCCAGACAAACCTGATTCTCTTTATAATTAAAACAAAGCCAGCCCTTAGGAAATCAACACATCAAGTCCCAGTATGAAGAAAAGAAGGAGCTGAAAGTAGAGGCCAAATGACTTATCCAATGACAGTTTTGAGAAAGTTTTCTGATGACTTTTTCAAGTAGCAACTCAAACCCACAGTGTGAAAGCCTTCTATTTTCTACTGAGGAATCAATGGGACCTGGAAGATTCAATTGGCAGTTTTCATTTCTTGCTCAGCACCAAAGACTTTGCCTACATGGCCTTTGCCTAATGGCAAAGTTGGCTTTTATTTTATGTTCCGGGGCACATACAAGGCAATGTGAGTTTGAAGGGCCTAGGGCATGTGACTAATGTTCCATCTCTCACTTTATGGAGACACCTCTTTAAATGTTATCTAAGTAACTGAAACACAACAAAACCCCACAATGAACTCTGGATAGAGGAGAGAGCATTCATTCAAAAGGGGAGTTGCCTTTTAGAGCCTCATGCTTGTGTTTGGCTTTATTACAGCAGCAAACCAGTCAAGAAGAGCTGATCTTGTGGCTTCAGATTTTCCAAGCCAGATGTACAGATGAATGTGAGGATCAACAACAAAAAGCATATTTGAAAAACTTTTAAGTCCACTTGAACTTGTATAGGTTTCACATGCACTCTGTGATCCCAAGGCTTATGAAAGAGTGTGTGTTCTAGGACCATGGTGCCTGGAGGCTTGTGGATAGGCAGGTATTTCTACACCAAGATATTGAGACAACTGTCACCCTGGAAAATGAGCATAGCAGCCTCTCCCTCTTCTTCCCACACTTCTGGACAGAGATTTTGCCCCAGGAGAGTGTAACATGTGCTGACACAGCAGGATGAGGTGGGAAGAGTAGCAGTGACAGGAGAATGAGCAACGAGGTCAAAAGTAATAGCAGAGTAGCAGAAGGGAGGTGATGGTCTGGGAAGAAGGGCAAATCTGACAACCGTGCATTATGTTGTCAAATGCTAAACCAAGTGAATCTTACTCCCTTTTAGACTGTGGGAAAAGGGGATTATGACTGAGTGTGGTTTTCCACATCATTCTCTAGCGATCATACCTCTCCAAATGTTAAGTGAGACTACATTGGCTACAAGACATGTAATTGAGCCCAGATAGAAAGGGCCTGATAAAGGTAAGATGGTAAATATTGCCCACATACAACTGCATACATTTAGAAATGAAACTTTCCTTGAAGGCGTCCTCTTTATACTGTGCCATGCATTGTCAAAGCTTCCCTAACCATTTCTTGTGTTACCAGATAGTTGTTCTTGTATATGACATTGCAAGAGTGAGTGGCAGCAGTGCACACTCAGTGCCAAATATCTGCAGCATGAAGGAGGTAGCCATTGGTGCTGGCCAATGGTGGGTTCTTCAGAAGAAATGAACATGTTGCATAGAACAAAATGTGGCCTCCAGTGAGCCCCAGATGGACTGGCCTTGGTAAGACTTCCAGAGGAAAATCTTACCTGCTGAATTGCCTTCTGTCTAAATCACAACCTCTATGGCTTGGTCAAACCACAAATGATGATAAAGATGCCAGGGCCCTCCTTTCTTACTATCCTCTAGTATTTATAGAGTGAATTGTGGACTAACACTGTGGGTATCCTCACACCTGTATCTCATTTAATCTCCATGGCCCCTGTGGTGATGAGGTTGGTATTACCACTCCAATCTCATCTCCTACCACCTTTCTCCTTTTGCTCACCCACCCTGGCCACACTGGCCTTCTTGTAGTTCTTCCCTTACCCCTAGGCCTTTACAACTGTGCTTCATGCCTCAAAGTTCTCCCCACATTCTTCGCAGAGCTAAATCCCCAGTTGAGTTTTTTCTTAAACACCACAACCCCAGAAAGGCTTTCCCTGACCATCTCATCAGCCTACTCTTCCAATCCACCCATCTCTATCCCTACACGTTCTATCATCCTACTCTGTCTTATTTTTCTTCAAGCACTTTTAACTATCTAAAAATTACATTAGCCTTTATTGGGCTATGTTGGTGTTGCTTTCTGTGTCTGCAACTACAACGCAGGATTCATACGAGCACAGGCTTTGTCTGTCTTTACTGATTTGTAGTGTGGATCAGTGTTTGATGTATGTTAGTAGAGTGGTAAATATTTGTTGATTGATTCAGTGAATGAATGATGTAAGAAAAATGTATAGTTAATTGGCTTGCTCAATATTACTCAGTTAGGCAAAAGAGGAGATATGACTCTAAGCACTGGTCTTTGGATTTCAAATTCCATGCTATTCCCTGTACACAAGGTTGCCTCCATTGCAAAACTTATATTTGGTTTTAATGTTTATTCTAGGGAAAAAATAAATGAATCCAGACAGGAATCCTAAGGCCACTGTCACAATTCTTAAGATTTAGAGCTCACATATTATCAGACATTTAATTTTTAGTCTTACCAAAGTTGAAAGCAACAGTTTCCCTAAGAGAATGCAAAGCTATACAACCAAAACTATAGCTTCTCCATGAGTGGGAGCTATAAAACCGCCATGAATTGAGGGTATTTCCAGTCAATTTACAATAAAGAGTGATATCACTAATGGAACTTCAAAAAGCTTGTCATCTTGATTTCAAGTGAACAGATTATAATTCTGATTAGACTGTTTTTCTCAAACACTCACCACTTACGTGGATGATAGTGATGTTCCTTACTCCTCATGTCCCCAAACAGAAGAAATCTCTTCCTTTTGATATCGATTGCACTTGGTTTATACTTCTCGTGTGTTCCCCATCATAAGATCTACATATATAAAAAAACTAAACATATTATAAAATCTCTACTGTTTGTTTAATATGAATTAAACATTTATATTACTATATCAAGTATTTTTCAGATGTAGAGTGCTATATTACATATCTTTATATAAAATTTGGTATGTAAAATTCCTGAATAAGGAAATAATTCATAATTCCACACAATTGTACAGATAAATTATAGAATCATCTTATCAAGTTTTAAAAAAATTCTACTGGAATTGTGTTTTATATTTTATGTTTATTTTATTAAACTTATAAGTTAATTTTTTTTATTATACTTTAAGCTTTAGGGTACATGTGCACAACGTGCAGGTTAGTTACATATGTATACATGTGCCACGTTGGTGTGCTGCACACATTAACTTGTCATTTAACATTAGGTATATCTCCTAATGCTATCCCTCCCCCCTCCCCCCACTCCACATCAGGCCCCGGTGTGTGATGTTCCCCTTCCTGTGTCCATGTGTTCTCATTGTTCAATTCCCACCTATGAGTGAGAACATGCGGTGTTTGGTTTTTTGTCCCTGCGATAGTTTGCTGAGAATGATGGTTTCCAGCTTCATCCACGTCCCTACAAAGGACATGAACTCATCATTTTTTATGGCTGCATAGTATTCCATGGTGTATATGTGCCACATTTTCTTAATCCAGTCTATCATTGTAGCACATTTGGGTTGGTTCCAAGTCTGCTATTGTGAAGAGTGCCGCAATAAACATACATGTGCATGTGTCTTTACAGCAGCATGATTTATAATCCTTTGGGTATATACCCAGTAATGGGATTGCTGGGTCAAATGGTATTTCTAGTTCAAGATCCCTGAGGAATCGCCACACTTGACTTCCACAATGGTTGAACTAGTTTACAGTCCCACCAACAGTGTAAAAGTGTTCCTATTTCTCCACATCCTCTCCAGCACCTGTTGTTTTCTGACTTTTTAATGATTGCCATTCTAACTGGTGTGAGATGGTATCTCATTGTGGTTTTGATTTGCATTTCTCTGATGGCCAGTGATGATGAGCATTCTTTCATGTGTCTTTTGGCTGCATAAATGTCTTCTTTTGAGAAGTGTCTGTTCATATCCTTTGCCCACTTTTTGATGGGGCTGTTTGTTTTTATCTTGTAAATTTGGGTGAGTTCATTGTAGATTCTGGATATTAGACCTTTGTCAGATGTGTAGATTGTAAAAACTTTCTCCCATTCTCTAGGTTGCCTGTTCACTCTGATGGTAGTTTCTTTTGCTGTGCAGAAGCTCTTTAGTTGAATTAGATCCCATTTGTCAATTTTGGCTTTTGTTGCCATTGCTTTTGGTGTTTTAGACATGAAGTCTTTGCCCATGCCTATGCCCTGAATTTTATTGCCTAGGTTTTCTTCTAGGGTTTCTATGGTTTTAGGTCTAACATATAAGTCTTTAATCCATCTTGAATTAATTTTTGTGTAAGGTGTAAGGAAGGGATCCAGTTTCAGCTTTCTACATATGGCTAGCCAGTTTTCCCAGCACCATTTATTAAATAGGGAATCCTTTCCCAATTTCCTGTTTTTGTCAGGTTTATCAAAGATCAGATAGTTGTAGATATGTGGCATTATTTCTGAGGGCTCTGTTCTGTTCCATTGGTCTATATCTCTGTTTTGGTACCACTACCATGCTGTTTTGGTTACTGTAGCTTTGTAGTATAGTTTGAAGTCAGGTAGCGTGATGCCTCCAGCTTTGTTCTTTTGGCTTAGGACTGACTTGGTAATGCGGGCTCTTTTTTTGGTTCCATATGAACTTTAAAGCAGTTTTTTCCAATTCTGTGAAGAAAGTCATTGGTAGCTTCATGGGAATGGCATTGAATCTATAAATTACCTTGGGCAGTATGGCCATTTTCACGATATTGATTCTTCCTACCCACGAGCATGGAATGTTCTTCCATTTGTTTGTATCCTCTTTTATTTCCTTGAGCAGTGGTTTGTAGTTCTCCTTGAAGAGGTCCTTCACGTCCCTTGTAAGTTGGATTCCTAGGTATTTTATTCTCTTTGAAGCAATTGTGAATGGGAGTTCACTCATGATTTGGCTCTCTGTTTGTCTTATTGGTGTATAAGAATGTCTGTGATTTTTTCACATTGATTTTGTATCCTGAGACTTTGCTGAAGTTGCCTATCAGCTTAAGGAGATTTTGGGCTGAGACGATAGGGTTTTCTAGATATACAGTTATGTCATCTGCAAACAGGGACAATTTGACTTCCTCTTTTCCTAATTGAATGCCCTTTATTTCCTTCTGCTGCCTGATTGCCCTGGCCAGAACTTCCAGTACTATGTTGCATAGGAGTTGTGAGAGAGGGCATCCCTGTCTTGTGCCAGTTTTCAAAGGGAATGCTTCCAGTCTTTGCCCATTCAGTATGATATCGGCTGTGGGTTTGTCATAGATAGCTTTTATTATTTTGAGATACGTCCCATCAGTACCTAATTTATTGAGAGTGTTTAGCATGAAGGGTTGTTGAATTTTGTCAAAGGCCTTTTCTGCATCTATTGAGATAATCATATGGTTTTGGTCCTTGGTTCTGTTTATATGCTGGATTATGTTTATTGATTTGCGTATATTGAACCAGCCTTGCATCCCAGGGATGAAGCCCACTTGATCATGGTGGATAAGCTTCTTGATGTGCTGCCGGATTCAGTTTGCCAGTATTTTATTGAGGATTTTTGCATCGATGTTCATCAGGGATATTGGTCTAAAATTCTCTTTTTTTGTTGCATCTCTGCCAGGCTTTGGTATCAGGATGATGCTGGCCTCATAAAATGAGTTAAGGAAGATTCCCTCTTTTTCTATTGATTGCAATAGTTTCAGAAGGAATGGTACCAGCTCCTCCTTGTACTTCTGGTGGAATTTGGCTATAAATCCATCTGGTCCTGGACTTTTTTTGGTTGGTAAGCTATTAATTATTGCCTCAATTTCAGAGCCTGTTATTTGTGTATTCAGAGATTCAGCTTCTTCCTGGTTTAGTCTTGGGAGGGTGTATGTGTTGAGGAATTTATCCATTTCTTCTAGATTTTCTAGTTTATTTGCATAGAGGTGTTTATAGTATTCTCTGATGGTAATTTGTATTTCTGTGGGATTGGTGGTGATATCCTCTTTATCATATTTTATTGCATCTATATGATTCTTCTCTCTTTTCTTCTTTATTAGTCTTGCTAGCATCCTATCAATTTTGTTGATGTTTTCAAAAAACCAGCTCCTGGATTCATTGATTTTTTGGAGGGTTTTTGTGTCTCTATTTCCTTCAGTTCTGCTCTGATTTTAGTTATTTCTTGCCTTCTGCTAGCTTTTGAATGTGTTTGCTCTTGCTTCTCTAGTTCTTTTAATTGTGATGTTAGGGTGTCAATTTTAGATCTTTTCTGCTTTCTCTTGTGGGCATTTAGTGCTATAAATTTCCCTCTACACACTGCTTTGAATGTGTCCCAGAGATTCTGGTATGTTGTGTCTTTGTTCTCACTGGTTTCAAAGAACATCTTTATTTCTGCCTTCATCTCGTTATGTACCCAGTAGTCATTCAGGAGCAGGTTGTTCAGTTTCCATGTGGTTGAGCAGTTTTGAGTGAGTTACTTAATCCTGAGTTCTAGTTTGATTGCACTGTGGTCTGAGAGACAGTTTGTTATAATTTCTGTTCTTTTACATTTGCTGAGGAGTGCTTTACTTCCAACTAAGTGGTCAATTTTGGAATAAGTGCAGTGTGGTGCTGAGAAGAATATATATTCTGTTGATTTGGGGTGGAGAGTTCTTTAGATGTCTATTAGGTCCACTTGGTGCAGAGCTGAGTTCAATTCCTGGATATCCTTGTTAACTTTCTATCTCGTTGATCTGTCTAATATTGACAGTGGGGTGTTAAAGTCTCCCATTATTATTGTGTGGGATTCTGAGTCTCTTCCTAGGTCTCTAAGGACTTGCTTTATGAATCTGCAGGCTCCTGCATTGGGTGCATATATATTTAGGATAGTTAGCTCGTCTTGTTGAATTGATCCTTTACCATTACGTAATGGCCTTCTTTGTCTCTTTTGATGTTTGTTGGTTTAAACTCTGTTTTATCAGAGACTAGGATTGCAACCCCTGCCTTTTTTTGTGTTCCATTTGCTTGGTAGATCTTCCTCCATCCCTTTATTGTGAGCCTATGTGTGTCTCTGCACGTGAGATGGGTTTCCTGAATACAGCACACTGATGGGTCTTGACTCTATCCAATTTGCCAGTCTGTGTCTTTTAATTGGAGCATTTAGCCCATTTACATTTAAGGCTAATATTGTTATGTGTGAATTTGATCCTGTCATTATGATGTTAGCTGGTGATTTTGCCCGTTAGTTGATGCAGTTTCTTCCTAGCCTTGATGGTCTTTACAATTTGGCATGTTTTTGCAGTGGCTGGTACCAGTTGTTCCTTTCCTTGTTTAGTGCTTCCTTCAGGAGCTCTTTTAGGGCAGGCCTGGTGGTGACAAAATCTCTCAGCATTTGCTTGTCTGTAAAGTATTTTATTTCTCCTTCACTTATGAAGCTTAGTTTGGCTGGATATGAAATTCTGGGTTGAAAATTCTTTTCTTTAAGAATGTTGAATATTGGCCCCTACTCTCTTCTGGCTTGTGGAGTTTCTGCTGAGAGATCCGCTGTTAGTCTGATGGGCTTCCCTTTGAGGGTAACCCGACCTTTCTCTCTGGCTGCCCTTAACATTTTTTCCTTCATTTCAACTTTGGTGAATCTGACAATTATGTGTCTTGGAGTTGCTCTTCTCAAGGAATATCTTTGTGGCATTCTCTGTATTTCCTGAATCTGAACGTTGGCCTCCCTTGCTAGATTGGGGAAGTTCTCCTGGATAATATCCTGCAGGGTGTTTTCCAACTTGGTTCCATTCTCCCCGTCACTTTCAGGTACACCAAGCAGACATAGATTTGGTCTTTTCACATAGTCCCATATTTCTTGGAGGCTTTGTTCATTTCTTTTTATTCTTTTTTCTCTAAACTTCTCTTCTCACTTCATTTCATTCCTTTCATCTTCCATCACTGATACCCTTTCTTCCAGTTGATCGCATCGGTTACTGAGGCTTGTGCATTCGTCATGTAGTTCTCATACCTTGGTTTTCATCTCCATCAGGTCCTTTAAGGACTTCTCTGCATTGGTTATTCTAGTTAGCCATTCGTCTAAACTTTTTTCAAGGTTTTTAACTTCTTTGCCATGGGTTCGAACTTCCTCCTTTAGCGTGCAGTAGTTTGATCGTCTGAAGCCTTCTTCTCTCAACTTGTCAGTCATTCTCTGTCCAGCTTTGTTCCATTGCTGGCGAGGAGCTGCATTCCTTTGGAGGAGGAGAGGTGGTCTGATTTTTAGAGTTTCCAGTTTTTCTGCTCTGTTTTTTCCCCATCTTTGTGGTTTTATCTACCTTTGGTCTTTGATGATGGTGATGTACAGATGGGGTTTTGATGTGGATGTCCTTTCTGTTTGTTAGTTTTCCTTCTAATAATCAGGACCCTCAGCTGCAGGTCTGTTGGAGCTTGCTGGAGGTCCTCTCCAGACCCTGTTTGCCTGGGTATCAGCAGTGGAGGCTGCAGAACAGCGGATATTGGTGAACAGCAGATGTTTCTGCCTGATCGTTCCTCTGGAAGTTTTGTCTCAGAGGAGTACCCGGCCAGCCGTGTGAGGTGTCAGTCTGCCCCTACTGGGGTGTGCCTCTCAGTTAGGCTACTTGGGGGTCAGAGACCCCTTGAGGAGGCAGTCTGTCTGTTCTCAGATGTCCAGCTGCATGCTGGGAGAACCACTACTCTCTTCAAGGCTGTCAGACAGGGACATTTAAGTCTGCAGAGGATTCTGATGCCTTTTGTTTGGCTGTGCCCTGCCCCTAGAGTTGGAGTCTACAGAGGCAGGCAGGCCTCCTTGAGTTGTGGTGGGCTCCACCCAGTGAGCTTCCCACCTGCTTTGTTTACCTACTCAAGCCTGGACAATGGCGGGCACCCCTCCCGCAGCCTTGCTGCCACCTTGCAGTTTGGTCTCAGGCTGCTGTGCTAGCAATGAGCGAGGCTTCGTGGGCGTAGGACCGTCCAAGCCAGGTACGGGATATAATCTCCTGGTGTGCCGTTTGTTAAGCCAGTTGGAAGAGCACAATATTAGGGTGGGAGTGACCCGATTTTCCAGGTGCCGTCTGTCACCCCTTTCTTTGACTAGGAAAGGGAATTCCCTGACCCCTTGCGCTTCCGAGGTGAGGCAATGCCTTGCCCTGCTTTGGCTCACGCTCGGTGTGCTGCACCCACTGTCCTGCACCCACTTTCTGACACTCCCCAGTGAGATGAACCCAGTACCTCAGTTGGAAATGCAGAAATCACTCGTCTTCTGCGTTGCTCATGCTGGGAGCTGTAGACTGGAGCTGTTCCTATTCGGCCATCTATTATAAGTTAGTTTTTAAAGAATTGTCATATTTATAGTATTCAGTCTTCACACTCATAAGCATGAAATATGTTTCAATTTATTTGGTGCTTTAAGTATATAGATTTCAAATATATATTTAGTGTTTTAAAATAGGTCCATATATATGCATATATATACACACATATACATTTATACACACACAGACATATATAAAATATATATAGGTTTTACATGAAGAAAAATACAAAACTCAACTAAAGTATATAAAAAAGACCCATGTACCTGAGTAATATATATAGTATATATGTATAGAAGCATATATATTAAATAATATATGAATCATTTCATTTATGGTTTTACAATGTTTTTGAATTTAAAAACAATTTTTTAAATTAAATTTTTAAAATTTCAATAGTTTTTGGGGAATAGATGGTGTTTGGTTGCATGGAAAAGTTCTTTAGTGATGATTTCTGAGATTTTGGTTCACCTATCACCCGAGCAGTGTACACCGTACCTAATGTGCAGTGATGTTGAGCATTTTTTCATGTTTTTTGGCCATTTGTGTGTTTTCTTTTGAGAATTGTCTATTCATATTCTTAGCCCGCTTTTTAATGGGATTTTTTTTTCTTGCTTACTTATTGGAGTTCCTTGTAGATTCTGGATATTAGTCCTTTGTCAGATGCATGGTTTGTGAATATTTTCTCCCACTCTCTTGATTGTTCACTCTGCTGATTATTTCTTTCACTGTGCAGCATTTTAGTTTAATTAGGTCCCATCGATTTATCTTTGTTTTTGGTGCATTTGCTTTCGGGTTCTTTGTCATGAAGTCTTTGCCTAAGCCAATGTCTAGAGCAGTTTTATGAATGTTATAGAATTTTAATGGTTTCAGGTCTTAGATTTAAGTGTTGGATCCATCTTGAGTTGATTTTTGTATAAGGTGAGAGTTGAGGATCCAGCTTCATTCTTCTACATGTGGGTTGCCAATCATCCCAGTACCATTTGTTGAATAGGGTGTCCTTCCCCCACTTTATGTTTTTGTTTGCTTTGTCAAAGATCAGTTGGCTGTAATTATTTGGCTTTATTTCTGGGTTCTCTATTCTGTTCCATTGGTCTACATGCCTATTTTTATGCCAGTATCATGCTGTTTTAGTAACTATGGCCTTGTAGTATAGTTTGAAGTCAGGTAATGTGATGCCTCCAGATCTGTTCTTTTTGCTTAGTCTTGCCTTGGCTATGTGGGCTCTTTTTTGGTTCCATATGAATTTTAGGATTGTTTTTTCTATTTCTGTGAAGAATGATGGTGATATTTTGATAGGAATTGCATTGAATTTGTAGCTTGCTTTTGGCAGTATGGTCATTTTCACAATATTGATTTCACCTATCTATGAGCATGGAAACAAATGTGTTTCCATTTGTTTGTGTTGTTGATGATTTCTTTCAGCAGTGTTTTGTAGTTTTCCTTGTAGAGATCTTTTACATCCCTGGATAGGTATATTCCTAAGTTGGTTTTTGTTTTTGTTTTTATTTTTGCAGCTGTTGCAAAAGGAGTTTCAGTCCTGATTTGATTCTCAGCTTGGTCACTGTTGGTATATAGCAGCGCTGCTGATTTGTGTACATTGATTTTTGTATCCTGAAACTTTACCGAATTCATTTATCAGATCTAGGAGCTTTTTAGATGAGTCTTTAGGGTTTTCTGGGTATACGATCTTACTGGCAAACAGTGACAGGTTGACTTCCTCTTTACTGATTTGGGTGCCCTTTATTTCTTTCTCTTGTCTAATTGCTCTGGCTAGGACTTCCAGTACTATGTTGAATAGCAGTGGTGAAAATGGGGATCTTTGTCTTGTTCCAGTTCTCAGAGGGAATGCTTTCAGCTTTTCCCCATTCAGTATTACGTTGGCTGTGGGATTGTCACAGATGGCTTTTATTACCTTAAAGTATGGCCCATCTATGTCAGTTTTGCTGAGGGTTTTAATAATAAAGCGATGCTGGATTTTGTCAAATGCTTTTTTTACATTTATTGAGATGATCATATGATTTCTGTTTTTAATTCTGTTTATGTGATGGATCACATTTATTGACTTGTGTATGTTAAACAATCCCTGTATCCCTGGTATGAAACACACTTGATCATGGTGTTTTATTATTTTGATATGCTGTTGGATTTTGTTAGCTAGTATTTTGTTGAGGAATTTTGCATCTTTGTTCATCAGGGATATTGGTCTGTGGTTTTTCTTTTTCTGTTATGTCCTTTCCTGGTTTGGGTATTAGGATGATACCGGCTTCATAGAATGACTTAGGGAGGATTCTCTTTTTCTCTATTTTTTATAATAGTTTCAGTAAGAATGGTACCAATTCTTCTTCAAATGCCTGCTAGAATTCAGCTGTGAATTCATCTCATCGTGGACTTTTTTGTTGGCAATATTTTGTTATGGTTTCAATCTCACTACTTGTTATTGGTTGGTTCAGAGTTTCTATTTCTTCCTGATTTAATCTAGGAGAGTTATATATTCCCAGGAATTTATCCATCTCCTCTAGATTTTCTTGTTTGTGTGTGTAAAGATGTTCATAGTAGCCTCAAATGATCTTTTTTATTTCTGTGGTATTGGTTGTAATAACTCTTGTTTTATTTCTAATTGAGCTTATTGGGATCTTCTCTCTTAACTTCTTGGTTGATCTTACTAATGGTCTATCAATTTTGTTTATCTTTTCAAAGAACCAGTTTTTTTATTTCATTTATCTCTTGTATTTTTTGTTTCAATTTCATTTAGTTCTGCTCTGACCTTTGTTATTTCTTTTCTTCTGCTGGGTTTGGGTTCGGTTTGTTGTTGATTCTGTAGTTCCTTCAGATGTGACCTTAGATTGTCTATTTGTGCTCTTTCAGATTTTTCGATATAAGCATTTAATGTTATCAACTTTCCTTTTAGCACTGCCTTTGCTATATCCCAGAGGTTTTGATAAATTTTGTCACTATTATTTTTCACCTCAAATACTTTTTAAAATTTCCATCTTGATTTCATTGTTAACCCAAGAATCATTCAGGAGCAGATTATTTAATTTCCATGTATTTGTATAGTTTTGAGAGTTCCTTTTGGAGTTAATTTCTGGCTTTATTCCACTGTGGTCTGAGATGGTACTTGATATAATTTCAATTTTCTTAAATTTATTGAGACTTGTTTTGTGGCCTATCATATGGTCCATCTTGGAG
Source organism: Homo sapiens (assembly GCF_000001405.40). Taxonomy (NCBI): domain Eukaryota; kingdom Metazoa; phylum Chordata; class Mammalia; order Primates; family Hominidae; genus Homo; species Homo sapiens. Next base: position 67,754,375 of record NC_000005.10, on the reverse strand, counting down.
AATGTTCCATGTGCTAATGAAAAGAATGTATATGCTGCACTTACAGGGTAGAATGTTCCGCAAATACCTGCTAAGTCCGTTTGTTTTAGGGTGTAGTTTAAGTCCATTGTTTCTTTGTTGACTTTCTGTCTTAATGACTTGTCTAGTGCTATCAGTGGAGTGTGGAAGTCCCACACTATTATTGTGTTGCTGTCTATCTCATTTGTTAGGTCTAGTAAAATTGTTTTATACATTTGGGAGCTCCAGTGTTAGGTGCATACATATTTAGGACTGTGATATTATCCTTTTGGACTGATCCTTTTATCATTATATAATGTCCCTATTTGTCTTTTTTAACTCCTGTTGCTTTAAAACTTGTTTTGTCTGATATAAAAATAGCTACTCCTGCTCACTTCTGGTGTCCATTTGCATGGAATATCTTTTTCCACCCCTTTACCTTAAGTTTATGTGAATCCTTATGCATTAGGTGATTCTCTTGAAGACAGCAGATACTTGATTGGTAGATTTTTATTCATTCTGACATTGTGTATCTTTTAAGTAGATCATTTAGGCCATTTACATTCAACATTATTATTGAGAAGTGAGATACTCTTTTATTCATCATGCTAGTTGTTGCCTGAATATCTTGATTTCTTTTTCATTGTGTTATTGTTTCATAGGCCCTGTGAGATTTAAAGGAGGTTCTATTTTGGTGTATATAGAGGTTTTGTTTCAAGACTTTTTAACTCCTTTTAGCATTCTTGTAGTGCTGGCTTGGTAATGGCGAATTCTCTCAGCATTTCTTTGTCTGAAAAAGACTTTATTTCTCCTTCATTGATGAAGCTTAGTTTTGCTGGATACAAATTCTTGGCTGGCAATTATTTTGTTTGAGGTGGCTAAAGATAGGACCCCAGTCCTTTCTGGCTTATGGGGTTTTTGTTGAGAAATCTGCTGTTAATCTGATAGGTTTTCCTTTATAGGTCACCTGATGCTTTTGCCTCACAGCTCTTAAGATTCTTTCATTCTTCTTGACTTGAGATAACCTGATGACTATGTGTCTAGGTAATGATCTTCTTATGATGAGTTTCCTAGGTGTTCTTTGAACTTCTTGTATTTGGATGGCTAAATCTCTAGTGAGGCCAAGGAAGTTTTTCTTAATTATTCCCTCAAACAAGTTTTCCAAACTTTTGGATTTCTCTGCTTCCTCAGGAACACCCAAACTTTCTTGAAGGCTTTGTTCATTATTTAAAATTTCTTTGTATTTGTCTTTGTCTGATGGAGTTAATTTGAAAGCCTTGTTTTTGAGCTCTGAAGTTCTTTCTTCTACTTTTTCTAGTCTATTTTTGACACTTTCCAGTGTATTTTGTATTTCTCTAAGTGTGTCTTTCATTTCCAGAAGTTGCGATTGTATTTTCTTTATGCTATTTCTCTGGATAATTTTTCATCTATATCCTGTATTTTTTTTTTAATTTCTTTAAGTTGTTTTTCACCTTTCTCTAGTGTCTCCTTGAGTAGCTTAATAATCAACCTCGTGAATTCCTTATCTGGCAATTTAGATATTTCTTCTTGGTTTGGATCCATTACTGGGGAGGTAGTGTGGTCTTTTAGGGGTGTTATAGACACTTGTTTTGTCATATTACCAGAATTAGTTTTCTGATTCCTTCACATTTGGGTAGACCATTTCAGTGGAAAAACCTGGAACTCAGGAGCTGCTGTTCAGATTATTTTGCACCACGGGGTGATCTCTTGATGTGGTACTCTCCCACGTCCCCTAGGGATGCTTCCTTGGAGCTGGACTGCAGTGATTGTTATTGCTCTTTTGGATCCTGCCACCCAGCAGGGCTACCAGGCTATGGGCCAGTGCCAGGATTGTCTGTAAAGAGTCCTGTGTTGTGATCTGTCTTCAGGTCTGCCAGCTGTGGATGCTAGCACCTGCCCTGGTGAAGGTGGCAGGGAAGTGAAATAGATTCTGTGAGCTCAGGTTCTCCTTGGGTGGGGCTTGCCATGGCAACTGTGGGGGATGGGGAGTGGTTCTCAGGCCAACAGGATTATGTTCCAGAGGGGATTATGGCTGCTTCTGTCACCATAGTTCTCCCATGGATCCCATGCAGTTGACAAGGCCAGTCTCACTCTCTCCCTGCAGGCAGCCTGCAGGTGGGACTCAGACCTTGCCCCCAGGTTATAAGCTTCCCTGCTGAGAAAGCAAGCATAGTTTTCAGGCTTCACCCCTCCCCCGCTGCCCACATTCTTGGCCGCAGCTCCTGCATTTCTTTCTGCAGCAGTTCCAGTTTGACCCCTGGATTCTGCTCAAGATAAACTGCATCCAGTCAAAATTATTTCAATGTTCAGTTGGAAGCTTCTTTCACCCTGTGACCCTTCCCAAATCCTGCCAGTTGCCTTCCCCAAGGGCCCCCATGAGTATAGTCATGCATGGCTTCCCTGGGCTTGAGCTGGAGAATGGGAGTGCCTACAAGGCTCTTCCCACTGCTGCTTCTACTTTTATATTTCATGCTAAATCCATTTCAACTCTTGGTAAGGTTAAATCCTTCTCCTGTAATCTGGATTTTCAGGTTCCCCAGTGCGGATATGTGTTTAGAGTCAGGCTTTCCCCATCTCGCACTTCGGGAACTCAGTTTATCACCTGTCTCGTGGAACTTGCAGTGGCATGTCACTTCTTTCCTTTTTTTTTTTTTTTTTTTTTTTGAGATGGAGTTTTGCTCTTGTTGCCCAGGCTGGAGTGCAGTGGTGCGATCTTGGCTCACCACAACCTCTCCCTCTCAGGTTCAAGTGATTCTCCTACCTCAGCCTGCCAAGTAGCTGGGATTACAGACATGTGCCACCATGGCTGGCAAATTTTTTTTTTTTTTTTTTGGATTTTTAGTAGAGATTGGCTTTCTCCATGTTGGTCAGGCTGGTCTTGAATTCCCAACCTCAGGTGATCTGCCCACCTCGGCCTCCCAAAGTGCTGGGATTACAGGCGTGAGCCACCATGCCTGGTTGGCATGTCACTCCTTTCAAAGGATTCTGTGAATTCTTTTGGCTTTCCTGGTACATTCCTGTGGTGATTCTTAGAGCAAAAGTCCACAGTGTGAGTCCCACATGCTGTTCTGTCTGTCCAGGTGAGAGCTGCATGTTAGCCCTGTCTCCTATCTGCCATCTTCCTCCACTTAAAAACAAAACTTTCTGATAGCTTTGTTATATATCATCATATGATTATTACACATATTATTTAACTGTAGTCCTCATATTGTCTACTTTAGGAGTTTTCACATTTTTACTTTAAATAATATTAAAATGAACACCCACAGGTCATTATATGCATCTCTGATTATTTCCTCTAGATTTTCAGTAGTAGATTTATAAGATTGAAATATATAAGCTTCTGAAAGACTCTTGATACATACTACCAAATACTTTTCCAAAAAGGTTGAGCTAATTTACATGCCTTCAGCATCAAAATTTAGTTTACTGTGATTGTCTGTTAATCCTTGCTAATTTCTAGGCAAACATAGTATCTAACTGGAATTTTAGTTCACATTTTTTGTATTATGGTAAATATTTAACAACTAGCTGTCTGGGGAGGTGGTGGGGGCTCATTTGTAGCATTTACTGATCTTTGAAATGGGCCACCATGGCCCATTTCAAGCCACCAACACAACATGACTGAACATAGAGTTGGGAAGAGGTATTCAGTGGACCCTTGCAAGTTGGAATGTGTTGCACACCACGGGAGGAAGTATACTATAATGGTTAAATAATGAGTCTGGAGTTGGCCAGACCTGGGTTCCTATTCCCATTACTTACTAACTTTGTGATCTTGGGTATGCATACCATACACAACTGTTTTGAAGATTTAATAATTTAATAAAATTATTTAGTACAGTTCCTGGCCCAGATTAAAAACTCAATAATAGCTATTATTATTATTTTTCATATAGCCCTAGTAATGTTTATTTTTTTCTTTTGTGAATTGTCTTTTCCTATTCTTTGATCATCTATCTTTCAAGGTATTATTGTTTTTCTTATTGACTTTTATAAGCACTTTACGTATTGAGGGTATTAGCCATTAGGAGTATTTTTTTTGCTTTTCAGGAGCATGTTTTGCTTCTTAATTTTGTGTGCTTGTAGACACTTCAAAGTTAAAAGTAGGTGTTTAGAGATGTTGAGATTTCCCTTTATGATTTCTTTCACTGTATTTATGCTTGGAAAATATCTTACCCCATCAGACATCATATAAATATTCAAAAAAATTCTCTTCTAGTTATTTTCTGATTTAATTTTGTGATTTAACTGTTTAAATTAAATTCTCTTAGAATTTATTTTGGTATACGATATGGGCAAGAAACTAATTTTTAAATCTATAACCTACTAAGCTAGGTACTAGCTATATACTATGAACTTAATCTCTTTTTACCTCAGTTTCCTCATTTGTAAATTAAATACAATAATACCTACTTCATAAGTTTGGTAAGGTAAGTACGAATTATAACATGTAATGTGCAGAGAGCAGTGTCTGACACATTCTGAATGTTAGATAGGTTAGCTATCATTATCGTCATCAGCATCATATTATTATTACCATCACCAACTTCATTTTTTTGTACTTCATCCCTTTCCATATATATATATATATATATATATACGTATATATACATACACATACATATGTGTGTGTGTATATATATACGTATATATATATATATATATATATGTGTGTGTATATATATACTTCTAAAGAAGTTGCTTTATTAACAATACAAACAAGATACTACCACCTCCAACAAATAAATTCCAGCAAACTTCTGCTTGGGGCTGGAGGCTAGCTTCTGTGTCTATAAACAAAGCCATGAGAGTCACCATGGAAAAGATGTTTTTCTTAGCCTTGAGCTATTAGAAAGTCTTGAGACTGCTGACTTTCACCTTGCAGTTCTTTATACACAGAAACAGGGTGCTCCAGGATGCTATCATTCCCGTAGCCTAAACCTAAAGTCAGGCCTTTGACCTTTTTGTCATGGAAACTCTTTGGTGGGGTGATTCAGTTCTACAAAGAACAGTGCTGGATGGACACAAGATGGGTCCTTTTCAGATACACAGAACGTCTCTAGGGAAATTTTTCCGAATAAAGAGACACCATTGCCTTACAGACACTTAAGCATGGATTGTCAGGAATGGGCCATGCTGTGATTTCAGCTGCCCATGGAAAGACATCTGCCTCTCCCCAAGTTTCCTCAAACTCGGAAACAGAGCATACTGCTGTTCCACACTTCAGTATAAGCCTAATATGGGAAATAAGTGCCTTTTGGAAAGGTACTTAGTTTTTGCTGTGAATGAATGAATTCCTTGTCTGATTATTCTCACTAAGGTGTTCATGGCTATCTAAGGTTTTGGCTGAAAGTAGGGAGACCTGGCAGCGCTATCTAATGCACACTAAAGGAGGAAGTAGGGGGTCAGTGCAGCTTCAGGCAAAAGGATAGAAGGATGCATAGGGAGTATCAACACTGTCTAAAGTGTCTGTGTAAAGAGACCACCAAACGGCTTTGTGTGAGCAACAAGGCTGTTTATTTCACCTGGGTGCAGGCGGGCTGAGTCTGAAAGGAGTCAGCAAGCGTGGTGGGATTATCATTAGTTCTTATAGGTTTTGGGATAGGCGGTGGAGTTAGGAGCAATGTTTTGCATGCAGGGGGTGGATCTCACAAAGTGCCTTCTCAAGGGTGGGGAGAATTACAAATAATCTTCTTAAGGGCAGGGGAGATTACAAAGAACCTTCTTAAGGGTGGGGGAGAAACAAATCACAATGGTGGAATGCCATCAGCTAAGGCTATTTTCACTTCTTTTGTGGATCTTCAGTTGCTTCAGGCCATCTGGATGTATAAGTGCAGGCCACAGGGGATATGATGGCTTAGCTTGGGCTCAGAGGCCTGACAAACACAGCCTGGCCCTGCTTAAGACAAACATAGCTCATCCCCAAAACATCCTGGTTCTGCACAAGGGGCCTTTCTATCACAGTGTGCCACAAGATGTTTCATCAAAGAGATTTTGTGCATGTACTTCCTCCTGAACAGCTCTGAACAAACCAACCAAATGCAGTGGCCATAATCTGTAGGATATTGCTTTAACATTTCATTTCCCTCGTTTCAGCCCTTCAGTCAAATGGGTGTCAGTGGGTTGCCCCTCCTTCCAGGGAAGGTTTTTTAGGTATGCTTGGTTTGTTACTGGGCTAGTGAACATGTAAGCAGAAGAGACGCTTTTACAGGGAGCTGCAGCCCGGCCTGCAAGTGGCTCCTACCATGTTGCTCTGAAATTGTGTGACCCTGCACATGGTCATTCCATTTGAAGGTGCTGCTGGCTATAGTGTGTCAGGCTGGATGCACCCTCTTATGTCACTTAGGGTTCACTTATTCTTTCTCGAATGCTTTTACTTTCTTTACATAATCTTAGTGTCTGACCTATATCATTATCCTTGTCTCTGAAGAATTTCTGATAACATTTCTTGCAAGGCAAGTCTGCTGAAAACAAATCTCCTAATTTTTGTTTGTCCAGGAAAGTCTTTATTTCTCCTTCACTTTTAAAGGATAATTTCTCAGGGTCCAGAATTCTAGGTAGGTGAGTTTTTTTCTCAAAACACTTTAGATATCTTAGTCCATTCTCTCCTTGCTTTGTATGGTTTCTGAGACATCAGATGTAATTCTTATCTTTGTTCCTCTATAGTTAAGGTGGGTTTTTCCCCCACCTTTGGCTCCTTTTTAGATTTTTTTTTATCTTTGATGATCTACAATTTGAATATGATATGCTTATGTATAGTTTTTTTTGTTATTCAATTTTTTTGGTATTCTTGGAGCTTCCTTGATCTGTGGTTTATTGTGTAGCATTAATTTAGGGGTAATTTTTAGACATTATTGGTTCTAACATTTTTTGTTCCTCTGTCTCTTTCTTCTCCTGCTGGTATTCCCATTGCAGGTATATTACACATTTTGTAGGTGTTTCACTGTCCTTGGCTATTTTGTTCCATTTTTTTTCTTTACTTTTCCATTTTGGAAGTTTCTATTGATAAATCCTCAAACTCAGAGATTCTTTCCTCAGCCACATCTCGTCTACTACTGAGCCTATCAAAGGCATTCTTCATTTCTCTTACAGTGTTTTTTATCTCTAGGATTTCTTTTTTATTCTTTCTTAACAATTTTCATTTCTCTGCTTACCTTATTCCTCTGCTCTTGCATGCTGTCTACCTTTTCCATTACATTCCTTAGCATAGTAATCACAGTTTTACATTCCCAGTCAGATAATTCCAACATCCCTGCCATGCCTGCATCTGGATCTTATGATTGCTGTGTCTCTTCAAATGTGTTTTTTGCTTTGTAGTAGTTACTTGTTGAAATTTGTTGTGGGAAGTCAGGGACCCCAAATGGAGGGACCGGCTGGAGCCGTGGCAGAGGAACACAAATTGTGAAGATTTCATGGACATTTATCAGTTCCCAAATAATACTTTTATAATTTCTTATGCCTGTCTTTAATCTCTTAATCCTGTTATCTATCTTCGTAAGCTGAGGACGTACGTAACCTCAGGACCACTGTGATAATTGTGTTAACTGTACAAATTGATTGTAAAACATGTGTGTTTGAACAATATGAAATCAGTGCATCTTGAAAAAGAACAGAATAACAGCGATTTTTAGGGAACAAGGGAAGACAACCATAAGGTCTGACTGCCTGCGGGGTTGGGCAAAAAGAGCCATATTTTTCTTCTTGTAGAGAGCCTATAAATGGACGTGCAAGTAGGGAGGATATCGCTAAATTCTTTTCCTAGCAAGGAATATCAATGTTAATACCCTGGGGAAGGAATGCATTCCTGGGAGGAGGTCTATAAACAGCCACTCTGGACTTGTCTGTCTTATGAGGTTGAGATAAGGACTGAGATACAACCTGGTCTCCTGCAGTACCCTCAGGCTTACTAAGGTGGGGAAACACTCTGCCCTGGTAAATTTGTGGTCAGACCAGTTCTCTGCTCTTGAACGCTGTTTTCTGTTATTTAAGATGTTTATCAAGAAAATACGTGCACTGCTGAACATAGACCCTTATCAGCAGTTCTGCTTTTGCCCTTTGCCTTCTGATCTTTGTTGGACCCTTATCAGTAGTTCTACTTTTGCCCTCTGTCCTGTTCCCTCAGAAGCATGTGATCTTTGTTAGACCCTTACTAGTAATTCTGCTGTTTGCCTTTTGAAGCATGTGATCTTTGTACCTACTCCCTGTTCTTACATTCCCTCCCCTTTTGAAACCCTTTATAAAAATTTGCTGGTCTGAGACTCAGATGGGCATCATGGTCCTACCGATATGTGATGTCACCCCTGGCGGCCCAGCTGTAAAATTCCTCTCTTTGTACTGTCTCTCTTTATTTCTCAGCTGGCTGACACTTATAGAAAGAACCTACGTTGAAATATTGGGGCGGGTTCCCCCAACAGAAATCTTGACATGATGTACTGTGTAAAAGAAACTGCTGTAGATAGGCCTTTAGTGGTGTGGTGGTAAGTATGAAGGGAGAGAAAGCATTCTGTAGTCCTGTGATTAGGTTTCAGGCTTTTAGTGAGCCTGTGCCCTGGGCTGTGACCTTTACAAGTGCTTCTCAATCCCCTCACTCACTCCTTAGGTAAGACAGGGTGGCCAGAGGAGGATGGAGTTGGGTATTCTACTAGACTACTTAGGCTCTTATAAACTGATGAAACTCTAGTAGGTTAGGCACTGGTAAAATAGCTTCCCCTGAGGGCAGGCCTTGTTAAGAACACAGGCTCTGGGATGTATTTTAAATGCCTACTTTTTTCCCATTCCCTGCCAGAGGAACAAGGGGATTTCTCTCTGGTGGTCATGGCAAGATCCTGCTAGAGCCCCTAAAAGTAAAAATCACAAAGGCTTAGGGGTCCTCCTATGACTTGAGCCCCCTGAGTTTTTAACTCTCAGACTAGAATACACTGAGTTTTTAGCAGTTTGTCAGAGTTCAGGTTTTCCTACCCAGGACTGTTTCGTAGGAAGGTTCCCTATTTGGTAGGTTGTGATTTTCTGCATCTGCCCATCTCTCCAATTTTGGGGGCAGTGGTTTGCCCTGTGAACTCATTTTTTCTGAAATATCTAAGAAGAGTTGTTGATTTTTCAGTTTTATCAGCTTTTTGCTTGTTAGGATGAAGTGATAACTTCTAAGCTCCTTACATGCCAGACTGGAAATCAGGATCCTCTTTTTGATTTTTGATGCTGTCCTTATCATACACTGTACACACTACGGTTTATCTTTGCTTTATTTTTATTTATTTATTTATTTTTATTTTTTTATTTTTTTAATTTTTATTATTTTTTATTATACTTTAAGTTTTAGGGTACATGTGCACAACGTGCAGGTTTGTTACATATGTATACATATGCCATGTTGGTGTGCTGCACCCATTAACTCTTCATTTAACATTAGGTATATCGCTTATCGCTTAATGCTATCCCTCCCGCTTCCCCCACCCCAAAACAGGCCCCAGTGTGTGATGTTCCCCTTCCTGTGTCCATGTGTTCTCATTGTTCAATTCCCACCTATGAGTGAGAACTATCTTTGCTTTATTTTTCTGTGTAAATTATAGAAGTACACTATTTAGAGTTTTTGGTTTCTTATTTTTATATTATTTTTTAAATAATATAAATTCACATGGTTCAAAAGTCCAAAAGTAAAAATGGTTCCCTGTCATTTTTATTTGCCCATTTAATTTTCCTACGGGCAAACACTATTGTTAGTCTATTATACATTATCCTAGATATACATAAAATATATACAAATACAGCAGATAAATAAAATAAACTTTTTTTCCACAATGCTAACATAATATAATCATTGTTCTGCACTTTGCTGTTATTTTTTTGTTTTTGTTTCTGTTTTTTGGTGGGTTTTTTTTTTGGAAATTAACAGTAAATCTTGAAGATATTTCCATGTAGTCAGATAAAAAGCCTCTTCATTCAGTATTACAACAATATATTATTTGAGTCATAGATGTGTTCTAATTAATTAAACATGTTCCCTATTGATGGACAGGAAGATTGTTTCTCTTTTCTGGCTATCAAAAACAATGTTACAGTGAATAGCTTTATGCATATGTGAATTCAAAACTATGTGAGAATATTTGCAAAATCAATTCCTATGAGTAGAATTATTTTGGAATTGTTTTAAGGACTACAGTGCTATGATATGTTTTACTTTGGCAAACATTTTTTAGTACTTAACTATTTCGGTACTATTATAGTACTATAATATGATATGAAAGAAAATTTTAAAATAAGTAACAGTCTTGATTCTAAAACACTTGATAGAACATGACTCCTCTTGTACTTTAATGCAGGAGTCCCCAACCATTTTGGCACCAGGGACCAATTTCATGGAAGGCAGTTTTCCATGGACAGGGGTGGGGTCGGGTGGTGGATGGTTTTGGGATGATTCAAATGCATTACATTTATCATTAGGTTCTCATAAGGAGCACGTAACTTACGTTCCTTGCATGCGCAGCTCACGATAGGGTTCATGCTCCTATAAGAATCTAATGCCTCCGCTGATGTGACAGGAGGCAAAACTCGGCTTCACTCACTCACCCACTGCTTACCTGCTGCTGTGCTGCCTGGTTCCTAGCAGGCCATGGACCAGTACTAGTCCATGGCTTGGGGGTTGGGGACCCTGGCTTTAATGCTTAAATGTATTTTAGTCATTCATGAATGTTTCCTTTTATGTTCAAGTGAATTTAAAATAATTTTATCAGATTTTTAAGAAGATATCTGTTTGTTAGGATTTTAAATGAAATTATTAACTTGTACAGAACTGATGATAATAAAATATCCACCTTAGAAAAGGTGTGTATGTCTATGGTGTGCATATATACATGTATATTCCCTAATTAATAGAAATACTGTATAAATATATTTAAAAGACTGTGTAAATATAAGGAATATGTGTGTGTATGTATATACATACATATAAATAACAAGGTATATATTTTTATATGCAAATTTTTGTGTTTTCTTCATCTAGGACTATGTCTTATATATTCCTTATCTGAGATTATTTATAGATATGTATTAATCATATGCAATTGTGGCAAATCATATCTCTCTAGACTGAAAGTTCCTTGAAAATAGAAAGTGCTTTCTATTCTTTGAGCAAATGAATCCAGGTTCTTCACTTTCTACATGGAGACAACAGGCTACTGTAACAATGTTAGACAATGCCTTCATGCTCATACTCTTTCCAAGATGCAGTTAGTTTATTTTATCTTCTCTCTTTTATAATCTGATTAGAAAAGATGTTACTGATGGGCTGGAGATAAGGGTATGGGGAAAATGTTATGGGATAGCTTTTTTTTCATCCATGCACACAAAGATAACAGATTTCATGAGTTAAGAAGTATGTTCTAACATCTCTGAGAAATAAAATTTTAAAATGTAATTTAAAATAAATTGAGGGAGGAGCCAAGATGGCCGAATAGGAACAGCTCAGGTCTACAGCTCCCAGCGTGAGCGACGCAGAAGATGGTGATTTCTGCATTTCCAGCTGAGGTATCGGGTTCATCTCACTAGGGAGTGCCAGACAGTGGGCGCAGGTCAGTGGGTGCGCACACCGTGCGCGAGCCGAAGCAGGGCGAGGCATTGCCTCACTCGGGAAGCGCAAGGGGTCAGGGAGTTCCCTTTCTGAGTCAAAGAAAGGGGTGACGGACGGCACCTGGAAAATCGGGTCACTCCCACCCGAATACTGCGCTTTTCCGACGGGCTTAAAAAACGGCGCACCACGAGATTATATCCCGCACCTGGCTCTGGGGGTCCTACACCCACGGAGTCTCGCTGATTGTTAGCACAGCAGTCTGAGATCAAACTGCAAGGTGGCAGCGAGGCTGGGGGAGGGGCGCCCGCCATTGCCCAGGCTTAATTAGGTAAACAAAGCAGCTGGGAAGCTCCAACTGGGTGGAGCCCACCACAGCTCAAGGAGGCCTGCCTGCCTCTGTAGGCTCCACCTCTGGGGGCAGGGCACAGACAAACAAAAAGACAGCAGTAACCTCTGCAGACTTAAATGTCCCTGTCTGACAGCTTTGAAGAGAGCAGTGGTTCTCCCAGCACGCAGCTGGAGATCTGAGAACGGGCAGACTGCCTCCTCAAGTGGGTCCCTGACCCCTGACCCCTGAGCAGCCTAACTGGGAGGCACCCCCCAGCAGGGGCACACTGACACCTCACACGGCAGGGTATTCCAACAGACCTGCAGCTGAGGCTCCTCTCTGTTAGAAGGAAAACTAACAAACAGAAAGGACATCCACACCAAAAACCTATCTGTACATCACCATCATCAGAGACCAAAAGTAGATAAAACCACAAAGATGGGGAAAAAACAGAGCAGAAAAACTGGAACGTCTAAAAAGCAGAGCACCTCTCCTCCTCCAAAGGAACGCAGTTCCTCACCAGCAATGGAACAAAGCTGGATGGAGAATGACTTTGACGAGTTGAGAGAAGAAGGTGTCAGACGATCAAATTACTCTGAGCTACAGGAGGCCATTCAAACCAAAGGCAAAGAAGTTGAAAACTTTGAAAAAAATTTAGAAGAATGTATAACTAGAATAACTAATACAGAGAAGTGCTTAAAGGAGCTGATGGAGCTGAAAACCAAGGCTCGTGAACTACGTGAAGAATGCAGAAGCCTCAGGAGCCGATGCGATCAACTGGAAGAAAGGGTATCAGCAATGGAAGATGAAATGAATGAAATGAAGCGAGAAGGGAAGTTTAGAGAAAAAAGAATAAAAAGAAATGAGCAAGGCCTCCAGGAAATATGGGACTATGTGAAAAGACCAAATCTACGTCTGATTGGTGTACCTGAAAGTGATGAGGAGAATGGAACCAAGTTGGAAAACACTCTGCAGGATATTATCCAGGAGAACTTCCCCAATCTAGCAAGGCAGGCCAACGTTCAGATTCAGGAAATACAGAGAATGCCACAAAGATACTCCTCGAGAAGAGCAACTCCAAGACACATAATTATCAGATTCACCAAAGTTGAAATGAAGGAAAAAATGTTAAGGGCAGCCAGAGAGAAAGGTCGGGTTACCCTCAAAGGGAAGCCCATCAGACTAACAGCGGATCTCTCGGCAGAAACCCTACAAGCCAAAAGAGAGTGGGGGCCAATATTCAACATTCTTAAAGGAAAGAATTTTCAACCCAGAATTTCATATCCAGCCAAACTAAGCTTCATAAGTGAAGGAGAAATAAAATCCTTTACAGACAAGCAAATGCTGAGAGATTTTGTCACCACCAGGCCTGCCTTACAAGAGCTCCTGAAGGAAGCACTAAACATGGAAAGGAACAACCGGTACCAGCCGCTGCAAAATCATGCCAAAATGTAAAGACCATCGAGACTAGGAAGAAACTGCATCAACTAACGAGCAAAATCACCAGCTAACATCATAATGACAGGATCAAATTCACACATAACAATATTAACTTTAAATGTCAATGGACTAAATGCTCCAATTAAAAGACACAGACTGGCAAATTGGATAAAGAGTCAAGACCCATCAGTGTGCTGTATTCAGGAAACCCATCTCACGTGCAGAGACACACATAGGCTCAAAATAAAGGGATGGAGGAAGATCTACCAAGCAAATGGAAAACAAAAAAAGGCAGGGGTTGCAATCCTAGTCTCTGATAAAACAGACTTTAAACCAACAAACATCAAAAGAGACAAAGAAGGCCATTACTTAATGGTAAAGGGATCAATTCAACAAGAAGAGCTAACTATCCTAAATATATATACACCCAATACAGGAGCACCCAGATTCATAAAGCAAGTCCTGAGTGACCTACAAAGAGACTTAGACTCCCACACAATAATAATGGGAGACTTTAACACCCCACTGTCAACATTAGACAGATCAATGAGACAGAAAGTCAACAAGGATACCCAGGAATTGAACTCAGCTCTGCACCAAGCAGACCTAATAGACATCTACAGAACTCTCCACCCCAAATCAACAGAATATACATTTTTTTCAGCACCACACCACACCTATTCCAAAATTGACCACATACTTGGAAGTAAAGCTCTCCTCAGCAAATGTAAAAGAACAGAAATTATAACAAACTATCTCTCAGACCACAGTGCAATCACACTAGAACTCAGGATTAAGAATCTCACTCAAAACCACTCAGCTACATGGAAACTGAACAACCTGCTCCTGAATGACTACTGGGTACATAACGAAATGAAGGCAGAAATAAAGATGTTCTTTGAAACCAACGAGAACAAAGACACAACATACCAGAATCTCTGGGATGCATTCAAAGCAGTGCGTAGAGGGAAATTTATAGCACTAAATGCCCACAAGAGAAAGCAGGAAAGATCCAAAATTGACACCCTAACATCACAATTAAAAGAACTAGGGAAGCAAGAGCAAACACATTCAAAAGCTAGCAGAAGGCAAGAAATAACTAAAATCAGAGCAGAACTGAAGGAAATAGAGACACAAAAAAACCTTCAAAAAATTAATGAATCCAGGAGCTGGTTTTTTGAAAGGATCAACAAAATTGATAGACCGCTAGCAAGACTAATAAAGAAAAAAAGAGAGAAGAATCAAATACACGCAATAAAAAATGATAAAGGGGATATCACCACCGATCCCACAGAAATACAAACTACCATCAGAGAATACTACAAACACCTCTACGCAAATAAACTAGAACATCTAGAAGAAATGGATAAATTCCTGGACATATACGCTCTCCCAAGACTAAACCAGGAAGAAGTTGAATCTCTGAATAGATCAATAACAGGAGCTGAAATTATGGTAATAATCAATAGCTTACCAACCAAAAAGAGTCCAGGACCAGATGGATTCACAGCCGAATTCTACCACAGGTACAAGGGGGAACTGGTACTATTCCTTTTGAAACTATTCCAATCAATAGAAAAAGAGGGAATCCTCCCTAACTCATTTTATGAGGCCAGCATCATTCTGATACCAAAGCCTGGCAGAGACACAACCAAAAAAGAGAATTTTAGACCAATATCCTTGATGAACATTGATGCAAAAATCCTCAATAAAATACTGGCAAAACGAATCCAGCAGCACATCAAAAAGCTTATCCACCATGATCAAGTGGGCTTCATCCCTGGGATGCAAGGCTGGTTCAATATACAAAAATCAATAAACGTAGTCCAGCATATAAACAGAGCCAAAGACAAAAAACACATGATTATCTCAATAGATGCAGAAAAAGCCTTTGACAAAATTCAACAATGCTTCATGCTAAAAACTCCCAATAAATTAGGTATTGATGGGACGTATTTCAAAATAATTACTGCTGTCTATGACAAACCCACAGCCAATATCATACTGAATGGGCAAAGACTGGAAGCATTCCCTTTGAAAACTGGCATGAGAGGGATGCCCTCTCTCACCACTCCTATTCAACATAGTGTTGGAAGTTCTGGCCAGGGCAATTAGGCAGGAGAAGGAAATAAAGGGTACTCAATTAGGAAAAGAGGAAGTCAAATTGTCCCTGTTTGCAGACGACATGATTGTATATCTAGAAAACCCCATTGTCTCAGCCCAAAATCTCCTTAAGCTTATAAGCAACTTCAGCAAAGTCTCAGGATACAAAATCAATGTACAAAAATCACAAGCATTCTTATACACCACTCACAGACAAACAGAGAGCCAAATCATGAGTGAACTCCCATTCACAATTGCTTCAAAGAGAATAAAATACCTAGGAATCCAACTTACAAGGGATGTGAAGGACCTCTTCAAGGAGAACTACAAACCACTGCTCAAGGAAATAAAAGAGGATACAAACAAATGGAAGAACATTCCATGCTCGTGGGTAGGAAGAATCAATATCGTGAAAATGGCCATACTGCCCAAGGTAATTTACAGATTCAATGCCAACCCCATCAAGCTACCAATGCCTTTCTTCACAGAACTGGAAAAAACTACTTTAAAGTTCATATGGAACCAAAAAAGAGCCCGCATCGCCAAGTCAATCCTAAGCCAAAAGAACAAAGCTGGAGGCATCACACTACCTGACTTCAAACTATACTACAAGTCTACAGTAACCAAAACAGCATGGTACTGGTACCAAAACAGTGATATAGATCAATTTAACAGAACAGAACCCTCAGAAATAACGCCACATATCTATAACTATCTGATCTTTGACAAACCTGAGAAAAACAAGCAATGGGGAAAGGATTCCCTATTTAATAAATGGTGCTGGGAAAACTGGCTAGCCATATGTAGAAAGCTGAAACTGGATCCCTTCCTTTTACACCTTATACAAAAATCAATTCAAGATGGATTAAAGACTTAAACGTTAGACCTAAAACCATAAAAACCCTAGAAGAAAACCTAGGCATTACCATTCAGGACATAGGCATGGGCAAGGACTTCATGTCTAAAACACCAAAAGCAATGGCAACAAAAGCCAAAATTGACAAATGGGATCTAGTTAAACTCAAGAGCTTCTGCACAGCAAAAGAAACTACTATCAGAGTGAACAGGAAACCTACAAAATGGGAGAAAATTTTCGCAACCTACTCATCTGACAGAGGGCTAATATCCAGAATCTACAATGAACTCACCCAAATTTACAAGAAAAAAACAAACAACCCCATGAAAAAGTGGGCGAAGGACATGAACAGACACTTCTCAAAAGAAGACATTTATGCAGCCAAAAGACACATGAAAAAATGCTCATCATCACTGGCCATCAGAGAAATGCAAATCAAAACCACAATGAGATACCATCTCACACCAGTTAGAATGGCAATCATTAAAAAGTCAGGAAACAACAGGTGCTGGAGAGGATGTGGAGAAATAGGAACACTTTTACACTGTTGGTGGGATTGTAAACTAGTTCAACCATTGTGGAACTCAGTGTGGCAATTCCTCAGGGATCTAGAACTGGAAATACCATTTGACCCAGCCATCCCATTACTGGGTATATACCCAAAGGACTATAAATCATGCTGCTATAAAGACACATGCACACGTATGTTTATTGTGGCACTATTCACAATGGCAAAGACTTGGAACCAACCCAAATGTCCAACAATGATAGACTGGATTAAGAAAATGTGGCACATATACACCATGGAATACTATGCAGCCATAAAAAATGATGAGTTCATGTCCTTTGTAGGGACATGGATGAAATTGGAAATCATCATTCTCAGTAAACTATCGCAAGGACAAAAAACCAAACACCGCATATTCTCACTCATAGGTGGGAATTGAACAATGAGATCACATGGACACAGGAAGGGGAATATCACACTCTGGGGACTGTCGTGGGGTAGGGGGAGGGGGGAGGGATAGCATCAGGAGATATACCTAATGCTAGATGACGAGTTAGTGGGTGCAGCGCACCAGCATGGCACATGTATACATATGTAACTAACCTGCACAATGTGCACATGTACCCTAAAACTTAAAGAAGTATAATAAAAAAATAAAATAAAATAAAATTAATTAAAATTAAAATGAGATATTTTTATCTATATGTGAATGAGCTACATGTTTGTCTACTCATGAATAGGTCAAATAAATGTTTAAAAAAGAGATGTTAATTTTCTCAATTACATTAGTTTTATAAACATTTCTGGGGAGAGTATAAGGATATGAACAGATTATGGCATTAAATACTTTTATTTCTCATTTTATTTTTAAAAAATTTTTAATTGTGGTAAAAAAAATAACATAAAATTTACCATCTCAACTATTTCTAACTGTACAGTTCAGGAGTGTTATATATATTCACATTTGTGTGCAACCAATCTCCAGAACTTTTTCATTTTACAAGACTGGCACTCAATATTCATTAAACAACTCTCCATTTCTCCCCTTTCAGCCCCTGGAAAACACCATTCTACTTTCTTTTTCCGTGAATTTCCCTACTCTAGATAACCTCATATAAGTGGTATATATAGTATTTGTCATTTTGTAAGTGACTTATTTCACTTAAAATATTATCCTTAAGGTTCACCCATGTTGTAGTATGTATCAAAATTTCCTTCCTTTCTAAGTCTGAATAATATTCCGTGTGTGCATGTATACCATGTATATATATATATAATACGTATACACACACACACACACACATACGTGAGTCCATGGACTTTTGGTATATATGTATATATATGTAAATACATATATATGTATGCATGTATATATGTATTGATATTATGTATATATAATAGTATGCAGTCCATTTTGTTTTTTCAGTCATCCACCAATGGACACTTGGGTTGCTTCTGCCTGTTGCCTATTGTGAATGATGCTGATATAAACATAGATGTGCAAATTTTTCTTCAAGACCTGCTTTCAAGTCTTTTGGCTATATAGCTAGAAGTGGAGGATACTAGATCATATGATAATTCTGTATTTAATTTTTTGAGGAATTGCATAGCAACTGCACCATTGTACATTCCCACCAGCGATGCAAAAGGGTTTCAATTTCTTCACATTCTTAGCAACACTTGTTATTTTCTGGTTTGGTTTTAGTTTTATAACATCCATCCTAATGAGTGTGAGGTGGTTTTGATTTGAATTTCTCCAATGATTAGTGATGTTGAGCATCTTCTAATATGTTTATTGGTTATTTGAATATCATGTATGGAGAAATGTCTATATAAGAACTTTGCCCATTTTTAATAGATTATTTGTTTTCTGATATTGTTAAGTTGTAGGAGTTCTTTATATCATTTGCAAATGTTTTCTCCCATTCCACAATTTGCTTTTTTCACTCCATGTTTGCTCTTTAATGCACAGAAATTTTTTAATTTTGATGTATTCCAATTTATTTATTTTTATTTTTGTTACCTGTGCTTCTTGTGTCATATCCAAGAAATCCTTGCCAAATCCAAAGTCAAGAAGCATTCCTTCTATTTTCTTTTAAGAGTTACATAATTTTAGGTCGTATATTTAGGTCTTTGGTCCATTTTGAGTTAATCTTTGTATATGGTGTGAGGTGAGGGTCCAATTTCATTATTTTGTTTATGGATATCCAGTTTTCCCAACACTATTTGTTGAAGAGACTGTCCTTTACCCACTGAACAGTCTTGGGATCCTCCTTGAAAGTTATTTAATCCTATATGTGAGAGATTATTTCTGAGCTCTCTATTTTGTTCCATTGGTCTAAGTCTGTCTTTATGATAGTACCACACTGTTTTGGTTACTGTAGCTTTGTAATAAAATAAGTTTTGAAATCAGGAAGTGTGAGAACTCAAACTTTGTTCTCTTTTTTCAAGATTGTTTGAGGAATGTTTTTTCTTTTAGTTTCTTATTTCTGATTCGTCTTTTATTTCCTATTTGTTTCTTTTTCTCTTATGATAGCACCTTCTCTTCTTTAGTTTTTATGTTCTACTTTCTTCACATCTGAATGAAATATGGACCACAGCAGCACAATTTGGTGGTCAGAATGGTATTATCTAAACTAGGCAGTCCCTAACACTATGCACTATCCTTTCTGGACAAAGAAGTGTGGGACTGGAATAAAGACCATGCCACACTCTATTCCAGACCTGCATTCTCAACCTGTCTCCAGTGGCAATAGTCATCTAATCTTGTGCAGGTCATTTGACCTCTTTGGGCATCAGTTATCTGCAGAATCAAAAGGAGGGGAAAAGTCTGTAAGCTGTATAATTCTACCTTTCTTCTGGCAGACACAGGTGGCACTTAGAGACTGGCTTTTCACTGAGGCAATTCGAACCCTGAGAAGCTGGGCTGTCTGCTTCTTGTCCAGTTTCTGTCTCTTCCTTTTCCTGTTTTTCTTTATTTTTATTCCCTGGCTCCCCTTTGCTTACCTTTCCCTTCTTAGCAATCTTTTTTCCCAGTATTTTTCTCTTAATTGTTTCTAGTTACTCAATTTTACCTTTTAAAATTTCCATTCTCTTCTATAAAGGGGTCGGGGGAGAGAGTACGAATATCCTAGCACTTATGCATTTAAACACCACACCACACTCTATTCTTTCTTGGAGAAAGATCAGTTATTCACACAGATGGCATCCAAAGGAGTTGAGTAGCAAAATACCTACATAAGATGATATCAGAGAAATGATCATATACACCCTCTGACCTCCACTACTCGTTCCTGAAATGTCCCATTGGAATTGTGAACAGTGAGACAGGGAATATTCAAGACTTGTCATTTCTTCCTTTACAGTGTTAACTGGCCCTTCCCAAATCCCCCGATGTAGTACTCCTGATTTAAACTCCTCCTCTAGGCTCAAGCTGGTCTCTCTAAGTTCATCTTCCCCCAAGCCCTCTTGCATATCACTGCAGGCTAATCACAAAACTGCACTTAAGAGTTTTCATCTGCTCAAAAGCCTACAGTGGCTTCCTGTTATATTTGGCATTAGATATACATTCTGTTCAGCTTTCTAGGCCGTTCATCATCTGATAGCAACTTGTCTCCCAGCCCCCACAACAGGATCCCTTCACAGTCACTTCCTGACTCTTTTTTTTTTTTTTTTTTTTTTTTTTTGAGACGGAGGAGTCTCACTCTGTTGCCCAGGCTGGAGTGCGGTGGCGTGATCTCAGCTCACTGCAAGCTCCGCCTCCCAGGTTCATGCCATTCTCCTGCCTCAACCTCCCAAGTAGTTGGGACTACAGGCGCCCACCACCACGCTCAGCTAATTTTTTGTATTTTTTAGTAGAGATGGAGTTTCACCGTGTTAGCCAGGATGGTCTTGATCTCCCGACCTTGTGATCTGCCCGCCTTGGCCTCCTAAAGTGCTGGGATTACAGGCGTGAGCCACAACGCCCAGCCTCATGTATTATACTCTTATTTCTTGCCTTTGCCCATGCTGTTTTACATGATTTGTGAGAGCTTTTCTCCTCACCTGTGTCTACTAAGCAATCTATAGAAAGCTTCTTTCAATGACTCTATTTAGATTTTTACTTCTATTTTCCTTTGCTTCTATAATCAGCTGAACTATAGTTGAGCACTTAATCGTTCTACATATTTTTGTTTTGTTTCCCAAGCTGGATTATAAACTTCTTTAAAAATGTAGTTCTGTGTTTTCAAAACTATAACGCCATATGCAAATAAAAGATACCATTATTCTGTGAACACAGAGTCTCTTTTGGTTCCAAAAATAATAAAAAATACCATTATTATTTTTAGAACCAAAAGAGATTCTGTGTGTTCACTGACCTGTATATTCAAGTCTCTGGAACTAATTCAGCACACAGAACTATCCTAAGTCACATGCAGCATTTCATAGTCCAAAAAATGACTCCTGGTGATGATGGGAGACACTGGCTCTACTCCAGTGAATTCCAAATGGAATTGTGTATCTTATCGGTATCTGAAATCTAGCAGGTACATGAATTTTGTTTTTTTTTTAATTACTTAAGTGAATTCTTCTGATCAGTGCATCCAAGTTTGGCTCAGTGTCTTTTAAAATGATAACAACCAACAATATGAACATACAATCAAGCTAAACCAAGAAGAAATGTCTCAGCCAGTCAATGAGATGAAACAGTTTTACATGCAGATCCCCAAAACAGCAAACCTCAAACCTTTTGCAGATAGAAATTAAGATGTTTGAAAAATCTCATCAAGAAAGGAAGCTAATTCAGTTATTTGATAAACCAGGTTTCAGTTCTTCCTCCAAGTAGTGTGCAATATACATTCAATTATTTACATATGACTAAGAAACACTTTCAATGCTGCCTGTTTAAAAGAGGTCATATCTGTGGTAACCTCATAAATATGCTGATAGTTATAACTCTATTAGTTGTGGGCAGCCTCCACCCTCCTCTGTTCTCTAGATGGATTTCTCCTAAATCTTGCTCATTTCTTACAGACACCAAAGCCTACTAAGTGAAATAACCAAAAAGAAAAAGGACCCTGGCTCACTCACCACTTCATTTTAATCCAGTAATGTAATTATTACATATATTATATGCATGTAGACTTCTGATATATACACATACCATATATATTAGAACGGCTCCTGAAGAATTTAAACTTTTGAATAACCATGGGTTAAATTCAATGCTAAGATTTTTCAGGAAAAATATAAACTTTTATAAATTTTAGTAAAACAATGAAACCATAGGATGAGAAAGAAGTGAGACTAGTCGGTGAAACTTCACTTTTGCTTTTGCTGACAGAGGCTAAGAGACCAGGATTATTTTGCAAACAGTATGTTTGTGCACATGATTCTGGATGTCTGCATAGAAGCATTGTTTTCTCTGCAATCTAGAGAAAGAGCTGTAGTCTCTCAGTCACTGTAGAAAAAGGAGCCATGTGTTATGTTGCAGATGGTAAATTTCCTCCCGTCACATTCACTCATTGTGCACTGGGAAGGCAAAGACAAGTGTGAAATAATCTGGTGGAACAATGCTTTTTATATAGGCACAGTGGACTATTTATTTTTGAAAGATCAGTTAGGAAAGGATGTCATTGCATTGTGGAGTAATACATATGAAAATTAGTTAAAGCCATGAACCCCTGCAGGGGGTCTCTGTATTGAAAAATCACCAAAGACCTACAGTAAATGCTCTGTTAACTGGTATGGTTAGAGAATGAGGTCCTCTGGTTAATAATATGTTGCAGTTTAGTCACCATTGTCATCTATGCCTAGATTTGAAATATCCAGGAATTAGGGTAAAGCAAAGAAGTGAAGAAACACAAAGACTCTGTCAGACAACCAGATTTCAAATTTTGGCTACAATTCTTACCAGGTGTGTGAGGCTGATTAAGTTACCCAACGTCTCTAAGCCTTAGTTTTCATATCTAGAAAATAAATATAAACCTGAATTAAACACCATGCTAGGAATTTCACTCATGGTCAAAACAGAGTTTTAGAGACTGGTTTTTCCCTCCTGCCTGATGTGAATGAAAAACTGAACAAAATATACGAGGCATTAGCTTTTAAGAAACTTGATATTAGATAATGAAGGACAGTGACCTCTGGAATATTGGAGGTGAATGAAGTAAGACCTTTGGCTGCCTCAGATTAATGCCTTGAGAGAATTTCCTGGACTAGAGCAGAGAGGGGAAATCAGGTGTAGTTCAGCAAACTCCCTGAATTAAAGAGACAGAGCTGAGTATCCAGGGAGACCAAGGCAGCTAAAGCTCACAATAGTGTAGGAGAAAATAAGGGTTTCATAGAGAGAGGACTCTGGAGAACTGCAGGGGTTGCCTCTTGAGTTCAGCAGAGTACTGATCAACACATTCATGTGAAGAAAGGAGTTGAAGCTGAAGAAAGGACCACCACAAGCATTAGCGAGAACAGCACCCATTGTTCACACAGGGTCAGGAAGTGCCTGTTCCTATCAGCTAGAGTGGAAAACTTTGTAAGTCACATGCAGTTGTTTAGAGTAGAAAGAAAGGTCTTGCCTCAGTAGTAGAGGAGAATTACTCCCAAGTTAAACATAATTCTAGTACTGCATAAGAAATCTTACAAGAAAGACCCAAAAGGATCAAACGGTTTCCAGGTAACTATGTCCCACAACAAAAACAAAAGGATATTTAAAGAAATACAAAAATATCCAACACCTAGGAAGGTCAAATTCTCAATCTGTGGTATACAATAAATAATTACCAAGTATGGAAAAAGTAAGGAAACGACCAACATGAGAAGGAAATCAATTAATTAAAATTGACCCATAACTCACATAAATGTTACAATTAGCAAACAAGGACTTTCAGACAGTTATATTCAAAATGTTAAGTAGAGACATGGAAGATATAAAAAAAGAACCAAATCAATTTTTTTAAAAATATGGAAACTACAATGCCCAGTGTGAAAAAATAAACTGGATATGATAAACATCAAATTAGAAATGGCAGAAGAATAGTGAACTTGAAGATGTAGTAATAGAAAGCACTCAAAATTAAACATTCAGAAACAAAATAATTTTAAAAAGTAAAAAGAGTGTCCATGAGCTGTGAAACAACTTCAAACAGCCTAATACATGTGTAATTGAAGTCCCTGGAAGAGAATAGGTGACAGAAAAATATTCGAAGAAATAATGATAGCACTTTTTCCAAACTTGATGAAAACTGCAAATCATAGATCCAAGAAGCTACACAAGAACCAGCACAAAAAAAGAAAAAAAAAAAAAAAGCTACACCAAACCACATCATAATAAAATTGCCCAAAAACAGTGATAAAGAGAAAATTTGTAAAGCAACCAGAAAAAAATGATATAGTTATGTACAGAAAAACAAAGATAAGAAACAAAGTAGATTTTTCTAAAATCAGAAACAATGCAAGAAAACAGTGTTCCACATCCAAAAGAAAAAAAAAGTCAGCATAGAATTCTATGCCATGGGAAAATACCTTCCGGACACCAAGGCATAATAAAAACATTTTTAAACATACAAGAGCTGAAAGAATTCATCACCAGCAGAAATGAACTATAAGAAATGTGAAAGGATGTGCTTCAGATAGAAGGAAAATGATATCCCTGAAAATATGGATTTATACAAAGGAATAAAGAGCACTAAAATGGGATCAATATGAGTAAATACACAAGACTGTGTTCCTGTAATTTATATAACTTTAATAGAAAATTGGCTATTTAAACAAAACTAATCATATAGTATGCAGTTTATAAAAGATATGAAAATATGTTGAGACACACCAGTGGAACCAAGGCTCTGTAGAGAAAAATAAAAGCATACTGTTGTAAAGCTTCTTAAAATATCCATGAAGTGGCATAATATGGCTTGAAAATAGACTGTGACAAATTAACAATGTATACTATAAACCATAAAGTACCTACTAAACAAAACAAAGGGTTAGAACCAATAAGCCAACATAGGAGATAAAATGAGATAATAAAAAATGCTATGTTGATCAAAAAAGGGAGATAGAAAGGAAAAGGAGAATAAAGAATGAATGAGATTAATATAAAATAACATGATAGAATTATATCTAACCACCTCAATAACTGTACTAAATGAAAATGGATACCTCAATTAAAAGGATTGAACATAAGAGTCAAATATTTGCAGGGTATTCTTTTGACAGAAAAAAAGCTAATTCTAAAGCTCATCTGGAAATGTAAAGGGCCTAGATATCCAAAATGATTTTCAAAAAGAACAAAATTGGAGAATACTACTACCTGATTTTAAGATTTATTATAAAACTTCATTAATCAAGGCTGGATGGCATAGAAACATAAAGATAGACAAATAGATCAATGGAACAGAATAGAATAGAACAGAATTCAGGAAGTAATATTCCCATAGAATATTTTACAGGTCAGCCAAAATTTGGAGTGCCAAATTCTTTAGAATATATAAAAAAGCATTTTAGACCAGGAGAATTTGTTTTCTAACACAAGGACTATGGTGAGTAATTTTAGCTATGCCTAGAGGAATGAGTTACATTTGGAGCTTTCATTTAAATGGATGTTTATATATATATGTATCCATATATAAACACATATATAGGAATCTTATGTCTTATTCTCATCCTAGAAATGAAAGGAAGCACTATTCTGATTTAATTCATGAATAATCCCTCTGAAATTTTCCATAATTGTATTCAAAATGGCTTCACATTAAATAAATTCTATGTTTTCCTTTTGCTGTCAGAAATAAACTACTTTTACAGGGACATAATCCGCTGCAAACATTCACACTTATAATCACACTCATGCACACCCTGGTCTTTTCTGACAGCTTGCAAATATCTCTGCTCTTTACATGCAGCCTTCACAGTTACAAAGCTGAAATTTCTTTGGCCATTTCCTCTCATGTTTTTATAGCTCAGCTTTTCAAAGGGTTTTAAAAAATAGCTCAGACACACCTAAGAAAAATATGCATTTCTTTTCATTGCCTGGCTAAAGGCCAAAGCTTTTTAATAACCATTTACCAAGAAATCCGTGCTCTCAAGTGTACTGTGTATCAGCAGAGAGAAGATGCTCCTGATAGAGATTCACTTTTCTACCTTAAAAATCCCCTATCATCTTCTTATTTTCTTCTGCCCTTGTTGCACATAGACATTTGCTACCCGTAGAAAGAGCTATTTGGGTATTCCTATTCCATTGATGAATCTCTGGCTGATACCTGGTATCTGTTAGAACATACACAATACAAACCTCACCCCTGTAGCCTTACTCTTCATGAGCCTTGGAGGCCATACTAACTGAATAAAAATTTCTCTGTATCAGGAACAGTTTGTTCAACTTACTGAATGTCTTGGTTGGGATCCCCAAAAGCAATCCCCGAGTTGAGGATTTGTGTGCAAAGAATTGATTGAAGATATGCTGGAGACACTTGCAAAGGAATGCAGGCAGCAGAGGAGGGCAAGAGAAGGAGCCAAGCCAGGATGTGACTATAAGCAAAGTCTGGTGGAGGCTGGCTTCAGCCTGACCCTAAAGAGAAACTTAGGAGTGCGGTTTATGCCTCCAAGTTTTTCTTCTTTAAGATCAGGGAGCTGGGCTTTCATATTCTCACAGAGTCAGTAGTCACTCATTCCCTAAAGACCAGTTTCAGAGATATAAAACCCCAAGCATCTCCAGCTTTCTGAATATCTGGATGATGTGGCTCCAGATGTCACAGATTATCCCTCAAAGCAAATCAAGGTGTAGGTCATTAGAAGCAAAATCACACAGAAGTGGGGTGGGGGGTGTGGGGGGTGGTACACACTGCAAGGATCCTAGGGCCCAGGAGATCTGGCCAGACCACTAGCAGTGTCCTCAGCGCTTAACAAATACTCATCAAGTACCTGCTCTGTGCTTGGTGCTGTACACAATCTTGGAAACAAACTAGTGAGCAAATAATCCTCTGCCCATTACAGTTGAGTTGATGCAAAGACATTATTTCATTATTTTCTTATGGCTGAGTAGTATTCCACAGTGTATGTATGTGTATATATATGTAATATATAGATACACACACATATGTATTACATTTTCTTTATCCACTCATCAGTTGATGGGCACTAAGTTTGATTCCATATCTTTGCAGTTGTGAATCGGGCTGTAATAAACATACACATGCAGGGGTCTTTTTGATATAGCAATTTCTTTTCCTTTGGGTAGATACCCAGTAGTGGGATTGCTGGATTGAATGGTAGATCTACTTTTAGAAACTGGCCTTTTAAACAATCGCCCCAGGTGATGCTTATAGTTAGGTAAGTTTGGGAAACATCAACATCAATCATTCTTTATCCCATTACATTACCAGGCATCATAGGGTTAACTTTTTAAAATTCCATTGTTAAACTTTATTGGAATCTAACAGCCCTTTCTTTAGCCATAGGTAAGTGTCTACACACACACGTATGTGAAAGTGCAGCTTATGTAACAAGCATGGCTTTTCCCACCATTCAGCAAATCCAAGAACCAATACTAGGATCTTCTCTTATCACTAACCCTTCTCCAGAATTCAAGAACTTATACTTTCTTTTGAGTGTGACAGAAGGTTAAAAGTGACCTGAGTCATTCACAGAGTGTCAGCTAATTCTCAAGTGAGATACAGGCACACTGAATCTCAACTGATACCACCGTGGATCAGTCATATGATCCACGGTGATGATCCATGGTGGTGTGTGGGCAAGAACTGCCAGTGGGATGCCCTTTGCTTCCCATGATGAAAATAGCTGCCTCCTCCGCAGTGGCAATGGGCATTCCCAGTCCAAAAGCCAGAGGTCTGTGAGTGTTGGGTCAGTACCACGTAGTCTCTGGCTCTGACCACTGGCAGTCCCTGATATGCTCATTCTGTTAACAGCCTCCTCTCTGCTTGACTCCTCCCTATCTGACCTCCTCTAAAGTACTGCCTCATGACCTCTCTTTCTCCTTTCAGCACAGGTAAACCCCATCTAGAGTCTATCTTCTTTCTGTGGTGTGTGCCTGTGTTTGTATACATGCGTGTGATAAGCTCCTGTACTCCACTTCCCTTGGGGACTGTCTTCTCATTTTCTTGGCTTGGAAGGAATAAAAAATAAAAACCATAGAGGTTTACTCTTTATTTTCTTCTCTTTCTGCCATAACAGTCCTATTTTTCCTTTAGGAAGTATGAATACCCCTGGCTCTGCCTGATACTATGGTCGGGAAGTGCAGGAAAGAAAGCCATGCCCAAAGTTAAATATTTCATGGTCTTATCTTGCTACCTATATTTCTTCACTAGAAAGTAAGCTCCCTGAGGACAGAAATGATGTTCATTTTTTTGTTG
Source organism: Homo sapiens (assembly GCF_000001405.40). Classification (NCBI taxonomy): domain Eukaryota; kingdom Metazoa; phylum Chordata; class Mammalia; order Primates; family Hominidae; genus Homo; species Homo sapiens. Next base: position 67,726,211 of record NC_000005.10, on the reverse strand, counting down.
TTGCACTTTAAGTGCTGGTACATAGTTTGGCATGGGTTAATAAATATGTGTTGAATTAATGTATAAATGACTATGTTTTCAGTCTTGACTCCTCTCCTGCCCTTTTTATGGTTGTAACTTACCTAATTTTTTTAAAGGCACTGCTCAAGCCTTATCTCTTCCAAGAAAACTTCCTTGAGTATCCTCACTTTTCTTTAACCTCAGCAATTTTATCTGTATCTCACAACATCTCCTTGTTTGTTATTTCTGTGATTTTTAGATTGTTTATTTGAGGCAAATGATTTCTAACAACTGTATAAGAAATACTGTAGTGAATTACACTCAAGCTGTTTCTCAGAAATCTCTCAAAGCAGACTTCTGGCATCTATCCAGGGTCTAATTCAAGAAAAGTAAGTTGGGTCAGAACAATGCTCTCTGGGTACACAGCTCTTTGACTCTTTGACTTGTCATTATTCTCTTATTTTTAATATGTGTCATGTTTCCTCACTTCCTTCAGGGACAAAGGATTATATGTTTTCATCAACAGAGATGAGCATGGCTCAGGGCACGTAGTAAATTCCCACTGATTATTTGATAGATTTTTTTTTTTTCAGACAGAGTTTCACTCTTGTTGCCCAGGCTGGAGTGCAATGGCACTATCTTGGCTCACGACAACCTCCACCTCCCAGGTTCAAGCGATTCTCCTGCCTCAGCCTCCCAAGTAGCGGGATTACAGGCGTGCACCACTGCACCAGGCTAATTTTGCACTTTTAGTAGAGATGGGGTTTCTCCATGTTGGTCAGGCTGGTGTCGAACTCCCAACCTCAGGTGATCCTCGCTCCTCAGCTTCCCAAAGTGCTGCGATTACAGGCATGAGCCACTGCGCCAGCCTACTTGATAGATTTTAAAGATGCTAGGGCTATTTCAGAGACTCCAGTATTTTTTACATAGACAGTTCTATTGCAAATGTGTCCCTCTTAATGATTTAATGTGTCCCTTAAATCATTAAGTTGTGATTATAATGTTCTGTGGACGGTAAAAGAAAGTGTGTACAACTGCAAACATGCTCCCCTATCCTTCCTCAGGATATAAGTGATAATTAAAGTCCATGAAAATGCTTAATTACACCTTAAGGAGGTGTTTCTATTTGCTCTGAAACTTTGCGTTTGACAAAGAATTAAAATTCAAGAATGCTTGGGCTCTTGAATGTTCTTTTCCTTTTCAAAACTTTGTCTCAGCTCGTAGCTGCCTTGGCAAATTTTTGCCAGCCACTGAAGGAAGAAGAATATTTTTATCGCAGCATTTGCTGCTGTTTCAGAAATGAAAACATGAATGTTTCAGTGAAGAGGCACTGGCACTGGCAGCAGGACTCAAATCTCAGGAGATGACTTTTCTTATGCAGCAATCTTCTTTAATATTGAAAAATGAAACAATAATATTGCTGGGATTTCTGCTAAAATCCAGTAAACTATAAGATCTTTTATGAAAAGAAGCAAAAGATAATAAAAGAAAAATAAAAGCATCATTAAACAATCAGTGAAGCCTGTCCTAATGAGGGAACAAGGCTTTGATTCTCTACCCTAAGATCTGGCAGTGCTAGTTGGAAATGAAATGATGCAGAGCTGTATAATACAAAGCCCAAGCACAGTCTCCTTTTACCACACATCCCTTGTCTCAGAATTTTATATTCTTGAACTCTGGTGTGCTTCTCTGGTAAAGAAAACACATGCATGCTGTTAGTGGTTTCTCTACAATTATAAAGCAATTAGAATTGTTGAGCGCTATTTTAATAGAGGCTGTTTAGACATGTACTTTAACAAAGATTTAAAAGGGATCACAGACATTTGAAGGACAGTGGCTTTTGAGTGTATTTTCTCAAATTTCTGATGGCGTATTTTAATTTCTTTACAAAAAGGCTGTAGTTTGTGGCTTGAAAATAGTTTAGAAGGAAGGGTCATTTTATAAAAATGCTCTTAACTGAAAAATTGTGCATTTGGTGAACAAGTCACTTTGACTCAGATGAATTTTACAAGTATTTTGATTCTTCTGAGCTTTGGAGATTTCTACGTGCCTGACCACTGGGAGGAATTGGATTAGACTGGGTAGAAAGCATCACTCATGGCAATATGTGCTCTCCATTACAGGAGCTGACCTTTGTTCTGTTGGGGACACCAGCCAGATTCTAATGGATAGTGTTTTTCACATCCTCAGCTCATCAGCCAACTGACAGAGATAATCCAGGACCATTAGTTAAAAAAAGAATCATTATCTTTTGGTTAATCTGAATAAAGTGAAAAAAAAAAAGGTGCCAGTGACAGACCAAGGGCTTTACAAACTGTAGTTAAAGAAATATTAGGAAAAATTAGGAATCCAACTTACAAGGGATGCGAAGGACCTCTTCAAGGAGAACTATAAACCACTGCTCAATGAAATAAAAGAGGATACAAACAAATGGAAGAACATTCCATGCTCATGGGTAGGAAGAATCAATATCGTGAAAATGGCCATACTGCCCAAGGTAATTTATAGATTCAATGCTATCCCCATCAAGCTACCAATGACTTTCTTCACAGAATTGGAAAAAACTACCTTAAAGTTCACATGGAACCAAAAAAGACCCTGCATTGCCAAGTCAATCCTAAGCCAAAAGAACAAAGCTGGAGGCATCACACTACCTGACTTCAAACTATACTACAAGGCTACAGTAACCAAAACAGCATGGTACTGGTACCAAAACAGAGATATAGATCAATGGAACAGAACAGAGCCCTCAGAAATAAGGCCGCATATCTACAACTATGTGATCTTTGACAAACCTGAGAAAAACAAGCAATGGGGAAAGGATTCCCTATTTAATAAATGGTGCTGGGAAAACTGGCTAGCCATGCGTAGAAAGCTGAAACTGGATCCCTTCCTTACACCTTATACAAAAATTAATTCAAGATGGATTAAAGACTTAAATGTTAGACCTAAAACCATAAAAACCCTAGAAGAAAACCTAGGCATTACCATTCAGGACATAGGCATGGGCAAGGACTTCATGTCTAAAACACCAAAAGCAATGGCAACAAAAGCCAAAATTGACAAATGGGATCTAATTAAACTCAAGAGCTTCTGCACAGCAAAAGAAACTACCATCAGAGTGAACAGGAAACCTACAAAATGGGAGAAAATTTTCGCAACCTACTCATCTGACAAAGGGCTAATATCCAGAATCTACAATGAACTCAAACAAATTTACAAGAAAAAAACAAACAACCCCATCAAAAAGTGGGCAAAGGATATGAAGAGACACTTCTCAAAAGAAGACATTTATGCAGCCAAAAGACACATGAAAAAATGCTCATCATCACTGGCCATCAGAGAAATGCAAATCAAAACCACAATGAGATACCATCTCACACCAGTTAGAATGGCAATCATTAAAAAGTCAGGAATCAACAGGTGCTGCAGAGGATGTGGAGAAATAGGAACACTTTTACACTGTTGGTGGGACTGTAAACTAGTTCAACCATTGTGGGAGTCAGTGTGGCGATTCCTCAGGGATCTAAAACTAGAAATACCATTTGACCCAGTCATCCCATTACTGGGTATATACCCAAAGGATTATAAATCATGCTGCTATAAAGACACATGCACACGTATGTTCATTGTGGCACTATTCACAATAGCAAAGACTCGGAAGCAACCCAAATGTCCAACAATGATAGACTGGATTAAGAAAATGTGGCACATATACACCATGGAATACTATGCAGCCATAAAAATTGATGAGTTCATGTCCTTTGTAGGGACATGGATGAAATTGGAAATCATCATTCTCAGTAAACTATTGCAAGGACAAAAAGCCAAACACCGCATGTTCTCACTCACAGATGGGAATTGAACAATGAGAACACATGGACACAGGAAGGGGAACATCACACTCTGGGGACTGTTGTGGGGTCGGGGGAGGGGGGAGGGATAGCTTTAGGAGATATACCTAATGCTAAATGACAAGTTAATGGGTGCAGCACACCAGCATGGCACATGTATACATACGTAACTAACCAGCACATTGTGCACATGTACCCTAAAACTTAAAGTATAATAATAATAATTAAAAAATATATATATATATAGTACAATATTAAACTAGAAATTTTCCATTGGTTAAAAAAAAAATATTTAGTCAAACCCAAAGTTGCAAGGAAAGTGACAGATAATGTCGTGCAGAAAGGATTCCATGCTTTTCTTCACAGAAAACAAAAACCAGTAAGGTTAGTGTAATAATTTTTCTGATGATCATTCAAAGATATATCTGAGAAAAAGAAAAAAAACCATCAAACTAATCAAAAGTAAAGTCATAATATCTGGTACCTTGGGAAGAAATAGATTCTAGTTTCTTTATTGTGCTGTAGGCTAGATAAACAAGTGTGAGATAGACTGGGAAAACAACAATACTTAAAAGCAGATTTCCAATGTTCTTATCATTAGATGGACATAATCATACCAACAATGAAAATAAGCACTGTTTCACTAGGTCACAGGGACAAGAACTTCAGCTTGAAATGATGAAAAGCCAGAGTAGTTTGATGAGTACTGGGTCATGGTCCTAAAAGGTATTTGGCAATTGTGTCCTGTTACTTGTTTCTATTTTTATTTGACATTCACCTTCACGTATTTCTCTGTCATGGCAAAAAAATGTAGGTAATTTGCATGGTATAAGAAATAACTTATGAGCTTCTATAACTAAACTTCAAAAATAGCAATGGCTGAAACAGGTTAGAGAAGAGTTTCCCTTTTGTGTAATAGTTTGAACACAGTGGAGATGGTAACTGCAACCCGGACTGTTAATTTTTTGACCTGCCATCTTCAACTGTCACTGTCCATTTGAGTTCTAAAATGACGACCGTAGCTCCTGCCTTCATATTCTCTTTCCTGCCAGCCAAAAAGGGAATAGGGTGAGAAAAGGGCCTGTCCCTTTTCTTTAAGGGCAGGTTTCAGAGCCTTTACACATCACTTTGATTCATGTTCATTTGGCCCAAACCAAATGAGTGTGGTAACATGACCACACTCGGCTGAAAAATGTAGTCTTTTAACGCGAAGCTATGTGCCATGGTAAAACAGTGGTTCTACTTTTATTTCTAATGTCCAGTTCTCTTTATGCGTTTTTAGTATTTCATCTGAATTTCAGGGCTTTTATTATTTTAGGGATAAAACTTACTTTGAGATACACTTTATGTACTTTGATTACATTACAATGTGTCTTCCTGTATCAATTTATTAATCACTGACAGCTACTACATTACACTAATAACATTACTTGTCCAACTTTGTTAATTCCTCCAATGGATATTGCTGGTGTTAGGCTAAATTTTTATAATATTTTTGTTATAACATTTAACACAATGCTAAAGTCCCATCAAACAGTGTCCTTTAGAGTCTTGAATTGTTGGATTTGCTATTTGAGTGTGTGTGTAGGTGTGTGCATGTGTGTATCAATAAAAGATATCCTTTTGTTTTTGATGGAGAGGGGATGGGTGCGGTAATTTAAAAGAAGAGCTAGAGAAGCTGGAGAAAATTAAAATAAGTCAGTGAAAAATATTTGGGGAAGGGAAGGAAAGGAAAGAGAAGAGATGAGAAGGGAAGTGAGGGGAGGGGAGGAGAGGGGAAGAAAGAGGGAAGGGGAAGGAATGGAGGAAAAAGAGAGGAGGGGATGCCAAGGGAGGGGAAGGAGGTAAAAAAGAGGAGGGAGAAGAGGAGAGGGGAGGGGAGGGAAGAGGAGAGCAGGAGAGGGGAGGGAAGGCAAGGGGAGGGGAGGGGAAGGGAGGGGAGGGGAAGGGAGGGGAGGGAGAAGAGACATATGGGTTCACTTTGCTCCTAAAGGCGCCTGTAGATTCTGAAAAAGAACTTGAGCAGATCATTCTTCAGACTCACAGATATACTCCCTTTGTGGTAAATCATCAAGCTATAGAATTAGAATTTGTGTAATTTCAATTGTCATACTTAAATAAAAATTTTAAAAGGAAATATTTGACATAAAACAAATGAAAGACATTATGTAAAAATAATATAATAAACACCTTTGAACCCAAAATTAAATGGACTCTATCATTCTAAGAAATTTACTTTATATCTCTCTCTGTATATATAGTTTTATAGTAAATAATATGTTTTAGACATAGTCGGAGTTCTACTCCCATCTTTATACCCCACCATCCTTAGAAAACACTATACTGATGTTAGTCACCATTTCTGTGCATGTATTTGTACTTTTATTGTATATAAACATTCGTAAATAATTTGGGCTAATATTTTTATTTCTCAGTTTCATACAGCATATCAATAAGGTACCTTTTGTAATTTTCATTTATCACTCAATATTATTTTTGAGATCTATCCATGTTAATGTATATAGATCAAATTTATTGAAACTCCTATATGTAACTTCAATCTGTGAATAAGCCAACTTATTATCCATTCCCCTACTGAAGGGCAGTTAGATGGTCTCCACATTTTTGCTATTAAAAACATTACTGGGCCGGTCGCGGTGGCTCACGCCTGTAATCCCAGCACTTTGGAAGGCCGAGGCGGCGGATCACGAGGTCAGGAGTCCGAGACCAACCTGACCAAAATGGTGAAACCTCGTCCCTATTAAAAATACAAAAATTAGCCGGGCATGGTGGCGGGCGCCTGTAATCCCAGCTACTCAGGAAGCTGAGACAGGAGAATCGCTTGAACCCGGGTGGCAGAGATTACAGTGAGCCGAGATTGCGTCACTGCACTCCAGCCTCGGCAACAGAGTGAGACTCCGTATCAAAAAAAAAAAAAAAAAATTACTGCAGTCAACAATATCTAGAAAGGCAAAGACAGCGCACTGGAACACACACCTTAATCCTGACTATATATTGTCAAATTACTGTCCAGAATGATTGTAATAGTTGAATTTCCACAAACAATGTGAAAGAGTTCCCATTTTCCCACATTCTTGCCAGTACTTGGTATTTTCAGGCTAGTTATTATGTTTTGGAGGAGTTTTAAATGGTATGCCAATTTGAAATACCAATTGTTTTAATTTATATTTACTAATTACTTGTGGGTTGAACACAAGCTCACTGGTCACTTATATTTCCTCTGTGAATCACATGATCAAGACTGACTATTTTTCTACTGGGTTGACTTTGTTTCTCTCATTTTTAAAGATATTTAAAAATGTGTTCTAGAACTTTATTCTTTGTCTAATAAATAAGTGGCACATATTTTCTTTTAGCATGTAAGTCATTTTGTCATTAAAAGATTTTATTATTATTAAAAGAAGCTTTTATTTATTATTAGTGATAATGCCAAATTTGTCATGTTTTTTCTTTTTTCTTTGTGTTTTTCTCTATCTTAACTAAGAGATAATTCCTTATTCCAATGAAATTATTTTTCATCTAATAATTTTAAGTTTAACTTATCAAATTTGTCTTCATCTGATGTTAATGTTTGTATATGATATGAGATACATATGTAATTTAGTGTTACCGGTATATATAACACCACACCAGTAAGGGAAGTTCCCATCCTTTCTTCAGTTAAGGGAAATGTCATCTCTGTTATATGGCTAGCTTCTGTACGTGCATATGTATTTTTCAGGATGTATGTTTATTCCTGAATGAAGGTCCAAATTTCCATCCCGTATTATATCTTGGGCCTAAAGGACGTCCTTTAATATTTCCTATAGTACTAAAGCTGTATTAGTGATGAATCCTCTCAGCTTTTCTTTATATGAAAATGGCTTTATTTGCCTTTATTTCTGAATGAAATTTCCACTTGATAGAGAATGCTAGGTTGACTGTGTTATTCTTGTTTGTTCTTTCAGCACTTTAAAATGCTGTCCATTATCTTAGCTGTCCCAATATGTTACCAAGTATTTAAAAAATCATTTTTCTGAGTTCATGTCCTTTGTAGGGACATGGATGAAGCTGGAAACCATCATTCTCAGCAAACTATCACAAGGACAAAAAACCAAACACTGCATGTTCCCATTCATAGGTGAGAATTGAACAATGAGAACACATGGACACAGGAAGGGGAACATCACACACCGGGGCCTGTTGTGGGGTGGGGGGAGGGGGGAGGGATAGCATTAGGAGATATACCTAATGTTAAATGATGAGTTAATGGGTGCAGCACACCAACATGGCACATGTATACATATGTAACTAACCTACACATTGTGCACATGTACCCTAAAACTTAAAGTATAATAATAATAATAATAGGTTAAAAAATAAAATAAAATAAAAAATAAAAAATCATTTTTCCCCTGAGTTTTTTTTTTTTTTTTCCTGTGGCTGCCTGTAAGATTCTTATTAAACTTTGCTTTTTAGCCACTTGATTGTGATGTGCCTAGGTGTGATTTGTATGTGTGTGTTTATTCTGCTCAGGGTTTTTAAAGCCTTTTGGAAATATCGCTTTATAATTTTCATCACATTTGGAAAACTTTTAGTCATTATTTCTTCAAATGATTTTTCTACCCCAATCCCCCTCTCCTTTCCTTCTGGATCTCCAATGATATGTAGGTTAGCTGTGTGTCCAATGTTACATGTGTTTGCTTCTTATCTCATAGGCACGATTTACTTATTTTTGCTCTTTTTCCCACTTTATGTCTAAATTTGGATAGCTTTTTAAATCTATTTTCAGATTCACTAATATTTTCTTCTGTAGTTTCCAAACTACTTATTTCTAGTGATTTTTAAAAATTTTAGATATTGTATCATTTTGACTTTAGAATTTGCCTGGATCTTTTTTGTAACTTCTGTTTTTCTGCTAGCTTGCCTACCCATCCTCTGATTTTTGTCCAGCTTTTCCTTTAAGACCTTAAACATATTACTGTTATCTGTTTTAACGTCTTTGTGTGCTTATTCCCGTATCTGTCTCACCTCTGGCTGTTTTGATTGACTGTTTTCTCTCCCGGTTTTGCTTATGCTTTCTCGCTTCTTTATATGTCTAGTAATTGTTTTATTGTATGCTCAACTTCAGGGGTGCTTCATTGGTGAGAGTTTGGCTTATGCAGTCTTCTTTTAAGGAGTGTTGGATTTTACGGTTAAGTCTATTTGAGATTGATTTTAGGCATTTTTGGATAAGTCTAGAACAGCCCCTACCCTAGAGCCACAGTAGCTCTACTCCTGAGGCACCATATTTCTGGAATTTCAACGGAGATCCTGGGTTGTTTGTGAGGTCTCCCCACTGTGGTTTGTTTCCCAGTGCCGTGTCACTCTCGGAATCTCTGTTTTGCTTATGGTTGCCCCAGAAGCTATTCTTTGGCCCTCCAGAGTCTTGCTTTGTGCAGGCATAGCTTAATATTCAGCCAAAGAGTCCAGAGAACCCTTTTGGAGATTTCTGGGAGTCTTTCTTTATGCGGCTCTCTCCTCCTAGTACCTTGTTCCCACAAATCCCAGTTGCCTCAGCAGCTCCAAACTCTAATATGTGCATGCTCGAACCAGGCAGACCTCTACTCTCTGGTAGGTTCCTACTTCCCTGTGCTACAATTGGGAAGGTGCCTCAGGGAGAGAGCTGGGTGAATGTGGGGTTCACCTCATGTGGATCCCTACTCTCTCTCTCTTTTTTTTTAATTTGTTCTAAAAAAAAAAAAAGACAATATGAGATCAAAGCCTTATGTTGCCTATTGTATGATGCCAAAGAACAGATTTTTCCTATAGTTTGTTTTTTAGGTATTTACAGTATAAAGATGAATGTGATTCTTATCACTCTATTACTGCCAGAACCCAAACTTTTTTTATTTCTGAATTTTAAGTCTCTATTAAATCTCAATTTCTTTTTTTTCCCATCAACTTTTATTTTAAGTTCTGGAGTACATGTGCAGAATGTGCAGGTTTGTTACATAGGTACGCGTGTGCTATGGTGGTTTGCTGCACCTATTGACCTGTCCTCTAAGTTCCCTCCCCTCACCCTCCAGTCCCCAACAGGACCTGGTGTGTGTTGTTCCCCTCCCTGTGTCCATGTGTTCTCATTGTTCAACCCCCACTTCTGAGTGAGAACATGCGGTATCTTTCTTTCTTTTTTTGAGATACAGTCTCACTCTGTTGCCCAGGCTGGAGTGTAGTGGCACATTTATAGCTTACTGCAGTCTTAAACTCCTGGGCTCAAGCGATTCTCTCACCTCAGCTTCCTGAGCAGCTGGACTACAGGCGCACACTACCAAATCTAGCTAATTAAAAAAAAAAATTTTTACAGAGATGGGATCTCACTATGTTCCCCAGGCTTGTCTTGAACTCCTGGCCTGAAGCGATCCTCCTGCCTTGGCCTCCCAAAATTCTGGTATTACAGGCATGACTCACGATAACAACTGCAGCCCTTCTCTTGAGAATCAAAGTCTTATGTTGTCTATTGTACGATGCCAAAGAACAGCTTTTTCATATAGTTTGTTTTATAGGTATTTACAGTGGAAAGATGAATGTGATTCTTACCACTCTATTACAGCCAGAACCAAAACTTTTTTTATTTCTGAATTTTAAGTCTCTATTAAACCTCAATTTCTTTTTTTTCCCATCAACTTTTATTTTAAGTTCTGGAATACATGTGCAGGATGTGTAGGTTTGTTACATAAGTACATGTGTGCCATGGTGGTTTGCTGCACAGATCAACCCATCACCTCAGTAATAAGTGCAGCATCCATTAGCTATTCCTCCTGATGCGCTTCTGTCCCCCGCCCCCACCGACAGCCCCCAGTGTGTGTTGTTCCCCCTCCATGTGTTTTCATTGTTCAGCTCCCACTTATAAGTGAGAACATGTGGTATTAAATCCTAATTTCTGACCTCTCATTTATTTCCAGTATTATGATTTTTGCCATCTTTCCTTTTTCTTGGACAATCAAATTAGGACTATCTTTTTAGTAGTATTTTTTCTTTTTCTGTACAGTCACAGAAATTATTCAAATATTTTGTAATCTTTTGAGTTATATGTTTGGCTTATTAATTTTTGATATGTTTTTATTTTCTAATATGTTCATTTAAGACTATAAATTTCTAAGTCCACCAGTACTTGACTACAAAAGTTTTAACATATAGTATTTCCATTATTTGTGTTCTAAATATTTTTAATTGCAATAAAATTATTGCAATAAAAATAAATTTTGTTGTAAAACATATGTAACATAAAATTCATCATTTTAACCATTTTAAATGTACAGTTCAATGACATTAAGTTCATTCGGAATGTCACAAACTATTACCAGTATTCGCTTCCAGAACTTTTTAGTATCTCAGAAAACTCTGTACCCAGTAAGCAATAAGTCCCCATTCTCCCTTCCTGTCAGTCCCTGGTATATTCTATTTTCTATCTCCAAGAATTTGCCTTTAATTGCAAGTTTAAGTTTTAAGTTTTTTCTTTGCCCTATGAGTTATTAATTAATGTGTCTGTATGTGTGTGTGCAAATGATGAGAACACATGAACACATTGCGGGGAACAACACACACTGACTGGGGTCTGTTGGAGGGCAGGTGGTGGGAGGAGGGAGAGGATCAGGAGGAATAGCAACAGCTAGTGGCTGTTGGACTTAATACCTGGGTGATGGGATGAGCTGGGTAGCAAACCACCGTGGCACACGTTTACCTATGCAACAAACCTGCACATCCTGTACATTAAACCCTAAACTTAAAAATTGGAAATAAAAAAATTTATAAACATATTGGTTTTGTTATGTTTTTAAAATTGCTTTTTTGCTTTGTTACAATAGCTGATTTTTTCTACCTATATTCCTTAGACTTATTATTTCATTGTACTCCAGACAACTTCCAATTGCTATTATGTGCTTCTCTGAGCCAGAGAGTTTTTTCTGGAACCATGAAACAGTGTTCTGCTTAAATACAGGAGGGAAGTGCTGGATAATTAGTATCCCCTAGGAACTATCACCAGCCAATGACTAAGGGGAGTTAGTGCATAAACACCCCAGTGCTCTCACGCCTTGGGTAGGATAATTTTGAGACATATTTACACAATTTGTCAGAGTTTCTCAATTGAATTAAACTCCAATTATCCACTGTTGTAGCTGTCTTAAAAGATATTCTTTCTTGTCTGACTTTCCTTTCCTGTATCACTTCCTCACCCACCTTCTAATGTTCATAGATTCAGGAATAATAAACCACCTTCAATCAAATCCTTGTCTCAAGGTATGCTTCTGAAGAATTTGAAACGAGACCCCTGCATGGTGATTGGAAAAGGTGTTTAGATATCAGTGCTTCAATATTTGATGACAATTGCCTTATGTCAGATACATAGGCAAATTTTATAATGGTCCATATGAGCACAAAGTGAATTCTTATTCTCTAATTACTACTGCAGAGATCTATAAATTTTTATTAGATAAGAATTCATTTTTGTAGTTCAGATATTGTAGAATTTTGTTTGCATGTATGATCAACCAACTCTTCAGAAAGATGTACTTTAATTCAAATATAATGGATGTTTATAAATATTCTCTTCAATTCCTATTTAACTTTCTATATCTGGAGGTTATGCTATTATCTATATATCGATTTTGAAAAATTATATATTCCTTCCTAATTTTTATTTTTAGCAGTAGCCAGTGACACATATTTACATTTAATAATGTTTTTCATTTTAAATTCTACTTTATCAAATATCAACAGAACAATTTTTATTATGTATAATTTTTTCCATTGTATTTTTCTTCCCGTTTATCTAAACTTTCCTGTGTCTTCTTTTTATAGGTATTCATTGGAACACAGACATTGAGTGTCTTTCCAGTTTCCTTTAACCTCCTTGCTTTATTGCTCTTGGTTGTCACCACACCAACAGTCTGCTGCCTCTTCAGTTTTGGCATTTGGTGAAGCCATACACCATGGGATGGGGAACCTGGCTTCCTGAGTAGCCACTGAGGGCCCAAATGATATCATCCATACATGTAGAGAAATTAGCTCCCAAGGGAGTGAGCCATTACTAATAGAGAATTAAGAGGAAAGGAGAAGTGAGACAAATTCTCCCTCTTTTTCTCTCCCGTTAACTGCTCAAAGGTACAAGTCCTCCTCTATACCATTCTGGAGACCTGTGTACCAACTGAACATGGCTGCCTAGCTACCTGCTGAGTCTCTTTGACCTTATTAGAAGGAGGCAGCCAGTGCAGGAACACCTTGCATTGCTTTGTATTTCACTTTTCTTTGCCTCACGTCCTTCAAAATAAGCACTTTATTTTAGAAGAGTTTAGGTCTATAAAGGTATGCAAAGATAATATAAAGAGTTTCCATACACCCCATGCCAATTTTTCCTATTGTTAACATCTTACATTACTATGGTGCATTTGTTATAACTAATGTACCAATATTGAGACATTATTAAAAACTAAAGTCCATACTTTATTCAGATTTCCTTAGGTTTTATCTAAATATCCCCTTTCTGTTCCAGAATCTTACCTAGGATATCACCTTGCATTTGGTCATTATGTCTCCCTAGGCTTCTTTTGACCAAGAGAGTTTCTTAGACTTTACTTGTTTTAATAACTTTGACCATTTTGAGGAATACCGTTGAGGTAATTGGTAGAATCTTTCTCAGTTGGAATTTATTTGATGTTTTTCTCATGATTAGACTAGAATTATATGTTTTTGAGGAGATAGACCACAGATTGCTATTTTCATCATATGTCATCAAAAGTACATACTATCAGCATGGTTTATCACTGCTGATGTTAACCTTGATCACCTGAGGTAGTGTTTGTCAGGTTTCTCCACAGTTAAGTTACTCTTCTTCCCCTTTCCACACTGAACTGTTTAGAAAGAGGTCCCTATGCATAGCCCATGCTGAAGAAGTGGGGAATTATGCTCCTACCCTTGAGGGCAGAGTATCTGCAAAAATTATTTGGAATTATTCTTCCTGGGGGTTTTGTTTTCTCCCACTTTTATTTACTTATTCTATCATTTATTTATGTCAATATGAACTCATGAATTTTATCTTATACTTTCATTTATAATGCAACACTTTGTTTTTGTTTTTGTTTTCTTAAATTGTTTCAGTTTTGACTATTGGGAATTCTTTCAATTGTCTCCTGTATTTCTTTGACATATCCTATAAATTTTTACTTGGAGCATTTCCTTATTTTCTGGCACAAGATATTCCAGACTCATCTTGTATACCTCCTGCCCAAATCCTAGAATCAGCCATTTCTCCAAGGAGCCCTGATAAGTTTTTTTAATTGGAATATAGTGTTAGAAATCAGGCATGTTCCTTACTGCTGGGACATCATTGCCTCCAGGTCCTCTTAGCTGGCAGAACAAGGAAATATGTGTGTTATATTCACCTCTGTATACACACATAGCTACAAATATTTCTACTTGTAATAATCTCTGTAAATAGTAAGCTAAACATGAGTTCATACTGATATCTCCAACCAGAATCCATTACCATATGGATCATTCCAGCCTTCCCTTTGCTTATCTATATCCTACCACTATAACAGTGAGAAATCTGGCTCCCACTATCCATTATCCAGCATATATGTAAAACAGCGTCAGAACTGTTAACCCATTTCCCCATGGAAAACAACTTTACCAACTAGAGTTCAGTGCTTACATACAGTTCTTTTGCTTTTAGTCTTATACTTTCCAGTCATTTTCAATGTTACTTAGATTTTTCTCCTTTATTTCCCATGCTCTTCAGTGAAGTTGTACATATTCTAATACTGTTGGATTGTTCTGTCACATTCTGAATTTCAATCTGGACCCCTCAAATCTAAATGATTTTTTAAAACTTTGCATACATTAAGGCTTATTCCTTGTGCTGTGAAGTTCTGTGCGTTCAGACAAATGCATAGTACATGTAGCTACCATTACAGCACCATACAGAATAGTTTGACCATCAAAAAAGTGTCCCCTGTGCTTCATTCATTAAACACTACCCCTAAACATGCCCTGAACTCCTGGCAACTACTGATCATTTTATTGTCTCTATAGTTTTACCTTTTCTAGAATATCATATAACTAAAATAATATAATATGTAGCCTTTTAAAACTGGCTTCTTTCATTTAAATACACTTTTAATGCTCCATGTCTTTTCATGGCTTGCTAGCTCTCTTTTTGTTTTGCTGAATAATATTCATTATGTATATATACCACAGTCTATTCATCCATTCACCAACTGAAGGACATCTTGGTTGCTTCCAGTTTGGGGGGCGGGGGGATTTTGAATAAAACTAAACATTTGTGTACAGGTTTTTAATGGATGTATATTTTCAAATTAATTGTCTAAATATCTAGAAACAATTGCTGAATCATATGGTAAAACTATGTTTAGCTTTGTAAGAACCTACCAAACTGTCTTCCAAAGTGGCTGCATGCACCATTTTGCATTTGCACTAACAATGAATAAAAATTCCTATTGCTCTGAAATTTCTCTGACCATTAGTATTGCCAACTTTTTCTTTTCGACTTTATTTTAGCCATTCTAATAGGTATGTACTGGTATCTCATTATTTTAATGCAATTTTCTACCAGCAGATCTGGTTGAACATTTTACATATGTATATCTGCATCTTTTCTTTGGTGAGGTGTCTGTTTAGATCTTTTGCCCATTTTAACTTCTTTTCTTTTGTTGAGCTGTAAGTATTCTTTGCATATTTTAGATATAAGTCCTTATTCAAATATATGTTTTGCAAATATTTGCAAATTTTTCTTCAGTATATGGTTTCTCTTTTCTTTCTCTTGACAGGTTTTTCACAAAGCAAACATTTTTTAATAAATTTTACTTATCAGTTTTTTCCCTTCATGTGTCATGTTTTTAGTGTTGTAGCTAAAAGCTCATCACCAAATCCAAGTTTACAGATTTTTTTTTCCCACGTTTTCTCCTGGAAGCTTCATAGTTTTTTCTTTTACATGTAGCTTTATGATTAATTTTGAGTTAATATCTTATGGAAGGAATAAAGTAAATGTCTGTGTTCTTTTTGTGCATCTGGATGTCCACTTGTTAATGTCAGCACCATTTACTGGGAAGAGTATCTTTTCTCCATTTGGTTGTCTTTGCTCCTTGGTCAAAGATCAGTTGATTGTGTGGGTCTCTTTCCAGGCTCTCTAGTCTGTTTTCTTTTCTTTTTTTTTTGGCTTTTTTTTATTATTATTATACTTTAAGTTTTAGGGTACATGTGCACAACATGCAGGTTTGTTACTTATGTATACATGTGCCATGTTGGTGTGCTGCACCCATTAACTCATCATTTAGCATTACGTATATCTCCTAATGCTATCCCTCCCTCTTCCCCCAACCCCACAACTGTCCCTGGTGTGTGATGTTCCCCTTCCTGTGTCCACGTGTTCTCATTGTTCAATTACCACCCATGAGTGAGAACTTGTGGTGTTTGGTTTTTTGTCCTTGTGATAGTTTGCTGAGAATGATAGTTTCCAGCTTCATCCATGTCCCTACAAAGGACATGAACTCATCAATTTTTATGGCTGCATAGTATTCCATGGTGTATATGTGCCACATTTTCTTAATCCAGTCTATCATTGTTGGACATTTGGGTTGGTTCCAAGTCTTTGCTATTGTGAATAGTGCTGCAATAAACATACGTGTGCATGTGTCTTTATAGCAGCATGATTTATAATCCTTTGGGTATATATCCAGTAATGGGATGGCTGGGTCAAATGGTATTTCTAGTTTTAGATCCCTGAGAAATTGCCACACTGACTTCCACAATGGTTGAACTAGTTTACAGTCCCACCAACAGTGTAAAAGTGTTCCTATTTCTCCACATCCTCTCAGGCACCTGTGGTTTCCTGACTTTTTAATGATCACCATTCTAACTGGTGTGAGATGATATCTCATTGTGGTTTTGATTTGCATTTCTCTGATGGCCAGTGATGATGAGCATTTTTTCATGTGTCTTTTGGCTGCATAAATGTCTTCTTTTGAGAAGTGTCTGTTCATATCCTTCGCCCACTTTTTGATGGGGTTGTTTTTTTCTTGTAAATTTGTTTGTGTTCATTGTAGATTCTGGATATTAGCCCTTTGTCAGATGAGTAGGTTGCAAAAATTTTCTCCCATTCTCTAGGTTGCCTGTTCACTCTGATGGTGGTTTCTTTTTTTTTTTTTTTTTTTTTTTGAGATGGAGTCTGGCTGTGTCCGCCAGGCTGGAGTGCAGTGGCGTGATCTCAGCACACTGCAAGCTCTGCCTCCCATTCGGAGGTTCGCGTCATTCTCCTGCCTCAGCCTCCCAAGTAGCTGGGACTACAGGCATCTGCTACCACACCCGGCTAATTTTTTGTATTTTCAGTAGAGACAAGGTTTCACGGTGTTAACCAGGATGGTTTTGATCTCCTGACCTAGTGATCTGCCCGCCTCGGCCTCCCAAAGTGCTGGGATTACAGGCGTGAGCCACCACGCCCGGCCAGTTTCTTTTGCTGTGCAGAAGCTCTCTAGTTTAATTAGATCCCATTTGTCAATTTTGGCTTTTGATGCCATTGCTTTTGGTGTTTTAGACATGAAGTCCTTGCCCATGCCTATGTCCTGAATGGTATTGCCTAGGTTTTCTTCTAGGGTTTTTATGGTTTTAGATCTAACATTTAAGTCTTTAATCCATCTTGAATTAATTTTTGTATAAGGTGTAAGGAAGGGATCTAGTTTCAGCATTCTACTTATGGCTAGCCAGTTTTCCCAGCACCATTTATTAAGTAGGGAATCCTTTCCCCATTGCTTGTTTCTGTCAGGTTTGTCAAAGATCAGATGGTTGTAGATATGCGGCATTATTTCTGAGGGCTCTGTTCTGTTCCATTGGTCTATATCTCTGTTTTGGTACCAGTACCATGCTGTTTTGGTTACTGTAGCCTTGTAGTATAGTTTAAAGTCAGGTAGTGTGATGCCTCCAGCTTTGTTCTTTTGGCTTAGGATTGACTTGGCGATGCAGGCTCTTTTTTGGTTCCATATGAACTTTAAAGCAGTTTTTTCCAATTATGTGAAGAAAGTCATTGGTAGCTCGATGGGTATGGCATTGAATCTATAAATTACCTTGGGCAGTAAGGCCATTTTCACGATATTGATTCTTCCTACCCATGAGCATGAAATGTTCTTCCATTTATTTGTGTCCTCTTTTATTTCATTGAGCAGTGGTTTGTAGTTCTCCTTGAAGAGGTCCTTCACATCCCTTGTAAGTTGGATTCCTAGGTATTTTATTCTCTTTGAAGCAATTGTGAATGGGAGTTCACTCATGATTTGGCTCTCTGTTTGTCTGTTATTGGTGTATAAGAATGCCTGTGATTTTTTCACGTTGATTTTGTATCCTGAGACTTTGCTGAAGTTGCTTATCAGCTTAAGGAGATTTTGGGCTGAGACAATGGGGTTTTCTAGATATACAATCATGTCATTTGCAAAGAGGGACAATTTGACTTCCTCTTTTCCTAATTGAATGCCCTTTATTTCCTTCTCCTGCCTGATTGTCCTGGCCAGAACTTCCAACACTATGTTGAATAGGAGTGGTGAGAGAAGGTATCCCTGTCTTGTGCCAGTTTTCAAAGGGAATGCTTCCAGTTTTTGTCCATTCAGTATGATATTGGCTATGGGTTTGTCATAAATAGCTCTTATTATTTTGAGATACGTCCCATCAATACCTAATTTATTGAGAGTTTTTAGCATGAAGGGTTGTTGAATTTTGTCAAAGGCCTTTTCTGCATCTATTGAGAAAATCAAGTGGTTTTTGTCTTTGGTTCTGTTTATATGCTAGATTATGTTTATTGATTTTTGTATGTTGAACCAGCCTTGCATCCGAGGGATGAAGCCCACTTGATCATGGTGGATAAGCTTTTTGATGTGCTGCTGGACTCGGTTTGCCAGTATTTTATTGGGGATTTTTGCATCAATGTTCATCAAGGATATGGGTCTAAAATTCTCTTTTCTTGTTGTGTCTCTGCCTGGCTTTGGTATCAGGATGATGCTAGCCTCATAAAATGAGTTAGGGAGGATTTCCTCTTTTTCTATTGATTGGAATAGTTTCAGAAGGAATTGTACCAACTCCTCCTTGTACTTCTGGTAGAATTCGGCTGTGAATCCATCTGGTCCTGGACATTTTTTGGTTGGTAAGCTATTAATTATTGCCTCAATTTCAGAGCCTGTTATTGGTCTATTCAGAGATTAAATTTCTTCCTGGTTTAGTCTTGGGAGAGTGTATGTGTCGAGGAATTTATCCATTTCTTCTAGATTTTCTAGTCTATTTGCATAGAGGTGTTTATAGTATTCTCTGATGGTAGTTTGTATTTCTGTGGGATCGGTGGTGATATCCCCTTTGTCATATTTTATTGCGTCTATTTGATTCTTCTCTCTTTTCTTCTTTATTAGTCTTGCTAGTGGTCTATCAATTTTGTTGATCTTTTCAAAAAACCAGCTCCTGGATTCATGGATTTTTTGAAGGGTTTTTTGTGTCTCTATTTCCTTCAGTTCTGCTCTGATCTTAGTTATTTCTTGCCTTCTGCTAGCTTTTGAATGTGTTTGCTCTTGCTTCCCTAGTTCTTTTAATTGTGATGTTAGGGTGTCAATTTTAGATCTTTCCTGCTTTCTCTTGTGGGCATTTAGTGCTATAAATTTCCCTCTACACACTGCTTTGAATGTGTCCCAGAGATTCTGGGATGTTGTGTCTTTGTTCTTGTTGGTTTCAAAGAACATTTTTATTTCTGCCTTCATTTCGTTATGTACCCAGTAATCATTCAGGAGCAGGTTGTTCAGTTTCCATATGGTTGAGCGGTTTTCAGTGAGTTTCTTAATCCTGAGTTCTAGTTTGATTGCACTGTGGTCTGAGAGACAGTTTGTTATAATTTCTGTTCTTTTCCTTTTGCTGAGGAGAGCTTTACTTCCAACTATGTGGTCAATTTTGGAATAGGTGTGGTGTGGTGCTGAAAAGAATGTGTATTGTGTTGATTTCGGGTGGAGAGTTCTGTAGATGTCTATTAGGTCCGCTTGGTGCAGAGCTGAGTTCAATTCCTGAATATCCTTGTTAACTTTCTGTCTCATTGATCTGTCTAATGTTGACAGTGGGGTGTTAAAGTCTCCCACTATTATTGTGTGGGAGTCTAATTCTCCTTGTAGGTCACTAAGGACTGGCTTTATGAATCTGGATGCTCCTGTATTGGGTGCATATATATTTAGGATAGTTAGTTCTTCTTGTTGAATTGATCCCTTTACCATTATGTAATGGCCTTCCTTTTCTCTTTTGATCTTTGTTGGTATAAAGTCTGTTTTATCCGAGACTAGGATTGCAACCCTTGCCTTTTTTTGTTTTCCATTTGCCTGGTAGATCTTCCTCCATCCCTTTATTTTGAGCCTATGTGTGTCTCTGCACGTGAGATGGGTTTCCTGAATACAGCAAACTGATGGGTCTTGACTCTTTATCCAATTTGCTAGTCTGTTCCTTTTAATTGGAGCATTTAGCCCATTTGCATTTAAGGTTAGTATTGTTATGTGTGACTTTGATCCTGTCATTATGATGTTAGCTGGTTATTTTGCTCGTTAGTTGATGCGGTTTCTTCCCAGCCTTGATGGTCTTTACAATTTGGCATGTTTTTGCAGTGGCTGGTACTGGTTGTTCCTTTCCATGTTTAGTGCTTCCTCAGGAGCTCTTTTAGGGCAGGCCTGGTGGTGACTAAATCTCTCAGCATTTGCTTGTCTGTAGAGGATTTTATTTCTCCTTTACTTATGAAGCTTAGTTTGGCTGGATATGAAATTCTGGGTTGAAAATTCTTTTCTTTAAGAATGTTGAATATTGGCCCCCACTCTCTTCTGGCTTGTAGAGTTTCTGCCAAGAGATCAACTGTTAGTCTGATGGGCTTCCCTTTGTGGGTAACCCAACCTTTCTCTCTGGCTGCCCTTAACATTTTTTCATTCCTTTCAACTTTGGTGAATCTGACAATTATGTGTCTTGGAGTTGCTCTTCTCGAGGAGTATCTTTGTGGCGTTCTCTCTATTTCCTGAATTTGAACGTTGGCCTGCCTTGCTAGATTGGGGAAGTTCTCCTGGATTATATCCTGCAGGGTGTTTTTCAACTTGGGTCCATTCTTCCTGTGACTTTCAGGTACACCAATCAGACGTAGATTTGGTCTTTTCACATAATCCCATATTTCTTGGAGGCTTTGTTCGTTTCTTTTTATTCTTTTTTCTCTAAACTTCTCTTCACGCTTCATTTCATTCATTTCATCTTCCATCGCTGATACCCTTTCTTCCAGTTGATCTCATCGTTTACTGAGGCTTGTGCATTCATCACGTAGTTGTTGTGCCGTGGTTTTCAGCTCCATCAGGTCCTTTAAGGACTTCTCTGCATTGGTTATTCTAGTTATTCATTCATCTAATTTTTTTTCAAAGTTTTTAACTTCTTTGCCATTGGTTTGAACTTCCTCCTTTAGCTCGGAGTAGTTTGATCTTCTGAAGCCTTCTTCTCTCAACTCTTCAAAGTCATTCTCTGTCCAGCTTTGTTCCGTTGCTCGTGAGGAGCTGCATTACTTTGGAGGTGGAGAGGTGCTCTGATTTTTAGAGTTTCCGGTTTTTCTGCTCTGTTTTTTCCCCATCTTTGTGGTTTTATCTAACTTTCGTCTTTGATGATGGTGACATACAGATGGGTTTTTGGTGTGGATGTCCTTTCTGTTTGTTAGTTTTCCTTCTAACAGTCAAGACCCTCAGCTGCAGGTCTGTTGCAGTTTACTGGAGGTCCACTCCAGACCCTGTTTGCCTGGGTATCAGCAGCAGTGGCTGCAGAACAGCGGATATTGGTGAACGGCAAATGCTGCTGCCTGATGGTTCCTCTGGAAATTTTGTCTCAGAGGGGTATCTGGCTGTGTGAGGTGTCAGTCCGTCCCTACTGGGGGATGCCTCCCAGTTAGGTTACTCGGGCGTTAGGGACCCACTTGAGGAGGTAGTCTGCCCGTTCTCAGATATCAAGCTGCGTGCTGGGAGAACCACTGCTCTCTTCAAAGCTGTCAGACAGGGACATTTAAGTCTGCAGAGGTTATTGCTGCCTTTTGTTTGTCTGTGCCCTGCCCCTAGAGGTGGAGCCTACAGAGGCAGGCAGGCCTCCTTGAGCTATGGTGGGTTCCACCCAGTTCGAGCTTCCCAGCCGCTTTGTTTACCTGCTCAAGCCTGGGCAATGGCGGGCACCCATCCCCCAGCCTCACTGCCACCTTGCAGTTTGATCTCAGACTGCTGTGCTAGCAATGAGCGAGGCTCCGTGGACATAGGACCCTCTGAGCCAGGTATGGGATATAATCTCCTGGTGTGCCGTTTGTTAAGCCCGTTGGAAGAGCGCAGTATTAGGATGGGAGCGACCCGATTTTCCAGGTGCTGTCTGTCACCCCTTTCTTTGACCAGGAAAGGGAATTCCCTGACCCCTTGCACTTCCCAGGTGAGGCGATGCCTCGCCCTGCTTCGGCTCATGCACGGTGCGCTGCACCCACTGTCCTGTACCCACTGTCTGGCACTCCCCAGTGAGATGAACCTGTACCTCAGTTGGAAATGCAGAAATCACCCATCTTCTGTGTGGCTCACGCTGGGAGCTGTAGACTGTACCTATTCCTATTCAGCCATCTTGGCTCTACCCACCTCTATTCTGTTTTCTTTATCTGTTATTCTTTCACCAGTACCACACTGTCTTGATTACTGTTGCTTTATACTAAGTAGTATGAACCTTCCAAGTTTGTTCTTTTTCTTCAGTGGCTTATTTCCCTTTTTTTTTTTTTTCCTCTTCATCCTGCTTCATGCTTCCATTTACTAAAAAGTGTTAGCATCTTAATCCTTGCCTCGTGTTCTGTTTTGTGGAAGGCCAATGTTACAGACTAAATGGTTGTGTCTCTTCAAAATTCATGTTAAAGCCCCATTGTAGCTGTAGTTGGCCAAAGGAAGTAACTAAGATTAAATAAGGTCATAAGGGTGAGGTCCTAAGCCAATAGGATTAGTGAGCTTATAGGGAGAGATACCAGAGGGAACCTCACCCTCTTTTTCTCTATGCAGACACTGAGGAAAGGCCATGTGAGGACACAGCTGGAAGGTGACTGTCTAGAAGCCAGGAAGAGAGTTCTCACCAGAAACCAACCCTGATAGTACCTTGATATGAGACTTTTAGCCTCCAAAACTATGAGAAAAGAAATGTTTATTGTTTAAGCCACCCTAGCCTGTGGTATTTTGTTATGGCAGCCCAAACATACTGATACCACCAGAACAAGGCAAAATATAACTTTTGTAGATGTTAAAGAGCTATATTCTGTTTCTTAATCTAATCTTGGAATCTTTTAACTGATGAGGTTAGTTCATTTAAATTTATTTTATTTTGGCAGTTTTTATTTATATTACTTTATTTTATGATTTTTATATTATATCTGGGTTTTCTCTCAAAACAAGTATTAGACTGATTTATTTTTCTTAATTGTTTCTTTTCTATCATTGGTTTGGAAATTACACATTTAATCTCTATACTTTTATGATTTACCATTTCATTTTTAAAATGTATGCCTGTCTGAACAAAGTCCAAAGTGAATTCATAATTTTACAACCTTTTCAAATATTACAAAGCCTTTAGAAACTTTAATTCTGATTATCCCCTCTTCTCTTATATGCCATTTGTCTAAGATTTTTACTTTAACTTTATTTTTATGAACCCCACATTGTGTATCATTATTCTCATTTTTATATCATTAGCATGTGATTAGGTTTACCTTATGTTTGCCAATTATTTTGCCCATTATTGCCTTTGGAAACTCTTTTCTTCCTTCTGTGTTCAAGGTTCTTCTTTCTGAGGTATATAGCTACTGTAGTGAGGGTATGTTATGATAAAGCCTTTATGTCTTTTTTTGTCCAAAATTGCCCTTTTTATACTTTCAGTCTTGATTGATAGTTTGTCTAGTATATAATTCTAGCTTGACAGTTATTTTTTTCTCAGCAATGTAAAGATAATGCTCATTTATACTCTGGCCTCTATTGTTACCATAAGAAGTCTATTGTCAAGAGTTTTTCCTTTGTTTATCTTAGTTAAAGCTTTTAATTCTTGGATCTAAGGATTCATGTCTTTCATCAGTTCTATAAAATTCTCAGCCACCATTTGGTTACACTATGACTCTTTGTCATTCTTTCTCTTTTTCCTCCTGTACTTTTTGCATACATATATTAGATCTCATTCTCCTTCATGTCACTGAATAATCTCTTTTGCATTTTCAATTTCTTTATGTTCCTTTGATACATTTCATTTAATTTCCTCCAATCTACCTTCTAATTCAAAATATTTGCTTTTAGTTGTTTTTAATATGCAGCATAAGCTACTTGTTTATGGCTTGATTTAAAAAGTCCTTTTTATTTGTTTTAATCTATGTGGCTTTTGCTTATTTTATTTTTTGTACATTTCTTACAGCTTTAATTCTCATTACTTTTAATTATGTGAACACAATAATTTTATATTATCTATTAGAAGACACTCTAATGTGAAAATATTGATCTTCTAATGCTGTTACCTGCTGTGTCTTTAGTTTCTCGTCCATTTTAGATTATTTACTTGTGAAGATTCAAGTTTAGAGGTGCTTTATCTGTGGAAGTTGTGGAGCACACATGCTCTAATGTTGTCATTGTGTCTAACAGGTGTCCAGAATTATCACTGGTACAGGAGCATATTTATGTTAATTTCTTATTTTGGATATTCCTGAACATTGAAGATTTTGAAGCTAGTACAAATTTGAACCACACACTTGTTCATGAAACAGGCTCAGAGTACAAATTCTTCAGGAACTCAAGCAGAGATAGGTAAGCTTTTCTGTTGTCTTCCTGTGTCAGTGGGCACAGATGATTTAGTCCTATATTTTACTGAGGCCTAGTCCTTCAAGGTTTCCAGCTCTCCCCTCATGGGCTTCTGAGTAATGTACTCTGTTACCCTAAGGACTTTAACATAAAAGCTCTTAGGCTACTTGAACTGGCAAACTCTACTCCCCCAGTCTCTCACAGACCCTGTCACCCAGAGCTAACTAACCATGAAAGCCTCAGCTGTGCCTCACGGTATTATACCCTGCCTCTCAGAATACCTGTCACCTGGGGATTTTTCTTACTTTTCCTGTTACCTCAACTACACATATTAAAATAATGTTATATATTATGTGCTTATGAGGAAAGATGGGGTTCAGGTAAATTCACACTATTTAATGAACAAGAAGACCTGAATTTGTTTCTTTAAATGTCTCAAAGTTTGAAGAGTTTGATGATAATTGTATGCCAGATTTGAAGTTACATTATTATTTAGTCCACCTAATGACACAAAGGAAGAGTAGCATAAGGTCAGTTGTAATGATCACAGAGCAGGGCTTGGTGTTTCCTACTGCATATCTTTTAGGAAGTGTTTTCCTACGTTTAATATTTCTGTTAGTGGCTTGAATCACTGCACAAGCACTCATGTCAAAAGTTCTTATAAATATGTAGAAATCACACCCCAATTTAGGGCTCTAATTAACATATAGAATACATTAATGAAGTGTATTCTATGTTCAGTAATTCCATCATACTCTAATTTTAATTTGTTGCATTTTTGCCCTGGGAATGTGAGACAGGATGGAATTACACAGCTATTTAAATCCCCTTTAAGGAAGTGGCAGTGTATTAATGAGACATAATGGGAGATATTGACAAGCGGAGATGCCCTGAGTTGGTAGAGCATGAACCAGATGTCTGCCTCTTCATTAGTGTATGAGCATCTGGAAGGCAGGCAAAGTGCTACATTCATCTCAGAATTTCTAGAGTGGCGTACCAGGCTTGGCTCATGGTAGGGGCTAAATAACTCTGGAGAGAGAGAGAGGAGAGGGTATGGGATGGGAGAAAGAGAGTAAAAAAGAGATGAAAAAAAAGGGAGGAGCAGCTCCTGACCATCACTATGATACTTACAGAAAAAGAAGAATCTAACCTACTTCCTGGTTCTGATATCTGGCACATGAATGCAGCTGTCCTTGAGAATTACTTCATGTTCTCAAGTGCATTGAAATCCCAAAGATTCCATCAATATGATTAAAGATTTTAGGGGCTTGCACCATAGATTACATATCTGTTAAGCTACATGTCTGAACTGCAGGAACTTGCATTCTTAGTAGGCTCTGATACTTGCCACCCATGTTAGCAAATTTTATTTCTTGAATAAGGCAAATATTTCTGAGCTGCTCCCATATTTTGAGAGACCCGTTTCTTCCTTTCTTAATGACCTGAACTCCATTTTCACCCTGATCCATTTCTTAGAAATTTCTGTGCCTTTCTTTCAGCAAAACCTAAGTTTCAGAAACAGAATAAGATGGTTGAAGACTTTCATTATCTTTCTGAATTGTAGAGTTTATCAACTGTATAAATGTTTTGCCTCAATGGGAGGAGGTATTATGACTGAATTGTACCTTCAATAAACCTCTTGCCAGTGCTGGAGAAAAATTTCCTTGGGCTGGGCAGCTTAGCCACACCTAAGAAAACAATGAATGTGAAAGCACTTTAAGAGTGAAGTTCTGTGTGGAGTCCTCATGGTGAACATTATGCTCTGCACTAGGCTATGAAATGATGATGGCCAACCATGGATAGAAGCTAGTGGGGCTTTCTACTCTGCTTAAACTGTTCCCATTCCAATGTGCAAAACACTGCTCAAGAGTTTCCTTGTTGGAGACTGACAGACAGAAAAGAAGAAGAATGCATTGTGTTCTCAGAGAAACCCAGACAAGAAAAGATTGGAGCTGCTGAGCTGAGAGCACTGAGAACTGAGAGCACTCAATCTTTTATGTCCTTTTGGAGGTACAGCATGGGAGAAATGGGATCACCTGGTAGTAGGACTCCAGTTGCTCCCAATGCGACTTCCTGCCTTGGTGAAGTCTACTGGAAGGGTGAGTAGATATAAATGAACATCCATTTCCTTCATCCCACCATTTCTCTGCCTGTTTCCTCATCTGCCTTACTCACTTTCCTTTAAATATATTTTAAACATAATTTTTAAAACAGCTTTATTGGCTCCCATCAATGTAGCAGTATTTCTTCAAGTGTGATCCATAAACCTCTTATGATTCCAGGGAATATACAGTCAGTTCTAATTTCAGAAACTAAAACATTGATAATAATGTACTAATAGTATCACTACATAAAATAGGTAGGAGCTTGTATAGCTGATAGCATACACTTTGCTTCACATTTGGCTGAAACCACTGATGTATACATTTAAGTAGTTTCTCAGCATGTGTAGAATACATATGAAGAAGTAAGCAACATATTTTTATTATGTTAATATTGGAAAGCCATGCTATAGGAAGAAAACATTTTACTAGTAAGAAAAACAAAACCATTTTTCTAGAGTTAAACAAATAGTGAAATCATGCAGTAGGCATATTGGGATCAGGTTCAAAGGAGATCATCTACATATGCTGTTGTGGACATTAAAGGAACATAAAGTACTTGAGTGCTAGAACCTTATTGTTTGCAAAGAAAACAGTTGGCAGAATATTTCCTGATCTTGATCTAATATTGAATGAAATGAGAAAGAAACAAATTTTATCAAGTTCTAGCCAATAAGCCCACATCTTTTTGATCCAATGAGCAAGTAAATTGGCAATAATTATTAAATATCTTGCTCCTTTTTCATTGATAAGTTGTCATAAGAGGATTTCAAATGAGGAAAGGGAAAATCATTTCTCTCTGACCCTGATAATATCAATAAAGACCAGATTAATGCTTTTAAGGGTTTTTCACAAGAGATGTATCTCAGAATATAGTCAATATCTTAATAGACAACTAATTACTCCAGGCCTGAAATAGCATAATTATTAATGCTGAATAAATGATATCAAGATTTTTGATGAAAATCATATTGAGCTAAATGTTTGGCCCTTTACTGATATTTTTTATTTTCATTAAGATTGGAACTTACGTTGAATATTTATATTATGGTGGCCTTTAAAGTTCTTGCTGGTAAAGTGATATTTTAGTCAAGATTTGAAGGAAGTGAAGGAGCCAGCTATATGGATATCTGAGAGAAGAGCATTCCACTCAGAGGGAACAGCAAGTGCAACATTCCTGGACCCTGAGCTTCTTGGTGTCCTCAGGGAACACTGAAGAGGTCGGTGTAGATGGAGTATAATGAGGAAGAGAGAAAATAATAGGTGAAGTCAGAGAGGGAGCAAAAGATTGGGATATGAGGACTCCAGCTCTCACACTGAGATAAGAAGTCATTGGAGGATTTTAGGCACAAGAGTGGTTACTTTTTTAATGACTTCCTTTTTAAAGAGTTCACTCTGAGAGCTGTGTTGAGAATAGACCGAAGGAGACAAAAGCAGAATGAAAACCAACTAGGATGTTATTTCAGTAATTGACCCAAGAAAAGGTGGTGGCTTGCACCAGCGCAGTAGGTTGAATTTTGGACCTACTTTTGCTCACTTTTTCAATAAATGTCTATCAAGTCCCTACTATGTACTGATGCTACTTTGATTACTGGAAAAGCATGTGTAGCAAAAAATCGAACCCATGGTCTCTATTCCTCTCTGAATTTGGAGAAGGGAAGTTGGGGGCAGAAACAGGCAACATAGTTGTAAGAAATAGGCAAGATAAATTTCAGATAGCAATATGCAGTGTGAAACAAATTAACCAGTTTAATGTGACAGAGTGACTGGCTGGGTGGATGGATGCTACTTTGCTACTTCAGATTATCTCTTTGGGAAAGGCCACTCTAAAGACCAGGTAACCTATTGGCTTGGACATGGATGATGAGAAGAAGGAAGCCAAGTGAGTATCTGGTGGGTGATTGCTCCAGGTAGAATGAACTGCAAGTTTGCAATCAGAGAAGCACATGAGGCTTGCTCAATAAACAAATGGAAGACTAGTAGTGTGACTGGCTGGAGAACAGTGAAACAACTATAAAGTCATAGAAGTGAGATTAGGGAGGAAGATTACTGGGGGTCTTGGAGGTCATAATAGGGAATTTGGATTTTATTCTAAGCATTTTAGAAAGTCATGGGAGGGCTTTAAGTAAAACATGGCATGCTCTACTTCACATTTTCAGAAAATCCCTCTGGCTTTTTTGCAGAGTGTTGACTCTGTTAGAGACGTACAAGTAGAGAGCTCCAGCAAGCTGGAAATAGGAGTCTGTAGTCCAGCAGAGAAGTCAGGCTTGAAGATACAAATTGAGGAGTCATCAAAGTATGGATGACATTGGAAGAGAAGGAGCAAGATGACATGACTTCAAGAGTGGGTGCAGGTGGGCTGCTTCCCATCATGGTAAGACTCTCCTGTTCTTATCTTCCAATCTCTCCTCAACCAACTCCAGTTCACATCTATAACCCCACCACACTACTGAATCTGCCTTCGTTAAGATCACCGTTCTTTCCCTGAAACACAAAGTGAATGGATTTAGTAAAAAAATAGTTAGGAGGCAGGAAAATTGAGAAGAATTAGAGCAATGTCACAGTGATAAGACTCTAGCAGAGAAAGATCAATGCCTCCAACATATTAAGAACTGAAAAGTGTCAAGGAGGGTTTATACCATATTTGAGAGCAAAATTCTAAGAAACATTGAGGCTTGGCTCTGACTTCTCAGATCCCAACTGCTTGCCTGTGTTTCTGATCACCATCTGCTCCCGATTCCCAGGGCCAAGCTCTACCACAGACCCTTGTGTCTTCAAGTTGGGCCCCCCAGTGCTATCCTGGCATGCCACCTGCTATCTGTTGCCAGGCCTTTTCAGATACTATATTCTGCCTGCTATACTGAACCTCTCTCCTGTATCTCAAATACATACATTTCCTTTCCTACCTTCTCTTGAGCAGTTCTAGTCCTAATTTCTGGATTCTTTAGTCTATATATCTTATAATAACTAATAAGGCTCTGGTCAGCCATGCCTTTCGATGGGACACTTACTAACCAACCCACTACTCTGTTACAGTATTTTTTAGGGTCTAGAAGATGACAAGCACTGGATTTTGAATTCATCCTCAAAAGGTCCTTGGCTCATTTTATATACTTTGTGATTGAGCCAGGTCAAACCCCAATAAATGCTGTGCCCCTCTAAGTAAGCACATGCTCTTGTATATTTACCAGAAGCAATTGAAGCAGTGAAGGAAGAAGTGATAGAAGTCACTGAAAACTTCACTATATAAAAAGTCTTTTTTATATCTTGAACTAGGAAAGGCTGGACTAAAGTTCTGCCAACAGCGAGGCTCACTCCATTAGTTATAACTCTTCTTCCTACTGCTTGGCAAATCAAGATATAAGAGTCCTTCTGGGGGAGCCACTTTTAACTCCTCTGGGGGAGTTGAAAAGCAAATATCATGTTAATCTTAAAAATCAGTTTCTCTATTTCATTATTTTTGAACCTACAATTCAATATATGTTCATTGAATTACAGAGTCTATTATTTATTTGAAGCTTGTTATGGGTTAAATTGTGTCCTTCCAAAATTCTTATGTTGAAATCCTAATCCCAAGTATCCCATAATGGGACCAAGTACCTCAGAATGGGAAATAGAGTCATTGCAGATGTAATTAATTAAGAGATGTAATTAATTAAGATACTGGAGTAAGATGGGTCCCTAATCCAGTATGACTGGTGTCCTTCTGAAAAAGCAAAATGTGGACATAGATACACACACAGAGAAATGTCATATGAAGAGAGAGGGCAGAGATGTAAAAGCCGAGGAACATTAAATATTGCCAGCAAACTGCCAGGAGAGAGGTTTGGAACAGATTTTCCTGCACAGCCCTCAGCAGGAACCAATCCCACTGACATCTTGATTTTGGGTTTCCAGTCTCCAGAACTGTGACACAATAAGTCTCTGTTGTTTAAGCCACCCAGTTTGTGGTTCTTATACTAGCCCTAGCAAACTAATACAAAGCCTGAGCAGACACAAATTATATTAGCCACAATAATTTAGCAATATTTTCAGTTTTGCATTAATGAAAGTACAGCCCAATTTGTCCACCCTTTGGAATTTTGCCAGCATAAACCCTCATCCCATCAAAATCATCACAAATTAGGAAGAGAAAACAAAGGGTGGGGGCAAAAGGGGTGTAAACACATGCTCATTTTTCTGAAGAGGCCGAAGGAGTGCTTCTTCATGTAGGCATATTTCCAAAGAGGCTGAAGAAAAAAATATGTATTCAAAAAGAACATTTACTCCTGTTGTTAAGTCAATGCCTCACAACATCACTACAGTATCAGACACGAAAATTAGGCCAGAATTATGCAGTTGAGTCTAATGCTGTCTGTTCAGGCTTCAGTGATAGACAAAAAGAAATAGTTGCATTTTGTATGGTAATTGGCTGGAGATGTGCAGTACGCATTTACAAACCATGTCAGGACATTTTTGCATATCAGAAAACAATCTAACACATTTCATGAGACACTTGTGCAGTCCATGAATTTTAATTATCTATGAAGCCTTGGACAAAGAGTACAATACGAAACACTTCAATAATAGCAATAATAAATAATCTTTATCTTGCCATTGTTGGTGTCAATCACAAAATTTCATCTTTATTAATATTACATCATTATTTTATGAGAATAATTACTACTTTGTAGTATGAGTAAAATATGTGCTTATGGAAATATGAGACAAGGGCTGTATATTTCTTCTATTCAGCTGACACAGTGGAATCCAATAAAATAGAGAATGGAATGAGACTGAGTATGAAAGAGAAACACCAATTTCTTGTTTGTTCTTTTCAAAGTTGTACAAAACCCAAAGGACAAACCAGCTCAAACAACAATCTCTCCAAACTTGATCTGGTAGTTTGCCTTCAAGGAACATGTACTGAATGAGACACTAGGTTCCACACAGCTGGCCAAGGACTTTGGAAATCATTGCTCCTATTTTTAACCCCACATTCTTGAGCTGCCCACCCCCACCCTACCCAATCACACAGCTCAAGATTCCTTCTGAGCAATTCGGACTGGACAGAGCAGCACGTGGTATCCACGCAGCCAGACCCTAGCCAGCCTCACTTCCAAAACCTGTCAGTTAAAACTAATTTAGGGGTGAATCACGGGACCTCTGCTCACCACCCAATCTGTTTAGGAACATTGCTCTGTCCTTTTAACAGCCAGAGCTGCAGGCAACATGTACTCTGTTATGAGAGGGTAAGGAGTGTTCAGCTCACTTAGAATCTGATTGGCAGAGCAGCCTTAATACTTTATAATAGTTCTTAGAAATGTTTACGGAACGCAGTGTTTTGCACTGCAGTATAAAGCACACTATGTGCAGCCATACCCTAACCAGTTGTAGATCTGCTTGGGCAGAGGAATCTGTTTTCCCAAGAAGGGCAGTCTCTCTCTTTACTCCAAGAACTATAGAAGAGGCATTGAATTTAAATTGAAACAAGAGAGACTTAAATCAGATTTAAAGAGTTTAGGCCACTAAACTATAAATTTTTTGAAAATTTTTTATTTATTTTAATTTAAACTCTGAGATACACGGGCAGAACGTACAGGTTTGTTACATAGGTATACATATGCCCTGGTGGTTTGCTGCACCTATGAACCCATCATCTAGGTTTTAAGCCCCACCTGGATTAGGTATTTGTCCTAATGCTCTCCCTCCCCTAGCCCCCCAACCCCCGACAGGACCCAGTGTGTGATGTTCCCCTCCCTGTGACCATGTGTTCTCACTGTTCATCTTCCACTTATGAGTGAGAACATGCAGTGTTTGGATTTCAGAGTCTCTTTGTGGAGTTTTAAACAGTGACAAAGAGATGTATCTTTCACCCATTTTGGAATACCTAAATTAGTGCATTTGAGAAGACAAAGAAAAAATATAAGACTAAATGGTAGTGTTTTGTAGTTTTATGACTCTATGTTCTTTTCTGTTGTTATGAAATTGCTGTTGCTCTTTGGAGGAAGAAATCAGTTTTTCTAACTCTTGATGAATAAATGCTTCACATCTCACCCACGCGCACTCTTCCTTTAGGTGGTTTTGCTGTTAATTCGCTTTAACTACCTCTTTCTTCTCTGTGTTTGGTCTTCTAAAACTGGTTCTGCATAATAAATCCTAATAGTCCTGTTGTGGATGAAGAACTAAATTTAAAAATGTAACTTCTCACCAAGATGTCCCTGAAAGTTAACAAGGAAACCTCTGCTCCTCCCAAAGTCAAGATAAAGCAAAGTCTTTGAAGGCCAAAAAGGCAGTGCAGAAAAGTATCCACAACCATACTCAAAAGATCCTCACACTACTCCACTTCTGGTGGCCCAAGACTCTGCAGCTTTTAAGGCAGCAAAATGTCCTTAGAAAAGTACCACCAGGAGAAGCAAGCTTGATCACTCTGCCATCATGTTCCACTTGAATCAGACAAGAATAGGGAAGACAATACATATGTGTTCATTTTAGATGTCAAAACCAACATGCACCAGTTCCAAAGGCTGTGAAGAAGCTTCATGACACTAACATGGCCAAGATCAACACACTGATCAGGCCTGATGAACAAAAAAAGGCTTGACTATGATGCTTTGGATGTTGCCAACAAAATTGGGATCATCGAAAGAACACTCAGATGGCTAATTTTAAATACAAAAATTTCAGATTTCTTTGTGATTCTGTGATTAGTTCAGCTTGACAAGAAGAAGAGAGAAAGGAAAATGGCATTTCTGTCCTCATGTTTCTCCTCTTTGTGCATCTAGATGATGAATGGTGGGTGAATGGGGGCAAAAGGTCTTGGTCAATAAAAGAAAATCTGAAAATCTTCCTGAGGCCATCTGTGTCTAGGTTTTAAATTCTTCGCTCGGTGGAAGAGATTTGATGATGAGAATTCAGAGATACAATCCTTTTCTTATCCTACCTATGTCAATAGCTCTTGATTCAAATGCTATTATTAAATTATTTTTTCATTCATTCAGCAAAGATTCATTGAGCACATATTATGTGCTAGCTTTCACTCTAGCTCCAGGGTTACAGCTCTGAAACACTTGACAAATGTTTCTACCTTCATAGACTTCACTTGTACTAAGAAGAGATGGACATTAGACAAGTAAATAAGTGGATTCAGTAGAATGTCAGATGGCTGAAAATGTTATGGAGAAAAATTAAGCAGGAAGGGTCATGAGGAGTAAGAGGGGAATGAACATTGAAGTTTGGCAGGGTGGGCAGGCAGGACTTGGCTGAGAAGAAAATATTTGGGTAAATATCTAAAGGAGGGGGCAGAGTTGGATGTGGATATTTGCAGGAAGAGCATTCCAGGCAGAAGAAATAACAAATACAAAGCCCTGAACATGTACCAGACAGAACATTTGTCAAAGCATCTCATCTCTCTTCTACCGTAAAATAAAATTCTGCTCTAACAGGGTAGTGAAGAACGTATTAATCCTGCACCAATACTATTGTTCATTTAGCTCACAAGTTCATTACCACAATTTGATGGTATGAACTGCCTTGGAACTTGGTCCATGTGTTAACATTCATCGTATTTTGTTTTCTTTTTGTTTTTATTTTGTACTGGTAACACATAAATACTTTCTTGTTGAAAAGATGCAAACAATAGGCCTGGCGCGGTGGCTCACGCCTATAATCCCAGAACTTTGGGAGGCCGAGTCGGGTGGATCACGAGGTCAGGAGATCGAGACCATCCTGGCTAACACAGGGAAACCCCATCTCTACTAAAAATACAAAAAATTAGCCGGGCGTGGTGGCTGGCGCCTGTAGTTCCAGCTACTCGAAAGGCTGAGGCAGGAGAATGGCGTGATCCCAGGAGGCGGAGCTTGCAGTGAACCGAGACCACAACCGTGCACTCCAGCCTGGGCAACAGAGTGAGACTCCATCTCAAAAAAAAAAAAAAGATGCAAACAATACAGAAATTTATAGAGTGAAGTGTGGTTACCCCATCCAACTTCTCTTGCTATACTTCTTATCAACCTACCAACGTTCTTACTTCAGAACAAACTACTGTTAATAGTTTGATATACATTCATCAGTCATTTTTTCATTTATATATGCATGTATATGAAGACGTAGTTTTTTTCATAAATGGGATCATACTTTACACGTTTTTTTGACAACTTGCTCTCAACATTGTGGAAGATTTATCTGAGTTATAGAGAAAGGTCTCTTATATTCTATAATAAAAGTGGAGTATTTCATGGTACAGATTTGCCACACATTATTCACACTCCCTATTGAAGGGTTGTTTTTATTTTTTAAATCACAAAAAGTGAATCTCTTTGTATGAAACTTACGGTGAAAATATGTAAATGTTTCTCTAAGATAGACATCCAGAATTTTGAGTAGATGGATATATGTGAGGTTTGTTATTTACTTTTTTGTAATGGTGATATACAGAGGTATGATCCACATACCATAAAATTTACCCAAAGTATAAAATGTAATGATTTTAGTATATTCGGAATTGTGCAATCAATAAATTTTAGAACATTTTTATTACCCCCCCAAAACACACAAACCATCTAAGCCATCACTCCTCAATCTTCTCCTCCCTTTCGGGGAAACCCCTAATCTACTTCTGTCTCTATAGCTTTACTTCTTATGGATATTCCATATAAATGGAATCAGAAAATTTTTGGTTTTGTGTCTGCCTTTTTTCACTTAGCATAATGTTTCTAAGGTTTATTCACATTGTGGCATGCATCAGCACTTCGTTTCTTTTAACTGCATAATAATATTCATTTGTACGAATATACATTTTATTTATCCATTTATTGGTTGATGGATATTTGGGTTGCTTACATCTCTGAGCACTTATGAATAACGCTGCTATGAATATTAATGCACAAATTTTTATGTAAACTTATATTTTTCATTCTCTTGGGTGTATACCTAGGAGTGGAATTCTTGTGTCAAATGGTAACTCTCTACATTGAGCAAAAGAGAACCTACGTTCCTTCACAAAGGACGTTCATGCTTTAATTTATAAAGATCTTTCATTTCAAACTCTGGATGCTGAAGCAAAAGTGGCATTGGAAATATTACAACACAAGTACAAAACAGATTTCACAGAAAAGAAGGCATCTCAGAACCCTGAGAGAATAGTCAAGCTACACAGAATAGGTAATTTCATTGATGTGAGTGAGGGCCCTCTGATTCCAAGAACAAGTATTTGCTTCCAGTATGAAGTGTCAGCAGTTCACAATCTTCAACCTAACCAGCCAAGTCTTATATGAAGATTCCAGGGTCTGTCTTTACCCATTCACTTAAGAGCACGTTTTACGATATGGGATAAGCTATTGGAAAGATCTCATAAAATGGTAACTGAAGATCAAACTAAACTGATAAAGCAAAGTGCATCTGCCTAATAACTTTCCAAAATTTAAATATGTATAGTAAGTTAAATGTTTTTAATATTTAAAAAACATTTTAAGGACTGGCAGACTGTTTTCTAAAATGGCTACACCACTTTAAAATCCCACCAGCAGTGTATGAAGGTTGCAATTTCTCCATATTTTTACCAGCACTTGGTATTATCTGTCGTTTTGATTGTAGCCATTCTAATGTGTGTCAAGTAGCATCGCATTGGAGTTTGATTTTCATTATCCTGAAGAATAATGATGTTGAGTATCTTTTAATGTATTTGTGGGCCATTTTTATATATTCTTTGCAGAAATGTCTAGTCAGATTCTTTGCCGATTTTACATTCTATGTTCAATGATCTTGGCATGCTGGTCTGAAGTCAATTGTCCACAAATGCGAGAATTTATTTCTGGATTCGCTGTTCTATTCCATTGACCTTTACATGTATTCTTATGCTGGTATGACACTGTCTTGCTTATATTTGCTTTGTAGTAAGTTTTGAAATAAAGAAGTGTGAATCCTCCAACTTTGTTCTTTTCCAAGATCATGTTGGCCGTTTTGGGTCTCTTCCATTTTCATATTAATTTTAAAATCAGCTAGTCAAATTCTGCAAAAAAGTGAGCTGGGGTTTTGGGAGGGGTTGCATTTAATCTGTACAACAATGTAGAGAGTATTGCCATCTTAATAGCATTCTCTTCCAATTCATGGTCATGGCATGTCTTTTCATTTACTTAGATATTTTTAAATTTATTTCAACAATGATTTGACGTTTTCAGTTGCACAAGTATTGCATTTCTTTTGTTAAGTGTATTCCTACATATTTTATTCCATTTGATACTATTGTAAATAAAATTGGTTTTTAATTTTATTTTTGGATTGCAAACATATAAATACAATTGATTTCATATATTGATCTAGCCTGCATCCTTCCAAAACTTGCTTTTTAGCACTAGTTTTTGTGTGTGTATTCTTCAGGATTTTCTGTATACAAGGTTGTATCATCTGCAAATAAGCATAATATTAGCTATATATTTTCTTTCGTAAATGACCTTTAGCAGAATGAGGAAGTGTCCTTCTATTCCTAATTTATTGAATTTTTTATCATGAAGTGATGTTGGATTCTATCAAATGTTTCTCTGCCTCTATTGAGATGATCATGTGTTTTTTTTTTTTTTGCCTTTTATTCTATTGATATGGTGCATTAAACTAACTAATTATCAGATAACAAACCAACCTTGTATTCCTATGATAAATCCCACTTGGCCATGGTAGGAGTTTTTATATGTTGCTGAATTCAGTTTGCTAGTATTTCTTTTTCAGGATTTTTGTGCCTGTATTTATAAAATATATTGGTCTGTGGATTTCTTTTTTTGTAATATCTTTGATTTTGGTATCAGTGTAATACTGGCTCATAGGATGATTTAGGAAGTATTCTCTTCTATTTTTTGACAAAGTTTATGAATAATCACTAATAATTATTCCTTAAATATTTGGTAGAGTTCACTAATGAAGCTATCTGAGCCTAGATTTCCTTTGTTGGCAGTTTTTTTTAATTACTAATTTAATCTCTATTTTTATCTATTCAGATCTATTCAGATCATCTATTTCTTCTCAAGTCAATTTGGGTAGTTGGTTTTTTTTTAGGAATTTGTTCATTTCATTTACATTATTGAATTTACCAACATACAGTTGCTCATAGTATTCTCTCATAATCTTTTTTATTTCTGCAAATTGGTAATAAGGTCACCTCTTTCATTTCTGATTTTAGCAATGTGAGTATTCTTCTGTTTTTCTTGGTCAATCTAGCTAAAGCTTTGTCAATTTTGTTGATTTTTAAAGAACATATTTTGTTGATTTCCTCTATTGCTTGTATATTTGTAATTTCATTAATTTCCACTCTAATCATTATTATTTAATTCCTTCTATTTGTTTTAGGTGTATTTGTTCTTCTTTCTTCAGTGTCTTAAGGTAGATAATTAGGTAATTGATTTGATATAGTTCTTTTTCAATATAAGTGTTTACAGGTATAAGTTTCCCCGTAACTACTTTTTAACCACATCCCATAAGTTTTGGTGTATTGTATCTTCACTTTAATTTACTCAATGTATTTCCTATTAATGCTTGTGATTTTTTTCATTGACTGATTGGTTATTTAGGAGTATGTTGTTCAATTTCCACATATTTATGAAATTTTAAAATTCATCTCTGATTTTTAATTTCTAATTGTATTCTATTGTGGTTGGGCAGCATACTTTGTATAGTTTCAATATTTTTAGGTTTTTTAGGCTTTATATGTGGTTTTTAAACATACTTTCTGATAGATATTCTCAAACTGCCTTCCCAAACCATATATTCACATTATATGATTGTTTAGATTATTGAAGGGATTTGTAGAAAACCTGTACAAAAATAAAATTTTTGTAATAATTCCCTTTCTGAATCTATTTAGTTACCATTCAAATCAGCCGAAATTATGTTACCCTTATGGATATTATAGAATGATAATTAGTAGCATCACTTATATAGCACCATGGTCTACGCAATATGCTGCATATTTAACATACAGGATCTCTAATATTCACTATAAGTTAAGAATTATCATTTCCATTTTGCAAAGGAGGAAACTGTCTCAAGTTAATTAATTAACTTGTGTAAAATTACATAGAAAATGACTTGCAATTAAAACCCAAACCTATTTCTATCATCATACTCTTGTCTTAAGGTCAAGGAAAAACCATCAGAGACCAGGCTTTTTTTCTCATCTTTTCTTGCTTCTAACACCCTTAGGGTGCACAAAGAATAATGTTCAGAACATTCTTGGCAGTCATAAAGTTACATTTTTCATTTTTATGTTTACCTTTTTCATATTCCAGAAGCCAACTGCATCTCATAATTGGACAACATGCTTATTGGCTCCTTCCCAGGTGAATTTACTAATAGGTAGAAGTGATTTAGCTCCTGTTACACTTAATGCAAATGCATTGATGTCTTCATAATTCCAAACCAATTCTTTATTTTCTTTTTATTTGGCAGTTTCTGCACAAACATGGTTTAAATTATATTGCTTTTATTTTCTCCAAGTTTCCATCAGATTATGTCAATGGAAAATGAAATCATAATGAAAATATGTGTGAAGATGATAACCAGAATCAGAATGAATGAGATGCCATGTTTTAAAAATTACTTAAAAACTATGTTTTACCGTTTAAAAAAGCACTATGATTATCTTATTTAATAATATTTAAATGCTAATTTTTAATGGTATAATTAGATTGTAAACTTCATGAGGGTAATGACTATCACATAATCTGTTTTCTATCTTCAATATACAATGAAGGTCTTAGAATCTGGTAGGTACTCAATATGTGTTTGCCAGATAAATGAATAAGCCATGAAATAATTTCTGAAAATACTGTTTTTACAATGCACTACTAAACTTGTACTACTTGATATTCCTCCTGATGGTCTCATTGATGCATCCTACAAATATTCATTATATACCTATTATGTGCCAGATACTGAATGAGGAACTGAGGCCACAGAAGTGACCTGAGCAGGCAAAAGCCCTGATTTTGTGGGTAGTGTCATTAAACAAATAGTCACACAGATTAGATAAAATTCTAATAAATGTTTTGACGGAAAGTATATGGTGCTAGAAGAGCATACAACAGAGGGTCCGTGTCTAGTCTGGGGAAGGTTTTCCTAAGGAAATGACATCCAAGCAGATCCTTGAAGGAAGTAAGGGGCTATTGTGCCAATGCCTTCTCTTAGGCCTGCACAGAGGCTTTTGTGTTTTAAAATATTGACTCATGGAGGAAGTGAAGCAAGATGGCTGAATAGAAGCTTCCACTGATTATCCTCCCCACAGGAACACCAAATTGAACAATTTTTCAAGACATAGATTGCAAAATAAAATATAAATAGAAACAACAAAAAGTTAAAAAATGGGGTGATTAAGTTAAAGTGTGGAGTTTATTAGTTTTCGCTTGGCTTATTTGTTTGTTTGTGTAAACAATCGATGGTAAGTAATCAGTTTAAAATAATGGGTTATAAGATATTATTTGCAAGCCTCATGGTAACCTCAAATCAAAAACATGCAACAGATACAAACAAAAAATTAAAAAGCAAGTAATTAAACATATCATCAGAGAAAAATCACCTTCACTAAAAGGAAGACAGGAAGGAAGGAAAGAAGAGAAGACCACAAAAAAATAAAAACCCAGAAAACAAATTTTTTAAAATGGCAGGAGTATGTCCTTACTTATCAGTAATAACATTGAATGTAAATGGACTAAACTCTTCAATCAAAAGACACAGAGTGGCTGAGGAATAAAAACACAAGAATCAATGATCGGTTGCCTACAAGAAACACACCTCACCTAAAAAGACAAACATAGACTGAAAATAAAGAGATAGACATTTATGCAAATGAAAACCAAAAAAAGAGCAGAGGTGGCCCTACTTATATCAGACAAAACAGATTTGAAGACAAAAACTATGAAAAGAGACAAAGATCATTATATAGTGTTAAGGGGTCAGTTCAGCAAGAAAATATAACAATTGAAAATATATATGCACAAAACACTGGAGCACCTAGCTATATAAAGCAAATATTATTAGAACTAAAGAGAGAGATAGACCCCAACACAATAATAGCCAGAGACAGCAACACCCCACTTTCACCACTGGACAGATCATGCAGACAGAAAATCAATGAAGAAACTTTAGAATTAAGCTGCATTGTAGATCAAATGGACCTAATAGATATTTGCAGAACATTTTATCCAGTGACTGCAGAATATACATTCTTCTCCTCAGAATATGGATGATCCTCAAGTGAAGACCATACGTTTGGCCACAAAATAAATCTTAAAGAATTCAGAAAATTGAACTTATATCAAGTATCTTCTCTGATCACAATGAAATGAAACTAGAAATCAACAACAAGAGGAATTTTGGAAAGTATACAAACACATAGAAATTAAACAATATGCTCCTGAATGACAAGTGGGTCAATGAAGAAGTTAAGAGGGAAATTGGAAAATGTCTTGAAACAAATGATAGTGTAAATACAACAACCTATGGGATACAGAAAAAGCAGTACTAAGAGAAAAGTTTATAGTTATAAATGCCTACATCAAACAAGTAGAAATATTTCAAATAAACAATCTAATGATGCATCTTAAAGACCTAGAAAAGCCAGAGCAAACCAAACCCAAAATTAGTAGAAAAAAAGAAACAATAAAGAGCACAGCAGAAATAAATAAAAATGAAATGAAGACAATACAAAAGATCAACAAAATGAAAAGGTGAATTTTTGAAAAGAGAAATAAAATTAACAAAACTTTAGCCAGACTATCTAAGAAAAAAAGTGAGAAAACCCAAGTAAACAAAATTAGAGATGAAAAAGCAGACATTACAATCAATACTGCAGAAACACAAAGGACATTAAGGCTACTATGAGCAGCTATATACCAATAAATTGGAAAACCTGGAAGAAATGGATAAATTCCTAGACATGTACAACCTACCAAGATTGAACCATGAAGAAATCCAAAACCTGAACAGACCAATAACAGGTAAAAGGATTGAAGCCATAATAAAAAGTCTCCCCACAAAGAAAGGCCTAAGACCTGATGGCTTCACTGCTGAATTCTGCCAAACATTTAAAGACTAATACCAATCCCACCCAAACTATTCCAAAAAATAGAGGATGAGGGAATACTTCCAGATGCATTCTATGAGGCCAGTATTACCCTGATACAAAACCAAACAAAAACTACTGGCCAGTACCCCTGCTAAGCATTTGTTATAAAGTACCTCAACAAAATACTAGCAAACCAAATTCAACAACATGTTAAAAAGCTCATTTATCATGACCAACTGGGATTTATCCCAGGGATGCAAAGATGGTTCAACATATGCAAATCAATCAGCATGATACAGCATATCAACAGAATAAAGAACAGAACCCACATGATCATTTCAGTTGATGCTGAAAAGCACTTGAAAAAATTCAAGATTCCTTCATGATAAAAACCCTCAAAAAAGGAAGAAGTCAAATTGTCCCTGTTTGAAGATTCCACCAAAAAATTATTAGAATTGATAAACAAATTTAGTAAATTTGCAGGATACAAAATCAACATGTAAAAATAGGTAGCATTTCTGTATGCCAATAGCAAACAATCTGAAAAACAAAACCATGAAAGTAATCTCATTTACAATAGCTACAAATAAAATAAAATTCCTAAGAAGTAACTTAACCAAAGAAATGAAAGATCTCTACAATGAAAAAAAATATGAAACATTGATGAAAGAAATTCAAGAGGACACACACAAAAAAACAGAAAGATATTCTATGTTCAGGAATTGGAAGGATCAATATTGTTAAAATGTCCATACTACCCAAAGCAATCTACAAATTCAATGCAACCCCTTATTGTAAGAATTAAAGAAAGAGGAAAGAAACAAAAAAAGTGGTTTGACGGTCAACACAGGTTTATTTTAGAGAAAACAAACCTGAAAGGGGCATCTGGCCGCGCTAAGACAATACCAATGACATTATTCACAGAAATAGACAAAAAAAAAAAACAAACCCTAAAATGTATATGGAACTGACTGGGCACAGTGGTTCATGCCTGTAATCCCAACACTTTGGAAGGCCAAGAAAAGAGGATCACCTGAGGTCAGGAGTTCAAGACCAGCCTGGCCAACATGGTAAAACCCTGCCTCCAATTTAAAAAAAAAAAAAAAATTAGCTGAGCATGGTGGCAGGCTCCTGTAATCCCAGCTACTCAGGAAGCTGAGGCAGGAGAATCGTTTAAATCCAGGAGGTGGAGGTTGCAGTGAGCTGAGAAAAATTATATGGAACCACAAAAAATGCAGAATTCTGAGCAAAAAGAGCAAAATTGATGGAATCACATTACCTGACTTCAAATTGTACTATAGGGCTATAATAACAAAAACAGCGTG
Organism: Homo sapiens; assembly: GCF_000001405.40. Classification (NCBI taxonomy): domain Eukaryota; kingdom Metazoa; phylum Chordata; class Mammalia; order Primates; family Hominidae; genus Homo; species Homo sapiens. The sequence goes on along the minus strand of NC_000005.10, from coordinate 67,683,041 downwards.
GTGCTGTCATAGAAACAGACTCATAGAATGATAGAATAGAATAGAGAACACAGAAACAAATCCATACATCTACAGTGAGCTCATTTTCAGCAAAGATGCCAAGAACATATACTGAGGAAAGGACAATCTCTTCAATAAATGGTGCTGGGAAAACTGAACATCCGTATGCAGAAGAGTAAAACTGGACCCCTATTTCTCACTATATACAAAAATCAAATTAAATGGATTAAAGACTTAAATATAAGACCTGAAACTATGAAACTACTAAAAGAAAACACTGGGGAAACTCTCTAGGACATTAGGCTGGGCAAAGATTTCCTGAGTAATAGCCTGAAAGTACAGGCAGCCAAAGCAAAAAAAAGACAAATGACATCACATCAAGTTAAAGTGCTTCTGCACAGTAAAGGAAACAATCAACAAAATGAAGAGACAACCCACAGAATGGGAGAATATATTTGCAAACTATTCCTGTGACAATTGATTAATAACCATGATATATAAGGAGCTCAAACAACTCAATCAGAAAAAAACCTATAATCTGATTTAAAAATGGGCAAAAGATTTGAATAGACATTTCTCAAAAGAAGACATACAAATGGCAAACAAGTATATGAAAAGGTGTTCAATATCATTGATCATCAGATAAATGCAAATTAAAACTACAATGAGATATCATCTCATCCCAGTTAAAATGGCTTTTTATCCAAAAAGAGGCAATAACCAATGCTAGTGAGGATGTAGGGAAAAGTGAACCCTGTACACTCTTGGTGGGAATGTAAATTAATATAACCACTGTGGAGAACAGTTTAGAAGTTCCTCAAAAAACTAAAAATAGAGCTAAAACTAAAAATATGATCCAGCAATCCCACTGCTAGGTATATACCTAAAAGAAAACAAATTAGTATATCAAAAAAGTGTCTACACTCTCATGTTTCTTGCAGCACTATTCACAACTAAGATCTGAAAGCAACCCAAGTGTCCATCAACAGATGAACAGATAAAGAAAATGTGGTATTAATACAATGGAGTACTATTTAGACATAAAAATAAAGAGATTCTGTCATTTGCAGCAACAGGGATGGAACTGGAGGTCATTACGTTAAGTGAAATAAGCCAGGCACAGAAAGATGAACTTTACGTGTTCTTACTTACTTGTGACAGCTAAAAACTAAAACAATTGAACACATGGAGATAGAGAGTAGAATGATAGTTACCAGAGACTGGGAAAGGTATTTGAAGGAGGGTAGAAATGGGAATGGTTAATGGGTAAAAAAATATAGTTAGGTGGAATGAATAAGATTTAGTATTTGATAGCACAACATGGTGACCACAGTTAACATAATTTATCGCACATTTAAAAATAACTAAAAGAGTATAATTGGATTGTTTATAACACAAAGAAAGGACAAATGGGTGGGGTGATGGATACCCCATTTACACTGATGTGATTATTACACATTGTATGCCTGTATCAAAATATCTCAAATATCCCATACATATATACCTACTGTGTATCCGAAAAATTAAAATTTTTAAATTAATTATTTTTTTTTAAATTGACTTGCATTTACAGATTAAATGGGGCATGCACTCTCCGGTTATCCATGGCACCTACAATCTTGTTGTGGCTAGTCCTTGGCCTGAGTATAAATATATGTTATCTGCCTGGCCCCTGTAGGTCTCTGAATATATGAATCTTGATGTAAAACCTTGGCCATTTAAAAATTTTTATTTTTTCAGTCTCAATCCACAGTACAAAAAAATGCATTTCTCATCTTTCTGTAGTTCACACGTTTTGTATATATGCATGTGAAAGAACATGTCCTCACTTCTGATATATTTTATTATTTTCACTGGTCATGTTCTAATAAATTTGTTTCGTGAGACAAGGCTCTAACCTACAGTTAGCAAACAGTCTCATAGTTCGAGAAGTCAGGGAAAAGAATAAACTAAATGCCCAATTGTTTATTGTGCGCTAAATAATGAAAACTAATCATGAGGAATGAAGAGACATCTTGCTTTCCACCTCACCTCTCAAATTCTGAGGGCAAGATACCCTGTAATTCTTGTCTTCATAACCAGTCCTCTATATGATTAACAACTTTGACATTTGGAAAACTCTAGAATAGGAAATGATAACAGTGACTGACAAAATTACCCTATGCAACTACAAATAGCCTTTCAACAGGCTCTTCTGGGTGGATTTTCTGCATTTCCACCTGCATATTGCAAGTCCAGGTTTAGAAGGTGACAAGGTAAGGAAAATAGAGTCCAGGCAGGCAGACAGGAATCATAGAATGAGACACTTGGCCAAAGATTTGAGCCAGCAGTTACTCCTTAATAAAGGAGTTATTTCCAAAACACTTAATTCATTATTTAAGCTCTGAAATAGGACTTGGACCAGTGTTAGCTTCCCTATGAGCGGGAGCAGAGGCAGAGACACAAGAGTCTGTGATAAGCTTCAGGGTACAGATGCCCATCAGGGGTTAGTTTGGGTGATTCCAAGGCAAAAATCAGCATCTGGGAGATGCCATAATAATCCACCTCCAGTGTACCTGAAAATCTTTTTTATACAGCTGTCCCATGTTTCAAGTATCCCTTGTTATTGCATTATTTAATGGGATTACTAAAGCTGGTCTAACAGTGAGGCATCATCCAACAGCTCTGCTCTGAACAAAAATGTAAAAGAATAGTACTTGGAAGGGATACTTTCTGGGCAGCTTTAGACAAACAGAATTACTTAATAACCCTTGTGGAAAAAATTACAGTAGGTTACAAGAGTGGAGGAAGCCATGGTAATTTGGAAACAATGTATGTTCCTTAGAAACAGACTTCACTAATTGAAGACACTTGATTTTGTTAGTAATAATTGCAACAGATTTCCATGATGAAGCAGATGAAATGTTCCCATGCTTCAAATTTTATCCAGAATGCTTTAACATATTGCCTTTGAAGATCTAGAATGTCTCCTTTGGTGATATTCTAGAGTCAAAATACATAGTTTTTATTTGTATAGAATTCAGGATTGTTGATGCTAATTTAGACTTCTTCCAAAGGGGTTCAGTTACTGCAAATATCAGGACTTTGGTATGCACAGCCTTACCCATACTACAACAATTGCAGCTTGTATTTAAAAATGATTTCTGCAGAACAGGACTTTAGTGTGGAAATGTCACTTTCTGCTTAGCTGTATGTATATAGATATAGATGCAGGTACATATAAGGATATTTATATATGCATATATAGAATATCTACATAATCAGGGCTTTATGTCTCAAATCTCTGTGTGTGTGTGTGTGTGTGTGTGTGTGTGTGTATGCGCGCGTGCACGTGCGCATGCGTGTGTGCATGTGTGTGGGTCTCAGAGCTTTCCCTGGAGCATGCATAAGGTCCAACTTGACCTATTTTATATGGCTACAGCAATCTGTTAGCTTGGGCTTTTTGGCAGCCTCCCTGGATTTCTGGAGTTATGTCCATCTGCTTCAGCTGCAATTCAATGTTTAACATCCGTGTAACTTAGAAATATAAGTTCAAAATCAGTCTAGGTGTCCTCACTTTATATTGAGGGACACATACTCTTTGTGTGGTTTTGTTATAACCCTCCTATAGGAGATGTACTTTACTGAAAACAGCTTGAGACCTATCCATCATTGTTCTCAGGCAGTTTCTGTTCCTCATTATTCAGGATAATTGAGAAGCAGCTGCATTTGTAAAACAAAGTCCACTGGCTGAGCTTCAGCTTCTTGCATCTATCCTACACTGGATGGCATTAGCAAATGGCATTGGTAGCAGATCAATTCTTGTACCCAATAGCCTAATGGCTTAACTGCTTGACACAATAATTTTTATGGTCTGCAGAGATGTCTACACCGGCATGGGGCAAGCATAATGTTGTCTGGACAAGTAGAGCCACTACTCCAGGAGAATATACATATTAGCTGGATTGTTGTTGGAAGAACTGTTTGAAAATTCTTCCAGGAGGGCGTAGGAGGTGGTAATGAATTGCAGGCATAATGTCAGATGGGTCCCCACCGTCCCAGCTTACAAGTCCCATAGTTGGTTACAGATGAAAGTCCACAGAGATAGATAAGGAGATGAAAAATGCTGGCTGCTTGAATCCCTCCTCCTGTGAACTCATTATGTGCATAAAGTGAGAGAATACTTTAATGAGACCCCAGACTTTGGGAGCCACAACCATGTGAGCATTCAGAGTCAAGAAAGACCTGCATCTGAGACCGCACGCATATTGCACAATCTTTTCATTCATTCCCCCCAACCTTCCCAGCCCCAGAAATAGAACATTCTATAGAGAGCACCATTCAGAGATATTGAGCCTACATCCTACAAGAAATCATGCCTCATGACAAGCAGATTCTTAATGTCTGCGATCAGAAGGTGAGTACCTAATCCAAGTCCAGCATTCTCACTTTCTAAGCTTCCATCTATCAAAGTCACTGCCCCTCATATCATTTCCATGTCCCCAGATATTGTTCAGACTCTTCTTGCTGCACTTCTTTCAGCCATTCTCTTTCTTATTCTACTCTGATACTACTCGTTGAGTGGTTATTGGTGACTTGTAACTTTGCTCATTTATCAACGCTATGCCCAAAGCAACAGTAGAAAATTCGTGGGATTTGGAGTGAGGCAGACTTAGATTTTATTTTATTTCTTTTGTCTGTTAGTAGCACAGCTTGAACAAGATGCTTAACTTCTCATCTGTAATCCTTGCAGGGTGGCTGGAAGAATTAACTCATCCCTTCAGTCAGCAAATGTTCATTAAGCATCCTAAAGCAGGAAAAGCATAAAGCGCAGTACCTAGCACACAATAAGTACATAATAAATAGCAATTATGCTTATTTTTTGGAGAAAATTGCAATAGAAATGGAAGTAACATTAATTACCAGTCTGACCTAGATCCCACATCCTTAGTCACTTTATTCAAAGCTCAGTAAATATTGATCCATTGAGTATTGTTCCCCTGACTTTTGCTGGTCCTCTAATTTCTAGTTTATTCTCACTGTATACAGAATTTCTTTCTTGGCTTGGCTCCTCCAGAATTCTCAGGTTATCTCAGCCCTTGTCTTTTCCTCTGGATAATGTAATCATCTACAGGAATTTGAACTCCTTCGCAAGCTACATGTATCAAGTAACACTCACTAGAACAGTTCCTGTGATGAGGTGACACTGCATGGCATTCTGCAAAACCTCCACCTGCCATATGGTGTGGCAAATGTCATGAGGTATTGCTTCCTTCATTCCAGTGCAGCTTGCCAGAAACCTGATGCCACCTCCGCAACACACAACACCAATGGCTTAACTGTACTCAGGCTGTCAAAAGTGACTACTTTGAATGTTCTAACCCCATGGATTCTCTCAAGTCTCCACAATCCAACAGAGCTTGGGTTTCCTGAGTTCATCCCCCTCAGTACAGCTCTCTAGTTTCATTTTAATTGTGTTGGTTTTCACCATCAGTTCTTAGAATTGGTTCTAAGTTAACAAGAGTGTTCCTAGCATAATTACCAAGTGACTGTTTGTTGAGTATTTGTGGTTAATAAGCCCCAGCTAATAATCTCAGAACTTTAAGGAACTTGTCTATAATTGTTTATGAGTGTTTTGACTATTGCATTTTTTTACTTAGAAAAAAACCACTAATTATGATTGCATTTTCTGTTTGGCGTAGAGCTTATTTATGTCATTAAGTGACAGCTTCTACAACATGGGTATCTAGAGGGCCTTGCTTTTCTTTAGCTGAATATATTGCCTAATTTATAACCACATGTATAGCTAATTGGTCAAATTAGTTGTTTTACATAAAAAACCCTCAAACAGCAAGGTTTTAGTTTACTTTTATTAGTGATATCTTTAAGGTTAGCTATTCAGCAACATAATTTATTCTTGACCTCTCCCAGCCTGTATTTATTAATTGCCTCACTGCTATTTTTATATTTGTTTCTAGAGTTGCTAATTCAAATCCCTAAATGAAGTGGTAAGAGAGTGGCATGAAGGAGAGGGCTGAAAAGATGAGCGTATGCCCCACATAGGCCTGGAAGTCCAGTGTTTCTAGGGATTCAGATTGTTCAGAATATTAATAAAATAGATATCTGAGGCCAAAAACTATTGATAAACCAGACTTAATTTATGTGATAGCAGTTTACAACCGCAGATTTACTGTATTAAAGTTTTTGTTTCCATAGTATTCTTTAAATAATAGAGGCCAAGGCACTCTCACATTGAGGTCTATGTAATCAGAGACAGAGTACATTTCATCATGCAAAGAATATTATTTTGTGATTTCAGACATATTTTGGAGTTTTAGAGGTTTATTGGTTGATCTGACAACCTTTTATTGCTTTAGAGAATGTATGAAAGACAGAGAAAGAGAGAGAGAGAGGAGAGAGAGTGAAATGACCCTCTTTAGTTCTATATCCAGGCTTTTCCTTGTTAGTATAATGTATATGCATTTGTAGGACTTGAAGTGTTTCTATATTCGTAATAATCTCTCAGAGACTTTTCTCTCATAGTTATTAAAGCTATGGTGTTTGTATAATTCAGATTTTCCCCATTAATCTTAAGGATCTTGGCAAAAGAAGCATCTTACTAACATTTTGGTTGACAGATCCACAGATTTGTTACTGAGTGCTTGATAATGCTCTCTCCCTCTGGTTGGCATATCATGTTCCCCTGACTTTCACAGAATGTTAAAATGTTACTAGAATCTAAATTCCCCATTTTCTTAATCATCTGTTTCCTTACAATTTTCTGGTATGCTCTTATTATTATTTTTTTTCTGTGTGCCCATCCTGCGGGGAAGAAAGAAGTCATGGCCATTGTGGGTTAGCCCTAGTCTCTACTGGGTACCTAGACAGGGAACCTGACAGAATCTTAGTAGGCTCACATAGAGATAAATGCTTCTGGAGGGAGGAGACTCAAAGGAGAAAAAAGTGAAAGGAAAAAAAAATTTCATCCTTTTAAAAACTTTATGATATCTTTGACAAGTATGATTGAAACTTCTGTTGGAGAACAACTAGGGGACCATGTGCTTACCTGAAAAAGCTCTAGCCCTTCCTAGTAGCCTTTACTATCAGCGCCTGAAGACCACATATTTAATGTTCAAAAGCATACTTCCCTTTTCAACAGTGTGTGCTAATTCTTAGATAGATCAGAAGAAATATGATCTGTTACTTAGCAGAGATTTTGCTTATTTTACCCCAGCAGGATATTTTCTTACTCTGGTAAATTTCAGGTTCCCTGTATTCAGCCTATTTTTTCAATAAATTGGTTTTAAAATTCAACAGAAGACTAAATTTCTGGAGCATTCATTGAGATCGTTGGAATCATGATGTGGTAGATACTGTCACATACTACTCAGATGGCTCCTTTAGGGCCGAAGTGCTCATTTCCTCCTCTAACAGGACTGTGGGCTGCTGAGGACTCACAGTTGAGCCTTTACCCCATAATTGCCCGCAGACAAAGGGAGCTGCCTTACTCAAGTTTACACAAATTTTCTGGAGGCAACTTGTGTCCAATGACTGGTTCAAGTGGCCTTCTTGCCTCAAGTTGGTACACCACTAAAGCACCATCACAGTGCCATAGACCCCAGTGAGGTCAGTTAAGAACTCTGCTGCCACCACATTGTAACTCAATTTCTCCTTCTCACAGCCTTGCTTCACTCATTTCTCCTGCAAATTTCTTGCAAAAAAAATCTCTACTTCAGGGTCTGTTTTCTGGGAAATCTACAAAAAGAGTTGATACTGGCAGTAGCACTAGGAAGCAGACTCTAAATTGGAATTTTATTTGAATAAAGAACTTGATTACCTGCCCGTCAGCTGCTAATGAAGACCCTGTCACTAGTGGTAGGTACTAATAGCCCCCAGTGTGCTGGAGTAGAATTATTAATGCTATTATTATCAGTGGTGAACCAAAATGAGATACCAGCTAAAACAAATGCACTTATTGGTGTAATGTCTCAGGAGAGTTTGAGAAGTATGGAGGAAGTAGTATTTATAAAGATTATGCATTTGGATGGCTGCTCTGGTGCTACTTTATATTGGGAAAAGACAGCACAATACGAGGAAGATACTCCTCGACCTAAGATAAACATGAAGGTTAGAGGGTCTTACTGGCAACAGAAGGAGGCTCATCTCCAGCAACTGAAAGGCAGAAAAATCTGAGAACCAGACTCTTCCTTAATTATAAGAGTATCAGAGCTTCAGAGAAAGTTGAATTCTCAACCTCAAGCACTTTACTTCACAACAATCAATTTCCAAACTTGTTCCTATATCTCATTGATGAAAAGGTATGCCATGGTGCAATAAGAAAAGACCCTCCAGCACCACAGCAAGTGTGTATAGGAATAAGCCCCTAATTAGAAAAAACAACATCCACTTTCCTTGGTAACCACTGGAGAAACAGGAATAACCAAAGGTTTTGAGGACTGTTTGGCAAAGGTTCTGTATTAACATTGACAGCTGAGGACTTAAAAAATTATCATATGCCCTGGTAGAGTAGTGGTATCTGAGGGCTAGGTAATAAATAGAGTCATGTTGAGTATGTCACAGAGGGTTCAGTTGGTGGTCATTTCCCCATTCAGCAAATGTGTATTTTGGAGGGACATGCTTAGTAGTTGGCAGAAAACCTACATTGGTTTCTTGACCTGAGGTGAAGTAGCTATTATAATGCAGAATGCAAAGTAGTTTATGAAGCTGCCCCTCCCTCTATTCAAGAGAGGGAATAAGATTTTTGCATCCTGGGTAGAATGTTAAAGGTTAGTGTTACCCTCAAAGACCTAGGTTTTAATCACCTTCATATCCCCATTTAATTCACCAGTCTGGCCACTACAAAAAGCAAATGGGTCCTGGCAGATGATAATGCACTCCCCCTAACTCAACCAAGCACTAGCCCCAATTGTAGATGCTGTGCCAGATGTGGTATTTCTGCTTGAGCACATCAACGTGACCTCAAGAACATAATCTGGTAAGTGCATTCTTTTCTGTCCCTATTAAGAAGGAGGATCAGAAGCAATTCCCATTTATGCAGGAACAACATGTAAGATTTTACCTCAGTGTACTGTCAATTCTCCAAGGGCACTATGACACTGGGATCATGCTTCAGAGGTGTCCCAAACTGAGAAAGGCCACTTGAACCCATCATCAAATGCAGCTGACTTAAGAGAAGATGTGTAAACTTGAGTGTGGGAGCTCCCTTTGTTTACAGGCAGTACTGGGTAGAGGCTCATCTGTGGCCCATCAGCAGCCAACAATTCTGGTAGCTAAGGAAATGAATACCTTGATCCTGAAGGCACCACTGGAGTGGTAACTGACATTATCTGTTATAATGTGGTGTGAAGGGATCACAACCCACTGGACATTCCACAGACTATCACATTGGCCCACTGTATTGATGGCATGTGAATTGGATTTGAAGGCAGTAGTGGAACACTTTTGTTTTTGAGTGTGAGAGATAAACTCTATGAAGATTTGACTTTCCCCAATATCAGTAAAGTTTTTAAGAGTCCAGAGATCCAGGGCATGCCTAGATATCCCTCTAAAGTGAAGGCCAGATTATTGCACCTTCTCCTACCACAAAGACGGAAGCACAGGTTCTAGAGGCAGCATATTTTGTACCTGGAAATATTTCTCTAATCCACTTACTGAGTGAAACAAAGGTCAAGAGTTTTAAGTGGAACCAAAAGCAGCAAATACAGGCCATGGTAGATTTAGACCTGTGCCTTGCACAATAAAATCCAGCAGAAGCTATAATACTAGAGGCATCTGTGACAACAAGAGACATTCTGTGGAGCTTACAACCAGGCTTTATAGGAAAATAATGATGACCTCTACAGTTCTGGAGCAAAGCCGCGCTATCTGAAGTTTGAAACCATATACACCATTCAAATGTAGCTCCTGTTAAGTTACTAGACTCCTGTAGAGCTCACACTTCTGATTTAGGCCATGAAGTGAGCATGGAGCCACAGCTGTCCTTATAGCTGGGTCTGTCTGAATACAGAGCCAGGGGTCAGGCAGTGTCAATAGCAACCTGCCATAAGATGGAATTGTATCTTGGATCAGAAATGCACAAAACAGAGACACAGGAAAGCTATGCAATCAAGTGGCCCAGAGGACCCCGTCATCAACCACTGCTTCACTGGCTTCTCTCTCTCAGCTTGCACCCATGACTGCATGGGACTCCTTAACACCAGCTGAAGGAGGAGGAAAAAGAGACTAGTCACAGATGAGTCAATTTGGAATGTGGGTACAAGCTAAAAATGGACTGTTATTATACTACAGTCTTATTTATAAATGGCCCAGAAAAGGGGAAGTAAGAAAAAATCCTACTAATGGATAGAGCTTGGGACAATACATCTGATCATCACTTTGGGTTAAAAGAGAAATGGCTGAGGGATTCTTGGGCGGTGGTGAATTGTTTCACTGGTCATTCAAAAGTCTGGAAGGGGTAATATTGAAAGATAAAGAAGAAGGTATGGGCAAATAGCATGGGCATGGAGGGTGAGGACCTTTGCTTTTTCTGTTGACACTCACCAGAGTGTCCACCAGGAAGAGTGATTGCCATGGCTCTAGAGAGAGAATAGGTGCCCAGCAGACATATATTAATTGGGAAATAACATATAACAGGTTATTGTTGCCCCAGTAGAATACAATGGGTAAAAGTAACAATCTACATCAGATAGAAAAATGAAGCCCCTCCCAATTTTTATTTTTAATGTTTTTTGAGATGTAGTCTCACTCTGTCACCTGGGCTGGAGTACAGTGGCATGATCTCAGTTCACCACAGCCTCCGCCTCCCAGGTTCAAGCGATTCTCGTGCTTCCACCTCCTAAATAGCTGGAATTACAGGCATGCACCATCGCACCCAGCTAATTTTTGCATTTTTAGTAGAGACAGGTTTCACCATGTTGACCAGGCTGGTCTTGAACTCTTGACCTCAAGTGATCCACCCACTTCAGCCTCCCAAAGTGTTGGGATTACAGGTGTGAGCCACTGTGCCCAGCCCCAATTTTTGAGATAGTTGTTTAAAATATACACAACCAGAAGCAAAAATGAAACAAAAATAAAAGTAACATCAGGTGACACTGAAATCGTATATTGTTCTGTACCACATAACTATCAGCTGGGCATGATGAAGAGGATATCTTAATTTGAATGGGAATCAGCATTTCAAGGGAGATTTTTTGTGAAGATGTGTTGATGTCTATAGGTGTGTATTAAATAGGAAGTGTTTCACTAACTTAAGAAACATGTTTTAGTCTTATTCCAGTGGCTATAACAGAATAACATAGACTGGGTGGTTTGTAAACAACATTTATTTCTCAGAGTTGTGAAGGGTGGGAAATCATACATCCAAGCTCCAGCAGACTTAATGTCTGGTGAGGGTCCACTTCCTGGTTCTTTCTGATGTGTCCTCACATGGTATAAGGGAAGGAGGCAGCTCTCTGGGGTCCCTTTTATAAGGGCACTAACTCCATTCACAGCCCTTGTGACCTAATCACTCCTCTTGCTAATGCCATCACATTGCAAATCAGGATTTCAACATATGAATTTTGGGAAAACACAAACGTTCAGTCTACAGCACATTGGATAATTCAAAGATCACTGGACTAAGATTTATGAGAGCTGCATTCTAGCCTCATCTCTGCTACGAGCAGGTTGTGAGACTTGAGACTTTCTATACTTTGATTTTCTAATCTATAAAGTAAGATGTTAGACTAGCTCTGGGGCTCTTTACATTTTTCCAGCTCTCACGGGAACATACATGATGCCTCCACATGTGTGTCCAGACTTTGACAATTGTGCCCCAGAACTGGGAAACTGCCCATTCTAGAAATTCCCACTCCTTGATCACAACAAACAGGGAGAAGCTTGATCAACATGCATTTAATTTCTCATTTAATTATAAAATTCTGTCCTTCTTGATATAGTTTCCAACAATAGAAATTAAGATATGACCTCTAGGCTCCCCGCCTCTTCAATTTATTTTCTTGTGTTTCTAGGATATGCTAAGACCAACACTTCTTTTTTAAATTGTTAATCACTATGTGGTAATCATGTCTCCACTTGGACAAAAAATAATTAACATTTATAAAAGAAATTTACAATGTAGTAATGGCAGTTTACACACTCCATGCCTTTCCTCTAAACCTATCGAATATTTTCTTTGTGACTACAACTCTAAAGGAAAACAAAAAAGCAAACAAAAAGTGAATTAGAAAATATTGATTTCATAGGGTATGTGTTAAGTAATTAAGAAGACATGTTTAAAGTGGCTAAAACATATGAATTAGATTAAAAGTATAAACCCACCCCCAAGTACATTTTGGGGAATATAAGTAACTTCATATTACTTAGGAAAAAATTACTTTGGGATATACTCTAGCAAAATTAAAAAGTAGTAGATTATTTATCAGAGAAAGGTAAATCAAAATGACAGTGAAATACCATTTTGGACCCACTAGGATGGCTATAATGAAAATGGCAGATAATAGCAAGTACTGGTGAAGATATAGAAAAATTGGAACCTTCATAAGCTACTGGTGTGATTTTAAAAATGTGGTAGCCACTTGACAAACAGCCTGACTTTTTCTCAAAAGGTTAAACACAAAGTTACCTAGATTTACCATATGTGTTAGTCCATTTCACACTGCTATAAAGAAATATTTGACACTAGGTAATTTATAAAGGAAAGGGATTTAATTGACTTAGAGTTCCACATGGCTGGGGAGGCCTTAGGAAACTTACAATCATGGAAGAAGGTGAAGGGGAAGCAAGGACCTTTTTCAAATTGTAGCAGGAGAGAGAGAGAGACAAAGACAGAGAGAGAGAGAGAAGCCTAGGGGCCTAGTCCTATCATGAGAACAGCATGGGGGAAACCACCCCCATGACTGAATCACTTCCTACTAGGTCTCTCCCTTGACACGTGAGGATTATAGGGATTACAATTTGAGATGCGATTTGGGTGGGGACACAGAGCCAAACCATATGATCCTGACACTGGCCTGTCTCAAATCTCACATCATTTTTACATTTCAAAACCAATCATGCCTTCCCAACAGTCCCCCAAAGTCTTAACTCATTACAGCACTAATCCAAAAGTCCAAATCTGAAGTCTCATCTGAGACGAGGCAAATCCCTTCTGCCTAGGAGCCTGTAAAATCAAAAGCAAGTTGGTTACCTCCAAGATACAGTGGGGGTATAGGCATTGGGTAAAGCTCCCATTCCAAATGAGAGAAAATGGTCAAAACGAAGGGGCTACAGGAACCACCCAAGTCCAAAATCCAGTGGGGCAGTCATTAAATCTTAAAGTTCCAAAATAATTTCCTTTGACTCCATGTCTCACATCCAGGTCATGCTGATGCAAAGGGTGGGCTCCCGAGACCCTGGGCATCTCTGCCCCCATGGCTTTGCAGGGTTCAGCCTCTGTAGCTGCTCTCATGGGCTGGTGTTCAGTGCCTGCAGCTTTTCCAGGCACAAGGCGCAAGCTATTGGTGGATCTATCATTCTGGGGTTTGAAGGATGGTAACTGTCTTCTCATAGCTTCACTAGACAGTTCTCCAGTAAGGACTCTGTGTGGGGGCTCCAACCCTACATTTCCCTTCCACATTGCCCTAGCAGAGGTTCTCCATGATGGCCCCACCCTGGCAGCAGATGTCTTTCTGGACATCCAGGCATTTCCATACATCCTTTGAAATCTAGGAGGAGGTTCCCAAACCTTGACTTCTGTGCACCCACAGGCCCAAGGTTCACAAACCTTGATTTCTGTGCACCCTTGACTTCTGTGCACCCACAGACTTCTGTGCACCACATGGAAGCTACCAGGCTTGGGGCTTGCACCCTCTGAAGCAATGGCCCAAGCTGTACCTTGGCCGCTTTTAGCCACAGCTGGAGCTGGAGCAGCTGGGACACAGGGCACTAAGTCCGGAGGCTGCACAAAGCAACAGGGCCCACAAAACCATTTTTCCCTCCTAGGCCGCCAGGCTTATGGTTGGAGGGGCTGCCATAAACTCTCTGTCATGGCCTGGAGACATTTTCTCCACTGTCATAGCTATTAACTTTCAGTTTCTTGTTACTTAAGCAAATTTCTGCAGCCAGCTTGAATTTTTCCCCAGAAAATGGATTATTATTTTCTACCACATGGTCAGGCTGCAAAATTTCCAAAATTTTATACTCTGTCACCTCTTGAATGCTTTCCTGCTTAGAAATTTCCTTTTCTAGAAATACCTAATGTAGATGATGGGTTGATGGGTGCAGCAAACCACCCATGGCACATGTATAACTATGTAACAAACCTGCACGTTCTGCACATGTATCACAGAACTTAAAGATAAAAAAAGATACTTCTTTCACCAGATACTCTAAATCATCTCTCTCAAGTTCAAAGTTCCACAGGTCTCTAGGGCAGGGGCAAATGCTACCAGTTTCTTTGCTGATGCATAGCAAAAGCGACCTTTGCTCCAGTTCCCAAGAAATTCCTCATCTCCATCTGAGACCACCTCAGCCTGGACTTCATTGTCCATATCACTATCTGCATTTTGGTCAAAACCATTCAACAAGTCTCTAGGAAGTTCTACCTTCCCATATCTTCCTATCTGCTTCTGAGCCCTCCAAACTGTTCCAACCTCAGCCCATTACCCAGTTCCAAATTTGCTTCCACATTTTCAACTATCTTTATGGCAGTACCCCACTCTTTGAGGTACCAATTCTCTGTATTAGTTCATTTTCACACTGCTATAAATAAATATAAGAAACTGCAATTTATAAAGGAAAGAGAGTTAATTGACTCACAGTTCCACATGGCTGGGGAAGCATCAGGAAACTTATACTCATGGCAGAAGGCAAAGAGGAAGCAAGTACCTTCTTCACATGGTGGCAGGAGAGAGAGAGAGAAGCCCAGGGGAAGCTATTTATAAAACCATCAGATCTCGTGAGAACTCATTCACTATCACAAGAACAGCATAAAAGGAACCGCTCCCATGATCTAATCACCTGCAATCAGGTCCTTCTCTTGACACATGGGAATTATTGGGATTACAATTAGAGATGAGATTTGGGTGAGGACACAGCCAAACCATATTATTATATGACCCAGCAGAAATGAAAATATATGTTCAGGCAAAAGCTTATATATTCACAGAAGCATTATTCATAACAGCCAAAAAAAGTGGAAAAACCCAAATGTCCATCAACTGATGAATGGATTTTTAAAATGTGGCATATCCATACAACGGAATATTATTTAGCAATAAAAATAAATGAAGAATGATACATGCTGCAACATGGATGAACCTTGAAAATATTAAGTGAAAGATACTGGATGTAAAAGACTATGTATTGTATGTTTCCATTTAAACACAATGTACAGAATAGGTAAATCATTAGAGACTGAAAGTAGATTAGGGGTTGCCTAGGGTTGGAGTTTGGAGTGGAAGGAAATGGGAGAGACAACTAATGGGTATAGAGTTTCTTTTGGAGTGACAAAAATGTTCTATAATTGATCGTGGTGATGGTTGCACAACTCTCTGGCTATACTGAAAACCACTGGATGGATGAATTTTATATGTGAACCAGATCTTAATGAAACTGCTACAAAACATAATGAAAGAGAGATAAAGGCTTGGAATATGAGATATATTATATGATGGTAACCACTAAGTGGATGAAAGAAATCCTGCTATGAGATGGATGCAGTGGCTCACGCCTGTAATCCCAGCACTTTCGGAGGCCAAGCCAGGTGGACTGCTTGAGGCCAGGAGTTTGAGACCAGCCTGGGCAACATAGTGAGACCCTGTCTCTACAAAAAATACAAAAAATTAGCCGGGCATGGTGGCACATGCCTGTAATCCCAGCTACTTCGGAGGCTGAGGCATAGTAATTGCTTGAACACAGAAGGCAGAGGTTGCATGAGCTGAGATCATGCCACTGCACTCCAGCCCAGCTGACAGAGAGACTCTGTCTCAAAAAAAAAAAAAAAAAAAAAAAACAAGAAATCCTACTATGATAACTGTGCAAGAGGCTGACAAATAAGAGAGTAATAAACACAAATTCACAAAAGAAGACTTACAAATGGGGGCGAATAGGAACAGCTCCAGTCTACAGTTCCCAGTGTGAGTGACACAGAAGATGGGTGATTTCTGCATTTCCAACTGAGGTACTGGGTACATCTCACTGGGGCTTATCGGACAGTGGGGACAGGACAGTGGGTGCAGCCCACCAAGCGTGAGCCAAACCAGGGTGAGGCATTGCCTCAGCCAGGAAGCCCAAGGGGTCAGAGAATTCCCTTTCCTAGACAAAGGAAGCAGTGACAGATGGCATCTGGAAAATTGGGTCACTCCCACCCTAATACAGAGCTTTTCTAATGGTCTTGGCAAATGCCACACCAGGAGATTATATCCCGTGCCTGGCTCAGAAGGTCCCACGCCCACAGAGCCTCGCTCATTGCTAGCACAGCAGTCTGAGATCAAACTGCAAAGCGGCAGCCAGGCTGGGGAGGGGCACTTGCCATTGCTGAGGCTTGAGTAGGTAAAGAAAGTGGCAGGGAAGCTCAAACTGGGTGGAGCCCACTGCAGCTCAAGGAGGCCTGCCTGCCTTTGTAGACTCCACCTCTGGGGGCAGGGCATAGCCAAACAAAAGGCAGCAGAAACCTCTGCAGACTTAAATGTCCCTGTCTGACAGCTTTGAAGTGAGTAGTGGTTCTCCCAGCACGGAGTTTGAGACCTGAGAACGGACAGACTGCCTCCTCAAGAGGGTCCCTGACCCCTGAGTAGCATAACTGGGAGGCACCCTCCAGTAGGGGCAGACTGACACCTCACATGGCCAGGTACCCCTCTGAGACGAAGCTTCCAGAGGAACGATCAGGCAGCAACATTTGCTGTTCAGCAATATTCGTGGTTCTGCAGCCTCTGCTGCTGATACCCAGGCAAACAGGGTCTGAAGTGGAAGTTCAGCCAATTCCAACAGACCTGCAGCTGAGTCCTGATTGTTAGAAGGAAATCTAACAAACAGAAAGGACATCCACACCAAAACCCCATCTGTACGTCACCATCATCAAAGACCAAAGGTAGATAAAACCACAAAGATGGGAAAAAAACAGAACAGAAAAGCTGAAAAATCTAAAAATCAGAGCACCTCTCCCCCTCCAAAGGAACGCAGCTCCTCACCAGCAACAGAACAAAGCTGGACAGAGAATGACTTTGACAAGTTGAGAGAAGAAGGCTTCAGACGATCAAACTTCTCCGAGCTAAAGGAGGAAGTTTGAACCCATCAAAAAGAAGCTAAAAACCTTAAAAAAAAATTAGATGAATGACTAACTAGAATAATCAGTGTAGAGAAGTCCTTAAATGACCTGATGGAGGTGAAAACAATGGCATGAGAACTACGTGACGAATG
The DNA here is from genome assembly GCF_000001405.40 of Homo sapiens. Lineage (NCBI taxonomy): Eukaryota > Metazoa > Chordata > Mammalia > Primates > Hominidae > Homo > Homo sapiens. The sequence goes on along the minus strand of NC_000005.10, from coordinate 67,665,644 downwards.
CACAAGTTTCTGTAGCCTATTCGATCAACTGGAAGAAAGGGTATCAGTGATTGAAGATCAGATGAATGAAATGAAGTGACAAGAGAAGTTTAGAGAAAAAAGAGTAAAAAGAAACGAACAAAGCCTCCAAGAAATATGGCACTATATGAAAAGACCAAATCTACGTCTAATTGGTGTACCTGAAAGTGACAGGGAGAATGGAACCAAGTTGGAAAACACTCTGCAGGATATTATCCAAGAGAACTTCCCCAATCTAGCAAGGCAGGCCAACATCCAAATTCAGGAAATACAGAGAATGCCACAAAGATACTCCTCGAGAAGAGCAACTCCAAGACACATAATTGTCAGATTCATCAAAGTTGATATGAAGGAAAAAATGTTAAGGGCAGCCAGAGAGAAAGGTCGGGTTACCCACAAAGGGAAGCCCATCAGACTAACAGATGATCTCTCAGCAGAAACTCCACAAGCCAGAAGAGAGTGGGGGCCAATATTCAACATTCTTAAAGAAAAGAATTTTCAACCCAGAATTTCATGTCCAGCCAAATTAAGCTTCATAAGTAAAGGAGAAATAAAATTCTTTACAGACAAGCAAACGCTGAGAGATTTTGTCACCACCAGGCCTGCCCTACAAGAACTCCTGAAGGAAGCACTAAACATGGAAAGGAACAACCGGTAGCAGCCACTGCAAAAACATGCCAAATTGTAAAGACCATCGATGCTAGGAAGAAACTGCCTCAACTAATGAGCAAAATAACCAGCTAACATCATAATGACAGGATCAAATTCACACATAACAATATTAACCTTAAATGTAAGTGGGCTAACTGCTCCAGTTAAAAGACACAGACTGGCAAATGGGATAAAGAGTCAAGACCCATTAGTGTGCTGTATTCAGGAGACCCATCTCATGTGTAGAGACACACATAGGCTCAAAATAAAGGGATGGAGGAAGATCTACCAAGCACATGGAAAACAAAAAAAGGCAGGGGTTGCAATCCTAGTCTCTGATAAAACAGACTTTAAACCAACAAAGATCAAAAGAGACAAAGAAGGCCATTACATAATGGTAAAGGGATCAATTCAACAAGAAGAACTAACTATCCTAAATATATATGCACCCAATACAGGAGCACCCACATTCATAAAGAAAGTCCTTAGAGACCTACAAAGAGACTTAGACTCCCACACAATAATAATGGGATGTTTTAACACCCTAACTGTCAACATTAGACAGATCAATGAGACAGAAAGTTAACAAGGATATCCAGGAATTGAACTCAGCTCTGTACCCAATAGACATCTACAGTGGACCTAATAGACATCTACAGAACTCTCTGCCCCAAATCAACAGAATATACATTCTTCTCAGCACCACATCGCATTTATTCCAAAATTGACCACATAGTTGGAAGTAAAGCACTCCTCAGCAAATGGAAAAGAACAGAAATTATAACAAACGATCTCTCAGACCACAGTGCAATCAAACTAAAACTCAGAATTAAGAAACTCACTCAAAACCGCTCAACTGAATGGAAACTGAACAAAGTGCTCCTGAATGACCACTGGGTACATAAAAACATGAAGGCAGAAATAAAGACGTTCTTTGAAACCAATGAGAACAAAGACACAACATACCAGAATCTCCGGGACACACTTAAGGCAGTGTGTAGAGGGAAATTTATAGCACTAAATGCCCACAGGAGAAAGCAGGAAAGATCTAAAATTGACACCCTAACATCACAATTAAAAGAACTAGAGAAGCAAGAGCAAACACATTCAAAAGCTAGCAGAAGGAAATAAATAACTAAGATCAGAGCAGAACTGAAGGAGATAGAGACACAAAAAACCCTTTAAAAAATCAGTGAATCCACGAGCTGGTTTTTTGAAAAGAGCAACAAAATTGATAGACTGCTAGCAAGATTGATAAAGAAGAAAAGAGAGAAGAATCAAATAGACGCAATAAAAAATGATAAAGGGGATATCACCACTGATCCCACAGAAATACAAACTACCATCAGAGAATACTATAAACACCTCTAGGCAAATAAACTAGAAAATCTAGAAGAAATGGATAAATTCCTGGACGCATACACCGTCCCAAGACTAAACCACAAAGAAGTTGAATCCCTGAATAGACCAATAACAGGCTCTGAAATTGAGGCAATAATTAATAGCCTACCTACCAAAAAAAGTCCATGACCAGACGGATTCACAGATGAATTCTACCAGAGGTAAAGGAGGAGCTGGTACTATTCCTTCTGAAACTATTCCAATCAATAAAAAGAGAGGGAATCCTCCCTAATTCATTTTATGAGGCTAGCATCATACTGATACCAAATCCTGGCAGAGACACAACAAAAAAAAAAAGAATTTTAGACAATATCCCTGATGAACATTGATGCAAAAATCCTCAATAAAAAACTGGCAAAACAAATCCAGCAGCACATCAAAAAGCTTATCCACCATGATCAAGTGGGCTTCATCCCTGGGATGCAAGGCTAGTTCAACAAACGTGAATCAATAAATGTACTCCAGCATATAAACAGAACCAAAGACAAAAAACACATGATTATCTCAATAGATGCAGAAAAGGCCTTTGACAAAATTCAACAACTCTTCATGCTAAAAACTCTCAATAAATTAGGTACTGATGGGACGTATCTCAAAATAATAAGAGCTATTTACGACAAACCCACAGCCAATATCATACTGAATGGGCAAAAACTGGAAGCATTCCCTTTGAAAACTGGCACAAGACAGGGATGCCCTCTCTCACCACTCCTATTCAACATAGTGTTGGAAGTTCTGGCCAGGGCAATCAGGCAGGAGAAAGAAATAAAGGGTATTCAATTAGGAAAAGAGGAAGTCAAATTGTCCCTATTAGCAGATGACATAATTGTACATTTAGAAAACCCTATTGTCTCAGCCCAAAATCTCCTTAAGCTGATAAGCAACTTCAGCAAAGTCTCAGGATACAAAATCAATGTGCAAAAATCACAAGCATTCTTATACACCAATAACAGACAAACAGAGAGCCAAATCATGAGTGAACTCCCATTCACAATTGCTTCAAAGAGAATAAAATACCTAGGAATCCAACTTACAAGGGATGTGAAGGACCTCTTCAAGGAGAGCTACAAACCACTGCTCAACGAAATAAAAGAGGACACAAACAAATGGAAGAACCTTCTATGCTCATGGATAGGAAGAATCAATATAGATTCAATGCCATCCCCATGAAGCTACCAATGACTTTCTTCACAGAATTGGAAAAAACTAAAGTTCATATGGAACCAAAAAAGGGCCCACATTGCCAAGACAATCCTAAGCCAAAAGAACAAAGCTGGAGGCATCACGCTACCTGACTTCAAACTATACTACAAGGCTATTGTAATCAAAACAGCATGGTGCTGGTACCAAAACAAAGATATAGACCAATGGAACAGAACAGAGCCCTCAGAAATAACACCATGCATCTACAACCATCTGATCTTTGACAAACCTGAGAAAAACAAGAAATGGGGAAAGGACTCCCTATTTAATAAATGGTGCTGGGAAAACTCGCTAGCCATATGTAGAAAGCTGAAACTGGATCCCTTCCTTAACCTTATACAGAAATTAATTCAAGATGGATTAAAGACTTAAATGTTAGACCTAAAACCATAAAAACCCTAGAAGAAAACCTAGGCAATACCATTCAGGACATAGGCACGGGCAAGGACTTCACATCTAAAACACCAAAAGCAATGACAACAAAAGCCAAAATTGACAAATGGGATTTAATTATACTAAAGAGCTTCTGCACAGCAAATGAAACTACCTTCAGAGTGAACAGGCAACCTACAGAATGGAAGAAAATTTTTGCAATCTACCCGTCTGACAAACAGCTAATATCAGAATCTACAAAGAACTCAAACAAATTTACAAGAAAAAAACAACCCCATCAAAAAGTGGGCAAAGGATTATGAACAGACACTTCTCCAAAGAGGACACTGATGCAGCCAACAGACACATGAAAAAATGCTCATCATCACTGGCCATCAGAGAAATGCAAATCAAAACCACAATGAGATACCACCTTACACCAGTTAGAATGGCAATCATTAAAAAGTCAGGAAACAACAGGTGCTAGAGAGGATGTGGAGAAATAGGAACATTTTTACACTGTTGGTGGGACTGTAAACTAGTTCAACCATTGTGGAAGACAGTGTGGCAATTCCTCAGGGATCTAGAACTAGAAATACCATTTGACCCAGCAATCCCATTACTGGTTATATACCCAAAGGATTATAAATCATGCTGCTATAAAGACACGTTTATTGCGGCACTATTTACAATAGCAAAGAGTTGGAACCAACCGAAATGTCCATCAATGATAGACTGGATTAAGAAAATGTGGCACATATACACCATGGAATACTATGCAGCCATAAAAAGGATGAGTTCATGTCCTTTGTAAGGACATGGATGAAGCTGGAAACCATCATTGTCAGCAAACTATCGCAAGGACAAATAACCAAACACTGCATGTTCTCACTCATAAGTGGGAATTGAACAATGAGAACACTTGGACACAGGAAGGGGAACATCACACACTGGGGCCTGTCATGGGGTTGGGGGATGGGGGAGGGATTGCATTAGGAGATATACCTAATATAACTGATGAGTTAATGGGTGCAGCACACCAACATGGTGCACGTATACATATGTAACAAACCTGCACGGTGTGCACATGTACGCTAAAACTTAAAGTATAATAAAAAAAAGAAAGAAGACTTACAAATGGACAATAAAATATTCAACCTTACTGGTAATCAAAGGGTGCAAATTAAAAAGAAGATTTTTTTCCTTAGCAGAGGAACGAAAACATTTTATAATAATACGTTTTAGGTATATAAAATATTTTATATGTATAATATAATAATATATAATATAAAACTTTATGTATTGGTAGGTCATGAATTTGCTGAAAGAAAACATTTTTGTATGAAAATAATGAAAAATAACAGGAAAAATATCTCATTTTCTAAACAAATGTTTTTTAGTGAGGGATTTTCTCTTATTTATTGTTGTAAAACTCTCTCTCCTTGCCCATCGTTGAACTTAAAATTCAACATGTGGTTGGTAAAGAAATATCTAATATTTATCTGAATGAATCCATAACTGGCTATATCAGTTTAATGAAATGTTACTTTTTGCTTCTCAATGATCGTTTCTCAGTATGGGCAAGTCCTAAGCTAATCTCTCACCTTTCCAGGAGGCGGTTGGAGCTGCTGACCTTGCCAAGAGATAGGCAGACACAAACAGAGCGGCACCATTCAGCTCAGCTGTCCATTGGCTGGGCTGTCAGGGTGTGAGTAATCATTACATTGTTGTAAAATATTGCTAAAAGATTTTTCATTTTTACACTCTAACAAAAATTACTTTGGGACCTAAATTAAAGTTCCTGTATTAAAACCAACTTGTGTCACCCAGCTTATATTTAAGTCCTATAGCTTTCAACTTATTTAGGAAACAAGGTTGTATTTGTTTAAGGTTGACCAGGCTTCTAAACAGGATAGTCCCAGAGACTGCTACCAAAGCACGCAAGGAATGAATTAGTTATATAAGAGCTAACATTTATTAAGTACTTACTCAGTTCTAGATATAGTTCTAAGTACTTTACATGTATTAGTTTATTTAATTCAATGAGAAAAATTTACAGTTAAGGAAAATTAAGTTTACCCAAAAAGTAATTGACTTGTCCAAGACTGCACAGTTAACAACAGCAAGAACAGAATTTGAGCCCTAGTAATTGACTTTCTGCGAGTATGTTCTTAACTACCAAAGTGTTTGATAGAGGTCATTTTAAAAGACTGAATGTGGGAAAATTGTTGCCTGTTTTTCTGATTATAAATTATTGGAGCAAATATTAGAACTGGAAATTAATGATGTTTCTAAAGCAATAAAATTATTATTTCAGAATTTCAAGGGAAACAAAAAGATTTCAAAGTCAGGTAGGCTCTGGCTAGGAGGGTGGATTAAACACCACATAGCTGAGTTGTGGTTGCCAATGAGTTGCGTCTTTTGACGTATACCAAGCCAACACATTAAGCCTCATTACCTCAGTCATATTGAATTACATTTTGTAATTTAATGAAACGTGAAGTTAGACGGTGCAGTACAGTCATCAGCTTAAAGTGTTGATGTGTTCTCTGGCAAAGAGACAACTGGATAGACTCAATTCTCAGTCTTCCCATTCTGATGGAGGCGATCAGCTCTGTCCCAGCCTCATTTTGGCTAATAAGCGAAATGCCTTTTTTTTCCATATCTTTTTGGCAAATTATGTTTATGTTTTTATCTTTTATTATTTTTTCTCTTTTCCTTTTGATAAGAAGCCCATGAATAGAGAGAATGTTGGAAAAGTTTAGCCCCAGATTTTGTAATATGAGGTAGAATCTTGCTTAGAAGGGTGCCTTCAGTGTTAATGTAGGAAAGAGCATTAAATATAGTATTGTGCTTTTTTAAAAGATCCTGGTACCGTAGTAACTAGATCCTATTAGACAAGCTGCAGGAAGAAGCTGTCCCATGCCTAAGATTTTGTGTGTGTGTGTGTGTGTGTGTGTGTGTATTTGTTTAGTTTTTCACTCTTTGTCTTTATATAGGAAGACAATGGTGCTATTGTGAGGTTTCAGAGAATGTATATTGAATTACAGCTATAAATGCCCCTCTCAAAGTAAAATAAAGGGAGGATGTATCAGGAGAGGTGGAGATAAGAATGGCTTATGCCCTAGACTCTGTTTTCTCTCTGGTCAATGATTTCATTAATAAAGGAAAATAATCAGAACAGATTTCCTTTAGAGCAGTGTTTCACAAAATGTGGTCCTTGGGCCATCAATATCAGCAACACTTGGGAATTTGTCAGAAATGCAAATTCTCAGGTGTATTGGATCAAAACCTCTGGAGTTGGGTCTCAGCAATTGGTGACTGACAAGCTCTCCGGGTAGTTCTGATGCACACTCAAACTTGAGAACCACAGTCTCAGCCTACTTCTAAGGCTATCCCAACTGTCAGGGACTAATAATCCATAATTAATATTTTGAGGATAAATAAGTAATGCTGGCCCAAGTGTGCAAAACTCAGGGATACAGTGGTTATGAGTTGTCTCCTGATCCATGGAGCTGTGTCAGGTCCTCACTTTAAATCCAACTTGGTGTCCTAACTCAGGTATCACATCCAGAGTTAGGAGTGATGGGGAATAAAAGCCAATATTCCCTTAGTTGTACATACCATACCACTTCAAAAATAAACATCCTTGAACATAATATCCGTACCTTTTCCCAATTACTTACTTAAAACATATTTTTGGAAATAGATTTTCTGAGATGAAAGTCGTGAACTTTAAACTGTAATCTATTTTGCTAAATTACCTTTAAAATCATTGAAATAATCTATACCACTCATTCCTTGGACACAACATCACTGCTTAGTTCAATCTTTTCCATTTTTGCCAATTTACTTAGGAAGCAATGGCATCTAAATTTTTTTTCTTTTCATTATTAATGGAGTTAAGTAATCCATTAATGACTTTATGGTTGGTGGGCTTATTGGTAACTTCTGAGTAGCTTTTCTTTATCCTTTCTTTAAAAATCACTTTTTTTTTCTTATTTAGTCTGTTACAATACACCAATTTAAACATAGATTTCTTGTTGCTTCCCAGGGACAAAGTCTAGTTAGTCATGACATATATAAAGATAAACACACATGGCCATATGTTCCATGCGCACCCTGGATTCAACTGAATAATATTTTATATTTTATTTTTCATCAACCTTCCTAAGAATATTGAGACTAGATTTTTTCTAATACTTCTATCACCTGATTTTAATATCTAGGTTATACTACCCTTACAAAATAAGCTGGGTGTTTTCTCTCTTTAATTGTCTTAAGATTTTATAATATATGCATTATCTGTTTCTTAAAATTTTGGTAAAAGTTGCCTGAAGATCTGTCTGGGCAGGTGGGTGTCTTGTGAGAAAAATATTTTTGCTATAATTTCAAGCTCCTTAGTAGTTATTACCTGTTTAATTTCTCTATTTATTCTGGAGTCAATTTTATAATTCATATTTTTAAGAAAATTATCCAAAATTTATTGGTATAAATTTGTTCCTAGTTCTTCAAATATTTTTTAACATCTCAACTGTTACTAGTAATTACGTTATGTAATCCATTCCTGTCATAAATTATTTGTGTCTTTTCCTAGATTTCGATCATTCTTATTGAGAGATTTATACTTCTTTTACTCTTTTCAGAGAATCAATTTTTGACTTGTAGTTATTATTTTTTACTTATTTTCTACTTCATAAATGCACGTTATTTTTAATATCTCCTTCCTTGACTTTTTTTGCATTTACAGCATTTTTTTTCCTTTTCTGGCTACTTGAATTGAGCATTGAATTATTTATTTTCAATATATTTGTTTTATAACTTGATTTTAATGGTGAACTGCCACGTTAGTTTTATTCTTTGAGTTTTATATGCAGTATTTTCATTGTTGTTCTATAAATCATAGATAATAATTTGTATCAGATATCCTGTTTAATACGTACATTTTCAATGTTTTTCTAATTTCTAGAACTATGGTATTTTTTCTATTATTTAAAAATTTTAATTCAACTCTATTTTCTTCAGAGAAAGTATTCTTTATGGTATGAACTGTTTGATATCTGCTGAGATTTTCTTTGTAAACTAGTATTGTGGTTGATTTTTGTTAATGTTTTATGTGAACTTATAAACAATATTTATTCTCTCTGTGGGTATATATTAAAGTTTGAAAACTTTATTTTAAATCCTTTCTTCTAAAACTAAATTCGTTTTCTTTAACAAGCAGAATTTGCAGTCTACTTGTAATGTGTATGACTGTGGATTTGCAAATTCTCCTTGTAATTTTTCTAAGTTTTACTTTATATATTGTATAATTCTGGTGCTATGTGCACACAGCTTCAGCATGATTAAATATTTCTAATTGGATAGTCCTTTGACAACAATGTGTTTCTTCATATTCCACAAGATAGGGAGACGCTTTGCGATTTAAGTTTACATTTTGCCTGATACAAATAGTGTTGTACCAACTTTCCTTTAGTTGGTACCCACATGGTATCTTTTGGAATCCCTTTATTTTCAACCTTTCTTTGTTGTTTAATTTTAGGTATATCTATATAAGAAGCATATGCTTAGGTTGTATATTGTGTGTAGTATATGTATGCCCATGTGTCAGTTGTGTTTGTATAGAGTGTATATACTTTTTCACAAAAACAAATTTTTTATTTGACTTCAGTATACCCACAGAACCTAACCACAGATTATAATCTATGACCTATATGTTGGTTACAGAGAAGAATCAAATTAAAAATAGATAATAATCAGTGAAAATAAAATCGAGCAAATAAATAATTTGCATATATTTGGACTAAAGTATAATCAATGTGTTATGAATTAAATGTTTGTATCTCCTCAAAATTCTAATTGTATATGGACATGGGCCTTTGGGAGGTAATTAGGACATGAGGGTGAAGTCTTCGTGATACAGTTAGTGCCTTTATAAAAAGAGACAGTAGAGAGATTGCTTCTGCCCCATCACCTCCCACCCTACCTCTGTTACCCCATGTGATGACATAACCAGGGCCCTCACCAGGTACCAAACTGGCCAACTTCCTAGCCTCTAGAACTGTGAGAATTAAATTTCTGTTGATTAAGCCACTTGGGATGGTATTCTTGCTGTTGCAGCTTGAAAGAACTAACGTACAACATGATGTTGCCAATTATCAAGCCATTATATCATGAAGAATGAAAGATTCAAACCTATGAAATACAGCCAAAAGAGTGATCTTCAAATAATGCATAACCTCAGAAGCTTTCAGCAAGAGGCTTGAAAATGTATGAGCCAATTGCCTACATTTGTAAGCTAAGAGAAGAAAAAAATGCAAGTCAACTAGAATTTTCAAATTATTACAAACAAGGCAAATATTAATAAAAAATGTTAAAGAATTAGCAGGGTTTAAGTAATGATTAAATAGGTTATTTGATAAAAAACAAATAAAACTCTAACAGTTAAATCAAGAAATATAAAAGGACATGAATAAGTAACAAAAATGGGCCACATTTATTCAACAGAAGTAGTTTTAAAATATAGAAAAAATAGATAGAATTCTATTATTACAAATTGGTATATCTTGGGGAAATTGAATATTTTCCAGGAGAATATTTTATAAATATTGACTAAAATATATATAGTAAACCTTACTAACCAAGTATAATAAGGAATTTCAAAGGCTGTTGAGGCCTCTACAAACTACTAAGATCTGATTCTTTTTTGAAAAGTTTTTTTTTATTTTGAGATAATTTTAGACTTAAAGTTGCAAAAAAGTAGTGTTCCCATACACCTTTTATTCTAATTCCTGTAATGTTAATATCTTACATAACCATAGAAACATTATGAAAATCAAGAAATTAACATCACTGCAATACTATTAACTATAGACTTTATTCAGGCTTCACCAGTTTTTGTACTAGTCATTTTCCAGAATTCAGTCCAAGATCCTGAGCGTTCTACTTAGTCGTCGGGTTTGCTTCAGTCTGTGGCAATTTCTTTGTCTTTCCTTGTCTTTTATGATCTTGACACTTTGACGAGTATTGGTCATGTATCTTGTAGAATATCCCACTAATTGAGTTTGTGTGATATTTTCTCAGGATTAGAGTAAGGTTTTGCTTATTGGGAAGAACAACACAGAGGATATTTGCCCTTCTCAGTGCATGAGATCGGGGGTTACGGGATGCTGATTTGTCTTATTGTTGATGATGTTTACTGTTACTATTTGGTTCCTGTGTTACCTGCCAGGTTTCCCCACTGTAATTAATTAATATTTTGGGAGCAGTTGATACTTTGAGGCCATGCAATATTCTGTTTCTCCTCATACTTTTACCCACTAATTTAAGAATAATCAGTGGCTCTTATCTGCAGCGATTATTACGTGGCCTATGGTGATTTTCTATTTTCTTCAACCCCTTTACATCTATTAATTGGAATTCTTCCACAAGGAAGGGTTATTCCTTTTCCATCATGTGTTTATTCATTCAATTATTTATCATCATGAACTTTTGGATATTTATTTATCCTCACCTATCTCTGAAATCAACCATTCCTCCAGAGGGCCCTGGTTACTTTTATTAGAGAATGACATTTTAAAACCAGGACCTTGACTGTGAATATGTTTTCATCTTATTTTATAATCTGCATCTTTTAAAAAGTGAGTTCAATCCATTTATATTTTATTGTGAAGACTGACATATTTGGAGTAATTTCTGCCATCTTATTTTTTATTTTCTGTTTACTATGCTTTTTTTTTCCATTTTATTCATCCTTCCTATCTCCTGTTAACTTGATACAATTTTCTTTATTCTCTATTTTTCTGCTGATTTTGAAGCTATGGCATATATAGTTAGTTATTACCATCAGATTTTTCATATGCTTATCTAAAATTCTATTCACAGCATCTATCCATTGAATCCTCCATATTTTCAATGATTGCTCTAATTTTACTTCAATATTTAAAAATGTTTTATTCATGTACGCAAGTCATAAGTGTACAGTTTGGTAAGTTTTTATAAAATGAATAATTTAACACACTATAAAATGCCTGCAGATCAAGAAACAGAAGATTATCAGCACCCAATGAAGTTTCCACTAATCTTCCCTTGCTGGCGTTCTCCCCTCATGGGTAACCATTAGTTGACTTCTCACAGCATGCATTTGTTTTGCCTTATTTTATATTGTTATGTAAATGGATTCATGCAGGATTTACTTTTTTATTTTTGGCTTCTTTCATTCAATATTAGTTTTATGAGATTCACATACACTTTTCCATATAGTCATAAACAGTTTAGTCTTATTGCCATTTACTACTTTGTGGTGGGAATATACAGCTACCATTCGTAGGCATTTGAATAGTTTCTAGTCTTGGGATGTGTCTGCTATGTATTTTGGTAACATACATACCTAGGTGAAGTCTGAAGCCAGCATGACACTTTTTCTCATTTTAAGTGATTGGATTCTTCAGTACTTTCGGAATTCTTTACCTTTCAATTTCAGAATATCATAAGAAATTATTGATTGCTTTCCAATAATTTTGTCTAAGTGGAGTAATGTTTTCTACTCTGTACAGTCAAAACTTCTTTCGGTTAGTTTTTTTCTTTTACATTTTAAAATCTTTTTTTCAGTTTTTCATTCATACTCATTATTCATATGCAGGATCTCTATTTTTGCATTTGGTATCTATTACCTTCTATTTCCAGCATTCTGTCCTTTCCCTCTCCAATCTGTAGAACTTCCTGCTGCTAGTCCTGCATTACACTGATTTGTCTTTCTGCATTGATTCTCCTCTCTCTCTTTCTTTCTCATTCTCTCTCCCCACTTGCTCTCTATTTCAACTTATAATACAATTTTAAATTTTGAAATAACTTACTTGTTTTTATTGCTAAGCTTGTACTTTTTAATTTCAGTCTATTAACATCATTTCTTAGAATTTATATTTTATATTATCTCTTTAAAATGAAAATATCATTTACTTTTATTTGAGTCTCCCAGAATAAATATTTGTTAAAATGATACTCTTTTTTGGAATGTAATATTTATCTTACTTTTTTTCTTTTCTTTTCTTTTCTTTTTTTAAGAGACAGGGTCTTGCTCTGTCTCCTAGAATGGAGTGCAGTGGTGCGATTATATCTCATTGCAGCCTCAACCTCCTGGGCTCCAGCTATTGTCTTTTCTCAGCTTCTCAAAGCACTGGGATTATCAGTGTGAGCAACTTCCCCAGCCCATTTAGTCTATTTTATTACATTTACTCTAGTTAAAAAAGAGACAAGTCAGTCTATAACTGTCATTTTCAAAAAAAAAAAACAAAACAGGCGATAAATAAATAAATAGTATGATGTATTTCTTTTGCATTTCCTCTCCTTTAACTTAGGGGAGTTTCCTATCTCCCCATAAAATGAATGCCTGACTGCCACAAGCTAATGGAATCTATCCAGCCATTTAAGCAATTCAGCAGCCTTTGGCTGAAGAGATTGGTATGGATTTTGAGCTATTATATTCAAATAATTTTATGACTGTAAGCTTTTTCTATGTATTACGGAAACTACCTCACTAAGCTCCAGCTCCACTGAGCTGAGAGAATATTCTGTTTCATTCAGCAGAGTCAGAGTTACCAGTCATACTAGTACAAATTCAAGATCAGGAAATCCCCACTACTATGTACTTTTTGTTTGGTGAGTGGACAAACTATATTTTTTTGTCTGCCACAGCTTTTCCCCTTCACACATCACAATGCATTTACACTTATAATATGTAGCAGCAGAAATAGCTCCTAGTGAATTGAGTCCCAGATCTTCAATGAGCTACCTTCTAGAGATTGCTTTTCCCCATTACCACTCAGAGAGCATTAATAACTGTCTGAGCCAGAGACAAATACAAAAAAAGTTCTCTGGATTTCCTCAAGGACTCTCCATGCAGAACAGAGCTGGGTTCCAATTGCAGAATTGCAATGGTTTCTCCCACAGCCTCCCAATTCTTTCAGTCCTTGTCCTTTCAAACTAAGAGATATTTAGAAGAATTTCCTACAATGTTCTCTTTTTATTTTTCATGATTTATATGATGTTATTATTCTCTAAGTTGTGTGGTGGTCCATGGGATCTTTGTTTTGATTCAAAAGCCATTTTTTTTCTGATAGAAATGTCAGACATTTTATAGTATTAGATTGACATTAAGTTTCAGTGCTGGTATAATTTTATTACATATTTTTGCCTCATTGTAGTCTTTTAATCTGGTTTTGATAGTTACTAGGGAAACGTTAAAATTGTGTTTACTTTTATCTTCTGCTAAATCCCTGTATTTCCAATATTAGAAGTTCTAACTCATTTTCTTTTTTCTTTTTCTTTTAATGAATTCTGTATGGACTTAAACCTTATAGGGTATAACATCTTGAGACAATTCACTGCTTTCCTTATATGTTTAATAAATATGGCTTTTTTTAAGTTAGATTTAATAAATACAGAGCTTAACGATGGTTATGGCAACATGATTCCCAATTGCTCATTTTTTCTTTTCCTCTTTTTATTTTTGAATGAAGCAATTATACTCCTTTTTTTTTTTTTACATATGCAGAAATCTTCTGCTGGGAGTAATATTGCAACTTACTTTGCCAATAAAATTTCTGTTGCAGCAATATGGCAGGAAGTAAAGTATTTTTTCCACAGGAATTCAGCTTTAGTTGATTTCTCTAAGGTTTCCATTGCATACATTGAATACATTACAATCTAAATATAAATAAGAAATCTGTTGAAAGGCAATGGCAAAAGATACTGCTGAGAGATAGTTTAGCACTGCCTTCATAGGATTATCTTGCCTTAAAATTTCCTTTCTGTGGTGGAGTGGTACAGGACTGGGGGAAATGCAAATATAAAGGCAAATCATTAAAAGAAATATTCTTGTTTTCATTCCTTTTACTTTTTCTTTAAGACCAAACATGAAACAAGGGTTCTCAATGCTTGCTTTCTAAGAGAAGGGTGACAGTGTTCACCAAGAACTTAACCACAGCCTCACAGCCTCCAGCACAGATCATGGAGTCTTCAAAAAGCTTTGGCCAGTAACCCCGAAGCTCCTGGCATGCAAAAAAGGCAGGCAAGTGGGAAAGAAGAGAGAAATAGTATGAGGTGCCCCTAGGATATGCTTCCATATTGTCCAAGTAAACATTGTGGGAAAGACATTTTGACTACTACACAAATCACTAGAAACTCATTCAGACAAAATCTAGAACAGGGTTGGCAATTTAAAACCAACTGTGTCACCAATTTGCTACCTTAGACACGGTACCAACATTGCTCATCAGCCTAAGCCCATTCCTTCTACTTCCTCTCAACAGAACATTCCAGAAGCTGCCCCCAGTCAATTAGGGTCAGCAGGTGAGATGTCACTACTCTGCCACTCTAGACCCTAAAGAGTTACTCAATTATCTATAGTAATCTATATTTTAAGGAATTTAGGAGGACTTGCAGAGCTCTGGTATGCTTCCCAATTACTTACCAAGAAATGCCCTGCCACCTATTTTGAAGACACTGGACAACTGAAAACACGTTCACAAAACTTTGGGAAGCAATTTCTATGAAATATTTTCGGCTTATGGAATTTAGTTTATCACTGCCATAATTTGACTATAATTGATGCATTATAAGGACATGATATTAAGACCTTCTTACATGGGGAAGGCCTAGAAAAAGTGGAAAAAGAGTTTGAACCCTTTAGAGAAAGCTGCTGGAAACTCTCCACAGAAGTTTCCAGACCCAGAGTGAGTGCCTCGTTGCAATGAGGATGCTCAGAATTACCTCATTTCAGGACTTACTAGCCACTCCCAGAAAAGGTCCACTGCTAGATCCTTGGAGAAAGAATGTATTTTTAACTTTCATTTTTCCATTTATATACAAAACAGATATTCAATGTCAAAAACTGTAAAGGAGAGAGAGAAAAGTTATAAAGAAGAAAGTAAAAATCATTTGTCACTATCTTTGAAAAACTCTATTAATAGTATTTAGGCAGATATTTTAAGTACAAATTGATAATCAAAATATATAACTGTGTTATACCTGCTAGAAAGGCCATTCTTATAGGAGTTCCCTGCCTTCAAGCACAATTTTGTCTGTTGACTAAAGTGTTTTAAGGTTAAGAAGTTCCTTTCTCACCAAACTGAATCCCTCAAGCTCAAAAACCATAAAAGAACAAACTGGTACATGGCTTTTAAAGCTCAGGTTTGTGTTCTTTGAATTTTCCATTAGAAAAAAAGATATGTTTTTATTTGGAACAGGATCCAGAAACTTAAATCAGAACTAACAAAATGTCCCAATTGGTCAGTTCCATTTACTTTAGCAGTTTCAGGGTTTTTAAGATTTGGTTTCTTTTAACAAATCCATTTGATTCTCTTCTCCCCATTCCCTCATCCATCCCTTTTTAAAGGATTAACTGTGTTTCAGTATTTCTCTAATGCAAAATTATATCATTACCTGCAGTCAAGTGACAGCAGCCTGATGTTTAAATCACATGGTTGTTATAACAATGGGCATTGAAACACAGGAGAATGAATAAAGTCCTCATTGGACTATAATTTCCAGTGTTTTTGGCACTCTTGGTCCACCTGAAGAAAGGATGAGACTTTAGGAAGTGTGTTTGTTTACATTCAGCAACTGTTCTAACTCTCTAGTGGAGGAACACTTGGACAAGGAAGGTCTCTGTTCCCTTTCTAATGTTGGACATTTCTGTGTCCTTCCCTGCACATGCTGAGAAACAAGAACTGCCCACTCACTCAGTTTTTTGGATCCCTGTGTTTTGTGAGAAGGGGCAATGTTCTCCTTACCAGTCTAGGGTCAGAAACCACTCAATGACAGTGAAAGAGAACCTACAGGAGATTTACTTTCAGGAAACCAAATCTGCCAGTGAGATAGTTAAACTTGTCCTGATGGAGTGAAAAAGCAGATACAGCCAGGAGGTATGTCCGATGTGAACAGGTGCAAGACTCTCACAAGATGCTGGTTCTCCTCTTGCTAAAGACCAATGACAACAGAGTGAAGAGGGGACCATTCTGGTGATGTTTCCATGACAGCACATGAAACCCCGAAACCCCAAATCTTGTGAGAAGAGCTGCCAAACCTTTGAAAACACCACAACCACAGGGACTCCTAAAGCTTTTAGTAGAGTATCCCCCTTTACCCCCCAGAAGAAAAGTATTCAATTGACCCATCTAGTTAAATGAACTATTCACCTTCTGCTCTTGTGGTCTATAATTGTCATCCCATTGCTTAGGAATCAAGGATGCATCCATGCAGGGACCCAGCTAAAAGCAAGGAGAAGGAAAATTAATTTGTATCTAGCTTATCTTTTTTGAGTAAGCCATGAAACAACTGCATACTTTATGTCTTGGATCAACAAGGGAGCCATGCCAAATGTCAGATTAAATATTCCACAGCTGAAGTGTTTGCATAGCTTTTCAGTGGCTACCATTTAAAGAAAGAAAAACAATGATGGGACTTAAAAAAAAAATACTCCCTTAGCTTCACATGCTCACAGTGTACTGCCAGCAATTGCTCTCAACTTGGAAGGCCAGGCCATGCGTATCTTGTCCGTGGAGTGTCGGTGCCAGCTGGCAAGCAGAACCCTGTGCTTCCATTCCCTCCAGGAGCATGAAGCCCCACTGTGCATCTTGAAGGCCACAGCCGCACTGCTGTATTGTTTAACCCATAACTGCTCTGGCTAAGGAGCAAGTCATATAAAGAAGGAATTTCCTGGTTCTTGAAGTGTCTATCATGTTTCACCAATGAGTTTGCATTCGCCGCATGTGTTTTCAGTTTGGGTTGGCTCTGTGGGGATGCCGAGGAAACTGGAGACAGATCTTTATTGAAACAGAATAATAAGTCTGAACAAATCAGCTTTATTGTCATTGGCTCTGGTGTGGTTTGGATTAATTTCAGCTTTATATTTCTAAAGGATTGCTTAAGAGGTGATGCTCTCCAATTCCAGGTTATGTAAAGGAAGGGAGAGAACTGACATACCTTAAGTAACTACTAAGTGTCAGGAGCTTGCCTGCATTATCTCAATTACTTTTCCTAACAATCCAATAAAGTCGTTGTTCCTCCATTCATCTTACTGATGAGAAAACGGAGGTGCTGAGAGGGTCATTCACTTGCCTGATGTAGCACAGTTAGGAATACAGCTGTGGAGTACAATTGGTTTGTTTCATCTTAGATCTGCTGATCATTTTCTGTGACCTTGGGCAAGTCACTTCACCTCTCTGCTCTAACTTTCGCATCTTCAAAACGTGAATGATAATGAGAATCCTTCACAGAGAGTTAAAGAAAGCAATGTGTGTAAGGTGATCAGTGCAGGTAACTGGTCAATAAATTCAGCCATTGTTATATGACAGTGCGGAGACTGAAACCTAGTGCAGCTCCCTTCCAAGCTGGTGCTGATTTCCCTCACCAGTCTAGAGATCAGTGCCACCCTTCTCCATGGGGAAGGTTTAGGTGGAACTGATACTCGAGAGACTAAAATTACAGGGTGATTTAACATCCTTGCTTTAAAAGTATATTCCCTATTGGGGCAAACAAAGCCTGTAGTTCTGGCTCAGGCTTGTATTTTGGAAAAAAAAAAAAAAAAAAAAAAAAGCTCTCTGAAAAGGAAGTAGGAGAAGAGAGAAGTGATGTGAGATGTGGAAGTTGCAGGGCTGTCATCTCACTGTCCTGGCCAGTTGCTTGGATTCAGGATGAAAAAAGGAAAAGTTGCCTGGTAATATGTTTTCTCATGACAGCTGATGTCTAGTCTGTTCACTGCAGCAAAAGTGGAGCTTAACCGATGATTTTTAACAGGCATCACCATCATAATGCCTGGCATCCTGGTGCTCAAACCCCACCTGAGTGCTTCCCACGTGCCAGGCTTTCGGCTGGCCTTGGGATACAGAGATGAGTAAGACATGGTCCCAGTTCTTGCAGAGCTCCCAGATGAGTGATCAAATGAGCCTTAGAGCACAGAGATCTTGCTCACCATAGAGAGAAACTATTTATATTCTAGACCCTGTAGAATCATCCAGAAGGAAGCCTTGTACACATCATTATCTATCACATAACCAGGAATTTTTGAAGCTTTGTGAAGCAGCTTAGGTAACTTTTAAAACAATCCTCAGTGAGAAAACAAATTCCACAAGTAGGAGGGAGGCCGCCCATAATGCAACCAACTTGGTTAATCACTTGGAAGTTCTTCCAGTCTTGCGAGGACTTCTTGGGCACTAGTTGTACCAATAACTAACCCCAAGGAATTGGACTCAGAAGAGCAATACAAATTGCAGCCTTGCCACTTACGAGCTGAGAGATCTTAGCCAAAATAACTCAATCTGTCTGAGTTGTATTTTTTATCAGTCGACTGAAGATGAATAATATTCAGGCTACAAGTTTATCAAAGAGTTAATAGGTGAGTATCTATGAAAGCCCTTTTTATTCAGTAAAGATGTATATACATTTGTTCTTGTTACTTCTCTTCATACTTTCACTTTCATTTATTTTGTATAAAATTTGCATAGTGTGACTTTTAGATTTTGGGCTTCTTGCTTTCTAGTTTGATGTTTATGAATACTTCAATAAAGAGAGGGTGGAAAAGGATAGCAACACTGAGCAATTTTTTAGTATCACATCCATGAGGAGCCATAGGTAAAAAGAGGTGACTGAAACTATGATTCTAAAGCCTAAGCAATATTCCCAAGGTGAGAAATCTAGTACGAAGTTGAATTGGGACATCAGCTACTGTCTGCTTGACTTCAAAGCACAGGTTCTTAACTACAATCTACCTTGTGTCTGAAAATGATGATAATATTAATAATCTGAAATGGGAAAGGATGACTAATAGCAATGTTCATTCATTATGTTTATAGGAAAATGAAAAGTGATGTTTATGGCTTTTCTTTGAGGGGAGAATAAGAATTAAAAACCTGTACTTATTGTTAGGAATTTATGAAATATGATCTAAGCAAAAGACAAGTAAAAACTATGAAATATTATGAAAATTTGTGGTGTCTTTTTACAAGCCCCTTCTCTAGGGTCTTGTGTCATTATCACCCTTAGCTGGAAATAATCTCAACTCTGAATTCCCAGAACCACTTTGAAGAATCTTTTGTGTGATTAAGACTCCTGGCTGGGCGCAGTGGCTCACTCCTGTAACCCCAGCACTTTGGCAGGCCGAGGCAGGTGGATCACTTGATCTCAGGAGTTTGAGAACAGCCTGGTGAACATGGCAAAACCTCATCTCTACTAAAAATACAAAACTTAGCCAGGCATGGTGTTGCACGCCTGTAATTCTAGCTACTTGGGAGGCTGGGGCACAAGAATCACTTGAACTTGGGAGGCGGAGGTTGCAGTGAGCCGAGATCGCGACACTGCACTCCAACCTGGGCGACGGAGTGAGACTCTGTCTTACAAAATAAATAAATATAAATAAATAACCGGCGGCCTCAGGGTATTTGCACTTGCTGCTCCCTCTGCCTGGTACATTTTTTTCCCAAAAACCTCTTGGATCATTGCTCCCTTCATGGACACATATGCTCAAATGTCCCTTATCAGACAGACCTGACTAGAGCTTTTCTTATCACTTTGTACAAAATGGCCATGTGCCCCTTATTACTCTTATCTATTGTCTTACTTTATTTTTCTTCAAAGCACTTCCCACCACCAGACATATTTAACATTTTATATATTGACTGCTTCCCAAACTCAGATACAAATTCTCTAAGAACACAGAATTTCTTTTGTTTACTGCAGTCTCCCGAACATCTAGAATAACACCTGGCACATAGTTAAATGCTCAAAGCATATTTGTTAAATAAATGAATGAACAAAGAATTAATGAATATGGCCCTTTATACTTTGTATTTTTGTTGGTTATATGAGTCTTACATCACCTGGGAAATTGAACTTTCTGAGGGCAAGGTCTATGTCTGATTCACTTTCAAATCTCTCTAGGTTCTAACATAGTACTTAAAATTGATTGAAAATTTACATAGATTTCATATACAAGTGTCTCATTTGTGGCCTAACAACTCTACACAATAGATTGGTATTCTTATTCCTATCTGTCTTAGGTTAGGCTGCTATAACAGAATAGCATAGACTGGGTGGTTTAACCAACAGACATTTATTTCTCACATTTGTGGAGGATGGGAAGTTCAAGAACAACGTGGCAGCCAATTCAGTTCCTGGTGAAGACCCTCATCCTGACTTGCAGATGACTGCCTTCTTGCTGAATCCTCACATGGTAGAAAGAGGGATAGCTCTGGTCTACCTCTTCTTATAAGGGCACTAATCTCATTGTAAGGGGCCCACCCTTGTGACTTCATCTAACCCTAATTACCTCCTAAAGGCTCTACACCCAAATACAATCACACTGTGGTTAAGGCTTCAATATAAGAATTTTGGGAGGACTCAGACTTCATTCCATCATATCATTTTACAGATGAGAAACCGTAACTCAGGGAAGTTTAATGATTTTTCCAAAGTCAGAGGTCCTGGAGGAGTCAGAGCTCAAGTCTAGTTCTTACCATAAGCCCATGATTCTCTCTTTTAAGGGCCACTGCCTCTTCTCGTGTTACAGCACATAAATAACTACTGCCCCAGGGCTGAATAAATGGGCCCATTTGCATAAGCAG
This sequence comes from Homo sapiens, assembly GCF_000001405.40. Classification (NCBI taxonomy): domain Eukaryota; kingdom Metazoa; phylum Chordata; class Mammalia; order Primates; family Hominidae; genus Homo; species Homo sapiens. The sequence goes on along the minus strand of NC_000005.10, from coordinate 67,644,381 downwards.
GACTCCATTTGCATAAGCAGTACAAAAAAGGCAGGACTCCTCAGAAACATACAAAGCCTTTCACAATGTCAACATGAAGGTAAATTTCTACTTTCATTTTTAGGGTTTTTAAATTGCTTTTTTAAATTAGACATGGTTTTTAAAGTTTTCTCTGTACTAGCGACTCTATCTTCACCTGTTACTCTCTTCCTTTAAGTTGAAGGAATGAAGGCTCTGTGAGAAAGAATAGCACAAGTCGGCCACATACCAAGTAAAATGAAACAGAATTTGAACTCAGACCAGGCTATCTCTTTTGTACCCACAGGAAAGCCCAGTTCTTAGTATGGCCATTGAGAAACTATTCTGTGCTCTTACATTTGATCTGCCTGCTCCAGACCACATGGGTCAGAATAGCATCCTCTTCTCCCATAGAAGTGGAAAACATATGAACATGGAAAACTTACAGCCTCAGTCACTCATTCTTCTCTCCTAAGTTAAAAATAGTAATTCATATAACATATATATATACACATATATATACACACACACACATATATATATACGTGTGTGTGTGTGTGTGTGTGTGTGTGTGTAAGTTTTTTAAGTCCTTAAAGGCCATATGTTTTTCCTGGATTTGATGAGTCCTTTAATCCCCAAATATTTCTGTAATTTGTCATTAAGCTTCAGAACTCCTAGAATGCTCATATGAAGTCAATCCAAATTCCAAACATAATGAGATTTATCTACTTCTAATCTCTGTATCTATTTTTAACTGAAATATCTTATTTATTTTCAAGACAGAACACATTGCCATAATATACCACTGCAGCTCATTCAAAATCCTCGTAGATCAGGGTATAGGACAGAATAGGAGGATACACGTTAACCAGAAACTGCCTTGTCTTTTATTTCTTAAGTTGATCTACAGAACAAAAGAAGAACTGCATGGTTTAGACATTATATAGATGAATTCAAACTCAAAGCTGTGTTTAAATTTGTACGCCTGTCAGTGCAGGATTATGCTTCATAATTTGTAGTGCCTTTCTCTGTTCTGCCCCACCCCAGGCCAAAGCAAAACAAGTCAGAACAAACCAAAAAAGAAAAAAAAATTTACTTTATTTGATGAAAATAATAAACGTGGAGCATTCTTTAAATTCACATGATAACCATTTTTTTCCTGGCACCCACCATATATAAAAAATTTGCATGTATTAATATCTAGTGTGACATACAGTGAGAAGCTTCAGAGGAGTCCCTTTAGAAGGCCTGGCACTAGTAATGCCGGTAATACCATCACCCTTTGTCATTTTTTTCCTGGAAATGGACTTGTCTCTTAAGGTTGACTGGGGAAGAGAAGAAATGCTGGACAGACACCACTCAAGTGCCCACCATAGTTTTAGCATCTACAATATAAAGGATTTAGACTGAGAATGCTAAGGACCATTTAAGCTCTAATATTCTGTGATGATCTGATTTTCGCCCTATGTAATACACCATTTTGCTAAATCCGATCATGTTCTTTTTCCTTTGCAGAAACCGAAACTACTTTACATGGAGTAGGCTATGTAATATGATTTCCCTGTTAGCAAAATAAAACGATTCATTTTTGCGGTTTAAAATCAATTCACAGCAAATCAGTGCTAGAAAAAGGATTCAGTTATTTTCTTCTTTGGCCTCTAATTCTGGACTCACGAGCCACAGATTACATCACACAGACTGTTAGTTGTCCATCTTATTTCTAACTGGCTTCAGAAATTGTCTGGGTCTGCGCTAGAGCACTGAAGAAAAAAATATAGGCACATCACATTTTCAGGAATCCAGAGGTGCTGTGAAATAAATATTTTCCAACTTTAAAATGTACTAAGGCACCTTGTTATTTAAAGTATTGATACAGCAAATGATCCTTTTCTTTAGGAGATAATCACTCTGCTGGCTTTTTAATTTGGCAAGTCTAAATTTTCCTCAGTTGGATTTAAAGCAGATTATGCTTGTGAGTAAATAGAGAGTGTTAAGCTCAGGAGAGTGATAAAATTCCTGGTGAACTGTCCATGGCTTGCTTTTGGTCCCCACAGTAGCAATGCTGTAGGAATTTCTCATCAGCATTAAGTTTAGAAGTTAAGACTCCTGGATATGACATTACTCATCTTAAGAATACCTATTTATTGCACATTTATTTGTCTGAGGCTACTTTCAGAGGGTTATTATTGTGGTACTTAAGCAAGATTTACAGAAACTTTTTAAAATTTAATCTTTAATTAACAAATGACAGCTGTATATATTTATGGGAAACAATGTGATATTATGATACATGTATACATTGTGTAATGATTAAATTAGGCTAAATAGCATCACCATTACCTCACATACTTATTACTTTGTGGTGAGAACATTTAAAATCTACTCTTTTAGCAATTTTGAACTATACATTATTATTAACTAAGGTCAGCATACTGTGCAATAGATCACTAGAATTTATTCTTTCTAACTGAACTTTGTACCCTTTGACAATCATATCTCCTTTCCTGTCCATCCTCTAACCCCCATCTTCCAGTAATCACAATTCTACTCCCCACTTCTATGAGTTCGACTTTTTTTTTTTTTTTTTTTTTTTTTTGAGGCTGAGTCTCGCACTGTTGCCCAGGCTGGAGTGCAGTGGTGTGATCTTGGCTCACTGCAACCTCCGCCTCCCGGGTTCAAGTGATTCTCCTGCCTCAGCCTTCCGAGTAGCTGGGATTATAGGTGCCTGCCACCACGCCCAGCTGATTTTTGCATTTTTAGTAGAGATGGGGTTTCACCATGCTGGCCAGGCTGGTCTCAAACTCCTGACCTCAAGTGATCCACCCACCTCGGCCTCCCAAAGTGCTGGGATTACAGGCGTGAGCCACCACACCTGGCTGAGTTTGACTTTTATAGATTCCTAATACAAGTGAATTCATGTGATATTTGCTTTTCTGTGCCTGGCTTATTTCACTTAGCATAGTATCCTCTAGATTCATCTGTATTGTCACAAGTGACAGGATTTCCTTCTTTTTAAAGACTGAGTAGTATTCCATTGTATATTCACACCACATTTTCTTTATCCATTCATCTTGATGGGCATGTCAGTTGTTTCAATACCTTGGCTATTGTGAATAGTGCTGCAATAAACATGAGAATGCAGGTATCCCTTTGACATATTAATTTCATTTCTTCTGCATATATGTCTAGAAGTGGGATTGCTGGATCATACAATAATTCTATTGTCAGTTTTTTGAGAAACCTTCATATTGTTTTCTAAGATGGCTGTATCAATTTACATTCTGACCAACAGTCTAGAAAGGTTCTCTTTCTCCACATCCTCACCAACACTTGTTTTCTTTCACCGTTTAAGTCTGAGAATATTTATTCTTTTTTAAAAATGTTTTTAATTTCAATAGCTTTAGGGGTACAAGTGGATTTTAGTTACATGAATGAATCGTATAGTGGTGAAGTCTGGGATTTTAGTGCACCTGTCACCCCAAATACTGTGCGTTGTACCCAATAAGTAGTTTTTCATCCCTCACCCCTTCTGAGTCTCTGATGTTCATTATACCACTCTGTATGCTTTTGCATACCCACAGCTTAGCTTCCACTTATGAGTGAGAATATGCAGTATTTGGTTTTGATTCCCGAGATATTTCACTTAGAATAATGGTCTCTGGCTTCATTCATGTTGCTTCAAAAGACATTATTTTGTTAGCAGATTTCATTCTTAATGTAAATAAAAATAAAATGTAGAAAATAATCACTTTTAAAAAGGATGGTTGCAAAAAATTAAGATTTAGTCGTGTACACAGAATTGTTTCTGGAGTAGACACAGATGCCTGTTTCTCTTCTCCGTTTGCACTCTGTACTTCTAAGCCCTCATTTATTATAACTGACCTGGGACTGGGTGAAATAAGGTGCTCTGAGTGAGAAACTAATTTGGGGATGCCACAAAGGACCCATTTTACAATGGCACTGAATCTGATAACAGTTTAACCTCCAGCTTTTCCTGAGGAACACTGAATTTTATGAAAATTCCATTTCTGCAGCCTTAAAGGCACAGCCAGCAGTGCAGGGCGGTCATCAGCATGACTTTTCACTTCAGCTGATATGGGGGCTTTCTGAGCCAGTGCAAGCCACAGCAAATCCTGACATTGCCTCACTGTGCTAAGAAGCCAATTTTATAAACTTCCCTCTCTTTACGGAGGGCTCTGGCTGTTCACCCTCAGCAACTTGTGATCTCATACAAACCCCTCTGCCATCTGTTGCTTAGTCTCCCTGAATCTATTTATAGCTCAAGTTCTGTCCTCCTCATGTCTATTTTTTTTTCTAATTTCATAAATTGAGTTTCATGTCCCAACTTGTGGCTTGCTTTAATTGCTCCTTTTCACCATTCCCCATGTTTAGCTATAATTTAAAGTGGTTAGAGAAAATTTTTGTGCACAATGTCTGTAGGCAAAGCACTGTGGAACATCTGAAATTGAATCAGGCTCAGGCCCAACCCTCATGTAGTTTCAGTTTATAGGAAAGCTGAAATTAAAAATATATATATATGTATTATAAGAACATGAGAGAAGAAAGTGTTAGATCTCAGCAGCAAGTTCCGAAGAAAATGACATTTGTTCTTCCTGGGAGACCAGGAAGTGTCTCATGGAAGTGATTTTTTGATTCAGCCTTAAAGTGAGCTTTCCGGTTTTTAATTTTGTAATAAATAATATATTCTATTTTTCTGACATCACAGCCCCAGGGAGTGGTTCTGTACCAAATGGAATGGCAGTTGCTCTAACATTGCATGTGTGGGAGGAGGAAGAAAGGGAAATAACCACAACATTTAAAAAAAAAAAAAAGACAAGAAAACAAAAACAAAAGTCCTGGGTAACTTTTAGCATCTGTTCCACTCCCACATTAATACAATTCACCTGGGAATTCTGAGTAAAAGGAAGACAGGAAACAAGGAGGGGGGTGGGGCGGGGTGCTGGGAAGGGCATATTAGTGAAGGAGAAGACAAAGCAGGGAAAGAAAAGCCATAGAGCAGCCCAGTGGCTGACCTCTCTCTCTCCCTCAAAACCACGAAGATGCTCAGCATGGAAGTGGAGGCCTGTCTCCATTAATCACCCAGAGGAACACCTTGTAGATCGGCGCCCAAGGGAAAAACAGAGGAGGGAAGCAAGGCGGGCACGATGTCTGTGAAGCACACTTAACAGAGATGGGGAAGGATGAGAGACAACACGAGAAACACGAAGGTGAATTTGTATACACATGGAGAGACAGTGCCGAAGAGCATTTGAACACAAAAACAATGTCCTACACTTCACTATTTTTTAAAACGAAAGATTTCTTTTCCATCCCTATCTATGCTAAACTTAGTTCCTTTTTTTTTTTTTTTTTTTTTTGCATTTATTTTTCTTTTTTTGGTGTTATTGCTTGAGAAAGGCCAGCAATGTCATTGACAAAGTCTGGAAAGGATACACTTGTACCCAAAGGATGCTCAGAGCTTGTGCTGACCCTAGACCAAGCAATGCCAGTGCCACCGTGGAACTTATCTGCCTGTCACCTCCTCCATCTGCAAAAACCCTGGCATTGTTTATGGCCTGAGATTTTCCCTTGAGGGAAATAGTTCACTGTCTGGTTGGACATCTGTGATGGAATCACGGAAGACAGATCAAACTCACATATGGATTGCTGCAGATCTGGGTCCACAAACCCTGAAGTCATGCTATTCCCCAGCATAGCAAAGGAGTCAGACACTCTGGGCCTCCTGGCTTACAAACACCTAGAGAAATTCTTCTGTCCTTGAGATGCCAACCAAGGCTCCTGGGACTCATGACCCATCATAGGATTGTGATACCAGCCAAGGCTCCTAGGACTCGTGACTTATCATAGGATTGTGTGACATCAAAGCAGGCCCCATTGGAGCACTATGGGGAAGTATGCTGGGTTCCGTGGCATTCAGGAAGGGTGTCAAGTTGGAGTGAGAAGTGGCTAGGTTATTCCCACTGAGCTGGAGGGTTGTCATTGGAATCATAGAGTCTGGATCTAAAATTTGCAGATTTTATGTATTATTAATGCCAATTCCTGGCATGTTTTTAATTAATGATAAGTTGGGTGAGGGAGTTGGAGGAGCGTTTTCATTTGAGTTAACCACTAGCTTGATGGTATCATGATATAATCTGATAGAACTGGACATTGCAAAGTTGGACACTCAACATATCAAAATGCATATTCAAAAAAATATCAATCATCAAATAATCTGCAGAAGTCTTCTGTCTAGTACAACTTGCCTCCAGAGCCTATCCTTTCCCAAACCTGCTCACTTCAAGATGGTGCAGTTTAATGGAAGCAACAGCATCAGGATTTGCCATTAGGCCCACCAGGTATGATGGAACCTGGGGAAACTTGAGGTTTCCCGAGGGCAAGTCCCATATTGTGGACTGGACTGGACTGTGTAGAGTGGGAGATTTCAGAGAGTTCACATCAAGAGAACACACCTGGCTGCATGCCCCAGATTTATTCAAGGGCCCCTGCCTCAGGCCATGTCAAACTGCAGAAGCTGTGTTGAGGCTAATGGGGTTTCTGGAAGGGTTGAAAGGTAGTGGTGGCTATGACTGAGCTGGCTGTTAGTCCTTCTGTTGGGTCTGATTGGTTCACTAAGATTCTGCCAAACCCTGTTGCAGTTTGGACCCTAAGATATGGGAAAGAATGACCTGAAGCCCATGTCATCTTCCTGCTGAGGGTGCTCACCACATGGCAGGGGTGCTGTCTTCTGCTGAGCAGGCAGCACAGCTGAGCTACCTGACTGTAATTCACCATCTCCCCAGGGCACACCCAGCCTCTCATCTTTTGAGGTATCATCTGAGAGTTAGATCCCACGTTTGATATTTAGATGGACATTTTATTTCATGACATGAAGAACCATCCCAAACTCAAATTCCCAACTGGAGCCCATCTGTGAGACAGTGCTTTGGAAAAGTCTTCCCTGGTAGGACTGAGAGGTCTCTCAACTGGTCAAGGGAAAATGGGAATATTCACAGAGAGCCTGGGATCATCCTAGTCATCTCTATGCTGGGCCTTAGGTCAGCTGTGCTATCCCAAGGGGAAGATCTCACTGTTTCTCTGCCAGCTGCTATTAAAACATCTCTGAAAACAATCTTTGGGGATTTGGGGAGTGTACCCCAAGAACACCGAAGACCTCTTTGCCAAGAGAGAAGTTTCCATCATCTGGAATTTTTGGCACATTGTCTGGCCAACTGACTCCAGAAAGACTTGGACTGGGTGCAGGGTTGGAGACATTTTGCCCTTACATTTCAGAGCCTAACATTCCTGAAAGTCTAGAAAGGCACATATGGCCCTGGTTGGCTGGAGCTGGGGGCTGTTGTGGGAAAAGTTTTGGATCATTCCAAAGGCAGATATCTGTGTGTTCAGGGTTTTGCTTCTCTCTATCTTGCTGCTAGGAATTTTCTGGATTTGGAAAGAGGCGTCAGTTTCAACCTGACCTTTCAATACAGCTTCTGCAGCTTGAACGCACATGCACCACTTGGGCTGATGTCTTCCAAGAAGGTGTGGACTCTGAGCAATAGTCTGGCTATGGGAAGGTATGGAAGAGCTGTGGGCCACAGAATTTGAGGGTATCATCAAGTGTGTTGTGTGCTGGGAATCCTGGAACTTTATGTGGTCAGCAGAATTACATTCTTTAGTCTCAGGACCTCTTAGATCAAAGGAGTAGATGGGAATGCCTCCCTTGGCATCATTTCCAGTCTCTGTCTTCAGACCCATGCTCCCACCTGGGTTAAGGAGTGCTTTAGGGGTGTGGCTTCTACTCTCGGTGTCACTGTCCCAGAGGTGTCTAGGACTGATTGACAAGCTCCCATGTTCAGCCTGACTGGAAAATTTGGAAACCAGGTGAGGCTTTCCTGATAGGAACATTGCTGTAAGGGCAGAACCCATCCCCTTTGACTTTGATTTAGGGCTTTCACTGTCTTTCTTGATGGAGAGCCCTTCACTTTAATGTGACTGGAATACACTGACAGAGCTCCTGAGCTTGCATCACACACAGGGGCAGGCTTTCAGGGTTGTTCTCAGACTGAGCAGCTGAGGCGGTGGCAGTGGTTCAGTGCTTGCTGGCTGCATGCCTTTACACTGGTCAACAGTATGCCTTGTTCTTCTTTGTTGATCTCTGCTGCAGAATTTAGTCTAGGAGCTTCAGCATTCTCTGGATATACCTCCTGCTGCCAAAGAAAAATCTCTCCTCTCTAGCACACATGATATGACCAGGGCTACCCCATGGTAGTGCTTATCCTGGAGCTGAGGAATCTAGGAACCGTGTTCTCAAAGGCAACCTTCATCTTTCAGGACACTCAAATTTGTTCTTTTTTTCTGCATTGAGACACAGAAGAATTTACTAACAATGATTTCTGCCTCTCAAACAGAAATGATTTTTAGGTCAAAATCAAACAGATACCAGCTAGTTCCACATTCATTTTTTGGAGGCAGGGTGGAAACTAGAAGAGGAGAGGAGGGGCAAGGGATGCTTTGGTCCAGGGTCAGGCCCAACTGCATCCCTCTCCTCTCTCCCTCACTGCAGCTCTTAAAGTGTTGTAACCCATGGAAGGGACCAGGTAAACTAAGCATATGGGAAATAAGCTTGGAAAGGTAGATTGGGACAAAATTTAGGAAAGCCTTAAATACTACATTATAAATGTGGGGTTTTGTTTTTTGGTTGGGAGTAGGGAACTACTAAGATTTCTGTGCATGGGAGTAACATGATTATGACTTCGCTTTAGAATGGTTCATTCTCCCATTATCGTTTAGAGGAAAAAGAATCAAGGTGCTTTCAGATGCAAGGAACAGAACACCGAATCAAGATGGCTTAGATGATAGAGATTTATTATTACATATAACAAGAAGTCTTAAAGCTGTAGAGAGAGAATTGGCTGTCTCTGTCACACAGCCAAGAGATTGGCAGACTGTGTCATGAGAGGACATGTAAATTTTTTAAAAAGTGGTCAAAAGTAGTAATTTAGAGAATGTCAAGGAGGAAAGTTAGAAAGCAGAAAAATAAAAAATAAATTCCTTATTACCTAAGTTTTTGCCACTTCTAGTTTAGCACAAAAGCTCACCTCTACCTCTGTAAATGATTATTTTTAGATGAAAATAATTCAGTATGAACACTCAATCTCTCGGGAATATTACATTCTCATTTCAGAAAACCAATGTAGCCAAGCATAAGGATAACTAAAAGAGTTCTTTCTCTATAGACGAGACCTTCGATCCATTTCAAAATAATTTTATTTACTGCTACCAAAGTAATTATTCATCCCTAGGAACACACTTGCCATCTTATGAGAAGTTTCCACATTCATATAGGGAGCAGTCACTGAAATCTATAAAGAAACTCAGCAACCCACTATTAGAAGAAAAGGTGCTATCTTCAGATTTTACTTATGTATGTATGCATTTTTAATATTTTTAAGAGACATGGTCTCACTCTGTTACCCAGGCTGGAATGTAGTGGTATGCTCACAGCTCACTGCAGCCTCAACCTCCTGGGCTCAAGCAATCTTCCTTTCTCAGCTTCCCAAGCAACTAGGGATGTATTAATCCATTTTCATGGTGCTGATAAAGACACATCCGAGACTGAGAAATTTACAAAAGAAAGAGTTTAATTGGACTTACAGTTCCACATGGCTGGGGAAGCCTCACAATCATGGCGGAAGGCAAGGAGGAGCAAGTCACATCTTACATGGATGGCAGCAGGCAAAGAGAGAGAATTTATGCAGGGGAACTCCTCATTTTAAAGCCATCAGATCTTGTGAGACTTATTCACTATCATGAGAACAGCATGGGAAAGACTTGCCCCCATGTTTCAGTTACCTCCCACCGGGTTCCTCCCACAACACATGGGAATTCAAGATGAGATTTGGGTGGGGACACAGCCAAACTATATCAGGGGACTATAGACATGTACAACCACCCTGGCTAATTTATTTCCTTTTTCACTTTTGTAGAGATGGAGTCCATGTTGCCTCGCCTGGTCTTGGACTATTGGCCTCAAGCGATCATCCTACCTCAGCCTCTCAAAGTGCTAGCATTCAAGGTATGAGCCACTGTACCCAGCCCCAGACTTTCTATAGTTGTCTGTGACCAGGCCACATGCTCACAAAGAGTTTCAGATATGAACACCTACGTCCTGAGATCCTCTTTGTGTCTTGGCAGAGCATCATCTAGGACCTTAAACCAATTACCAAGAGATTTTATTTTACATAGCAGGATAAAGGGATATGATCTTGGAATTTATAAATAAAAAGGTGATTTACCATCCTTAGCTTTAGACCTAGCCTATAAATGCATCACCTTTCTCACTCTTCTGGGCTTTGCAAGGTTCATGTGGCAACACCTAGTCAGGGCAGGCATCACTGAGTGCTCTGCCATCTGATTGCTTTTCTTACCAATAAACCAAAATGACCCAGGCACAGGACATGGATACTAATGATTCTATAGAAAAACAAAAGGAGATGATGAACCTTTGCGAGGATGATGAAGTACATGTCGGGCAGCTGGCCCTCAAAGATCGATCATACCACCCACACCTCAGGACTCAACTCCTTGCCCTTGGTGAGACGTGCTTTTATCACAGAAACTAATGAAAACTCCCTATCTTAAATTAAACAGTGCTACATTTTATAAAATCATACCAGTGCTTTTAATTTAAAAAGATGAATTGCATAATTTTTTAAAATTGATCACCCAGATACTATATGGTTCTTGAGTGGATTAGAATGAAGGAAAGAAGTAAACACATATGGATGTATAGCTCTAGTTATAGGGAGTTAATATGTATTGAACACTCTACATGTGCCAATATATTTCCACATGTGAATTCAATTATACGTCATGTGGTAGGTACTATTATCATTGTATCTTTTTTATAGATGAGAAACAAAAGACATGATAGGTGGGTTGCAATGGGTTCCAAAATGAAAGTAACAAATGAAATGTAATCAATGACATTTGCTTATTTCTATTTTATTCACATTTATTTTATCTTTTTTCTCTTTTTCCTCCCAGCTCACAAACAAGAGTTTTGAACCTAGGCAGGCTAAGCAGTGATCTTGAGGACTGAAAGGGGAAACTGCTGTCAATTAATAGGACATCAAACACCCATACTCTACTGGAAAAATGTGTCCACAGACATTTGCTTGAGAGGAGGAGGTGGCTGGTGAAGAGCCCTATGGTTGCTCTCCTGTGTCTTCACTCTTAGCAGCTACAACATGCACAAGATTCAGTGCATTCAATAATTAGTTCTCAGCATCCTGTGAACTGGCGATCTATTTCCAGAATGATTTAGTGCAGTTTCCTCTAAGTCCATGCTAAAAGAGGAAATAATTAGGCTCAGAAGCATTTAACTTAAAACTGGTGTTTCTACTTATCTACAATGACTGTGCTAATTAGGCCTCTCATAAATTTCTCTGACATACTTCACTCTACAACCTCGAGCCTTTACCTCATGTGTTCCCCTGGGATCTAGAATGGTGCTGGAAAACCACTGAGATGGGAGCCTCTTAGTCTGGACTCCCTGGAGGAAGAGTAATTCACTTAAGGTTACGACACTCTTATATAAACATATTCAAACATGATTTTTTTTTTTTTGCCCTAACTGCATATTCAAGTCAATCTGCTAGGGGTAAAAAAATGTTGGCCTAGGCCGGGCGCGGTGGCTCACGCCTGTAATCCCAGCACTTTGGGAGGCCGAGGCGGGCGGATCACGAGGTCAGGAGATCGAGACCATCCCGGCTAAAACGGTGAAACCCCGTCTCTACTAAAAATACAAAAAATTAGCCGGGCGTAGTGGCGGGCGCCTGTAGTCCCAGCTACTTGGGAGGCTGAGGCAGGAGAATGGCGTGAACCCGGGAGGCGGAGCTTGCAGTGAGCCGAGATCCCGCCACTGCACTCTAGCCTGGGCGACAGAGCGAGACTCTGTCTCAAAAAAAAAAAAAAAAAGTTGGCCTAAACAGGGACACACAGTGTGGTCCAGAGACCTGGTGACAGTGTGTGAATTGTTACCAGTTCACAGAGCAGTAAGTATTACAAAACTTGGGAGTAGGTCATTAGAAATTTTATAGGGATTTCAGCAATGTAATTTTTTAATGTCCATTAAATCTAATAATTAAAAGAAATGGGGGTTTATACGTTCTATTTCATTTTTTCCATTTTATTTTTTATCATAATTCAACTCTACCAGTTGGTTTCTTTTTCCTGTTTATGGATTATATTTTACAATTCTTTGCAGACCTGATAATTTCTTATTAGATTCTGGAGAGCATGCATTTTTGGTAGTTGGGTGTTGGATTTTGCTGTATTCTTTTATGTAGTGGGGGACTTTGTTGTGGCTTGCAGTTACGGTACAAAGGATTAATTTGGTCCCCTGGAGGTGTGCTTTCAGGCTGCCTCCGCACAGCAAGCTGAGGCAATAGTAGGGCTCACCTTGTTTATTCCTCATTTGTCTTAGTTCATTTGTGTAGCTGTAACAGAAATACCATAGACTAAGTAATTTATAAGAGTAGAAGTTTATTCCAGAGCAAAAAGGATGAAAATTCCAAAAACCAGAACACCTCTTCTCCTCAAAAAAATCACAACTCCTTGCCAGCAAGGGAAAAAATCTGGATGGAGAATAAGTTTGATGACTTGACAGAAGTAGGCTTCAGAAGGTGGGTAATAACAAACTCCACCGAGCTCAAGGAGCATGTTCTAATCCAATGCAAGGAAGCTAAGAACCCTGAAAAAAGGTTAGAGGAATTGCTAACTAGAATAACCAGTTTAGAGAAGAATATAAATAATCTGACGGAGCTGAAAAACACAGCACAAGAACTTCGTGAAGCATACACAAGTATCAATAGCCAAATTGATTAAGCAGAAGAAAGGATATCAGAGATTGAAGATAGACTTAATGAAATAAAGCATGGAAGACAAGATTAGAGAAAAAAGAATGAAAAGAAACAAACAAAGCCTCCAAGAAATATGGGACTATGTGAAAAGACGAAACCTATGTTTGATTGGTGTATCTGAAAGTGACGGGGAGAATGGAACCAAGTTGGAAAACACTCTGCAGAATATTATCCAGGAGAACTTTCCCAACCTAAGAAGATAGGCTAACATTCAAATTCAGGAAATACAGAGAACAGCACTAAGATATTCCTCGAGAAGAGCAACCCCACGACACATAATCATCAGATTTACCAAGGTTGAAATCAAGGAAAAAAATGTTAAGGGCAGCCAGAGAGAAAGGTCGGGTTACCCACAAAGGGAAGCCCATCAGACTAACAGTGGATCTCTCGGCAGAAACCCTACAACCCAGAAGAGAGTGGGGGCCAATATTCAACATTCTTAAAGAAAAGAATTTTCAACCCAGAATTTCATATCCAGCCAAACTAAGCTTCATAAGTGAAGGAGAAATAAAATACTTTACAGACAAGCAAATGCTGAGAGATTTTGTCACCACCAGACCTGCCTTACAAGAGCTCCTGAAGGAAGCACTAAACGTGGAAAGGAACAACTGGTACCAGCCACTGCAAAAACATACCAAATTGTAAAGACCATCAGCACTATGAAGAAGCTGCATCATCTAATGGGCAAAATAACCAGCTAGCATCATAATGACAGGACCAAATTCACACATAACAATATTAAACTTAAATATAAATGGGCTAAATGCCCCAATTAAAAGACACAGACTGGCAAATTGGATAAAGAGTCAAGACCCATTAGTGTGCTGTATTCAGGAGACCCATCTCAAGTGCAAAGACACAATAGGCTCAAAATAAAGGGATGGAAGAATATTTACCAAGCAAATGGAAAGAAAAAAAAAAAGGCAGGGGTTGCAATCTTAGTCTCTGATAAATCAGACTTTAAACCAACAAAGATCAAAAAAGACAAAGGGCAATACATAATGGTAAGGGAATCAACGCAACAAGAAGAGCTGAAAGCAAGTCCTTAGAGACCTACAAAGAGACTTAGACTCCAACACAGTAATCATGGGAGACTTTAACACCCCACTGTCAATATTAGACAGATCAATGAGACAGAAAATTAACAAGGATATTCAGGACTTGAACTCAGCTCTGGACCAAGTGAACCTAATAGATGTCTACAGAACTCTCCACCCCAAATCAACAGAATATATGTTCTTCTCAGCACCACATCACACTTATTCTAAAACTGACCACATAGTTGGAAGTAAAACACTCCTCAGCAAATACAAAAGAACAGAAATCATAACAGTCTCTCAGACCACAGTGCAATCAAATTAGAATTCAGGATTAAGAAACTCACTCAAAACCACACAAATACATGGAAACTGAACAACCTGCTCCTGAATGACTAATGGGTAAATAACAAAATTAAGGCAGAAATGAATAAGTTCTTTGAAACCAATGGAAACAAAGACAAAATGTACCAGAATCTCTGGGACACAGCTAAAGCAGCGTTTAGCGGGAAATTTATAACACTAACTGCTCACAGGAGAAAGCAGGAAAGGCCTAAAATCAACACTCTAACACCACAATTAAAAGAACTAGAGAAGCAAGAGCAAACAAATTAAATTCTAGAAGAAGACAAGACATAACTAAGATTAGAGCAGAACTGAAGGAGATAGAGACATGAAAAACCCTTTAAAAAATCAATGAATCCAGGAACTGGTTTTTTGAAAAGATTAACAAAATAGACCACTATCCAGGCTATTAAAGAAGAAAGGAGAGAATAATCAAATAAACACAATAAAAAATGATAAAGGGGATCTCACCACTGATCCCACAGAAATACAAACTACCATCAGAATACTATAAATGCCTCTATGCAAATAAACTAGAAAATCTAGAAGAAATAGACAAATTCCTGGATACAAACACCCTCCCTAGACTAAACTAGGAAGAAGTTTAACTCATTTTATGAGGCCAGCATCATTCTGATACCAAAACCTGGCAGAGACACAACAAAAAAAGAAAATTTCAGGCCAATATCACTGACGAACATTGATGTTAAAATCCTCAATAAAATACTGGCAAACTGAATCCAGCAGCACATCAAAAAGCTTATCCACCATGATCAAGTTGGCTTCATCCCTGAGATGCAAGGCTGGTTTAATATACACAAATCAATAAACGTAATCCATCACATAAACAGAACCAATCACAAAATCACATGATTATCTCAATGGATGCAGAAAAGGCCTTTGACAAAATTCAACACCCCTTCATACTAAAAACTCTCAATAATCTAGGTATTGATGGAATGGATCTCAAAATAATAAGAGCTATTTATGACAAACCCACAGCCACTATCATACTAAATGGGCAAAGCTGGAAGCATTCCCTTTGAAAACTGGCACATGACAGGGATGCCCTCTCTCACCACTCCTATTCAACATAGTGTTGGAAGTTCTGGGCACGGCAATCAGGCAAGAGAAAGAAATAAAGCGTGTTCAAATAGGTAAAGAAGAAGTCAAGTTGTCTCTGTTTGCAGATGACATGATTGTATATTTAGAGAACCCCATTGTCTCAGCCCAAAATCTCCTTAAGCTGATAAGCACCTTCAGGAAAGTCTCAGATACAAAATGAATGTGCAAAAATCACAAGCATTCCTATACACCAATAATAGACAGAGAGCCAAATCATGAGTAACTCCCATTCACAATGGCTACAAAGAAAAAAATATCTAGGAATACAACTTACAAAAGATGTGAAGGACCTCTTCAAGGAGAACTACAAGCTACTGCTCAAGGAAATAAGAGAGGACACAAACAAATGGAAAAACATTCCATGCTCATGGATAGGAAGAATCAATATTGTGAAAATGGCCATATTGCCCAAGGTAATTTATAGATTCAATGCCATCCCCATCAAGCTACCATTGACTTTCTTCACAGAATTAGAAAAAACTACTTTAAACTTCATGTGGAACCAAAAAAGAGCCCATATAGCCAAGACGATTCTAAGCAAAAAGAACAAAGCTGGAGGCATCATGCTATCTGACTTCAAATTGTACTACAAGGCTACAGTAACCAAAATAGCATGGTACTGGTACCAAAACAGATATATAGACCAATGGAACAGAACAGAGGCCTCAGAAATAATGCCACACATCTACAACCACGTGATCTTCGACAAACCTGACAAAAACAAGCAATGGGGAAAGGATCCCCTATTTAATAAATTGTGTTGGGAAAACTGGCTAGCCATATGCAGAAAACTGAAACTGGACCCCTTCCTTATACCTATACAAAAATTAACTCAAGATGGATTAAAGACTTTAATGTTAGACCTAAAACCATAAAAACCCTAGAAGAAAACCTAGGCAATACCATTCAGGACACAGGCATGGCCAAAGACTTCATGACTAAAACACCAAAAGCAATGGCAACAAAGCCACAATTGACAAATGGGATCTAATTAAACTAAAGAGTTTCTGCACAGCAAAAGAAACTACCACCAGAGGGAATAGGCAACCTACAGAATGGGAGAAAATTTTTGCAATCTATCCATCTGACAAAGGGCTAATATCCAGAATCTACAAGGAACTTCAACAAATTTACAAGAAAAAAACAAACAACCCCATCAAAAAGTGTGCAAAGGATATGAACAGACACTTCTCAAAAGAAGACACTTATGCAGCCAAGAAATATATGAAAAAAAGCTCATCATCACTGGTCATCAGAGAAATGCAAATCAAAACCACGACGAGATACCATCTCATGCCAGTTAGAATGGCAATCATTAAAAAGTCAGGAAACAACAGATGCTGGAGAGGATGTGAAGAAATAGGAATGCTTTTACACTGTTGGTGGGAGTGTAAATTAGTTCAACCATGGTTGAAGACAGTGTGGCAATTCTCCAAGGATCTAGAACCAGAAATACCTTTTGACCCAGCAATCCCATTACTGGGTATATACCCAAAGGATTATAAATCATTCTACTGTAAAGATGCATGCACACATATGTTTACTGCAGTACTCTTCAAAATAGCAAAGACTTGGAACCAACCCAAATGTCCATCAATGATAAAAAAAAAAATGTGGCACATATACACCATGGAATACTATGCAGCCATAAAAAAGGATGAGTTCATGTCCTTTGCAGGAACATGGATGAAGCTGGACACCATCATTCTCAGCAAACTAACACAGGAACAGAAAACCAAACACTGCATATTCTCACTCATAAGTGGGAGTTGAACAATGAGAACACATGGACACAGGGAGGGGAACATCACACACTGGGGCCTGTTGGTGGGGGTGGGGTACTAGGGGAGGGATAGCATTAACAGAAATACCTAATGTAAATGATGGGTTGATGTGCGCAGCAAACCACCATGGGACATGTATACCTATGTAACAAACCTGCATGTTCTGCACATGTATACCAGAAATTAAAGTATAATAATAAAGAAAAAAATAATAGAAGTTTATTTCTTACAGTTCTGAAGGTTGGAAAGTCTAAGATCAAGGCACCAGCATTTGGTGTCTTGTGACAGCCTTCTTGCTGCATTCTCACATGGCAGAAGGCCGAAAGGGCAAAAAGGATGAATGCTGTGTCCTCACAAGGCAGAATAGATGCAAGGCAAGAAGGGCTTGGCTAGTTCTCTCCAGCCCTTTTACATGGATACTAATGCCTTTTATAGAGGTTCTACCATCGTGACTTAAATCATCTCGCAAATACCTCACCTCTTAAAACTATCACATTGGAGCTTAAGTTCCAACATATGCATTTTGGAGGAAAACATACATTCAATCCATGGCACCATCACTCTGAAGGGATCATACATATGCAGGGGTTTTTGTCCAGTATCTGAAAACCATTGTTTCATGTATTTTTCTGGTTTTCTGATTGTTTAAGGTGGAAAACTGGATCAGTCTCTTTTACTTAATTGTGGCTAGAAGTAGACATTTTAGGACTTCATCCTGAAGTTCCTCATCTTGACATTCCATAATTCACTGATAATAACATTACTATTGTTTATAAAAGTATCAATCTGCAATGAAAAAGAAGGTAAAAAACAAATCAAAACAAAATAAAAACCTGATTTTAAAAATGAGCCAAAGATCTGAAGAAGATACATTCATCTCTTCTTATCTGCAGTTTTGCTTTCCACAGATTTAGTTACTCATGGTCAACCATGGTCCAAAATATTAAATAGAAAAATCCAGAAATAAGTAATTCATAAATTTAAAATTGTGTGCCATTCTGAGTAGAATGATGAAATCTTGTGGCATCCTGTTCCATCCCACCTCTGATATGAATCAACTCTTTTTCCAGCATATCCACACTGCACAAGCTACCCACCCATTAGTCATTTAGAGCCATTTCGGTGATCACAACTACTGTCGAGGTATTGCAGTGCATGTGTTCAAGTCACCATTATTTTACTTAATAACGACCCCAAAGAGCAAGAGAGTCATGCTGGCAATAGGGATATAAGGAGAAGTTATGAAGTGCTTCCATTCGGTAAAAAGGTGAAAGTTCTCAACTTAATTAGGAAAGAAAAAAATGTATGCAGAAGTTGCTAAGATCTTGGTAAGAACGAATCGTCTATCCATGAAATTGTGAAGACGAAAAGGAAGAAATTTGTGCTAGTTTTGCTGTCAGACTTCAAACTGCAAAAGTTGTGGCCACAGTGCATAAGTGTTTAGTTAAGATGGAAAAGGCATTAAATTTGTGGGTAGATGACGTGGACATCAGGGTTGATAGTATCTGAGATTTCACACATCCTCTAGAGGTCTTGGAACACATCCCTGCATATAAGGAGGACTACTGAATACAAATGGTTAATCAGCATACGAAAATATGCCAATATCACTAATTCTTAGGAAAAAGCAAATCAAATCCACAATGAGATATCACCTCACACTCATTAAGATGGCTATTATTAAAAAAAAAACCCAGCAAATAACAACTGTTGTTAGAGAAGTCAAGAAACAACTGTTGGTGGGAATGTAAGCTAGTGCAGCCACTATGGAAAACAGTATGTTTCCTCAAAAAATTAAAAATAGAATTATCCAGCACTTCCACTTCTGGGTATATACTCAAAAAATCTGAAAGCTAGGACTCAAACAGACATTTGTACACTCACGTTCATAGCAGCATTGTCTACAATAGCCAAAAGGTGGAAGGAACCCATGTCCATCAATGCATAAATGGTTGAATAAAATGTGAATAAAATTTTATTCAGTCTTAAAAAGAAAGGAAATTATAACACATGAGATAACATGGCTGAACCTGGGAGACGTTATGCTAAGTGAAATAAGCCAGTCTCAAAAGTGCAAATACTGTATGATCCTACTATGTGAAGTAGCTAGAATAGTCAAGTTCACATGTTAGAAAGTAGAAGGGTGGGGCCAGGGTTTCGGGGGAAGGGGGAGCTTATGTTTAATGGGTACAGCTTCAGGTTGGGACGATGAAAAAGTTCTAGAGTGAACAGTGGTAACAATTGTACAACAGTGTAAAGGTCCTTAATGCCACTGTACTGCATACTTAAAATCGGTAAAATAATAAATTTTATGTTATATGTATTTTACCACAAAAACAATTTTAAAGAAAAAAGGCCAGGTGCAGTGACTCACGCCTGTAATCCCAGTACTTTGGGAGGCCAAGGCAGGCGGATCACGAGGTCAGGAGATCGAGACCATCCTGGCTAATACGGTGAAACCCTGTCTCTACGAAAAATACAAAAAATTAGCCGGGCGTGGTGGTGGGCGCCTGTAGTCCCAGCTGCTCAGGAGGCTGAGGCAGGAGAACGGCATGAACCCGGTAGGCAGAGCTTGCAGTGAGCCGAGATCGCGCCACTCACTGCATCCCAGCCTGGGCGACAGAGCGAGACTCCGTCTCAAAAAAAAAACCTCATAAAATACAACTGAATATTCTCCACATCTCCACAGACAGTTTGAGAATCACTGATTTTAAGCAGCTCAAGGTAGGAAAATGTCTAAGTAAGGGGGAGATTGGTGAGGTTTCTGCCCAGGATTAAAGATGACAATTAACTTTCAGGCCCCAAAGCACCACCCAACCAAGGAACAGGAAGGTCTTAATATGTCAAACCTATACAATGTGCCATGGTTTTTATTTTTATATCCTTCTGTTTTCCTACTCAGTTAACAATAAAATCCCTAACAATGGTCTGTGCGAGAGCGAGCCAAGCAAAACTGGTGGGGCTGTATTGTCTTCTGCAGGGGGTCTTGGGGAGAGACCTTAAGAAGTTGGGGAGGTGGTGGCAGCTCTGAAGAGAAACAAAAGCAATTAAGTTCCTGTGGTCTGAAGATAGAAAGAGGGACAATATCAGCTCAGGATATATTCTTTAGCCTGAAAAAAAGAATACAATAAATAATACATGTAACATGATCCCATTTCTATATATTAGGAAAATACATATTTCTGTGTATACATGCATAGAAAAAAATTCCCAGAAGGATACAAATAAAAATGTGAACATTGCTTAAATCTTAGCAATCAGATTTATGGAAGGTTTTTACTTTCTCCCTTTGTAAGTTGCTACGTCATCTGTTGTTTTCACAATGGCTGAGTAAATGTTTATAATTGGGGGGCAAGAAAGCAATTTTTATTTAAAGTTAGAAAAGGATTGACAGAAGATGCTACATGGCCCAGACTTGAAGGCTCTTTAGTTTTATTTTTAGAGATTTATGCATAAATTAGTGGACGTTCCATTATTTCTCATGCCATTTTTAACACTAGAGTTCTGACCAGCAGTTTACTCATTATAAAGTAACAACCCTTACCATTTGATGTGCTGAAAATGCATTTCATTTACACAGGTCAGATAAGATTAGGAACGGCATTAGAGTAATTAAGGTCACTGGACTTTGTCATTTAACAAATCCTTAAATCCAACTCTAATCTCATTCATTAATGCCACAGACAAAAGGGTTAATTGCTAAAGTATAACATTTCCTACCCATCCAGACACAAATGTTACAATGTTAAATGTTACTAATGCACAGCTGTATTGCTTTGTATCTTTAGAAAGATGCTGATGTATTCAGTACTCTAAGAGTTACAGATTTATTAGTTCTGAAGAGGCTATCCCTTGGGTAACTCATTATCACTGGTACAAGCTCAGAATGTTCTGTGACAAGAGAATGTCTAAAATGAAACAACCCAATTAATCAAGACGGGGCATGCATGTGGTGACTATACAATATGAGCAGATGTTGTCAACTCCTGAATTGTCACCATGCAGCCCTGTAGTTAAGGCAATGCCCCTAAGAAACAGGTTGGCCACTGATGCTGGGATCCCACTGCCCAGATGCAACACAGACCCATGCTCAGTTGCTTCCCTTTAGCCCTGATCCAGCTGGAAAGGACGATCCCATTGTCAAACCTCTTACCGCTTTACAAAAGAGACAAACAAACTGATGTGAGTTTTAACTTCTTTGATTTTGTTTTTAGTTATGACAAAAGTGCTAAGGAGAAGTGGAAGTTCCTAAATGGTTTTGAAAGATCAGCCTCCAAATGTGTTATCTCAATCCCTGGAATCCTCCATAGCCATTAAAAATGACGCCATAAAAGGTTTTTAAAAACAAGGGAATGTGTTCACTTCATGCCATTATTATGAAAAGAGCAGCTTACAGATGAATCCATATGAACATAGGATATGATTCCAGTTTTGTAAACTAACAAAAATGGAGAGTGCAACTATTATAAAAGACAAGAAGCATTAAAATGTCCAATATCAACATTTGACGGAGAGAGAAAAGATTTGGTTCTTGTTGTTATCGTTTTGCTTTATCCTTTTATTTATTTTTTACCTATATACTTTCCTACATTTTCCAAATTTTCTAGAGTAGAAATATATTACTTGCTAAAAAATAACAGGCTCTCAATAAATGTTATATTTAGGGTTATTCTCTACACCAATGATCCAGTAGATTCTGTTTCTTTATATCAATTCAACAGCAACAGATACTTTCACACAAATCTGTGTCTTGCAATGTTGGGGTAAGGCTTAAATAAAAATTATTCAACCATGCCACATTTTTCTCAAACTAAAATCTCACATGTAACTTATCCTTCTTTATCCATCCAGATAGAGATAACTTTTTTTTCTTTTTTTGAGACAGAGTCTTGCTCTGTCACTCAGGCTGGAGTACAATGACACAATCTCAGCTCACTGCAGCCTCCACCTCCTGGGTTCAAGCAATTCTCCCACCTCAGCCTCCCAAGTAGCTGGGATTACAGGCACCCACCATCATCAAAAGAGAGAAAATCAGAAACAGAGCCAGAAAACAAAATCAGAAAACTTTTGCCCAGAGGGGAAGATGACACAATCCAATTACCTCTGCTTTTTCTCAAAGCTCTAACAGGAAGATTTAATCAAGAGGCTGCCTTGGGCCAAGGGGTCACTTTCTTTAGGAATACTTTTTCCTCTCTTGCCCTGATGCCAGGGAGGAAAAAAAAATAACAACTGGCATTCCTACTGTGCTCAGAGCTTTAAAAGTACTTTTATACATAATAAGTAGGATGCGAAGAGAAACTCCATCCAAACAGTCTTACATCCTACGAAAAGGGCATTCCGCTACCTGCCTGCATTCTGATTTGGATCACTAGTGGCAGCAAAGGGGATCACAGAGGCACAGAGTGAGGGAATGAATTGAGTCATAGAGCTGACTTTATGCCAGCACCAATCACTCCACATATCTTACATATAGCATGCAGTCCTTATGACAACACTGGGACATAATATCTTTACCTATATCAGGAGTCAGCAAACTAGAGCCCATAGGCCAGATCCAACCTGCAGCTTGCATTTGTAGACAGTTTTATTGGAACACAGCCACACCCATTTGTTTTTGTATTATCTATGGCTGCTCTTGTGCTACAATGGCATAACTGAGTATGTAGTTGCAGCAGAGACCATTTTTCCTGCAAACTCTAAAATCTTGACTATTTGTCCCTTTACAGAAAAAGTTTGCCATCCCCCGATCTACATGATACTTATGAGAAAAATGAGGCTCAAGGACGTTCAATGGTATTTCGGTATTTCGGTATTTCGATGTCACTCTGCTACTTACTGGTGGCACCAAGATTTAAAGATGTGCCTATCTGACTTTAAATGAAAGCCTACGTTCTTTACAGTTCTCCAAATCAAAACTTGAAGATAAAACCCCAACTTCCTCCAAAGTATACTGTATGAGTGGCACAGCACATTACAAGCTGAGAAAGATGAGCTATGAATAATAATGCTATTTTTAAAGATCCTTGTGAGACATAATAACTGTTGGAAACTTCAGCTATATAAGAATACTGCACTGTAAGTTATCTTTTTCCTTCGACTTCTAATTTAACTCTAAATTATAGCAGTTATAATTAAGAGCAAAAATTATACGACAAACCATTTGGGGGAAAAAAACAAACGGAATCTTGCCAGCAAAATTGACATTAGTTTCAATGTACAGCTTTCACATTGAAACAGACTCTAAAATATTTGATGTGTTCACGTAATATGATATGGTTCACCTGTATGAACTTGCTGACTCTTTCCCAGGCTGGATAGGGCAGGGCAGGGCAAAGTGTGCTTAAAATAAAAGTCTTTAGCATGGCTTTTGTTTGAAACATCCGTTTCTCTTTTTTGCTTAACTCCTTAACTACCCAGTCAGCCAAAACAAGGTACTTTGTAGAGACTTTTTGCAGATATCTGGTGGAAGATAATGCTATGGAAAAAACTGCTGCTGCTCCCCTGTTCACACTGCCTCACCTGAGCCTTCAGAGTTTAGCAGCTTTTACAGGCAGCCATTAAATCCTCCCCAAGTGCCATTGGCACCATAAAAGCACAAGGCTTTAAAAACAGACACCAGAGAAGAGTGCTGAGCTGGCTCAATTCATACCGAGGCCAGCAAATGCAGGAAAAGTAGTATGTCTCCAAGACCTCAATCTTCCCTAGACAGAGTCTAGCTGTTGTATCAATCTGAGAAAGGTTAGTTGAGGAGGGAATAGAATGGTAGACCATGGCTTATTTTGACTCTTAAGACAAGTTAGAATTTAGGTTTTGGAAAGTCAAAGTCCATGTGTCTCAGTCAGTCAGGATAAAATGAAAGGGAAGAAATAAGTTAGTACCATAGTACCAATCCTCGCAGACACATGTAGGAAGCAGAGATCAAAGCCTTCACTCCACAAATGTAATCTGGGGGCATGCGGCACTTTCTAGCATTCAGGCAATGAATGTAGTCATCTTACTTGCTAATTTTCACTCATTCTCTCCTGGAGGAGGGAGAAGGGGATAAAATTCCCAGCAATCAGAACAAAATAGTAGAAGTATTTACTAATTGTTCAGTGGGGAAGGCAGTGAAAGTACTGACTAGAGTGTGGCATGGGGATTTCCAGTTCCTACATATTCTAGTTTTCTGTTAGCACAAAGAATGGGGTTGGATATAAACATAACCCTGAAAGGCTCCTGCGAGAACAGCCTTTGACCTCAGCCCATTACTCACTGGAAATGAGTCCAGCACATGGGTTCTAGCAGGACACACTCTGAATCTGCCAGGGCACGTTGCGCAGTCTCAAGGTCAGGATGACCCACAGTATCAGACAGCTTCTGCCAAGTCAGCTTTTACCCCTGGAAGAACCATAGAAGAGGGAGAGCCATTAATTCACATTTTTCTCAGTCCATTTTACCTCTGAACATCCTACTAGATGGCTTGTACCTTCAAAGGGGAATGTTCCAGCAGCCCAGGACACTTGGCCAAGTCTCCGCTGGGACTCTTGGCTTGTTCTTTTTTTGCCTGCCTTTCTTCCATTTCTCACATGGCAAACTCACCTGAAGAGGCACAGCTGAGCCATTACCATCTCTGTGCCTTCTTTTTTCACTCCCTCAACCAGAGTCCATTACTTTCTTGCACATATTTCCTCACATCCTGTGTGTCTATAATTTCCACATAGAAATCATCACACCATGTGGAGGCATCTGATGATTTTCTGCCCACTCATCACTACACTGTATTTATCTTTGTAGCCAGAGCACTCAGCTCAGTACCTGGCAATAAGTAAAGTAAGCATTCATTCAAGAGGTCTTTGCTTATGACTCATCAAAAATGTGATTATGGATTACTTTATAAGATAAATATTACATTAAGTCTTAATTATAATTATTACATTAAGTTAATTAAAAGTAAATATTAATTTAAATATTACCCCCCAAATCTGAAAACCTAACGTATGTTCACATTTACTAAAAGAAAGAAAAAGTTTAAGCAAAAAGGAAAGAGGCAAAGGGCAGGAAGAATAAAGCTTTGCTAAGGGATGTATGCAGGTAGCATCTCATTCTAGAAGCCAAATAGATGGGACATGTGGTCCTTCACTACTTACAGCTACAGGGAAAATATAGACAGAAAGCTATCCAGAACAGGGTGACTAACCAATTTCATGTTCAAAGGGGCTAAGAGTGGGAAGGTACCTGGAGCTGAAAGGTAGTTCAGGGATTCCAAGGCTGAGGAAATGGATGTGTGCCTTGCCAGCCTCATCCCTGATCAAGATTAGATCCCTAAGTTCAAGATTAGAGCTGTTTGACTTCTACTATAGGTAGACAAACAGAAGCCAGATGAAGAGAAGTTTCTATCAAACAAGCACCATTTCCACATGCTCCGCTTGTGGAATACAGTAGAAATATTGCATTGATATAGTAGGACCCACACAACACATGCTTTATGAAAAATTTATTGTACAATCTCTTTAAAAAATAATTTGGCATTATTCTCTAAAGGTATGCCTATATATATTCTAATACGTACTCTATAACCTAGGACTTCCACTATTAGGAGAAAAATTCTTGCACAGGGGCAATGGAAGTCATGCACCAAAACATTCACAGCTGTACTTTTGTAATAGAAAAAAGCAAACTGAGATCTCCATCAACTAGAGGATAGAAAATGAACTATGCATGTAAAAATATTAAATAGCAGTAAGAATGAATTAACTACAGATACAGACAACATTATGGGGGAATCTTAGAAAAAAAATAAGCAAGTTGCAGATGACAATACTTAGAATGATTAATTTTTTTCTTAAGCCCCCAAATAAGGAAAGTTAAGTGAGATGTCATTTAGCAATATGTACATGTGTAGGAAGATTACTGTGGAAAAAAGCAAGAAATTTAAGCAGTGGGATATGTAAGAGGATGGAATTGAGGAGCACATATGTAATTTTGACTGTTGGTGGTATGTTCACAGGTATGCATTTCTTGCTATGCTTTTGACAAACACATACGTTACATGCTTTATTCTGTATCAATCAAATATTATATAAATTAAATTAATATTTTATTACTAGAAGGCATTTGTTTTGAAAATGTTTTATACCTAGAAGCTTTGCTATCTATTTTGCCACCATAGAAGCCTAGACAGGTGAAAACTCAGATATGGAGTACAAACTTCTTCAACATGAAACAACTTTTTAAGAAACCATTCTGCCTCAACTGAAAGATGAGCAAGTCCAGGCACAGGGGCTCAATTAATTTGCTCAAAGTTACCCAACAGGCAAATGCCATTTTTATTTCCTTCATTGTCTAGCCAATAACAGTCACTTGAGCTGTTTTTACTTGAGGAAACAAACAGATAAAATCAGGGTAAACTTTTCACTAGGTGAAACAATATTCCAAAAGGGCTCAGATTTAGATTTTTATAGTAAGTGATTTTTTTTTTCCTTGGGAAGAACCTCTCTCTGAACATTTCCACAATAAACTGGCAGAACAAAAGACTGAGGCTACTCAAGTTCTGGAAATATTTAGGGATTGTTTCCTACCAGAACACCCTTTGCTCTCCGCATGTGAAATACAGAGAATCAAGGCTCCAATAACAGCTTAGGGATACAGATATCAAAGGAAAAGTTGAAGGTCCAACATGCTTCATATTTTAATAAATGAGAAAAGACCCAGTCAACTGGAATTGCCTTTGAAGTAATTGTGCTACACTTCATGCCCGGTTTAATCATAGCATAACACAGAGCTAAACAGAGAAATATTGCAAAAAAAAAAGAAAAAAAAATAAAGAATATAAGAGGAATTTCTCTGTAGCCAGTGTCACAATAGATGTGTTGGAAGTGGAGAAGCTCCGCCTTGGAGTGGGGACGCTCAGCTACACCTGCCTGAGGCTGTACTTCTATGTAATTACTAGAGAGTGTGGCTCACAAAGGACACACCCCCAAGGGCCCTGGAGCCACAAATTCTATGAAGAAAAAGAAAGAGAAAACCTGGAGGATTTGTCCTTGGCATGCTCAACTGTGAGGAAGATCTGATTCAGTTTGTCTCTTCCCATAAATCCCCATGGAAAATGTCATGTCTCTGTGAAAAGGCAGTTCTTCCAATGTTTACAGAAAGGCATAGAGATTCAACTGTCTTCTGGAAGGGGTCAGCAGGGGCAAAATGAATATAGAGAGGATAAATTCATATCCTTAACACAAAAACAAAAAGGAGGGGGCTTAAAATGATATGGTGGAATAATGGCGGAACACTTTGAAGCACATACAAACTTAAATGAGAGTTCACAGAGGAAGCCACTATTACACAAGGAATGTAAGAGCACCTAACCATACATTAAAAAGAGGTATACAGAGACTGAAAGAGGAAAGGGATTTTCCCCCATTGTCTTTTTTTAAACAGCTTTATTAAAGCATAACTGATGTACACTGAACTTTACATAGTTAATAAGTTAATAGGTTTTGACATATGTATCCCTCCCTGGAACTGTCACCACAATCAAGATAATGAACATATTCATCACTACCAGAAGTTTATTCATGCCTCTTTGTAATCCCACCTTTGCAATCCTCCCCACTCCCATGCCTAGGGAACCACTGATCTGCCATACAGATTAGTTTGCATTTTCTAAGATTTTATATAAATGAAACCATAAAATTTTTATTTTGCATAATTATTTTGAGATTAATCCATATTGTAGCTCATAAGGTAGTCTAATTCCTTTTCATTACTGAGTAATATTCCATTGTACGGATACACCATAGTCTGTTTATTCATTCACCTGTATGTGGACATTTGAGTCATATCCAGTTTTTGGCTATAATCATTCATGTTCAAGTCTCTGTAGGTCTTAGGCTTGTTAAATAAAATTGATGGTGGGGGGTGGGGGGCATTGTTATGGGCTGAGCTCCTGCACTAGGTGTAACAGATCAGACCAAACCAGAATAGAGTCACTCATGCTAGGTGCCATGAGGTCAAACTGAACAGGAGATTCACAGCAACTGACAGAAGCCCAATCTACTGGAACTGGCATGATAATGAAATCCTCTTTACTTTAATTGTATAAGGAAAGTAACTTTGAAATGGCCAATCTGCTTTTTTTCTGCTTTCTTAAGCTATTTTCTACCTGTAAAGCCCACCTACTACGTTCAGCTTAGTGGAGTGCCTTTCTTTTTCATATATGGAATGCTGGTCGATTAATGGATCACTAATAAAGGCCAATTAAATTATTAAACTCAATTTGCTAAAAATTTTTTGTTTGTTTGTTTTGAGACAGAGTCTAGCTTTGTTGCTAGGCTGGAGTGCAGTGGTGCGATCTCGGCTCACTGCAACCTCTGCCTCCTGGGTTGAAGCGATTCTCCTGCCTCAGCCTCCCGGGTAGCTGGGACTACAGGCACACTCCACCACGCCCAGCTAATTTTTGTATTTTTTTAGTAGAGATGGGGTTTCACCATGTTGCCCAGGATGGTCTCGATCTGACCTCATGATCCATCCACCTCGGCCTCCCAAAGTGTTGGGATTACAGGCGTGAGCCACCGCAGCTGGCTAAAATTTTGTTACATGGACAGCTTTCATTTCTCCTGAGTAAATGCCCAGGAAGGGAGCAGCTATATCATATGGTTCATATATGTTTAATTTTTTAAGAAACTGTTCAACTGTTTTTCCAAATTTGCTGTACTATTTTACATTCTCACCAGTAGTATATGAGGATTCCAGTTGCTTCACATCCTTCACAAACACTTGATACGGTCAGTCATTTTCATTTTAGTTATTCTAATAGGTGTACAGTGGCATCTCCTTGGGTTTTTAATTTGCATTTTCTTAATGACAAACGATGTTGAATATATTTCATGTACTTATTTGTCTTTATATATTTCCTTTGGTGAAGTGTCCCTTCAGATCTTTTGTCCATTGTTGTATGGGGTTGTTTTCTTATTATTGAGTTTTATGAGTTCTTTAAATATTCTGCATGTAACTTCTTTTTCAGATATATAATTCTGTACATATTTTCTTCCAGGCTGTGGTTTATTTTTTCAATCTTTTAGTAGTATTTTCTAAAAGCCTGAGTTTTTAATTGCAATGAAACCCAACTTAACAAGTTATTCTTTTATCAGTTGTGTTTTGGTGTACTAGCTAAGAAATCTTTGCCTAAGCCCAAGTCACAAAGGTTTTCACTTACGTTTTCTTTTACAATTTCATAGTTCGATATTTAAGTCTATAATCTTTTTGAGCAAATGTTTATATATAGTGTGAATTGTTGATTGAAGTTTGTTTGTTTTTACATGTGAATATACAATTGTTGAAAAGACTAGTGCTATTTGTTGAAAAGACTATCTCTTTACACTAATGACCATTACACTTTGTCACAAATCAGTTATCCATGTATATATGGGTCCATTTCTGGGCTATCTAGTCTGTTTCATTGAGCTATTTGTCAGTCTTTATACAAATACCACAGTGTTTTGATTACTGTAGCTTTACAAATAAATCTTGAAATTAGATCATATTAGTCCTCCAACTTTGTTCTTTTTGTCAAAGTTGTTTTGGGTATATTTTGTCTTTTGCATTTACATATAAACTTCAGAATCAGCTTGCTAATTGCTGAGGCTTTGATTGACATTGCCTTTAATCTCTAGATCAACTTGGAAAACAAAAACCTGACATCCTAACAATATTGAGTACTGTCATAAATATGGTGTAACTCTTCATTTATAAAGGTCTTCTTTAATTTCTCTCAGTATACAGATCATCCTCATTTTTTTGTGAGATTTAACTCTAAGTACATTATATTTTTAGGCATTTTAAAGGAAATTTTCTTTCAATTTCTGATTTTTTATTGCTAGTATAGAAACTTATCTGTTGGTGCCAGTAGCTTTTTTTGTGTGTGAATTCTATCAAATTTTCGACAGTTGAGCATGTCATCTGTGAATAATGATAATTTTACTTCTTCCTTTTCAATCTGAATGTCTTTTCTATTTATTCGTTTATTTATTTTTGGTCTGGTTACACTGTCTGGTACCTCCAGTACAATGTTGAATAGAAGTGACAAGAGCAGATATTTTTGGAGTCTTCCTGATCTTATTCCTACAGATCATTTTAAAAGCACATCTTTTTTCTTCAATCTCCACCCCATGCTTAAAGCACCTACAGATGCTATGCTGGGTCTATCATGGGACAGACAGGATTAGTTACTTCCCTTCAATCAGGCAGCAATGTTATGTAGAAGCCTGTCCTGGGTGAAGCTCTAGAGATGTATCACAGGTGCTCCTGTCCTCAAGAAGGAAGCCCCGTACAACACATTTGATGAGGCAAATCTATATTCTATCTGCCACACACATTTTATAAAAAGACGATCAATAACCTGGAGTTTCCTGAATACCACTGAGGACTTTAAGTCAGGGAAAAAGAAAATATTAAGTGTGATATTTATGGCACTTTCCCGTGCATTGATGATAGCAAGTTGCTGCTGAGCCTTGTTCTCTTGGGGGTGGCAGATGCGCATATTTGTGATTCAAAACAGGAATCCAGGAGACGCCTACTTGTCCCTCTGTTCTGTTTAAATGTCCTTCTCCTGTAAACCATGTCTCTGGAGAGTAGATGGCATGCTCTGGGGAGCTGCTCAGGGGTCGTTTTATTTCTCTTTCACTTTACACTTGTTTAAAGACACCAGGTTACCTCCAAAGCCAATTTCTTGCTAATGTTTTGCTTATCCACCAGAAACAATGGAGATTGTTAGTTAACGTATTTGGACTGAAGAAAAGTGATAAAAGTCACAACAAAGTTTATCTTGATATTCAAAAGAAATGAGGAAATATAATCCCACTTTAAAGACAAAAGTCTTCTTTTGAAATCTATTTGGGAGTGAAGGGAAACATCGATATTTTTCTTCATTGCCTTAGAACTTAAAAGGGATATATTGGACTCTACAATTTAACTGCCAAATCCGACATTCATATCCATCTGGACATTTGAAAATGGATCCCTGAGCCAGTCAGAATTGGCAGTTGGCTGTATAATCACACCTGCATATGGTGCAGGATCTTTTTAATGGGCAACAGTTAGAGCATGAAAGTATTGCACGATGTGCCTCCATTGAGAAAGCATGCTTAAAGATGCTTGCACGTGTAAATAATTATATTATATTTTAAAGCTCTCTGTTAGCAAGGCTTTGTTCTTTTCTTCCTACAAATCAAATTAGTTGGGGATACAGTTCATTTTGAAATTATTTGAAAAATGTTTTCATGTTCTAAAATTTCCTTTGTATCAAAGCTTTGCAAAGTTAAAAGGAAAGCCACAGACCTGCACAATGAGTAAAGAAAAAAAATGCATAAAACCAACAACAAATTCAATATGATAAGCACTCATGCTTATACAAGAATGGAAGTAAAGCTGTGTCTATAAGTACACGTCAACCTCCACGTGCAGTTTAGCTTCAACTCATTGTACATAAAGATAATCATTGATGCTTATATATCCATGGA
Source organism: Homo sapiens (assembly GCF_000001405.40). Lineage (NCBI taxonomy): Eukaryota > Metazoa > Chordata > Mammalia > Primates > Hominidae > Homo > Homo sapiens. The sequence goes on along the minus strand of NC_000005.10, from coordinate 67,612,675 downwards.
GAATCCCAGCTTCAAAAAGATTGCATTTATCTCAGTCCAATTTAGGCTGCAAAGTATCTCCTTGATCTTTCTTTGTAAGCGCAAGTCTAACGGTACATTACCGCAGCTCCATCCAGGCGTGAAGTTGTGTGATGGGGGCTACTCTTTGAGATTATTTTCAAAGGAAGCAAACGCAATGGGAAAGGGAGCCTCGTTACCTGGAAATTATCTTCAACCACCTCCCCTGCCTCCTTTGCTGGTAAATGGGACCAATTAGGGAAAGGCAATGAGCATCTGGGATTGTCTTGTGAAGGGTGGCCCATTCACTCTTGCTACTCTGCTCCTTTAAAATAATAGCGACCATGTGAAAATCCTGTGTAGTGTGGCCACTGGTCTCTAGGAAGGAGATTCCATCTAAACTTAGCTTTCAGGTATGCTTCAGTAACTGCCAACCACCAATGTGGAAGGGGACATCCAGGAAAAATGAAAAATGAGCAATTTTATTTAACATGCAGGGTAGGGTGCCCATAGCTAACGCCTATCTCCCATGTGCAAGGAATCTGTGGCAGCTTTGATCTTGCTGGGCCTTTCCTTCTCCTCAGTCTCCTTACTACTCTTTCCTTTTCTCTGCTTTCCATCTTCCTATCTGCCCTCTGGCTGTGCCATCAGTTCCTGACACCAAAAGCCCTTGTTACTGTTCGTGCACAGAAAAGACTCTTGAGAAATTGGACAACTAATGTAAACGAGTTTAGCAATCAAAAAGCATCATTTGAAAATAAAATATATATTTTTTAACCAAATTTAGGTCTCTTTCTTTCATGAATATAAAAGCAGATATGTGAAATTATATGCAAAAATCACGCTTGGTTTTTTAACACCCGAAATAAGTGGGAAAATATCATTTTATGAAGTTTCTTACCAGACAGTGAAGGAATCACCCATGTGTCTCTAAATGGGATGGCCTTTTAAGATTTGGACAGGGCAAGTATCAGTACACAATATTTTATAATCATCACAAATATGACTTGAACACTTGAGCCTGGGGAAGATGTGTACTGATGAAAAGGGTGGGGATAAGATTTAGACAAAAAGCTGTTCTTAACTAAGATCATAACTTTTGATTGCATGGTAGTCTCCTTATGACTAATTTTTGTTTCTGATGATACAAATCAAATGCTTATGAAAAGGGCTCATAACTAATTCAGCTCAATTCAGTCACTTTGTGAACAATGAATGATAGGCATGGACATGAATTTATACTTTACATAGATGGATCAGGCAGAGTTCAGTGCAGATAGCAAAATCACTCTAGCTGTTTTAAGAGGCAAAGTATTTAAAAGAAATTAAATGCTAACAAAATGGGTAGGAGGGCTCTGGGCTGACTGCATGGATGACTTGTAGAAAAACACAGCCGAACCTGCCCACCAGGAGAACTGCTATCTCCATTGTCATGTCATCAGGGACTCAGGAAATCATTGAACCTCTTTCCCAACTGCAAGATCTAGTTCCACCACTCCTCTGCTGAGATCCACCCCAGAACAACCAATGCCCCACCTCTTGATGCCTGTGAAGCTGGAGATGAAGCTTGGCACCCCTGAAATGCTGCTTCAGAAAAACCATGACTGGTGTCATACTCTTCTTCATGTATGCTTTGCAAATCATGCTCAGATACATATACTTGAAGGAAGACCTAAGTTAGCTGGAAAATATTATATTTAGTTCCTGGTCTTTAGCATGACATGTGAGTGGTTCTCAAACTTTGCTGTAAATTAGAACTTCCTGGGGAGCTTTCAGAATCCAAACACTGAGGCTATACCTCATAACAAGCATATCGAAATCACTGGGGATTCGGTATATTTGCTTTTTAAAAAACACTGCAGGTGAATCTCATGTGTAGCCAGTGCTAAACCAGAGATGCAAGGCATGGCTTCTCCAAATTTATTGTATTCATGAATGACCCTGGTATTTTGTAAAAATGCAGAATCTGCATTTTTTGGTTGGTGCAAGTTAGGACCCAAGATTACGCATTTTTAACAAGCTCTCAGGCAGTGCCGATGCTGATGCAGATTACACTTTGAGCTACAAAGATGGACAGCAGTTCTCCAACTGTGGTGTGTTGGAGAGTTTGTTAAAACACAGATTGCTAAGTCCCACACCTAGAATTTCTGATCCAGTAGGTGTGGAGCCTAAGAATTTGAAGAAATACTTAGGTGTCTAACAAGTGCTTAGATGATGCTGAAGCGGCTGTTCTGGAAACCACAGCACCGCCTGATGCAAAATCTGTTACATGGGGGTTGGAATGGAGTTGAGTGAGCCAATTGCTGTATCTGCAACAGGTGGCCACCATGTGGAGTTGCTAATGAATTCATAGTGTATATTCCATTTGGATCCAATAGACAGAGGGGGACTCTGAGGAGTCAGTGAAATGCAATTACTTATTCTAAATCCAGTTACCTTTATCTACCTACCTTCCTTTCATCCATGAAATTTCTGCTGAATTAGCTAGAGAGACCTCATGGAAACATATAGCTGTGTGGTAGAAGCAAGGAGAAAAAAAGAGGGAATATTTGTCTTCCGTGTCCCAGTAAACAGATAGGACTACTTATCTCCACATTTTACTCTTTGGAAAATGAAAGCAAAGTATATGAATGATAAACGAATGGTGGAGATAATCTGTGGCTCACTTGGTCCCCATGGGAGGAGATTTCAAGTGACATCCAGCTCACTGCTAATTTATTAGACACACATCAGATGCTGGGTATTATGTCTTCACTGCAATGCACTCAGAGCCTGGAGAGGAGGGAGTGAGTAGGTTTCTGAATGCATCACTAGCTGACAACTTTTAAAAAGGGTTTTATCATAAACTAGGGATATAAAATAGGTGTACAG